>NC_000009.12:68220552-68845552 GCF_000001405.40 Homo sapiens | reverse complement strand
CCTCCTTTCCTCATAACCTTTAAAATTACTATGTTTCTCCTGTTCCCGGAGGCCAGGATCAGCCCTTCCGCAAGGAAAGCAACTAAGGTCTTCGGAAGAGATGCACTCTCCTCCAAAACCCAGCTGGCTACCCAAGCTGCAGATAGGATGAAAGAGAACCCCCACGGCTCCACGGCTCTGGCTCTAGGCTTCTAGCTCTTCTTCTACCAACCAACTTTTTGACCAAAGGTAGAAAAAGAGAAGTATTCACAGACAATGACTGTGGTCCTGATTTCATAAGCCCCACCATATTAATTTACAAACATGGACAGACATTTGGGATCACCAACACGCAGCACAATCAGTTTCAGGCTCCTTCTGCCACCAGGGGGCTGTGAGACTCTGAGACAGCTTCATTATAGCACGGGGGCTCACTTTCCTCCTCTAGAAAATGAAGGCAGCTGGCTTAGAGAATTGCCAAAATTTCTTCCTCCTCTAAAATTCTACACGATATACGACTTTCTGATTTCATTTATTTTTCAGTATAGGTGGTCACTGGAAGCCACTTGTTTTGTATGATTTAACATATTTCATTCCACCATTTTCTAGATGTCTGTTTTTTTTTCCCTCCCACTTACAGTTGCTGCTCTAAAAATGCAACAGAAAGTAATTGTATTTTGCCTTCTTTGGATTACAACTCTTAGAGACCGATACTGAGAAAGGAGAACAGGCAGTCATTTTTCTCACAAGTGGAGCAGGAGGAAGCAGCCTTGCTTCACCCATGTGCAATTTCCAGGAGTACCAGCTGGGTAGAGGCTGGGCTGCTGCTTATTTCTGTTTAGTCCTTTTCTCTTGAACTCTGAGAGAGCGTTATTAAATTGTTTTGGTTGTTGCCCAGGTCATAAAAGTTGGTGTCAGAGCTACCAACAAACACCTTTGGCTCTCCCCCATTAGATCTCCCCCATTGGATCTCCCCCACTGGATCTCCCCCATTGGATCTGGCCACCAGACTCGGACATCTTTCTGGGCTGTCAGGTGATGGGCCTGTTCTCAGCAGGTTTCCAAGAACCCCTTGACTTGATCCCAACAAGCCAGTCTTCTAGTGGCCCAGTCCCAAATGCACGATTATTGGCTCCTGCTGCTACAACACAAGTGGAAGTGCCCGATGCATAGTTGATTGCTCAATAGAGGGCTGCTTCCTTCCCCCTTGGTTCCCCCTTCCCAGGCATGATTAGAGGAAACTGTGGTGGGTTTCTGCAGCCCAGACCTCTGACCCCACACTCTTTCCAACAACGCTAACCTATCTGCCATCTAACTACAATGCCTTGCTCAGAGCTTAACTCAGTGTTGGCTGAATGACTGAGTAGATGATATTGAATGAATGAAGATCATCTCAATGCCAAGCTTCCATGAGCCTATGGACACATAACCCCTACTGTAAGGCCTCTCTCTTGTTTAGGCCCTGCAGCAGCCAACTTTCAAGATGTACACAAGTAATCAGTTATCAGTCTAAAAATGTTTTGTTCTCTTACATGTTTCTTGAGTCCGTTGCACAAAAGGCCTGGCCAACTACTGACTTTATCTTCACCTCCAGTATTCTGTGCTTCCTCTAACAACCTCTGCCTGTCTCCTGAGCCACACATCCAGCTTCCCCTCTTCCCAGGCCCATGTTGGCAGGGCCCGTGTCTGTGCAGAATCCGTTCATCTTTCTCCCAGTACGAATATCAGATACTTGGCTCCAGAAGGTTACAAGAAGGGTTGCTTGGAAACAGGTTGGCTTGTAAAAGAAACCTGGCATGGTATATGGCTGAGGGGAATTTTCTACAGTCTCGTTGGGTAAGGAAATAGGTTTTCCCAACAGGAGTAGAGTGGCTCACTCTCCGAATTTAAGTGAGTGAAAGAGGCCTCAGTCTCCTCCATTTACCACCACCAACCGGGGCTGCCTGACAGAGGGATGGGTGGTCCTGATGCTGGACTTCCAGTTGCTGATACTTAACGGGCTTGCCTGGTTATGATGTGTGGCCATGGAGGGGAATCACCTTGCCATCAGCCCTACACAATAAGCATGATTGGAAATACTTGTGTCTGTATCCCATGATATAATTTCTTTGGAATGTAACCACCTGGCAATGGGGAAAACCCCCAAATATGGAAATTTTTTTTCAAAAATTTAAAAAGGAACAAGGAAATACAAATCATTTTTACTACATTGGTCTGTGAGTAGAACATGGCGCTGAGGGAAGGCTCTAGCAGCCTCCTAGTCATTTCCTCCCTCCTTGGACTCTTTTCCTTTTTCAGACACTGCTGCCATAGCGGTCTTTGCCAAGACTTGTCCATGCTGAGGCCCAATTCCTCCCCTGGCATAGGGTTCCCTGACTGGGGCTGCTTGTGTAAAGAATGGATCAGGGTAAGGCACTCCTTAGTTCTTTGTATTCACAATCACCTTTAAAAATTCTATGTTTGGTTATCTAAGCTTTATCAGGACCCCAAAGAAAAACAATACATAAAAATCCTCAACCATAGGACCCACAGACGTGAAGGGCAGAGGGAAGCTGGTTTTTAACTCTGGTCACTGAGAACAGAGATCTGAGACAGCAAGTGTGGAAGCAATACTGGGACCACCTTGGCTCACTTCAGTTCACAGACTATACCAGGTATGTTTATTCCACAAGCCAAGCTGTTTCTAAATTAATCAACTGTCTATATAGCCTTCAAAGCCCAGTATCAGATAAGTCATAAATTCCTGTAGGCCAGGATTTCTCAACTTTGGCACTATTGACATTTTGGATTCGAGACTTCTTTGATGTGTGGAGCTGTCCATTGTAGGATGTTCAGCAGCATCCCCGGTCTTTACAAATGGTGCCTGTAGCACCACTTCCTCCAGACATAAAAACCAAAAATACCTGCAGACAGTAATAAATGCCCTCTGGAGGGGTGGTGAGCAAAATCAGCTCTGGTTGAGAACTAAGACTTTGTCTAAGTGCAAAACTCCCATACCAAGGTACATCCCCCTTCTATCTATAGGTGGAAGTACAACATCAATGCTTGTTGTCTGCATATATGCTATCCACATCAATGGAGTGTCTCATATTGTAGGTGTGTCAAGAATAATGCTTTAATACTCCACAGTTTTAACTCACATTTTGTTTCACCAAGCCAAGTGCAAAACACTTGAAGTGATATTACTATTTTTAAAAAACAACCTTGGGTAATTTGGAAAAGAAAGTGCACTTGCTGTTGCTTTTGTCATGATCCTTGTCTTTAAAAGTGCTGCTGGTGCAGTGTGTGTACCACTGTCCACCCTCCCTGCCTGTCCACCCTCCCTGCCTCCATGGACACATGTGCACGTAGGCACTCACGCAAAGGCTACTGTGTCCCACAGCAGATGAAAGCCGGGTTCTCAAGAGTAAACCAGGCAGGGAGTATATTAGCCATCCAAGCATGAGAAATGCCCAAGTGGAAACCAACATGAAGGCATCTTTGGGGCACATGGTTTGATGGTGTCACCCCAGTGAGTCCATCAGAAGTGCTGGAGATGAGTGCAGTGGGCTGAGAAACGCTGAGGGCCAGGGCCCAGGACCTGAGCCACAGTGTGGCTTTCTGCACTCAGCATACTCTTGGACAAGGGACTTAAGGTATTTGGGCCTCTGTTTTCTCGTATGTTAAAGAACGGTTTTATCAGAGCACTTCCAACTCTAACAGTCTAAGTTTCTAAGAATACAATGCAGAAAATGCCACTTCCACCCACCCTACAATCCTTCTTCTTTCTAAATTAATCATTTCTGCTATTTCCACCTCAAATGATGGTCACTATTCTCAATTCAACAGAAACTGCAAAAAACACACAGAATATTCAATTACTTTCAAGAAAAAAGGTCTGTCTAATCCTGTCATCAGAAATGATGACTTTTATTCCTTTTTTTTGTCCCAAGTTAAATCTCTGTGGATAGCTAATGTTCCATTTTCAAAGAACTATTAAAAAATCCATCTAAGTTTATCCAAACTGTGGGACGAAAGATGGAAAATACCAGTCCCATGGTACACATGAAGTCACTGGCCTATTTATAGCTCTCAACTGTAACCTAGGGATCACTTGACTCTATACCCCACGTAGAGATTTTCCATATATCATTTCCTTCTTCTGGACATGCTTCATAAACATGATCTGCTTCTGTAAACACCAAAGAAATAATATAGCAAATGGTTCTGTGGGAGATGCATAATAATCCAGGAAATGAAGGGGGCCACATCGTCTCCAGCAGTGAGTTCAAAATTTGATTTTGAAAATTCTGTTCAAACATGAATTGCTTCATGTTAACAGTAGTAACCTGAGCCACATTTGCTTTTCAGTCACAACGTGTTGCATTTGAAGCCAGGTTCATGTTTATGTCCCAGAAAGTGATTTCTTATTTATGTAAGTTGATTACAGGGAGACTTAGGTATTGAAGGTACATTTATTGAGCACATCGATTTTATGGAAGGAGTGAAGTAGAAAAGGGAAAGAGAAGAGGAGAAGGAAATACAGACCTGAGACAGTGATGTCTACACCTCAGGATCACAGTTGGTATCTACTGAGAGTACCAGACAGACTGACAGTAATGACAAAGGCATAACAAAGAGCTGCAGATGCACAGAGGAGGACATTGTGAAATTATATGGTGGCAGACAGAACAATGTCTCCCAAAGATGTCCACATCCTAACCTCTAGAGCCAGCAAATATGTAACCTTAGAAGGCAAAATATAATGTTACTTTACAAGGTTGCAAATACGATCAAGGTTGATGAACAGCTGATCTTGAGTTAGGGAGATTGTCCTAGACTGTCCAGGTGGGCCTAATGTAATAATATGGGTTGTTAAGAGTTAAAAAAAGAAGAGGCAAAGGAGCGGGTGAGTGAGACATAATGTAAGAGGGACTCAATCTGCCATTGTTGGCTTTAAAGGTGAAGGAAGCGGCCATGAGCCAAGAAATGTAAGTGGCCCCTGTGGAAAAGGCTTCTCTCCTAGAGCCTCCATAAGGAACACAGCCACACTGACACCTTGATTTTAGCCCAGCCAGAAGAATACTAAATGTCTGTTCTACAGAACTATAACATAATAAATGTTTTTAAGTCCCTAAGTTTGCAGTAATTTGCGACTGCAGCAATAAGAAACTAATACATATAGCAAGTGTGAAATATTTTCTTTTTTTTTTTTTTGAGATGGAGTTTCATTCCTGTTGCCCAGGCTGGAGTGCAATGGCGCGATCTCAGTTCACTACAACCTCCGCCTCCTGGGTTCAAGCGATTCTCCTGCCTCAGCCTCCCAAGTAGCTGGGATTACAGGCATGCGCCACCATGCCCGGCTAATTTTTGTATTTTTAGTAGAGACGGGGTTTCACCATGTTGGTCAGGCTAGTCTCAAACTCCTGACCTCAGGTGATCTGCCCGCCTTGGCCTCCCAACGTGCTGGGATTACAGGCATGTGCCACTGTGCCGGGCCGTGAAATACTTTCAATACTTTTAGGTCCTGTTTACTTGAGGCACCCGAACATTTTCACTCTTTATCCCACTAGCCCCAAGAGTTGATGCTAATTGGCACTGGGTTGAAATGAAGGAGACTGGCTTGCATCTGTGTGGTCCCAGAAAGTGGTCCTAGAGGACAATTTGTTGAATAAATGAATGGGTGATGAGTTTATAACAAGGAAGAGTACACACTTGGCCATCTGGGTAGAAAATGGTCTTGTCATGACCTCTCTGGAATGGAGACGACCATGGCTGGACCTAACAGGAATACAGCACCCTGGCATTTCTCCTCCTCTTTCTGCAAGACGTCTCCATCTCAGGCTCTGGTTACATCAGGGCTCCCCTAGGCTTGAAGGGCCGGTGGGATGGCAGCACAGTGTCATGTTTTATACACATTCAAGTTAATTTTCCTAAATTCAAACTCTCATGACAGATTTTGATAATTTTCTGTTGTATTCACTTTGCCAAGAACATAGAAAAGGGGGAGAAAATCTCTACTTTTTCCCACAGAGGATTAATCTTCCTAAACCTATAGAGTCATTTGAGTTCCTAATCCACAGGGTGTTTAAGGGAGGGTGGGAAAATATGCAAGATATTATTGCCTTTGCACCAAAGGGAAACCAACTCAGGTTTTCTCGAAAGGAGATGTAACCTTCTCCCCACTCTTTACCTTCTTCTCTTTCCCCGTCCCAAGGCATCCTGCCTGGCCTTCATAAAATGACTGCTGCAAGAGATGATCACAGAATAAAACAAACAAAACCACCACCACCAAGAAATCAAGAGACTTCAATGGCATTTAGCAGTCAACCACACCCCAAATTTTGCAAATGAAGAAGCATAGGCCCAAATATAACATGAAATTACATTAAAATTCTCAATAAAAGGAAAACAGAGATGAAAAAGCACAGACTTTCAGGCAAAAGAAACACAAGCTTTTTCCCCTCTGCCAAAACCAAAATTTCTCAATGATTTCAACAAACTGCCCACCCCAAAATAACTTGCAAAAAGCACTAACTCTTAAGATAATTTCCACACATTACTCTGGTATGGGGAAGTGATCAGTAGACCCATAGGAAGAAATTTTAAGACATTCTCCAAACTATAAGGAAATAAAATGATCCCATTCATCTAAACTGATATAAAATCTGAATTAAATAATATTTTAAGAGAAACATGATTTTATTATTTGCTAGTACTTGGAGTATCTCAAAAAGCTAACTGTGTTTACAATAATTGCCTTTCCATGGTCAGCTTAAATTATATGAAAAAGCCAATATTCAATAAAGATTTTAGTTAATTAATTAAAAAATTTATTTCAAGTTTTATTTTAGATTCAGGGGTACAAGTGCAGGTTTGTTACCAGGTATAATGTGCGATGCTGAGGTTTGGGGTGCAATCAATCCTGTCACCCCATTACTGAGTACAGTATTCAATAGTTTTTTCAACCCTTGCTCCCCTCCCTTCCTCTCCCTTCAATTATGATTTTTAAAAAAGTTTTAGTAAAATTGGAGGCAGAAAAAAACTTTCTTAATGCAGAAAATAATGTTTCAAGCTAAAAGACAACAGTATACTAATGGAAGCACTAGAGTGACACTTCCCAAATGTACGTGACCAAGGGATTTTTATTTATGTATCTATTAATAACTTGTGTGTACAAAGAATGCACTCTTGGAAACAGTACAAGAGGCATTTGTTTTTTAAAACACAAGTAAGACAAGGCTGTGCTGTTATCACAAGAATTCTTTGATACTGTTTTTGAATATCAAATTAATAAGACAAGCCAATTACAAAATATTGGTTAGAAGGAGAAAAATGATAATTTACACATTATATGATTGCTACCTAGAATACCCAAGAATCAGTCATGAACCGAGTAGAATAGTTAAAAAAAAAACAGGTTGTCAGTTTACAAAATAAACTCACATAAATCAAGATCTAACGTATCCCCAGTCAGAAAATGTAATGGAAAAAAAAATCCCATGCGCAAAAGAAAAAAAAAACCTCAAAACATTAATAACAAAAAACCCCACATAAGTTACACAGACATATATTCAACTAAAAATAGGTATAAAATCTATGAAGAAAATAAAAGTTTACTGAGGAGCATAAAAGACAATAAATACATAAACATTTCATTCTTGGAAGGAAAAATACAAGTTTAAAGATGCTTCTTTCTGAATTCATTAATTTAATATAATTTCAACAAAAATCACAATAGAAATTTTTTTAGAGATAGTGACCTTATAATTCTAAAGTTCAATTAGAGGGAAAAAATGTAAAAACATCACTAAGAAATTTTTGAAAATTAAGAATACCATGGGAAGTCTTGCATTACAAATTATTAAAATTAAAGCAAGGCATTACTAGCACAAAATTACAAAATAAGAGCAAAGATAAAAGCCTTAAGGGAACTATTAACAAATTTGACTATATAAAAGCTTGGGTCAAAAAAAAAAAAAAAAAACACAAAGTAAGGAAAAGTAAAAGTCTAATTTAAGAATGGAAAAGCATCTGCAACAAAAATGCAAGGCCCTAAATATATTAGTGCTTACAAATCAGACAGCAAAGGGTATTCATAAATAATAATACACATAAATCAATAAAAATCATCTGAAAAAGTCTAACTTACAATAATAATGCAAATTAAAGTGAAAACTAAGGCATTTTCACCTATCTAGCTGTTAAAACATTTTTAAAGGAGCAGTGCTTAGTACTCTTGAGGACTCGGAAAAACAGGGCTCCCCTAATTAGCGGGGGGACGTCTAAGATGGGATAACCATTTTTAAAGGTAATTTAGTAAAGTGCTAAAATGCACAGAACCCCTTAACTTGGTTTCCTGAGGTCATGGGCCAAGTTCCTTGTGTTCACTGCTGTATCCCTGCCTAACACAAACAGGTGCCCAGATTTATCTACTGAGGGAGAACATGTGGGGAGACAGGCATTCTGAGGCTGGAAAGCTGGAAACAAAGATACTGTTCCAGGCCATCTGGGTGCTGAACGCTTTCCGGCCCAAGTGACCTCGCTAAGGCTGAATTTGGGTCAATAAGCAGGAAGGGCATGGATGTCTGTAACATTTCCTATTCCAGGAGTAGACTGTGGGTTTAAATTCCTCTCTCATGGAAATGGAAGCCTGAGGGGAAAGGGCTTCGGCCTGGTGCCCCAGATTTGACCAGACTCTGCTTTGTATACCAGCCACTGTGTGTCCCCACTAGGGACTCTGAGGGCCAAGGGATGCCTGAGACATGCTGCATCTGCTCGGCATGGCCACCTGGCTTCTGGTAAGACAGCCTTCCCTTGACCAGGTAAATCAGGAGCTTTATCATAAAGTGTAGTTTCTTCCCACCCATCTATTAACTCATCTGAAGCAATTCAGGACCCTCATAATAAAAAAAAACAAAAAAAATGCACACTTAAAAATAAGCTATACATATGTGTGTGTGTGTGTAGATGTATGTGTGTACATATCCCATATGCTAAAAACAAAATTTCTCCAAAAAATGAATAAAAAGCATAGAGATAAACATCAATGCAGCTTGAGTTGGCATACCCCAAATTCCAAAGGAAATGGAAACGTTTGATGTTTTTATTACATTGAATACTTCCTTGGAAAACAGGGTCTTGTTTTGTTTTTTATGAAGCAGAATCTCAGAAGACTCCATCCTTTGATTTTGTTCTCAAATGAAACTTTACCGCTTTAAATCTCTTTTGTATTTACAACTTTAAAACCCCTCTAATTTGTAATCTTAAAGTTATATCCAAATCAAATATTCCAAAGAACACTGGGTTGGGGGTCAGGAATGGGAGAACAGACTTGTCTCCAAGATTAGAATAATTAATAAATAAGTTAAAAATAAAGAAATAACCTGGGGCGAGGGACTATGCTGATTGTGCAGCTTAGTTTGTTCATGATTTTCTTTAAAACCCATGAACGGGTTTTAGATGTTGTCTGCCCACTCCCACCTTCCCTTACCCTACTGTCTTCAACCATACACCCTCACCCCATTCTACTGTACTCTCTGTCCTTCAAGAGGGTGGCACTTGCTTCTGCCCAGAAAAACTCTATTGTCCCAGGAAGAACAGTTTGAATGTGTAGTCAGAGACAGATGAGGAAAAAGGGTTCTTGAAGCCCAATATAGCTTCCTCAAACTAAATCAGACACTGAGAGATGGTAAAGCTACAACAGAAAATTTGTCGTTTTTATTTAATATGACGGAAAGCAAAAAAAAAAAAAAAATTCACTTTCTAGGCACAGGCTTTTTAAAAAGGTGTCTTTAATCCATGAAGGTTAGATTTCCTTTTGCCACAGAATTCCACTGCTTTTTGAAACAACCTTCCACCTTCAATAGTCAATAATAAGGACTACCACAGAAGGAGAATGGGGTCCCAATCTGCAATTGGAATGGGTTTGAAATTTCCAATTCCATACTTTGAACAGTATCCCAATATGGAGTAGGTGGCAGTATTATTGGGGCCTTCACTAAGTATTGAATTCTAGTAATACCTGGACTGCCAAGTCCCCATTCTCATAGGGCTTAAATTCCATTGGGAGTAGGTGGGGAGCCAGCATCAATAGTAGCAATTTGATATTTGTACAGCCAATTACCATCTTCCTGGTACCTTCTCATACAGTGTTAGATTTAATACTCAAGCCATACTATAATATTTCTATGCTCAGCCATTGTCTTGCACAAGGATGAGCTCATCAATGGCACAGCCAGCCTGATGGCCCTGGCCACACACTCCCTTCTCAGTCCACTGCTGGTGAGGAAGGAAGACGGAGAGTAAGGTCCAATGTTCTGTCTGTTCTCATCAATGCCTGTTTCTGGGTCCTAAGTGCAGCTATAAAGTCTACACTCCTCTATGATTTTGAGAGGGATACAGTTGATTTTAAAACTGCTAGGCTATTGTTCCCTCTCACTCTCTTTGAAATAGCAAACCTGAACAATCATTGATCTTGTTTCTTTCATGTTACAAAGAAAAGGGCATTGACTATGATGTTTGTTCTGGAGAAATGGGCTGCCAAACGATCCCAAATCCTGACCTCCCCTGACAAGTTACTGTCATCTAAGGGCTGCCTTTAATTGAGCCAACATCTGGAAAGAATAGAACCTTTAAGTGACAGTGTTGGAAAAAGACTGCCTTTTAAAATTCATTGCTGAAGTTCTTCCAGGAACAGCTGATCACAAGCCATCTGTAGACTACAGATGAGGGGACTTCAGGATGCCACATCATTAAGAGCCAACTTTCAAATGCCTGTACAGTGACCCACAACTCAGGTAATCACTACCATTTTGAAACAGAAAAAGCCAAGGGAATGGAACTGAGCACCTTCAAAGTGTTCTTTCTGTGAACATCCACAGTACAAATTCTATCCCTCTTCAGCCCCCCAGCCCCGCCCCATATTTCACCTCTAATTGCACCTCCAGAACTGTAGGCTCAAGAACATATCTCTTTGGAAAATCTATAACAATCTTAGAATTAAGAAGAAAAAAGTGATACATCCTTTGGATGCTGTACCAGACGCTGCGTGGGACCCTCTGGATGTCAAAATAATTGGGCAAGGCTCCTGCTCCCCAGCCACTCACAGTGCAGTTGGCAGGACATAACTGCCAACAATTATTACAAAACAAAGTCACCTGTGTCATAACAGGGTTAAGTGCAGGGTGCTGAGGGAGGCTGGGGAGGGTGACTGACAGCCACTGCCTGGGAGGGTGGACAAAGGCAATGATAGAGCTGTTTCTGGAATGAAGACATCACAGAGTGATCAGCTTGCGTGGGAAGGAATGGGGATGGAAAAGAGGAAGGTGCAGCATTCAGTGCGGCCGCAGTTAGGTGCGTGTCCAAGATAATGGCAGGAGATGGTCAAGACCCACCCAATGGGGATGGCTGTGAAGGACTCACATGCCACGCTATGGAGCATGGATATTTTCTGAAGGTACCAGAAGGCCAATGGAAGATAATAAGGCAGTGACTTGGCCAGCTTTGTGTATTTTAGGAATATAACTGTGGAAAAGGATCTTAGGAGGCAACATCAAAATATGGATGTTCCCCCTTCCTGAGGCCTCTCTTCTCCATCTATTTCACCAATGCCTATGCATCTGCAATTTGACAAATTGAAGCTGAGCCCCAGACCTCTTCCTTGAGTCCCAAGTCCATGTCCAGCCACCCACTTGCCTCTCTGACATTCTCAAACTCACATGTCCAAATTGGAAGACTTGTTTCCCCCCTACCATTCATCTCTGTCTCAACAGATGGTCACAGCATCCACCCAGGTGCTCAAATTAGAATCCTGGGATCAATCATTCCTACCATGCCCTCACCCCCACATCCAACCATGGCCCCGTCCAGTCAATATCAACTCTGAAATGAATCTCAAACTTGTTTTCTTCTTTCTCCTCTAGTCCACAACCTTTGTCTAGGCTGCTGCCTATTTCTCTAACTCAGGGCTTCTCAACTTAGCACTATTGACACTTGGGGCTGATGAGTATTTGTTGTCGGGGGGTGGGGGGGCAGTGTCCCTGGCCTCCTACCAGTAGCACCTACTCCCCTCAGTTCTGACAGCACTGTCTAATGTCTCCTGGGGGACAAATCTGCCCCCATTGGGAACCGCTGCTGTCACGCTACTCGGCCACTCTTCCCTGCTCAGAACCTTGCATCACACTGGCCTCCACCTCAGTTCCTTGAATCCACCAAGCTCCTTCCTGCCTCAGGGCTTGGCAAAGGCCATTCTCTCTGCCAAGCACACTCTTTCGTCCACTCTTATCTTGACTGCCTCCTTCACACACTCGCGATCCCAGCCCCTGTGCTGCCTCCTTAGGGAGGGTCCCCTGAATACCTTATCTAAAAGGCAGCAGTACCTTTGCCTATCTTTATTTTCTTCATAGTACTTTAAAAGTTAGTAATTATTTGATTGTGCATACTCTTTCTCATCTGTCTGTACCATGACAATGAAAGCATTATTAGGGGCAGGGACTATGTCTGTCTTGGCCTCTGTTCCACCCCTTAAGGCCTAGCACCATGCCAAGCTAAATAAATACTTGTCAACTGGAGAAATGAATGAGTACATGGACGTAAGTCAAATGTATGTCATACATTCTAGGCACTAAGCACACCCATAAAAATGGCAAGGTCACAATATGAAAACTTAGCTCAGGAAAATTAGAATGTTACCCAGACAGTCTACATTTCAGCCCTGTGCTCAATAACCAAACGATTCCTGATCTGCAATGAAGTAGACAGCAGTGCATCTTGGATGAGCAGAAAACACTGATTTAAGAGGAAGAGTAGCTCATCAACTCTGCTGGAAAGAACTGCAGCAAGACCTCATGAATAGTTTAGAAGTCTCCTAGTAATTGAACCCAATTTCTGTCTCTGGGTGTCTGGGTGTACGTGCATGTCAGAAGTTGGGCAGAACAGATAGAGGACTGAGAATCTTAATTTCACAGCCCCCACAGAGCCCACGGCCCATCTTCTTTTCCTTCCTTAATGATATGTTGAAGGGTTGCCTCTTTCATGCAGAGGACTGAGCTGCCACATATTCCTTTCTCTGGCATAATAAAAGCAGCTGACACAGGACCAGACAGTAAACAGAACTTGCCAGAAAATACAGTGTACCATTTGGGAGAACTGGATTCCCATAGAGGAAAATGACTTTCAAAATAGTCATCCTCCTAGCTAATGCTTTCTTTACCAGATGTTTTTAAGTGATTGAGAAGATTATTATTGAGTTGTGACTCTTTCTGTGACAGTCTACAGAACTGCCAGTTAGGTTTTAAAATGTGTTCTTCTCCTAACTTGACAATCCAAGATATGTCACCACTGTCAAGTGGATCTCATCCTTTACTGTCAATTTTGAGTTCTGCACTCAGGGATAATTTTTGAAATGATCACTTTAGTCATCTTCCCATTTCTAGTGTTATGCACAGTGCCCAAGGGATTTTTTTGTTTTTCACTTTAAAATCACTACATACTTTCTAGAAAAAGTTATTCTTGAGGCTACAGTTCAGATTCTGTGTTCAGAAGTGAGATACACTTTGATGAGAAAAATGGCTTTGGAACCAATGAATCAGGGAAAACATTTTAAAATTGTTAAATTCTAGTTGGGGCGTGGCTCACGCCTGTAATCTTAGCAGTTTGGGAGGCCAAGGCAGGTGGATCACCTGAGGTCAGGAGTTCGAGACCAGGCTGGACAACATGGCGAAACTCTGTCTCTACTAAAAATAAAAAAAATTAGCTGGGCGTGGTGGTGGGCACCTGTAATCCCAGCTACTCAGGAGGCTGAGGCAGGAGAGTGGCTTGAACCCGGGCAGCGGAGGTTGCAGTGAGCTGAGATCACACCACTGCACTCCAGCCTGGGCAACAAGAGCAAAACTCCGTCAAAAAAAAAAAGTTAAATTCTATTAATTTGTTCCCATTCCAAAGCTGTCTGAGTTTATCTTACTGACCCCTGCTACTATTGCAGATAATTGAGAATCACTGTTTTAATGTCTTGAGCAGCACTGCCCTCCAGACACCACAGCATTCAGACAATAATGCAGTGGGTAGGGTCTTACAGATCCTGAAGAAAGGCAGTTGGGGTTAAAATCCCAGACTTATTCTGCCACATACTTGCTTTATGCCCTGGAGCATTTAATTAACCTCTCTGTACCTGTTTTCTCATCTGTAAAATGGTCGTAATAGTATAACCTCATAAGGTTGTTAGGAAGATTAAATGTATTTTCTAAAGTGCTTAGAATGATAGCGGGCATGCACTAAGCACTTATGTTAACTCTATTATTAGCATTGCTTTTAAAATTGCTTTTGATTGGTAATAATTAGGCTTCAATTCACTGAATTAGTAGGCTTCTGGTTAAAATAAACTCAATATATTTGATAACATTCTTCCATCAGCCAATGATTCTAACTCCATAAAACAGCAAAAACTCTGAATAAGCACAAGGTATGTTCCCTACGACTATTGAGTAGATGTAAGACTAGAACCTAAATTACATTGCTGTTATCTTTTCCCAAATTCAGAACAGAGAACTTTAGAATTTTAAATTTTCATGTCCTTTTGCAACTTCTTAAGAGCCACCTTAAAAAAAATCTCTTTTATGTGCTCAGGCAAAGGAGGGCAGGTAGTGAGTGGTGAAAGTGGATGAGCCACAGGCCTCAGGGAAAGGGGGCCTGCTGGCCAGATCGGAACCAGGTTGGCTGAGCTGTGCAGGGAAGCGAGTGAACACCTGCTTATATTAAGCCTTTTAATTGAAAAACAAAAGCATCGTTGTGCCCTGAGAACATGGGCCACAGTTCAGACGGCCCCACTGGCTGCAGTAACACTGAACACCCCAACCTCCTCGCCTGCCATTCACACCAAACTCAACAACACTGTGGGGTTTTTTTGCCAGTGAAGGAAGCCGTGCAGGAAGTTTTGGGTGTAGAATACGATTTCCTATAGTTCGCGTTTTAGAGACAGCAATGTGACGTTTATTGGTATTAGGGACCAAAACACAGAGAGTCTACAGTTAATCAGAAGGCAGAAGTACAACAAACCTGGGTAACTTAACATATGGAGGCCCCCTCCAAAGCGAATGCTGAAAGAGGTCACTTCAGAATGAACCATTCAGGGCAACAGGCTAATAATGAGAGGGTTGGCTCGCTCAGCTGTTTTAATCTGAAGCTGCCAATTCTTTTTGCTTAATTATCTGTAATGTCCTGCTTAAAACTCATAAAGGCAGACTTGCAATCACCTGCTTTAGTACTTAGTGAGGAAGGAGACAGAAGCACAAGTGTTTGGAGGGGTGATCTGACAGGGCGGGGGGTGCATGGTAACGTGATATGATTACACATGCTTCTAAGTGTAACGGAATTATTTAAAAAATGTTCCCTCTGTAAATGATGCAGCTCACCTCCTTGCTGCTTAATTTTTAAAAACACAACAGCAGTTTACTATTTTTTTTTTTGAGATGGGGTCTTGCTCTGTTGCCTAGGCTTCAGCACAGCGGCACCCGTTTACTAGTAAGAGCACATCTTTCTCTCTGATTTTAAACACCTGTTGCTGTTGGGACGCATACAGCATCATGCCCCAGTACTGTCAGCTCACCTCCCATGCCCAGGCTTGACTGCAGCTACCCCCAGGAGACTAAGTAACCCTTCTCCCCGGGAATCCAGTGCTCCGTCCCCATAGAACTAATCTGGAAATCAGAGGCTCAGGGACTGCATTCTTGCTCATCAAAACAGTGACTTCACTCATTAGTATGCTACTTTTCCCAGTATTTGCTCAAGTCTGTTAAACTGTTTGATCCTCACAGCACTATAAGCCAGCTTGGGTAGATATTAATTAATTACATTTTATCAATGAGAAAAATTAAGGTTCACAACAACTAGGAAAAATGCCTACAGTTATCAACCAGTATCTGGAAGAGCTGGACTCACATCCGCCCTCCTCTTAAAAAGGGTAGTTTGATTTGAACAAGGCTTCTCAGCCTTGGCACTAACAACGTTTAGATAATTCTTTGTTTTGGGGGTCCATCCTCTGCATCATAAGACGCAGCATCCTTGACCTCTATCTCCTAGAAGCCAGTAGCGCCAGCCCTCACTTTGTAACAACTAAAAATATGTCCAGATATTGCCAAATCTTCCTGGGGGGTGGAGGCAGAATTGCTGGTTGAGAACCAGCAGGTTAGGGTATTTTGGATTAAGGTGGATTAGGAATCACACTTAGAATACCAAAGGGTCATTCATCCTAGAGACCAGCATAGCTGCTATTCATGACAACTGCTGCTTAGCACAAACGAGTTTGCTTGTTTTATGGAAGTGGTGGCTTTCCAGAATCTGAAGGAAAAGAAGAATGGTCAGGACAGAGAACACACTCCAGCCCCTCTTCCCTCCAAAATCCTGAAACGTTATTTGTTCAATTTTTGAACTGGTATTACCTTCACATAGTTCAAAATTAAATATGCATAGAAAGATGTATTATTTACTTATTTTTTGAGCCAGAGTCTTGCTCTGTCGCCCAGGCTGGAGTGCAGTGGCGTGATCTCGGCTCACTGCAACCTCTGCCTTCCAGGCTCAAGTGATTCTCCTGTGTCAGCCTCCCAAGCAGCTGGGATCACAGGCTTGCACCACCGTGCCCAGCAAATTTTTGTATTTTTAGTAGAGATGGGGTTTCACCATGTTGGCCAGGCTGGTCTCCAACTTCTGACCTCAGGTGATCCACCCATCTCGGCCTCCCGAAGTGCTGGGATTACAGGCATAATCCACCGTGCCCAGCCATAGAGCCACCGAGCCACCATGCTCGGCCATAGAAAGGTTTACACAGAGAAGTTTCCCACCAACTAAGGACCCTACTACCCGGTTCTCCCTGGAGACAGACAGTGTTACCAGCTGTCAGAAACATTTTATAAAAGACCCTGTATTTAAAGAAATACTTCCTTTTAGATCAAAGTGTCTCTGAGCTATTATCTTACTCATGGTGAAAAAGCAATAAAAGGCATCTTTCCTTGGAATGTGGTCACGGTCAGGTACTATTTCCTCCTTCCTCACCGCTGCCTGCCTCCACTGATAGGAAACTGTCTCAGACACTGGAATGAAGCAACAACCAAGGTCTTCAAAGATAAAACAAAGTGAAAAAAACTGGGCATTTGGGTCAAGGATCCTGTAGGTGTCCTGGTCTGGTCAGTTTCCCAATGGAGCTTTCTGAATGCTGTGAGCACGTGTGCCCGTCACAGTGAAAACCAGCTAAAAAGACTCTGCACACTGTAGGCGAGGCCTCGGTGCCACAGGCAGGTGGCCTCTGACCCCACGGCAGCCTGCGGTCATCAAAACCAGAATCTCCCAGTGGAGGCCTATTGTGGGCAGGCCCAGAAAGGCAGGAGAAACAGAAGAGGAAGGGGTGAGGGGCCTAGAACGACAACCTCAGGGTGAAGAGGTGAGACAAGAAGAAAGGCAAATGGCAGTGCACGTTTCCCATGACAGTCAAGGCCCTGGTGTTGGGAAACACTGACCCAGTCCAACGGACAAATGACAACATGGGACATCATGTGACTGGAGCTTCTAATCATCTTCCTAACAAAGAACTGCAAGGTAACCTGGCATATGTCACTGAACCACCCTGACATCTGTTTGTTTTGGAGAGGTGGGGCTGGGTCATTTCTTCACATATAAAACAGACAAAACTTGAATGTCTAGCATCAGTATTTGACTTGCATTGAGACCATCCTCTTTCAAGTAAACTCGTGCCCTGCGCCTCCTGCTTCCTTTTAGGTCTCTTGCCTTTTTAAACAACAAACAAACAAAATCCCAAAATAACACAATACTCTTTCCCAAACTTCCCTAGTTCCACCAATGGCAGAAAACTTCTGGTAGTCGCACTGATTGGAAATGTAATTTTCTTTTCAAAAATATTCCCCACATCTTTTCCTACTCAACTTTGCACCCAACTTTGTTGCTCAACTAACACAAAAGCCTTCCCGTGTCATCTCCCTCAACCCTGTACAACTTGTGCTCTGCCACTGGCTTTGCACAGGCCTTTCATTTGTCACTAGCCCCTACAACAATGTTACAGTACATCACCGCCTGAAAACTGCACTCCCCAGCATGGCAGTCATCAGCCACGTGTGCTTATTTAAGTTTAAATTTAACTAAAATTAAGATTAAAAATTACAGTTCTCAGACACACTGGCCACATTTCAAATGCCCTATAGCCACACATAGCTTGTGGCTACCGCATTGGTGCAAATTATAGAACATTTCCATCATTGCGGGAAGTTCCGTTGAACAACACTGGCCTAGAACATAAAATCCAAACACCTCAAACCAGCACCCAAGGGTAGCTGTCATTTAGAGCCAGCCCATACTTCCAAAACTGCCTACTACTTTCCCCAGACACCACCACTTAGCTTTGTCCAGGCCAGCCTCTCCTGTAATGCCAACAAATCATGCTCCTCCCTGTTTCTGTGCCTGTGCTCATTGGACTCCCTGACATCAAGACAAACACGTAGGTAAATCAGAATGCACAGTCACTTAAAAAGTGGAATTTTTGGCCGGGCCCAGTGGCTCACACCTGTAATCCCAGCACTCTGGGAGGCCGAGGTGGGTCGATTGCCTGAGCTCAGGAGTTCGAGATCAGTCTGGGCAACATGGTGAAACCCCATCTCAACTAAAATACAAAAAATTAGCCAGGCGTGGCGGCATGCACCTGTAGTCCCAGCTACTCGGGAGGCTGAGGCAGGAGAATCGCTTGAACCCGGGAGGCAGAGGTTGCAGTGAGCCAAGATTGTGCCACTGCACTCCAGCCTGGGCGATAGAGTGAGACTCCATCTCAAAAAAATAAAAATAAAAGAGAAATACCACTTGTCTTGGCACTTACTCAACACCGATTTGGGTCAAGATTTAATTTTTTCATGTGGGTCCCTCTTTTTTCTCCCAAATAAGTTGTAAGGTCAGGGGAGGCAGAGACAAGTTCTTACACTTCTTTTGCATCCTCCTTTTTTCTTCTCACTTTTTTACACCAACAGGGAGGTCAGAGGTTGTAAACTGGCCACTGCCTACGGGACAGATAGGGCCTGCAGGCAAACTGTTTTGCCCAGAGTGTATTTTTAAAAACATTTGAATTAGTTGCTGTTATTTAAAAATGGCAGATTTCATATCAAAATCTTCATCTCTCTTTTCTTGAAAAACATCAGAGTATCTGGCAACCCTGGGCGAGCATTCATTCATAGCTCTGTTGGCTAGAGCTGACTGCCTGCTGCCCCTTTTAAGGAAGGCGTGGGTTCTGTTTACCATGGTCCCCTCGTTTTCTCACTCCCTTCTTTGCTGCCTGGCCCCAGTAGGCTTCTGCATTTACAACTCTTGCGGAAAGCACTCAATAAATTAACTGATAATGGAAATACTCCACTCTGTAAATATAGCCAGGCAGCCTTTAATGCCTGTCTTAATGGGCAACTTGTTTGTTTTATGCAGCTAAAATCAAACTTCTTATTTTAGCCATTAGCTGAAGACATTATTAACCTCACGGACCAATGTTAGCTGTTCTTCCCGGGCTTGCCAAGAACTGAGAATGGATTCAGGAAATGGTCAACTGCAAGACAAAAGGCAGCCAGCCTCAATAATCACATGCAAATAGCTGAGACGCAAAGTGTAAAGTTGTCCCATGAACACTGAGTGTTCCCTAATAACACGTGGAAATCATAGCACTCATGACGCTGAATGTTACTGGCAGCTGCCCAGTAAATCTGGGGCTCCATACAGAAAGCCTAAACCTGCTGCTTAATTCTAACAACATTGGTTTCTTCCCTTTTGAACTCCTCATTATAGACTACTGTGTTCTAAAACTGTTTTCATGTCTTGCCTCTCCCACTCCACTGTGAGCTACTTATAAACTCCTGTGGTATATTTCTCACTCCTAGCATAAAGGACCAGGGGCCTTAACCTGGGATCCATGGACTGGCTTCAGTCAATGCAAAAACACAATGGGTCATCAAAGCTTCTTAGTAAATCTGTGCATACCTTATGATCAGGGCTTCAGGACTGGGAAAGAAATTTAAGGTATTTGTAAAGGGAATAAGATGTATGGTGGCCTTGACAACACTTGTGTAGTCTGTTTGCTATCATTTACAATTTTTTTGTCATTTGCATTTGCAAAGCACTGCTTTTATGCTTTCATTAAGGTCATGGGTGAACATGGTAAGCTACCCAGGGCCAACTCATGCATCATGCTGGTGGAAACCGAGTGAACAGGGAGCAAAATTGCCAGTTTTCGAGACCATCAGTCCAACCAGATACAAACACAATAAACATAATATTTAACCCATACTTATCCACCTTGTCTGAAAGGAGACTAGCGAATCTTTTAGACACCTTTAAATCAAGACTCATTAAATTTGAACATACTCTTTATGAGTAATTTAATGACTCTCTCAAAATAGGAAATGCAGTTAGTTTGAAATAAACTACATCTTTATGAATTTCTCCAGGTTTGTAAAAGATATGTTTCTTCTCTAAATATGTATAAACCATATGTTTAATAATAATGCTCAAATTATACTGGGGAATAATGTCTCACTTATAATCTGGTTTCCAGAATGTACTCTTCCTCATTTTTGAAAATAAGAATAATATTTGCTTATGTCCTGTTTTCTGACAATTTTCCCATTCTGAAATTCATTTAAAGCTCACATTCAGAGGTTTTCCTATTCTAGCTTTAAGTTCTTTCATCTGGGAAATGGTTTATCTGGACCTGGAGATAAACACATTTGCAATAGCTAACTCCTAAGTCCACCATGAACACCTTCTCTAGTTTGAAGATCAGAGAACTAAACCGAATAATTCAGCTGAGCTTTTACCTGCCAGTAAAACAACACTCTCTCTAAGCGATTCCTTCTTCTTGCTATTCATATCAATACCATATTTATTAAGGGCTGAAGTTCTAAGTGCTGTGCTGGTCTTCTTGGTGCTTTTTAAGAGAGGCTACGTACATCTCCTTCCATTGCTTATACTTTTTAAAACCAGAAATCATTAATAAGATCCTGATATTATTACACATAAAAAATTGTTCATTAAAAAAAATTTCTGGTCCCCTTAGGTTTTCTGTGTCTTTCCTTATTTCTCCTACCATAGAATTTGATTTTTAGTTTTTACAACCTAAAAAACATTGCTGAGTTAAATATCCTACTGGAGACATTAATCATAGAATTACCTATACTAATTATTGAAAACCTGCTTGACTAAATAAATTCTTGGGCAGGGTACACTTAGCAAACTCTGAGATGTCATGGTCACATTTTTTCTATAACTTTTGCAGCGACAAAGGATCTCCTGTGAGTCAGAATTTGGTCAAGAATTTCAGTGCATCTTGATGCTGATTGAGAATACCACCTGAAACTGATCTGAAGTAATAACAGGCTAGCAACGTAATCATCTCTGTGTTGGTCCATGCTTGAATGAATGTACACGGAATCTTGGGTAAACGAGACAGGATTTGGTTTTTCACTTGTGTCTAAAAATAAATAATAGTGTATTGTTGCCTCTGGCCCAATGTACAAATTTTATAAAATATACTGCGGCACTTCTGAGCTCTTGAATCTTTACCCAACTCTTTTCCAACCACACCATCACTTTGAATGACAACCTCCCAGTTTGTATTTCAAGGTTTGGCTGAGTGGAAAAATCAGATAAAGAAGATATGCCAGGAAAAAGGGCACATTCTCCCATATGAAAATGGAATAGAAAATACATCATGCTAGTTCCATGACCTGAATATGTGGTCAGAGCCCATAGCTCATGTACTTTATGACTAAACGTCTTGCAGGCTGTCCATCAAAGTATAAAAGGAAAAATTAAGAAATAATAAACCTTCAATACACAAACCTCCTACTCTTAAGAGGGCAAAATAGCAAGAACTTTGAAAAGCTAAAATGTATAGTCAATTTATAATCAGGAGTAGAGGTGCTTGGGAACATATTTTACCCAGTAACGTGTTTGAACATTAGCTTGGTAGCTGGGAGTCGAGAATTTATCAAAGACTGGTAAGTTAAGATACATTAGGAAGTCTGGAAAAAGACTTTTTGTGAAATGGGCTGAAGACATAAAATCTGAGCGGCTTAGAAAAGGTGGGGAAGAGGAGCATCTCACATTTTAAAAGTTTTAAAATACAAAGGTAGGAAATGTTTTAAATGTTGGTGGAAAGTAGTGAGTCCATTAAAGGATTCATATATTATACACAGAACACTGCATGCCCTCAGGAGCCTTCTTCTTAGGAATAAGAAGGGTCTTCAAACAACTCTCTTCACTCAATATTCTATATTATGGTGAATTGACCCCCAAAGATTCCCATGCTCTAATCCTTGGGACCTGTGAATATGTCACCTTCTAAGGCAAAAATGAATTCAAGTTGCAGAGGAAATTAACGTTGCTAATCAGCTGACCTTTTAGATAAAGAATATTAATTTTTATTAATATTTTCCCATATTTCTGTGAGCCTAGGAGGGCTCAATGCAATCACACAGGCCCTTTAAAGTGTCAGAGTGATACAGCCTGGGAAAGACGCCACCGGCCATTGCTGGCTTTGAAGATGGCAGGGAGCCATGACACAGGGCACGCAGGGAGCCTCTAGAAGCCGGAAAAGACAAGGAAGTGGACTCTCCCCTGGAGTGTCCAGGAAGGAATACAGCTCTGCAAACACATGGATCTCAGCCCAGGGAGACCCATGTCAGGCTTCTGACTCACTGAACTATAAGATAATGCATGTATGTTGTCTAAGCCACTAAATTTGCAGTAATTAGTTATAGCAGCAACTGGAAACTAAGATAGTAACTTACAACTGCTTGGGAGAAGGAAAGGCCTTTGATAATATTCACGTGCCAAACAGCAAAACGGTGTTCCTCTTTAGAAAATAAAATGCACACTCACCTTTTTATAGGTTTTTTCTTCATTTTGTTTTCCAGGTGCTGCCTCTCCATTTTCAGCAGCAGAAGACATCTACAAGAGAAACACACTGCCCTTTGAACTTCAATGTTACTCTGAAATACAATATATTAATAATATTGCTAACCAAAGGATCTATTTTAGTTAAGTATGTTTTTGTTATTGCTATTGCTGTTGTTCCTAAGGAAGACAGAAACATTTCAGAATACTAAAAAAGAAATCTGCATTCCTTAATCTTTCAAAAATAAATCTAAAACATTTTCGTAATATATTTTATCCCATATGCTCTAAGAAAGCATGTACATGTGTATAAGTTTCTTTCTACAAAGCTTTTTTTTTTTAGAGATGGGGTTTCACTCTATCACCCAGGCTGGAATTGGAATGCAGTGGTGTGATCATGGCTCACTGCAGCCTCAAACTCTTCAGTTCAAGCAGTCCTCCCATCTCAGCCTCTCGAGTAACTGAGATTATAGGCATGTGCCACCGTGCCCAGGCTACATAGCCTTTTAAAAAACTTTTCTTCTGGTTATGCATGCTCACTGTAAAATTATCTGGGAAGTACCAAAAAATATGAGTCAGAACAAAAAAATTACTCAATTCTACTACCCTTGGGCAACTCCTCTATTCACATTTTGTCATATTTATTTCTACCTTTTATTATGTGTATTTTCATATGAAAAAACTTACAATACTATCTTACCCAGTATTTTTCACTGAACATTTATGTAATAAACATTTTCCCATTTGATTACAAAAATATCTTTGTAAGAATAATTTTTTTCTAGTTGCAAGATATACCACTGTGTGGACACCACTGTGTGTTAATACTTTAGTCAATGCTAATATTGAAGGATAGTTGAGGCAGCTCAAAGAGTTTTGCTCCTGCAAATAGTACAATAATTATTTTATGCTTATATCTTTATCTAACTTCAATGTTTTCTTGGACTCAATTCTTGGAACTGCTAGGGCATACTAGGGTATTAAAAAATTTAAAGCTTTTACTACATATTGGTAAATTTATTTCCAGAAGAGTATACTCATTCACACTGCTATCAGCAGTGAGTGGGGGCTTGTTTCATTACACATTTAGTAATGACTGTTATCATCTTAAACAGCTTTGCTAATCTGACAGGTAAAAGAAATCATCTCCTGGTTTTAATTTGCATCTGTGAAAATTACTGGTGAAGGTTAACATTGTTTTCACATCAGTTTTAGTTCTTTGTATTTCTTCGAGTCTTCCATTGTTTCGTCCATTTATCTATGGAGGTCTTAATGTTTCTGATATTGATTTTTACCTATTATGGTTATTCATACTAGTGGTTTGCTTATTTTTATGTTTTAAGGTCATTAATTGCTTGCCAAGTGCATTATTAATATTCTTCTGTGTTAGTATCTGCCTTTTTGTTTGTTTTTGAGACAGGGTCTCACTTTATCACTCAGGCTGGAGTACAGTGGTGCCATCACAGCTCACTGCAGCCTCGACCTCCCAGGCTCAGACAATCCTCCCACCTCAGCCTCCCAAGTAGCTGGGACTAATTTTTTGTAATTATTTTGTTAGAGACAGGGTTTTGCCATGCTGCCCAGGCTGGTCTCGAACTCCTAAGCTCAAGCAATCCTCCTGCCTTGGCCTCCCAAAGTGCTGGGATTATAGGCATGAGGCACTGTGCCCAGCTTACCGTGTCCTTTTAACTTGTTTCATAATTATGATATAGAGAAGTTTACATTTTTACACACTCAAAACTATTGCGTATCTTTGTGAATTCTAATGCCTTAAGATAAAATATGTTTTTTCATTGGGAGATCTGATCTTCAAATGTGTTTCTCTCTCTTCCTAATGATAAGATTTTCACATGTGACCTATAATTCATCTGAATTTTTAAAGCCAGTTATGCTACTTCTGTGGTAAACAAGGATAACTTCATAATTAGGGAACCATAATTTAAGGGTCTTACCTTAAACTGCATGCAGAACATTTAATACACCAAGGAAGGGTAAAATTTCTGACTTTCTTTTACGCTTTTGAAGCATGCTTTAAATTCTGGGCTTTTAATAAACACGGCATATGCTAAACCTAGGGATTCATCAACCATTTCTGTGCCTTGGAACTAAGTGACTGAGTTTACCCACACTGCCATGAGCTTGATATGACTAAAAACCATCCAGGAAAATAAACGCAAGAATCACGGTGAGCCAACCTCACTAGATCTAGTACTGCCCACCAATCAAACCACCCTCTTACATAATTTTGCAATTCTATTTGCATCTATTTAATCTGTCCGTGTTAGAATAGAGTCTTCCAGGACAGATGTTTCACAAACTATTGTTTTCCATGCTGTATCAGCTTAAATTGACTTAAAGAATAATTCATTTTTCTAGTCTCTTTATAATCATATTAGGTCAGTTTTGAATAAAAATGCCAGAAGAATTAAAATGGTTTATGTATCAGGCTCAGGGTAAAATACAGGCCTTCAACTGTTTAACAGAGCCAACAGAATGAAGACCTCCCTAAAGAATGCCATTCCAGTAATTTCACTTTTAAGACTTTGCAGCTTTTAAAACCAAAAAACTACAAGAGCAACTCTGAAGGGTGCTTAAAAAAACAACCTTAATGAGAGGTTAACTAACTGGCATGAATGAAGGACGGAGGATGAGATGGTCTTAAAGTACTTTTTATTACTTTGTGAATCATCCCTGACTTGACAGTAGGGAAGAGGAGGAGAAAAACAGGTAAACTTCTATTTTTTTTTAAAACACTTCCTTTTAAGCAGCACAAAACATAAAATAATGATAAACGAAGGCCATGAACTATCATCTGGATTCAAGAGTTATTCATTTATTTTTCCTGTAGAGTGATGTTTAACAAAGGTCACATAAACCTATTAACCAGGGGCATTGGAGTCGGAGAGGCCATGTAGCAGGGACAAATAAGATGCTTGGGGATGTACTGGTAAACTGCAAAGGGCCATTACAATGGTCACAATGATGACTACTGTTTCTTCTTAGACTTGCTATGCTTCTGCACCACATCATCTGTAACTAATGAAGTCAAGGTAAGTATGAATTCAAAACATTGTTTTAAAAAACATTATATAATTACGTTGGGCATTGTGGCTCACACCCGTAATCACAGCACTTTGGGACGCCAGGATGGGATGATTGCTTTAGGCCAGTAGTATGAGACCAGCCTGGGAAAAACAGTGAGAACTCATCTCTATAAAAAATAAAAAATTAGCCAGGTTCAATGTCTTGCACCTATTTTCCCAGCTACACAGGAGGCTGAGGTGGGAGGATTGCTTGAGCCCAGGAGTTTGAGGCTGCAGTGAGCCATGATCGCACCACTGCACTCCAGCCTGGGCAATAAAGGAAGAGCCTGTCTCAAAAAGAGAAACAAAAGCAAATACTGTGTCATTTTAGATAAGGGACTTGAGTATATTTTGGTATCCACAGGTCCTAGAATCAATCTCCCGCAGATACCAAGGGCTGACTGCACTGAGTTTCCTTTTGGGGTGATGCAGATGTTTTGGAACTGCATAGAGGTAGTGGTTGCATAACATTGTAAATGTACTAAACTGTACTAAAAATGAACACTGAATTGTTCATTTTTAAATGGCTAATTTTATGTTATATGAATTTCACCTGAAAGACACAGCGAGACATCGTCTCTAAAAATTTTTTTTGAAGTTATAATCATGTGTATTTTCCATGTACACATAAAAGGAAGGAGGAAAGACATTCTCAGAAGTTCTGGTGATTATCTACAGATGATGGGATTATAAATGCTTTAGGTTTTCATTTTTATATTTTGTTAGATTCTCCAAGTATTCTACAGTGAACACTGCTACACTTAAAAATAAGGAAAATACTATTTAAAAATTTAACACACATAGTAATTAACAACAGAGACCACATCTCGGTTTTTTTTTTAACCCTTCTGGCATGCCAAAATTCATAAAATTTCTTGTTTCTGTTTGCTTGATGTTTTATTCAAATTTGATGTCAGAGTTAAAGGTTATGAGCTAGATATATGTTTTAGAATATTTGTAAAAATATTTACAATAAAAAGGTAAGGGCTCTATACTGATTTGATCAGAATTAATTAAAAATACAGACTTTATTTCCTTACCTTTGTAAATGAAATGGCAAGTCATCTGTAGTTAGTAGTGATGGGTGGCCTACTCATTGTCGAGACCGTTTTCTTTGCCAGGTTTCTGTTAAAATAGAAATTTCTGGTCATCATTTATTCATATCCCTACTACATCTCCCAAAAAAGATCAGAGGTAGCTATAGGGATACATGCAACATAAGCAGTTAAAATTAAAACAAAGGAAGGAATGTGGGTGAGGGAAAATAAACATGGAGAGCAAGATGATTCCATCAGCAAGGGCTGTGCATAGAACATAAGCCACAGAGTCTGGTATGGTTGTTGAATAAACTTTACAGTCTACAACTTGACTCTGAGATTCCTGGTTTCCAGAGGAAAGGAAAATACGATCAGTTACCAGATGCACAATGCGCAAAAGATAAAAGCAAAGCAGTTGCTCAAATGAACCACAGGTATCTGGAGATTCAAGCTGGAGTGGAAATTTCTCCTATGGATCTTCACAGAGGTGACACCATGTGACATGTGGACAATTTTTCAATATTATCCCTATGATAAACTACCTGTGATTTCCATAAGGGTTGATTAGATGACACAACTTCAAAGAAAAGTTCAAAAAAGCTGTTGTGCTATAATTATGTTTTATACAGAAGAGATACTTGCTTATTGTAATCAATTTAAAAATGTAGAGAGGTATAAAGTAAAAAGGAATTAGGCTAGGCATGGTGGCTCACGCCTGTAATCGTAGCACTTTGGGAGGCTAAGGTAGAAGGGTTGCTTGAGGCCAGGAATTTGAGACCAGCCTGGGCAACATAGTGAGACTCTGTCTCTTAAAAAAAAAAAAAAAAAAAAAAAAAGAATGAGGTCTTATCTCCCCCACCGTGCGATAGCCAATATAAACAGTCTGTTTGTTTTATAGCCTTTCAAAATCTTCCCTATGCTTTTTCACACACACATTTATTTCTGCCACTTGCTCTTATCAAAATATTTTAAAAATCTATATATCTATCTCATTTAAAAATAACTGCATATATTCACAAGATGGACATACCATTGTTTAACCAATCACTCTTCTGTGGATGAACATGCAGACTGTTTCCAAATTTGGCTACCTTAACCAGAGCAGGAATAAACAGTCTTATTCAAACATCTTTAATGTTCTAGTACTTTTATTTTTGTGGGAAAGAATCCTAGAAGTGGAATAACTGTGGGGCCAAACATAATAAGCATGTTAACTATTTGAATGACTATTGCTACATTTCTTTCCGGTGCAAAGGTTGAAGCAATCAGCCCAAATGTGCATGGTGAGTGCCTGCTTATTGACACACTGATCAGCACTGGTGTTCGCCATCTTTAAAAGTGTTTGCTCACCTGATAGGCATCTCTGGTTTTAATTCGCCTTCTCTCACTACTAACGGGGCTGATTCTTTTCACAGGTTTATTGGTGATTTACAATTCCAGTTCATGCCCTTTGACTATTTTTATACTGGGCTGTTTTATCTTTCTTTTATAAACAATTTGTGAGACCTCTTAGTATTTTAAACATTAGCTCTGTCCTAGAGGTTGCAAGTATTATTCTTCTTTTGCCTTTATTTATTGTGTCTTGTCATAGACATTTTAAATTTTTACACAGTCAAATCTGCCAATTTTTCCTTTATGGATTATAAATTTACTATCTTGCAATTTTTCCTTTTTGGAAGATGGATTATGAAAGAGAGCTCCCCCTAACCTGATGTTATACATGTATTCTCCCATATTTTCTCTTGATAGCTTTATGGGTCCATCTTTAATATTAGCTCTTACTTCAAATGGAATCTAATCCAAATGGAATATTGCCCCAGATGGACACCTAATTGCCCCCAAATCATTTACTTAATGATATTTTCCTTACCAGAAAGACAAGCCACCTTTAGCATACATTAAGTTTTCCTATATACATTGATTTAGTTATGGCATCTACTCTGTTCCAAACATTGACTTGTGGATTCCTAAGCTAATGCCATATTGCTTAAAATGCAGTAACATGATAGTATGCTTTGATGCCTGCTGGCACGACTTCCCCATGCTGACTGTTTTTCCTTCAAGTTTGGAAATTTTCTTGCATTTATATTTTTATGTGGCCTTTAAAAACATGTTGATTGGGCTGGGTGCAGTGGCTCACGCTTGTAATTCCAGCACTTTGGGAGCCGGAGGTGGGCGGATCACCTGAGGTCAGGAGTTCGAGACCAGCCTGGCCATTATGGTGAAACCCTGTCTCTACCAAAAATACAAAAACTAGCTGGGTGGGGTGGCAGGTGCCTGTAATCCCAGCTACTCGGGAGGCTGAGGCAGGAGAATTGCTTGAACCTGGGAGGCAGAGGATGTAGTGAGCCGAGATCGGGCCATTGCACTCCAGCCTGGACGACAAGAATGAAACTCTGTCTCGAAAAAACAAAAAACAAACAAACAAAAAAATCGTGTTGACTGAGCTGACAACACTTTTATCTTCCAAGTTGGGATTCTGACTGGGATTATATATAGTTATTTTAGAACAATTTTTATCTTTAGGATCATAAGTTTTCTCATTTGAAAAGATAGTATAGCTCTCTACTTCTTCAAATGTTAGTTTGTCTTTCACTACAATCTTTTTTTAAAATTTGTCTTATGTCTTACTAAATTCACTCCTGGATATTTTCATTTGTCACTCTTTTAAATAAAGTGAAATATAAATCCTTATATTTCTAGAAATATAAAAATATAAAATTAAAAATCCTTATGTTTCTAGAATAAATCTTTGATTTGATTTCTTAATCTTCTTAAAAGCATATTTTCATAAGTGATATTGAACAACCGTTGTGGCCATCTTTATCAGTTTTTGGTATGAAAGAATTTATACTTTTCATAAAATTGGAAGGCTTTCTTTATACGCACTCACGTTTTTTTCTGTTTATAACTCCTCTCGGGATTTATAACCTTTCTTTGAATCAAATTTTGGTAATTTATAGTTTATTAGAAAAACATCAATTTCCTCTAGATTTCAAATTTTATTGCCATAAACCTGAACATAACATTGTCTTATTGACTTATTTTAATCCTTCCGGGATCTGGGCAATTTTTTTTCCTCATTCCTAATGTTGCATGTGTATATGTACATTCTTTATATTATATACATATTTTCATTAGTCAGATTCTCTCCTTTTAATTGTTTTGAGGCCAATTACATTAATTTTAGCTTTCGTCATTAATAATACCTTCTTTCTTCTGATTCTTAAAAAAATTTCTTAGATGCAATATTTAGCTTATTTTTCACTCTTTTTTTTTTTAATAGTACCAAAAGCATTTAGGCTATAAAGTATTCCTAAATGCATTAACAATTTCTTCATAAGTTTTGATGTGAAATGTTCTTTTTAATTAACTTCCAGAGAATTTGTCATTTTGTATTTGATTTTCAATTTGATCCAGGAATCATCTATAAGAAGGCTTCTTAATTTCAAGCATTTACATTTTACTTATTATTATTATTTCACTGTCAATTTTTTGTTTTATCACAGTGGGATAAAAAAGGGGATGAGTAAAATAGCTTTTCTCCGCAAATTCATTTAGTTTTTTCCTGTGGCCATAGAAATAGATTTTTGTAAACCTTCTATAGACAAAAGAGAAAAATGCAGATTCTGTGTTTTTAGGGTATAAACACTATATACAAATACGAACCTGTATCATTATTTGTCTACTTTGTCAAATTATGAAATAATTATTATTATTAATTTTTTTGAGACAGGGTCTGGCTCTGTTGCTCAGGCTGGAGTGAAGTGGCATGATCTCGGCTCACTGCAACCTCCACCACCTGGGCTCAAGCGATCCTCCCACCTCAGCCTCCTGAGTAGCTGGGATTACCGGTGCACGCCACCACACCTGGCTAATTTTTTAAATTTTTTTGTAGAGATGGGGTCTCACACTATGTTGCCCAGGCTTGTCTCAAACTCCTGAGCTCAAGTGATCCACCTGCCTCAGTCTCCCAAAGTGCTGGGATTACAGGCATGGCCACCGTGCCCGGCCAAATTATGAAATAATTATATCAAAATTCCCTAATATAATTATAGTTTTGCCATGTTCTCCTGTATGTCTACTTCATTTTTTTGCCTTATACATTCCAGAACTATGTTGGTCAGGAAATAAAGGCAATGCCTATAACAATGTTTTGTTTACTATTAATTACATTTGTTGTTACTATACTTATTTTTACTCATTATTTCTTTGCTGGTTTGCTCATATTATCTTTTTGATTTTAAATCATTTAAAAACCTGTTTTTCAATTAAGAAAGCAAAATGACTATACACTATTTTCGCTGCCCATTTTTTCGCTCGGCTTGCTGTGTAGACATGGAGATGAGCTACCCAGATCTCCTGTAAGAAGGGAAGACTGCCTTACTGCATGCCTCTGCAGGGAGCCAGTTTAGCCTAGGTCATGGCCTTCCTGGGGCAGTCACCTCTTGTGACTGAGTGGCACGGTGGCACTCTTCCTCCAGCTCCCCATCAAGGTGGCCCAGGCTTTGTGTGTCTTGCGTGGGACTTTCATTTTGTGCGCCTTCCCTCATCTTTTTACAGGTTTTATCAGTTTCCTAGGGCTGTCGCTACAAAGTACGACAGTCTGGGTGGCTTCAAATGACAGAGATTTATTTTCCCACAGTTCTGGAGGCTAGAAGTCCAAAATAAAGTACTGGCAGGGCCATGCTCCCTCTGAGACTCGATTGAATTCTTCCTTGCTACTTTTTAGCTTCTGGTGGTAGCCATCTTTCTTGGAGTCCCTTGGCTTGCCACTGTGTTACTCCAGCCCTGGCCTCTGTCACCATTTAGCGCTTCTCTCCATGTGTCTCCCTCTTCATGTGGCATTTTCCTCTTCTTATAAGAACACCAGTTATACTAGGTTAGAGCTCACCCTCATGAACTCATCTTAACTTGATTATATTTGCAAAGACCCTATTTCCAAATAAGGTCACATGCACAGGTACTGAAAATTAGGACTTCAACATATCTTTCTAGGGAACATAATACACGGGTGTTAATTCCTACTAAGAATCTTGCAACCAAAACTGTGTGCCAGTGCTTGCTTCCAGAGAACCCAATCCATGACATCTCTTTTCTCTTTCTTGTCCATAGGTAGAGATACTTGGAATATTTTTACTCTTTCATTGCCTGCTCCACTCTAAGCTACTAAATATCTCCTCATAGTCAACACGTCTCTTCCACTTTAAGAAATCTTAATGAACAATTTGGACTTCGTAGTCACATTATGATCATTTATTTAGACTTGACCATAAGTTTTGCAACGTTCATTGCTCATCACTCTCTCTTTGGCTCTTCATCTCCTCCTACCTTGACACCTATGTCCTGATTCAATTCTCAGAAGTGGCATGTAGATGGCCCAGTCTGAGTAACTCCATGTCCAGAAATGTCTTCCTTTTGCACTTATGTAGGAATAGAGCTCTTGGCCAATGCAGGATTCTTGGCTCACAGGTCTTTTGTCCCATCTCTCTGTAAATACTGTATTGCTTACTGCTTACTTCCCACTTTGTAGATGAGTAGTTTCATGTTAGTCTGATGCTCCCTGCGCTAGAAGCATGCTGGTTTTCTCTGTCTGGAAACCTCTGAGGGTCTTCTCTTTTAACATTGTTCAAAATTCCATAATGATAGATGTGCCTTTTTTCATTCATCTTCCCCAGTAAAGAGAAACTGACAAGAAGTAAATACGTGGAGATCCAAATAGGAAGCTATGTGATAACCTGACTTAAACCACAAATAGAATTTAGGTTATCTCAATGAGGAATGAACAGGCTGCATATCTTTCAGGCAGTCCTCCATGAATATTATTTCTCCTAACCAGTCTTTTGATAAGAATTGGACAGTGGAGTACTCAAAGTTGTAGTCTCTGGCAAGAGCCTGGAATGCAGAAATTCCAATGGCCAAGTAAGGACATACTCACAAGGTTCATGTCTCCTTAGAAGATGTTACTATGTAATCTGACACAAGAGTCCTAGTTAAAACTTATTTTCAAAAATTATTTCTGATATGAAAGAGAGCTAACCTATGGTGTCATATGATTGGACTGTTTAGCACCAGCTCAGTGAGCAATAATATGTGCCAGACAATGACTTTTTTTTGACTATGTAGTTACTTATCTATTATTTCTGGTATTTAGTATCTGGATTCTGTGACCTTAAGGAATAAATAATTTATACTATTTCATAGCTTTCTATAGTTCTATGTTTTCACTCAATTTGAGAGAAGGGAAGATCATGTATTGAGCAACTACGATGTGTGAAATGCTGCCACATATGTGATTTCATTTATTCTTCAAAGAATCCGTTGGCACTCCCCAATTTAACATGTGCTATTTTGACACTTGTAAGTGTCCTATAAAGTCCATGGGATGCAGTCATTTTAATTTTGCTGAGCTGGGCTCTCTTGCTGTGAGGCTGGTTTGTAAAAGTGACGCCCTTAGTTGGTGAATGAACCTAGCAACCATCCATTCCCACCCCACGCACCTCCATCTCAGCCTGGCTTTGCCATTCTCTAAATCAGTGCTGGGCATTACAACCACCAGGGAAGCTTTTTGAAAATTCAGCTTCTGGGGCCACACACTGAAACCAGGGAATCACTACCTCTGCGTGGTAGACCTAGGGAGTCAGTATTTTCAGCACGCTTCACAGGCTTGGGATCATCTAAGCTACTGTGACCAGAAAAGGCAATAAAGAGAGTTTATCACTTCAGGATTGCTTTCAGGGTCTATTAGGGAAAACAGAAACCACTTTGGGTATATTAAAGAGGGGATATTTAATACATGGAATTGGTTATAAAAGTGATGGGTGAACTGAAAAGCTAAGCAAGAGATGGTGATGAAACAGATCACAATCAACATGATGCCACTATTGCTTTTAGGGCTGCAGGCACAAGAGAAGGTGGTGTTAACAGACCTCAAAAGCAGAGGTCAGCTGGGGTCAGAACATCAGGACGGGGGTTGACTGGCAGAAGTTGGAACTGCAGTAGGAGGGGTATGTTTAGAAGCATGGAGAAGACAGTCACTATTGGAGATGCCACCTAAGACACACAGGTTGGGGGAGAACATCCTGGTTTTTCTCATCTACCTTCTACCCGCCAATCCCTGTCTATGGCTCCCAGAGACCAACCTCATGAAAAGCATCTGAGCCCATAGGAAGCCTGAGAAATGCATCCTATATGGGATGACTTCCCTGTGATACAGAACACAGGAAGAGTAAGGAATGGCTCTAAGGACAAACGACCCAATGATGGGCCATAAAACAAAACAGAAAGTATAATGAAAGTGGGAAAGCAGTAGGGGAATAAGCCTGAGAAACATGATTCTCAATGGAAATGTGGATTGGGAGGTAGGCTAGGAACTGGTACACACGTTTCTATTGTTATAGCTCTGGGAATCCGTTAAGAGCTTAAATAGATCACTACCAAGTAGTCAGGGTCTACTGCAGCCCCTGCATTAAGTCTAGGAGGAAGGAGAGGAGCGAGGTTGTGACTTGGGATGATTTTCCTGGAGTCCAGTCAAGTGGTAGGGCTGAGATTTGATCCAGGGTTGTCTGACTTCAAAACTAATGCTCTTTCCACCATACACCTCTCTCTTTTACTTGTTTTCTCCTACTTAAAAACAATGAGAAGATTGTCTAATCAATATTGCACCGCATTTTTCAATTTGTAAGTGCAATCAAAAGGTTAGCCAATTATATTAATTTACATAATTTTTTCCTATAAAACTTGTTCTACATCAGTAAGCCTCAACCCAGAGGGCATGTCTTAATTGAAAAGGTGGTAGAGGAGCTTTTTAAAACTCTATAGTTACCGAAAGTTTTAGATATATTGTGCCTGGGGGCCATATGTGAGTCAGAAGCAACCCTTTCAACCTCTAATTCCCCAACTAGGGCCATAAAACTCAGTATTTTTAATTTGCCACAGATGAGTTTGCTTCTCATACATGGCCAAATAAGTGGGAGAATTGCTAATTACCTAATCACTTAACTAAGTAGGCCAATCTGTAGACACAAGAGGTTAAGGGACACTAGCCACGAGTCCTTACTCATCTTCCCATAAAAACAAACACTTTATTAAACACTGATAAAGTGAAGCAACAAGAATGAATTGGAAGAACGCTGGGATAGGCCTCCGAAGGCCTGGGTTTCATGTCCATCTCTGCTGCTGTCCACTTCTCTTCGATTATGAATTGCGCTAACTCCATTAGATAGTGCTTTTGTTTTGGTGCCTCTGCCAAGTTTCTTAGGTAGGGCCTCACTTCAAATCCTCTTTGGAATGAGGAGAGGACTCATTGATTATTTGGTCATTATGAGTGCAACTTGCCCTATGGGAATTGGGCTTCCAATAGGATAGCCATATTCAAATATTTTCATGCCATTCAGGCTGTGTATGTTAACATTTCCTAGCGCATTTCCCGAAAGACAAAGCAATTGGAAGATAATTTGGGCCTTGGTCACACCTGCATGTTAAAGTCAATCATTTTTGTTTTATTTATGCTCTTTTGAATTCATTTTTATTACCTAACACCAAATAAATTCACTCTTTCATTCATTCAATGAACATTTATGGAGCATAACATGTCAGGCAGTAAGCTAGGCCCGGGGCCATAATGACAAGGACAGGTACTCGTCTTCAAAGGAATCCTATTAGCAGGAGAGACAGGCATTGCAGTGGCTACAATTTACAATGTGGCATGTCCTTTACTCTGGGTTTTTGGAGGAGGAACTGCATAAGTCAGCCTGTGGGGCTCATGGAAAGCTTCACTTATGAAGAACACTGAAATTGGACTTAGAGCCGTTTGCTGGGGACATAAGGTTGAGAGCTAGAGGGTGGAAAAGAGTCTGGGCACCGTGTTGGCTTGCTTACAAAAAGACCCAGCACCGTGAAGGGTATTTAAATTTTCATGGGTGTACTCAGAGATCATGAGTCCTGCATTTTAACAATTTGCCCGCAAGTAGCCCGAGGTTTAGGATGTTACCTAAAGGGTTACCAACAGACTTCCTCATTGCTCCTTCCACCTATGATCGTAAGTCCCTCTTAAATTTTGTGCCAGAATAAAAAACAAATGTGTGGAAATTTATATGGATTCATGAAAACCTAGGGAGCTATTCTTAGGAAAACGTCAGCCTGGTAAACAGTTTTGCTGGGAAGATAGGAAGTATTATAGTTCTTCTTCTAGAGCCCTTACAAAGAGGCGTGGTATTTTTTTTAATGTGGGTTTGGCAACAAAAACAACAGTAACAACAACAACAACAAAAAGCAGGAGAAAGCAAAGGTTTAAAATGTGCTGGGTTATTTTCTGAGGCTTAAACAACAAAAAAAACACCAAACTGAAACAATCCTTAACATAGTTTCCAAAGCAGAAATGCCTGTATTTTTCAGACCAGAAAAAATTCTTATATTAAGAAACTATAGGCTTAGAGTTTTTTAAAGAATATTTGCATAAACTCTCAAAGAAATGCAGAAAATCTGTATGTTAAATATTTGTACAATGGAGGCCACTTCTACATACATATGTTCAGACATATGGTATGTTACACATTTGTATGCTTAGAAGCTGTAAAAATAGAACTATGGTGTCTTACATTCAATGTAAAGCTCTCCTATTCTTACTGATGAAAATAATTTAAATGAGGTTTCACTTCATGTATCTAATATTTATATAACCAAGCCACTGCCAAAACCAATTCCAAACGATGGCACCTGCTCGCTATGAATCCAAATGGAGACCAATCAAAACAAATTGCAGGGCTCTTATATTCTCTCATAAAACACATTCATCAATTCTCAGAATGGCTCTCCCAAAGTGAATAAACAGAATAGCTATAAATGGCAATGACAAAAGGATCAGCATCAAATGAACCACTTGTAATTCATTTTCCCAACAAAGGTTGTGCTAAAAGAATTCATAAGCCTTTTCAAGCCAAGCCTTCATTGCAAACATTAGACAGAAGAAAGTCGCCAGTGAAAACAGCCATGACGGATGTGTTGCTTTCAGACCAATGTAACTCACAGCCTTTCATGAAAAACACTGCTACTGCATGATGTCCTGCAATGATTTTCATTTTACATATACAAAGACATAGTATGTATCTGTGTGTATCTGGTGATAGTGTCGGGGTGGTGGGGAAGCTGGGAGTCGGGGGGAGTAATTAGTTAGATAGTCATGATATTTGGCATGGAGGCAAAGAATCCATGGAGATTTAACTAACACTGTTACTTTTCTATCTCTTCCCAGTCACATCTGGGATAATCACAAATAATCTCACATAGTTGAACTTCTTGCCTCTATAACTTGCTTACATTTTTTCTTCCCCTTTTGTTTTGTTTTGTTTTTGAGACAGAATCTTGCTCTGTCACCCAGGCTGGAGTGCAGTGGCATGATCGCTGCTCACTGCAACCTCTGCCTCCCAGGCTCAAGTGACTCTCCCGCCTCAGCCTCCTGAGTAGCTAATATTACAGATGCACACCACCACGCCAGGCTAATTTTTGTATTTTTGGTACAGACAGGGTTTTGCCATGTTGGCCAAGCTGGTCTCGAACTCCTGACCTCAAGGGATCTGCCTGCCTTGGCTTCCCAAAGTGCTGGGATTACAGGTGTGAGCCACTGTGCCAGCCTCTTCCCTAGTTTTTACCATACATTTGATACTGGGTAGACTTCACAATATTATATCTTTACTACATGGCAATATTTCTCATTTTTCATTCACCAGCTTATGCTTTTTGTCCACATTTTATTTCTAAGCTATTTTCCTCTTTTTTTCCTAAGAGTACATGCCTTGGGAATTATTCAATTATTACAACAATTTATGATACACTATATGCAAATAAAACCAGTTTTGATTGGCAGAAAAATGTTTGGTCTCAGAAACAAACAAACAAGTCTGTTTGCCTTTGTTCCTGTAGCAGCCTGCAAAGTATTTCTGCGTTTATGTCATTTTCTATTGAGAAACCAAAGCCACACAGATCCCCTATATGCCCCAAATACAAAGAACAGCTGATAGTTACCCTGCCAGGTGTCTGGGGGCTCTGTGCCTGTGGGGAAGTCTGAAAGGCCATAGCAGGGAAGCAGGAAGAACTGTTAAATAAATACAATCATTGCAGGGGATGGCCAATGCTGTTATGGGCAGAAAAGGACTGAGCAGGAGACAAATTTTGTCCAAAGGAAAAAATTTTTAAAAGCCTTTCTGTAGTTTGGGTGAATAAGCTTAATTCGTAACAAGCAATGAAAGTGGTTTCAAACTAGGCACAAATGTAAATGCCTAGATAGAAGCAGTCATGAAATGACCACTTAAGATCTATTCTTCAATGAGGAGGGTATTCATTTACTCAAACATGTATTCCCGGATGTCTTTATGTGAGGTACTTTGAGGTATACAAGATGAATGAGATGGTCCCTGTTCTCAAGGCACACAAAAGAGAAGCCAAAACTCAAGCACATGTAATAATGGGAAAGTCTTTAACAGGATTAGAGTTAATACTTTTACTTGGCTTTGCCTCTAACAAGTATTCAATCATCACAGTCAGAGAGCTTATATGGAATGTTCTTTAATATGTAATAAAAAATTAAAAAGCAAAAAAAAAAAAAAAAACCAAGGCCAAAAGAGATAATAAATCAGCCACTAATCACTGAATATTAAATTTTCCAAGTGTTTGACATGTGCTTGGCTGTGTGCAGGTTCAAGACACACTGGGCAGGCAGCTGCTTTCAACAAACCAACAATTTCCCTAGAGAATCAAAACTAAAAGGAGTTCAGAGGAGAGGGAGGTGACTGTGGTCTAGAGTCAGGGTCTACAGTCAGCATTCTTAAGTCATGGATGAGAGATGTCAGAGCAGGAGGGAAGGAGCAGGCGTGGAGAAGGGAAGGGCCATGGCATGTCTGGTAAGAGAAAATTATCCTGTGCTGATACGATGGGAATTCAAGGGAAGAGGATGATTAGCGGCGGGCTAGATGGCCCTGGGAGACAGCCATGAATGTGACAAATTAAGGAACATCTGCTGAAGGCTTCTGAATAGGAGGCCAATAAAAATTGTAAAAATAATATTGCTTAAAAGAAGGCGAGATAAAATGGGAAGCGAAAACCAGATTTGAAGGGTGACTCTAGAGCCTGCTGCAATAGTCATGAGGATGAAGACCTGAAAGACCAGGGCAGAGCTGCAGGCTGAAAGGAAGGAGCCCCACAAGATGTTTACAACAAAAACACTGTCAGAACCTGAGCAAAGCCAGGGACTGAGGAGTGCAGGGTTAGCAGTTAAGTCAAGATGGCAAGGCGTGCAAGCTTCACTAACCACTGAAGATCATGGAGTTCTCAGAGCAGCTTTCTCCCTGCCTGGTCATAACCTGTGCCACCTTTATCCCAGCTGCAGAAGGAACCAAGGAGGGACACTTGAACTAGGCTAAACCAGCAGATTATCCAAAGCAAGAACTTTATCTACAACACAGGGACTGAGTGAGTCAAGTGACTTTTCAGGTCAGGTAGGGTCAGGGCTAGCCAAGGTCCTGGGAGAGTGAAACTAGGAAAGCTGCAATTTAATCAGACTGTGGAAAGATGCACAGAGAAGGCCCTGTGTTTCCAGACAGACAGAGATACTGCTACAGCCTGACAACTCTCCAGCTGTGTAATGTCTAGCCATACTCCCTAGCAAGCAACTGGGTTCTGGGAGCGCCCCTGTATCTTCACAATCCATTCAGCATTCACTTGAGTTCTTTGCAGGAGTTTCTAGTCCTTACAGCCAAACTCTCCTTGACTAAGACAGAAAATGTTTTATCAATAAGCTGCCATAAGCCTAGCAGAGGTCATTGCTCCAATCTCCACTTGTCACTACCCCCTCTGGAGAGCCACACCCTAATGTGACAGGTGATGACAGCTCGGTGGTCACAGGAAGAGGCTCTGGTGTCACAACACTGCCCAGCTTCACTATTGACTCTGCCGCACACCAGCTGTATGGAATCCTCAAGTGGCTTAACCTCTGTGTGCCTCAGTTTCCTCATCTGAAAAATAAAACAAATAACAGTACCTCTCTCACAGGGCAGTCGTTAGTAATGTCCAAGATTTACAGCACTCCAATGTTCCTGGCACACCATACGCAGTCCCTGCACTCAGCATTGTGATGACTATTTTTAGCTACTCTCACCAGAAGGAGCACCACAGGACAGAGTGGACCCTCATTGCCCTGCTCCCAACCTTCTCGTGGCTACAGAAGAAACTCCAGGTATTCGAGGCCTTGCAAAGTGTGATGCTCACCCTCATCTCTGGCCGCTCCTCCACCATTCTTCCCACCCTTGAGGTGAAGGAGCCTCTACACACAGGGCCCCCTGCGCCCCACATGCTCCCTCTCAAGTGTCAGAGGGCTCCTTCCTCTGCAAATGTGGCAGGTGCTCTGACAGCCTCTTGCCTGCACCAACAGTGTTTGTTCTACTTGAGCTAGCCTCTCCAGGGCTGTGCCAATCTCAAATGCCTCCCCCTGAGGACTTCCTTGAAGAATGCAATGCTTCATCTGCTGTGCCCTCACAGCCCTCAGCCAACGCACTTGCATTCTGGACCAGTTAGGCGTTTAGGTGACCCTGGACTGCATGTGCTCTCTGTCCTATAAATAATCATTATCACAGCCAATGCATATGAAACACTCCTTTGTGCCAGGCACTCAGACAAGTACTACATGAATTAACTCATTTAATTCTTCCAACAACTCCAAGTAACAGGTTTCTGTTATTATCCTCATTGCTTGGTTGCAGAGGAAAACGAAGGCAACAGAGAGGTTAAATAACTTGCCTCTAGCTGGGTGAAGTGGTGCACACCTGTAGTTCCAGTGCTTTGGGAGGTCAAGGCTGGAGGATCACTTGAACTCAGGAGTTCAAAGCTGCAGTGAGCTATGATCATGCCACTGCGCTCCATCCTGAATGACAGAGTGAGACCCTGTCTCTCAAAAAAAAAAAAAAAAAAATTGAAAACTAGAAGAATAAAATATATAAATAACTTGCCCAAGGTCATACAGTTGGAGCCAGGATGGGAATGCACAGACTGTCCAGTTCCAAAGTGGCTCTTAACCTCTCTGCTAATACTGCCTATTTGAAGACTTCGCTTATTTCCTTAAGTCCGCTACCTGCCCCCTGCCTCCCCGAGGAATGGTGGGCCCTTTGTTTCCTGCCTTCCCACCTGTAAACTATGAACGCCCATACCCATCTTTGTCCCTCTCTGATGCACAGCTAAGGTATGTTCTCCGCTCCCCACAACACATACCTGTCTGGAGCTTTATCAGATACTCTTTTTCCTGAATCGACTACTTTCCCTCATCTGGCTCTTCACCCTGAGAATATGAGCATGTGAACTCCTTCCTGAGACCCTTCCTCCTGGCTCCTGAAACCTCTTCTTCACCTTGATGCTCCCTCCTGGCTGCGGCATCATCCCACTCCCTTTATGCTCAAAGTCAACTCCTCAAAAGACTGTTGTCCATTCTCCATCTTCACCCCCACCCCTCCACACGCTCATGGAGGCACAGCAATCCGGCCTCCTGGACAACCACCCCAAGTTCAAAGGTGGATTCCTCATTGCTTCACCCAAGCAGTCATTTCATTCATGACCTTCCTCAACTTCTCTGAAGCACGGACACTGAATACCTTGCACACAGCAGGCTCTCAAATCTGTGTTGAACTGATGAATGACCAGTCCTCCTTCACTGACTGTCCCTCTTCCCTTGGCTACCTGAAGTGGCCAACACTGTCATTTGCCTACCCCAAATACCCCAAATCCCTTTTCCCCATGTGCTTTATTAACAGGATCATAGCTTTATTTAGGAAGGTAATGTTCCCAGTTAAACAAACAAGAAACTTGTATTCCTAGACATTCTAGCAGTGAGGTATCGACAGACATTTACATCCAGAGAGACTTGTTAGAGGCAAACTCAGTTGGGAAGTGCATGTCTGCCACTTGGCATTTGCTCTTTGCCCTTTCTTCCACGGATGATGAACTTGGGAGACAGCATGAGCAGGGCCTCCATATATGCCTGGTTTTCCCTTCCTGGTATGCCTGGCTTTCCTCCACTTCTCTGAACACTTTTTCTTGGGCTCTCTGGCAGGCTTCCACCTTTTTTGACTGTTTCTTAAATGTTCCTGTTCCTCATGGTCTTCCGAATTCTTTTCTTCTCACTGCTTCTGAATAATCTCTTCCATCACCAATGGGTTTAACTGCAACCTACTTGTGATGACTCCCAAATAACTCTTTGAGCCCAGACTTTCTTGAGCTCAAGATTTATATTCCCAGCTGCTTTTAGGGTTTCTATAGTATCTCGCAGGCACTATAAATTTAAAATGCTTCAATTGCAGTTTATCGTATCCCATCCAGCTCAAAGAATGCCACCATTAGCACCCAGTTGTCCAAGCCTGAAATCAAGGGGCCATCCCAATTCCTCCTCAATACATCCTCCCCACAACCTATCAATTAAGCTCTTTCCAATCAATCTCCTTGATGTTCCTTGACTCTGAGTCTTTCTCTGCATTTTCCCTTATACAAACTTAATTGAGATCTCATCATTTCTAACACAGATTGCTGCCCTAGCCTCCTAATTAGTCTGCCTTGTTGGTGAACAACATTGCTAAAGGGACTTTTCTATATGCAAATCTGTCTAACCACTCTCCTTCTTTAAAATCCTGCAAGGGCTTCCCACTGCTTCAGGGCAAACCTCAGAGGTTTTGGCACAGCGTATGACCTCTCACGACTCTCATATCTCCTCCCAGCTCACCCCAACACAACTGCAGCCACATGGGATGACTGTCAGCTCTCAGAATGCGTGGTTCTCTTTGCATCTTACCTTTGCACACACTTCAATGCCTGGCACATCCCCTTCACTCTCAGGCTGAGTGCTCTTTGTCCTCCAAGATGCAGCTCAGGCATGACTTCCTCGTATGAATCCTCTCCTACCCCTCCTGAGGCAAAGGGCAGCGTTTCTTCTCTGTACTCACGTGCTCTGGGACTAACTCTATTGTGACACTTACTGACTATATTGTAATCCTCAGTTTAAATTTCTTCTCTTTCTAGTACACTATTGGCCCCTTGAGGGCAATAACCTCTGTCTATCCATCCATCCATCCATCCATCCATCCATTTTCTATCCATCACAGTGCCTGGCACATGAATAGACACAAAAATGGAAAGTTTAATGCATATATGCGTATTTCTGTTGTTCTTAGATAAGCTACCTTGAGTTCAGAAAGGATGTCTCATTTTTTAAGTCCTTACACATTAAGTAGATGCTTCATAAATGTTTTCTTCCTCCTTTTAGCACTGGATAATCAAGGAATGTTCAAGCATCAAACTGACATGAAAAACTAAGGATGGCTATCAATTTAGTATTTCGAATACTTCCATAAGATATCTTTTCTTGCTATTCCAGGTTCATTCCATAAAGTTTCAGTTTCTTTGAATAGTTTCTCTTTTGGAATAACTTTAAAAATCATTATAAATGCAACTCATATCTATTTTAGAAATATGAGAAAGAGACAGAAAATCACAAAGAAAATAAAAGGAGCCATCAATCTTCTCATCCAGAGATGCCCATTATTTATCTGGTGGGGTATCTTTTTCTAAGCTGTTTTCTGTGATGGTAACACACTGACTTCACTCTCTATCGCCTGTTTCCAGACTGGCACAAGGGCCGAAATGCGCTGCTAATATGCTGGGGCAAACCCCCATCATTCATTCCATCAGAACTCAACCTAACAGTCAAAAGACAAAACAAGGAGAGTCCGTGTGGTGGCCACTCTAAATGATGAAGGCTTCTTAACCTGAGATTGGGCTTGTTTTGGAGCATGCTGTTCTTTGGCTTCAGACCATACTCAGGTGTGTCTTCCGGACTTTCCCTTATCTCTTTGATGAGATTCCGTCCAGCCTGACCAAATGTACTTCTTTCAAGTGGTATATTATATTCACAGGAGTAACTCTGTAATCTTATTATTAAACTCTGTCAATCCCTGTGGTTTTGAAAGTACGAAAAAAATCCCAAATCTTTAGTCTTGGAATATATTTCAAATCTCTCCCACCTGGCAGGGTGCCTCAACACCCACCACTGTGCGGATGTCTCAGTATTACATGTACCCTCTTTTCTCAGCATCAAGGAACAGCATAAACCTATACTTCTTAAATTCAGCCCAACTGAAAGAAATCCAGGAAGTATTTAGCATTGTTGTGATTATTAGCAATCCAATATGAAAAAAAAAATGTGCCCTTTTCCTAGTGTTAATACCGCTAAGTATCCCTGGAATTCTAAGTTCTCTCATGCCCGGGCTTGTTATTTTCCCTTGGATAGCCCTCCTTTGAGAATTTTCAGCAGAATATAAAGGACTATATCCTGGCTCAAGCAAAGCACCCTCTCCATCCCCTCCTCACACACACAAATTAAATTTGCCTTATCAGAAGGAAGGCAGGGGCATCTGGGAACAGAGCAATGGGTTAAAATATCTATGGACCAATCCACCTGTGTGGTAGTAGCAGGTGCTGACTCAGCGAGGCCTGAGAGCCCTAGGAATGGACATGGAAGCCTGCAACTTGGATCGACACTTTTCCTATCTGGGATTTCTATATGAGGGGGAGAAGAGATGCAAGCACAGGGAGACAACTGCTCAAAGTATTCCAACACTTGGAGTGCTTACAGCTCAAGTTCCTCAAGAACTTAACAGTCATGGAGAATTTGGAGCAAGGGTACCCAAATATGACCTTGGGAAGCCTAGGACACCTTTGTTTGAATGACAAAAAGGCAACCTTTCTGATTTAGCAAATGCCTATGCCCTTGCAGAAAAATGAGAAAAAGATACCACCTCTGGGCAGACTTAACCCTGCAAAGAAAAAGGCCCCTTTTCAACAGCAGATACAGAGCGTGGCAGCTGAGAACAGGTTGGAAATCAGCCTCCATCTACCCTTCAGTGGAGCCCCATTGTGCACTGCACTAACTATAGAATCACACATAAAGGCCCGACATCCTCTTGACATAGATGCTATCCATGGATGACTGACTGGGATGGGTCTTCAAGGCCTTCTTACATCAGTAAGAAGGAAATGGTGAGGTCTGTTGAACCCAAGGTACTTCAAGCAACCCATGTTTCTTCCCCATGCCACAGAAAACAAGGAAAACTGGATTACTCATCCATTTAACAAACACCTGTGCATGTGCAGGCCCTGTCTAGATGCTGGATGAAAAGCATGGTACAAACCTCAAGGACTATTGCATTCGAAAGGCAAGGTCTACCCCCAACATTTGCAGGGCCTAAGCAAGAGAAAAAATGGTAGCCACATACCACATGCTGTGTGTGAGGCTTCTCCTCACTCACTGGCCCAAACCGGGCACCTGCTGCCCACAGGTATCTCCACCAGCCCCTTCACCATCACTATTTTCAGTTTCTCTAAGGAACCTGATATGGGAAGGCCAGGCTCATGTATGTTTTCTTTGGAAAAATATCTATTTAAGTCCTTTGCCTATTTTTCAATCAGGCTCCTTATTTTTTCTTTTGCTATTGGGTTGTAGGGGTTCCCTATATATTTTGAATATTAACCCCTTTTCAGATGTATAGTTTGTTAATATTTTCTCTCATTCCATGAGTTGCCTTTTCATTCTGTTGATCATTTCCTTTGCTCTTGAGTTTGATATTGTCCTAGTCCTATCTGTCCACTTTTGCTCTTGTTGCCTGTGATTTTGGTGTCATATCCAGGAAATTGCTGCCAAAACCAATGTCATGAAGCCTTTCCCCTAGCTTTTCTCCTAGGAGTTTCACAGTTTCAGGTATTATTTTTAAGTCATTCATCCATCTTGAGTTGGTTTTGCGTCTGATATAAAAGTCCAGTTTCATTCTTTCACATATGGATATCCAGTTTTCCCAACACCCTTTGTTGAAGGTACTATCTTTCCCTATTGTGTATTCTTAGCACTCCCGTTGAAGATCAATTGATTGTATATGTATGGGTTCATTTCTGGGGCCTCTATTCTATTTTATTGGCCTATATGTCTATTTTTATGAGAGTGCCATACTCTTTTGTTTACTGTGGCTTGTAATATATTTTGAAGTTAGGAAGTGTGATGCCTTCAACTTTGCTCTTCTTTCTCAAGATTGCTTTGGCTATTTGGGCTCCTTTGTGGTTCCATATGAATTTAATTTTTTTCTATTTCTATAAAACAATACCATTGGGATTTTGATAAGAAGTGCAACTAAGAGGACTTCATTCTTTTGCACAACTGTTGTGTACCCTAAAATTAGTCACTGATGAACAGAAGGTATGTACTACAGATAGAGAGTTTCAGTATTTTCAAGTATACTCCAAATGCTTTTTAAAATTACAGCCAACATATTGATGGAAGGTGTGCTTATCTCAAATATAATTTTAGCTGCATCCAGATTTCCCTAGCTTTGAACTTATATAGCCAACTGACAGCTCCCTTTAGAATCCTCAAAAACATATTAGAGATAGGTCCTAAACAAAACTCAAACACCTCTTTATTTCTGCCCCTGCAAACTTTCCCATCTCATTCAATGTCACTTCATTCCCATTTTTACTCAAGTCAGTAAACTTCATTTACAAAAATCAGTCATTCTTGATTTCTCTCTCTTTCTCCTTAGTATGCCCTCTCCCAAATCTTGCTGATTTCTCAAAACCATCTTTTGTTCTCCATCCTAATTGCTACACCTCAGCCCAGTCACCAATATCTCTTGCCTAGACTAATATAACATCCTCCTACTTGATCTTCCTGCTCCCATTCTCCACAAGGCAATAATGGTCTTAAAAAAGAAATCAGTTCAGGTTAGGCCTTGTGTAAAACCCTTTAATGTCTTCTTATGGCATTAGAATAAAATCTAGACTTCTGATCTTGCCCTATAAGACCCCGTGTGGTCTGTTGCCTGCCTAGCTCTCCATGCTTATCTGATGCTATGCTTCCTCTTGCTCACCAGCCTCCTTTCAATTCCCCAAGTGCATGCACATGCCTCCCCCTTGCCCATGATGATTCTCCCTGGCCACTCTACCCAAAGCAGGTGCTTCTCTGTGGTTCAAGTTCTCAGCCCATTGTTTATTTCCTTCCTAACATTTATTGTAATTGGCAATGATTTTACTAACTACTAACTACCTTTTATTGTTTTTGTCTGTTTCCTCTCACTATAATGTAAACTCCATGAAGCCAGCAGCTTAACATGTCTATTAGGAACTAGAGTGAAAGTTAATTCAGTTCAATGACTGGTCCACAGTGTCTACAGTAAGAGCTCAAGAAATATTTACCAAGTGAACAATCTTACAACCATCTTAAAAATTCACCCCAATTATTGCTCTCCAGACTTCTATCAATTAAGCTTCTAAAGCATAAACAAAAATTTCTTTCTTATAAGACAAACTCAAAACTTTCATTATACTTTGAGGAAGTTTAATTCAAATCTGGGCTCCAACAGATTATTTTCTTCAAATATTCACATTGGCTATCAAGTGGAACTCCACGGGGAATGAAAAAAAACCACCATGGATGCAAATTCAATTATTAAAAAAAAGGCAGTAGCATAACAGTACTCATGCCTTATTTAATGTGGAAAATATTTAAATAAGATCATTATGGCTCTCTTACAGCGTATCTATTTAGTCTAAACCTCTGGTTCCTTTCCACTATAAATCTACTTTGTTTGAAATCTCAGAATGTATAGCCCAAGGCTTTTCCAATGCTAAAACAAAACAAAACAAAACAAAACAAAACAAAACGGGCACAGTGATCTTTATCACATTTTGGAGTATTAATTACTAACAGCACAAAAAATTTAGCAGATAATTTGAACTATATATTCTTTATCTATTCTTTCTTCCAATCTCTTTGTGAATCTGTAGCCATAATTTCTAAGCAATTAAATCCAAGACAGGAAAATAGTATGTCATTGAGACAAGAAGTAGTTACAACAACTCCTTAATAAGCCATGTCCATTTCATCTGATCTTTCAGGGTCAAATGGTTTAGTAATTCCCTAAAAAGGAATAAACAATGAAGATTTTAAAAAACTGAGAAATATGGAAAAATAAAAACAATTAGCAAACACTACCACCATCACCAACAAAAAATTCAACCCAATACTTACTCCAAATGTTTTAAATCAACATTGCAATTCTTGTTTGCTGGAGAATCCTAGAATATACTCTGTTCTTTGCACATATTGAATGACACTCATCATGTACCCCTTGTCTCCCTGGGGAATGCCTATCCACTTATTAACCTGCTAAAGAGTTGCTTCCTCTGTAAAAACCTTTGCATTTCCTTCCTCTGGGTTCCTGTAGCATCTTGGACATATGTCTTTTACACAGCAACAAATAACAACAAAGCATCGTAGACATTAAACATATATGTGTGTACCACGCCAAGAGCAACTTAAGGACTTGTCCACTCGTCTTTGTAAGCCCAGGCCCTAGGACAGTGCCAGGTACATAGTAAGTATTCATTCACCACATTTATTGAAAAAATGAATAATTAACTCATCTCTTTTACTCCTTTTCCTAAGATCTATATATGGTCACCATATTTTATAACCCTAAAACTGACAACCATGATGTCATAAAGGGTTTTGGTGTCATTTTTAGGTGCATAAAATAGAAATATGCTAGTTTTGATGTCCAAATACTAGAATTTCTAAGATGTTTCACTGGGCTACTGGAGGGAATATTTGATAACTAACCTAGAAAACATGGGATCTCAAGTTGCCATAGCTATGAAAGACGGAAACGGTGGTGACCTTAAATCTGTGGGATAGATATCTAACTCTGGCTTCTTTCTCATCTCCCCACTTCCTATGCTCCAGCCTTTCTTTCATTCAAATGACACAATGGTAAGGATCACTGACTTCCTGGCAACCTCACTAGCCATGAATTACGGGTTGCTCTGGTTGAGGAGAAGACAACCTCGGAGCATCATTTCCTGATGACATTATCAAAACTCTCTAGTTTGGATCAAATGAGGAAAATGCTGTCTTAGATTCATGAAAAAATCTGAAATGCAGATTATGTTCAGAAAACTACACTTTTCTTCTTTTTTCAGTCACACACAGGAGCTCCAAACATGACCATCAAATAAATAACAAAACCGGTTCAGAAAGGAATGTTTTAAGAATGAACAAAGTTGAATTAGGTATTTTATATTGGCAAGTCTAAGAAATGTTTGTGGTCTTTAAATTTTAAAAGTTTGTTCAGATGTACATCAGAACATTGTAATTGAGGAAAAAATTGAAAACAAACTAAAGAGTAACAGTGGATTAACTGTGGTACATCCACAGAAAAAAATAACATGCAACTATCAAAAAAATGCAACTATCAAAAAAATGCAGAAGCATATTTAAAACATTCACTGTATATTACATGGGGAATAAAAGCTGTTTATGGAGCTGAATATACAGCAGGATGCTATCACCGTATGAAATCACATATACATATTTAGACATAGAAAAAGCCTGGAACAATATACATGAAGTGCAAACAATGGCATCTCAGTGAAGTGTACTACTTTTGCTTATCAGAACTTTCTACAATTTCTAAAATGAACCTGCATCGCTTCTCTCATTAGAAGGTGTAATTTGCCTGTTTCAGTATATTTTGTTATTCTAATCTTTTTTTCACATGATTAAAATACATATCTTATGAAAGTTTGCTCAAAAGTAAATGTCATTTAACTTCTCATCCTAATTATAGAACAAGGTTGATTGACTGTGTTAAAATTAAAGCAGATTTCTGAATTCTCTATGAAAATATGAATGAAATAGGAGAAACCCAGAAATTTTCATGAATGTTAGGAAAACTAAAAGGAAAGCTCACTGACTTCCTATATACCATCAAAATTGCAACACCATTTCCCTAGAAAGAGTTTTAGTCTGGAAGATTTCCTAAAGTCTAAAACATTTGCTAATGTGCAAATATTTTAAGACACATATCACAGATTTCTGTGAGCAACCATTCCACATATTTTCCAAGCGTTATCTATCACCATTAATAAACATTCACTAAGTTCTTTCTCAGTCAACTGGTATTAGGAAAGACAGATAAACTATTGTCCCTTTCCTTCAGGAAATTTGCCCTAAAGATAGGGGATTATTCCATATATTACATATATTCTTCGGGTTTCCATTTATTCAAGTTACCAGTTTTCTGAATAAATAACTTTACAATTTTATAGAGAATTCCTTTCTAATCCTTACTACTTTTTGTGATAAGAACCACTCCCATTTAACAGATGAAAAGACTAAGACACACAAAGATTAAGCAATTTGCCTAAAATCAGAAAGCTTGGAAGTCACAAGGTTAGGTGTGGAATGTAGTTCTACCAGCCTGTAGAGACACAGATGTTTTAACCATTAAAACACACACACACACACGCTCTCTCTCTCTCTCTCACACACACACAAAGTAAGGAGTACAGGCAGAAGGTAGTACACTGATTCAGAGGAAAACCAATACTACCTAGAGCCGGAAGGATCAGAGGACATTCCATGGAGTGCACGGCACTTAACTGACGTCTTGAAAGACAGAAATGCATTATCAGGAGAGATAAGCAGTTCCAGGAGAAGGCATTTTTCCCTGCTGGTTACAAATATGGCTTGGATGTCCCTCAGTCCTCTTTTGTAAAGGATCCAGACAGACTTCCCAACCCACAAGAAGGAACCTGACAATATTCTATGATTAGAAGGAAATCTTAGCAATTCAAAGTGAGGAAAATATTGTTTGTTTCCTATCATTACTGGTCCTCTCCTCTCCCACTATTCAGCAACAATTTTGCAAAGGAATAGGGAAAAATCTGCTCCTGAATAAAATCTAAGAAGACAATGAACTATTTTTTTTTTTTTTTTTAATTTACAGCACTCACTGAAGAGAAAAATGTCTCTGGGTTAGGAAACTGGGCCAAAGTTACAGAAATAATTGTGTCATGGGTGTGGAACTATATTTCAATTTATAAGTGGAAAAAAGTCATCAGGAGAAATAGATGACAAGGGAATAAGATGAACCAGACAAACCCATGAAGGAAGTAAGTCAGTAAAGCCCTTAGCTTGAACAGTTTACTCATGTTTGGAGTAAAAACATTTACTTATAAAATTGTTCCCTCTCACAATAATGCCAAAGAAAGAAAAGAAAGAAAGAAAGAAAGAAAGAAAGAAAAGAAACTGTCATTTATCCTTGATTGTTCCCCCAAGCTATAATCACATACGTGTAAAGGAGTATTTCTTGTGAAACACTTAATACCAATTTACCAATAAAAGGGGAGGAAGATGACCTTTCGCTTCAGTTCCTTTTTCACCTCAAGAATCTAGAAGAACCCACATCCTTCTTCAGCTATCTGGCTGTCTCCAATTGTGCTCACTGTATTCTATCTTAACTCCACTCAAGTCAGGCTCCAACTGCACCACTCCACCGCAATGACTCTCACACAGGTGACTTGTAACCTCTATGTCACTAAATGCAGCACTCAGTGATTAGACTTCATCTCACTTGTCAGATCAGCTGCAACTGACACACCATCACTCCATCTTCTCTCATGTCTTCTTCACATGGTTTCTAAAGCGCCGTGCTCTCTTGGTTTTCCTACCTCTCTGATTGCTCTAGCTTGGTTTCCTTTTCCTGATCTTTCAATGTTATAGAATGCTTCAAGGTTCAGTTCTTAGTCTTTTCTTTAATGACACTTTCCCCTTAGTGATCCCATCTACTCTCCTGACTTCACTATCCACAGGCAGATGACTCACAATTGTGTATTTCAGTCCAGCCCTCTTTCCTGAACTTGACTCAGGTATCTAACTGCTTACTTGATGCCTCCACTTGAATGTCTAATAAAGATTGCTTAACGTATGCAAAACTCAGCAGCTAATGCCACTCACCTCCACAGCCATAGCCCCTCCCCCCACCAAAAAATATCCTACTCCACCCATAGATTTCCATATTTCAGCTGATGGCAACTCCAATCCTTCCCGTTGTTTAGGCCTCAAACCTTTCAGTTATGCTTAACTTCTCTCTTATGCCCACCTTAAATCTACCAGCAAAATCTGTTGGTTCTATCTTCAAAATATACCTATAATTTAGCCACTTCTTCCACCTCCACCGCTACCACCCTCATCCAAGCTATCATCATCTCTTACCTGGATTGCTGGATAGCCTCCTAATTGGTCCCCCTGCCTCTACCACGCCCTCAGAGTCTATTCTCAACACAGCAGGAGTGTTCCTATTAAAATCTAAGACAGATCATGTCACTCCTGTGCTCAAAGCTCTGTGATGGCTCTCATCTCACTCATAAAGCCAGTGTCCTTCATACAAGATACTATGCCACCTATGTTTGCAATAATCCTCACTATTGCCCACCTCTCTAACCCCCCTCTAACTATTTTTCCCTTCAACAACTCTGCTTCAGCCATGCTGAGCTCCTGTTCCTTACACTATATGTGTATACACATACACTATATGTGTATACACATACACACATACACACTTTATATGTGTAAATTTACATAGTAATTTACTTATTTTTTATGTTTGTTACTGCCCCTCCTTCTACCCTGTTAGAATGTATGCAAAATGTGGGTTCTACAGGGCAGGAGTCTTTGTTTTGTACACCAAAGTATCCTAAGAGACTAGCCCAGTGTGAGGCACATAATCAGTGCTTTAATCAACATCGCTTAATGAATGAATTTCTAGTCTCAGCAAACTATAAAGGGCTCAGCCATGTGACTGAACTTGTTCCACTAAGAATCTTACTACATTCCTTTTTCTTAAAAAACATGTGGGCCAGGCGCAGTGGCTCACGCCTGTAATCCCAGCACTTTGGGAGGCCGAGGCGGGCGGATCACGAGGTCAGGAGATCGAGACCATCCTGGCTAATGCAGCGAAACCCTGTCTCTACTAAAAATACAAAACAATTAGCCAGGCATGGTGGCGGGTGCCTGTAGTCCCACCTACTCGGGAGGCTGAAGCAGGAGAATGGCTGAACCTGGAAGGCGGAGCTTGCAGTGAACCGAGATCGCGCCACTGCACTCCAACCTGGGCGACAGAGCGAGACTCTGTCTCAAAAACAAACAAACAAACAAACAAACAAACAACAACAAAAAAACACATGTGCCACAGTAAATGCTGAATAAATGCTTGTTGAATGAATTTCTAAATGGCACTGTGTTGTAAATGGAATAAAATCTCACCGCAAATATCATGAACTCAATAAAACAAAACAAAACAGAAACTGTGTACCATTTGTTCATCCATTTATCCATCTATTAATTCATCTACTCAACATAAATTTGCGTAACTATAATGTGCTCTGCATTATGTCCCTGTATTAGGGACATAAATAAAAGGCTTAGTCCCTATTTTTGCATGGGGCAAAGAGAAAAGAAACCATACAAATACAATTCAGACTATTAATTGCCTTTATAGAGGGAAGCCCTGGGAACAACAGGATCACAGAAGAAAGCACCTAACTGACCGTGGTTGTAGAGGCAGGGGCCATCAGGAAAGATGTGCCCCTTGAACTAAATTTTTAAGGAGTTAGTTAAGGAAAAACAGTTGGCAGGGGTTGTGGAGGAAGGAGGAAGAAGATGCCATTTTAAGCAGAGGACACAGCTTGTCTGAAAGCACAGCCAGTAAGCATATACAGAAAACACTGAACTGCAGGCAGCTCAGTTAGCTAGAGTACTGGAATCCAGGGGATATGTTGAAGTGGAGAGGTCTTTTACTCATACTGCATAGTTTGATTTAAACTTGAACTTCTGTGGTAGCCATTACAGTTGCATTCTCAAGTTTGTATTTTAGAAATAACTGAAAGCAAGTAGTATGGTAAACGGGGCCTTGAGAAAGACTATATAGAAAAGGTATGAAATTTAAATTCAGAGTTAGAAATGCAATATAAATTGGTAAAGAGCATCAGGAATTTTAATTCTTGACTCAAAGTAACCTGACAATTATAATTATATTATTTACCTTTTTTCCCCAAGAGGACTCAAAAGAAGAGAGCATCAAGGGAAAGAGACTCAAAGAAATTCTTAAACACATCCTGATTCAAATCCAAAACCTAAATGAAGTGAAACAAACAATGAAGAAAACCATCCTCAATGCCATTCTTTACTCAACAGGGAGTTCACAATAATAGTCCAAGAGAACATTTACAGTGCCAAAAGAAATACCCAATCCATCCATCATCCCCTCACTCCCACTCCCTCCCAAATATCTCATATTTTCCTTCCCAAAAGATACCAATACTCAACAGCTACTTGTCACTCCCAAGTTCTGATAATCCTCTTGGCATCTCGACATTAAAACCTTTCTTTGTCCTTAAAGCAAGGGAGATGGATTGCCGAATCCCAGGAGCGATTACCTCAAACAACCATTTTACTCTGCTGGGGCACAAAATATCTTTCTCAATTGTATTCTTTCACAACACGCCTTGCTAGCCAAGCCTTAAGAGGTTAGTTTGGTTTGGGGGACCACTGTAGGCAACTGGAAAAAAACCAGAATTATACCTGGCATTGATACAGAACCGAACTTCTGCGGGTAAACAAAAGCAATAGGTTCTCTGTTCTCTACTTTCAGTCATGTTGCCTTAAAATTTGTAAATGAGTATTTTTTACATCTCCCCGAGTATTTATTCTAGAAATTCAAAAAGGAGAAACAGAAATCAGGCACAAAGAGGTCCTAGGTACAAGTACCAAATACTTACTTCTCTCTTAGGGCAGCACTTGAAATCTGAACCGCTGATGCAAAATCAAAGCACAGCACACTTTCTATCTATATAGTACCTACATAGGTATATGCATAGTTCAGTATCATTTACAAAGCCCAAGTTTCTGTTTAAGAAAATGAAGGGAAAAATAGAAGAAAATCTAAAGTGGCAGGAAAGCTAAATATGGCTCCAGGAACGCAGAAAAAGGTCCACAAGGGTGAGTGAGTGGGTGCGTGTGTGTATGTGTGTGTGTGTGCGCGCTCATGTGCGTTTGGGTGTACATACACAAGACCCAATTATTTGACATTATCTGCTTAACCTTATTCTGTTATAAAATTATTTTCACAAACAAGCTACATATAGAACTAAAAGTCAGTGTTGAAGTGATTTCTAAATATTTACTGAACTTCTAAAAATAAGACTAACCCTTTGGAACCAACTGTGGTTTTTGATGGTTTGTTCCAAAATGTCTAATGTAGGGACATGATAGTATGAAACTGGAAGTCTAATCACCAATTCTGGAATGTTTTCAAAGGGAGGTTTTCCTTTTTCGGATCCTCTTACTCACCAGTGAATTGATTTTTCTATGAAGAAAAGTTTTTAAAAAGTAAAGTTTCTCAAGGATTGCTCAATTCCTCTGAATTTAAATCTCTACCTCTGGGGAGAGCCTCTCACAGGGAAAGAAGAGGTAAGCATGATCCTTCTTTGAATCTTGGTGTTACATTTTTCCTTTAAAAAAATGCCACAGTTTTAACTTAGAGTTTTTTAGGGGAAAGGAGGGGAGGGAAGGGTCAAACTGGTTGTCTTTGTTTCCCTAGGAATGACAATCTAGGAACAACCAAAGATACTGTATAAATTAAACATAGCTCTGTTTATATATATGTATATATTTAAAGAAAACAAAAAAATCCAAAATTTGTGGGATTGGTAATTTCAAATTTCAAATATAAAGTCAGTTAAAAAATATGTAAAGCAGAGCAGGGTGGGACCTGTTCATAAGGTGGAGCAAGCATCAGGTGCTCCGAGGAGTGAGGCCGGGTATTCAAGGGAGGGATACTTCAGGCTCGTGCAGTAGAGGAAGACTGAGCCTGGTCTTGAAAGATGGGGTTGAAAATCTGCAGAGTCCTGAGGCTTTCAGACTGAAAAAGGCTTTCCTTTCTCACCTGACAATCACAGTCTATCATGATTTATAGACTTTTCTTGATCAACTCCTCTGGAGATATTTTCCTGGAGAAACACTGGAGAAGTGTGGTACACTGTTCTGTTTGTGAATACTTTTTTGAGGTGCAAGAACAAGCTACTGAGGCAGAAAGTGTGCCTCCAGTTATCCCTACCCCTCACCACTGTCTCTTAAGTGTTTACCACCACAAGATCTTTTTTTGTGGCTGTGATCCAGATGGAGGTCTCCCCTCTATTTGTCAGAGTTTCTTCACTGAGTAGTGGACACATTTCAGGACTATGTTGGAGTCTGTTCAGAATTAGTGATGAAGGACAATGTGATTGTGATTTATGCGGCATCAGAAGAGACGCTTGGCAATGGGTTTCCAAGCTGACTCGTTGGCTACCGAGTCAAATATCCTCAAAGAAAAGATAAAGCCTCCCACTATCCTTCGAACAGTTGTCAACACCATCACAGGAAGCACCAATGTGGGTGACCAACTTCCCACTGGATAACTGTCAATGGTGCCTTGGCGAGGTACTGGGGTGAAATACACCAACAATGAGGCCTATTTTGATGTGATTGAAGAGATTGATGCCATTATTGATAAATCAGGTTCTACAATTGCTGCTGAAACCCAGGGGATGATTGATGCTGTATCAAGCTGATTGGAATGCCAGACCTTACACTTCCCTTCATGAACCCCAGGTGGTTGGATGATATCAGCTTCCATCCTTGTGTTTAAGTGCTGGAAATCTGAGCATATCCTTTCTTTCATCCCTCTTGATGGAAATTTCCGCCTGCTCTCTTATCCTGTCAGTGCAAAGAAACTGGTTGCAATCCCAGTGTATGTCAAATATAATATCAGTTTCTGAGACAGTAGTTCACTTGTATGCTTTGGAATAATGGTGGGACCCAAGCAGGCAATGGGGAAGACCACAGAGGGAGTGATAGTCACCAGCCAGATGCCCAAAGGGGTCCTAAACGTGAGCCTGACTCCACGACAAAGGATGTACACGTTCAGCCCAGTCACAGAGATGCTATTTTGGGATGTGGGAAAAACAAATCCCCACAAGCTACCAAGTTTAAGGAAGACCATGGGTCTTCACATTGGAGATTCCAAACCAGAACCATTGTTCTGTGGAACCACTATTTCCTTCTATACTCTTTAATTTTTTACCTATTACTAAAAAACAAAACAAAACAAAACAAAACAAAAACCTTCCTGATATCTTCCTCTAATATGATAAAATTAACTTGTAGTTAAGATGCAGCAGCTGGCTATTTCTGGACTTAGGGTCATCTGGATATGTATGGAGAAAAGTACAAACCCTTTAAGGGCATAAAATACATGACCAAAGCTAGAAAGTTCCAAGTTTGAACCTGAAGGGAGAGTCTGCAGAGGGAAAAGTCATGAACACTTTTTCATTTCTTATCTAAAAGTAAAAAGTATCGGCCTGTCTCCTAGGACAGTCCCCTCCTGGGCCCACACATTCCTTTTTCCCCTTAGCCTGCAGTGCTGTGGAACTAATCAAGGGAGGAAAGGGTCACCAGGGAGAACTGGACAGAACTGAAACACAGCAAAACCAGTTCTCAAGGACAAGGTGTGTGATGGGGGTAGAGATGCTTGATGCTTGTGTAACTATTTTTAACATGGTTTCTACTGAAAAAGACCAACATTTGTTGCTTGCTTGGCTTTAATTATCTAAAGCTGACGAAAGACTTCTTTGTTGATTTTTCAAGGTAGAAAGATTAGAAAGAGGCTGGGTATGGTGGCTCAAGCCTGTAATCCCAGCACTTTGGGAGGCTGAGGTGGGTGGATCACCAGAGGTCAGGAGATTGAGACCAGCCTGGCCAACATGGTGAAACCCCGTCTCTACTAAAAATACAAAAACTAGTCAGGCATGGTGGCACATGCCTGTAGTCCCTACTACTCAGGAGGCTGAAGCAGGAGTATCACTTGAACCCGGGAGGCGGAGGTTGCAGGGAGCCAAGATTGCACCCCTGCACTCCAGCCTGCGTGACAGAGCGAGACTCTGTCTCTGAAAAAAAAAGAAAGAAAGATTAGAAAGAAAAATTGGAAGAAAAATGAATGTTAGGTCAAGGAAAGGTCTGTTAAGGATCTGATCTATGCAGGAGAAGGAGGAGGAAACAGAATTAAAGAAGAGTTACGAGACATCTTTAAATGAAAGATTGGCAAGAAAAGTAAATAAATTCTGTATTAAGGAGGGATGGGAAGAAGAGTTGGTTTCTTTCTGGTCCTTCTGCTCATATATAAAAAACACTTGTACTTCTACAAAAGGACTGGAGACTTCTTAAATTCGAGTCCACTATTGACATGAAAACCCTAGTAGAATCATATTTTCCCTCGAAGACTGTGATGATATCAGACTAGTTTTCAGACACTGCCTGTTGCTGGCCTTTAGCACTTGGGTCTCATCGTCAGTGAGAAGGTGGCCTGCCTTCTTTCCATGGTGGCTGCCTAAAATGCTTCCTTCCCTAACCCAACTCAATTCTACTCACTTCCCTTTACAGAATTCACCAGCCTTTTTCCTATTACCTGATCCTTCCACAGGATTTTCTAAAAAGTAGGAGAGTTTCAATCCCATAACCGCAAAAGTAGGAGAGAAGCCAATCCCATAACCGCAGTGCAGCCAGAGGTTGCGTGTCATGGTATTGGAGAGGGCCGACTCATTTTCCATGAAGGTAGACATGGCTGTGAGTGATCTCACATCTGCATTTGTCCATGCGGGGGTGGTACTGAATCCCAACCTTCCGGTTGGAAACTCTTCCATCAATCGCCTTAAGAGAATGGTTACCGTGGAGGGTATGGTTGCTCCGTGAAGCTGCTTGGTAAGTGGTCATTTCCTCATAGACTTTTGTTTTGTACTCTACTCTACCATGTATTTACAACAGTTAGCTACCAGTCCCTTTTCGTTCTAAAACAAAAAATTTCCCCTAAATCTTTGAATAAAATTAATGCTATAGGGAAAAAATACATAAAGCTGTGGAACCATGATTTCCTTCTATACACTTTAATTTCTTGCCTATTACTAAAAAAAAAACTTCCTGGTATGTTCCTTTAATATAATACTGTTTTAAGGAATGATTACCTATCATTTGATTCAAAACAGAAGTAGCAGCACTAGTAAAATAAAGCAAGTTGCTAAAGTTAGCTGGGAAATGGTCTTCAAGTTAATAATAAAAAAAAGTTTATAATAATAATAATAAAAAAACCAAAAGGGCCTAAATTCAAAAGGAAAAAAAATAGACAGTAATAGGGACTTGAGAAAATGGCCTTGGTTTTCTCATCTCTTCAATGGGAATCCATAGCACCTGCCTCACAGGGTTGTCATGAGGATTTTAAACACTCATAAATGTAAAGCACTAAAAATAGTGTCTGGACCCATAGTGAATGCTCAAGAAATATTAACACATCATTATTATTATTACTGGCAAAAACTCACGTTATCAGGCCATTTATCACTTCCTACCCAGGAAGGCAAATGGTCATAAGGGAATCACAATCTGGTGAAAATCTTGGCTGCCACGCAATGATAGCCTTATTTCACAGACAGCATACTGAAGACACAGCTCAAGATTTCTAAAATCTGGAAGGAAGAAGTAGTCATTAGAGAAGGATCAGTATTTCTGATTTCTAGAAGGGGGCTATCACCTATAAAAAGAAGAATAAGGCTTGTTTTGCATTTGCCAAAGGTGGACTTGAATTGAATGGTGGAAGTTAGAGGGAAATGTCTGTTCACTATAAGAAAGGCTAACATCAGAAACAATCGCTTCATAAAAGGATAGCCTGCTTTGAAGGATATTGTACTGTTAACTGAGTGTGAAAGCAGGAGTTTCATCCATCAAGGATGCTAATTGCCCAGCATCTTTGTAAGCACATTGTGTACGAACCCATTCAATCCTCACCACAGCCACCCTGCTCCACTGTCTATATTCCTAACCACCACAATTCGCTGCCTACCTCCCAGCTCTGGAATCCTGGGCAAGTAACTCAACCTGTGTCTCCATTTCCTCATTTATAAAATGAGGATAATGATAGCACTTGCCTCAGATGATAGTGATAGATTAAATGCATTGATATATTTGCTTAGCACTTAGAACAGTCCCTGACACATAGCAAGTATTTTATTACTTTTTATACAAAGGTCATTTCAACTTTTAAGAAAATTTTTTTACTTGGATGGCAAGTTACAGAAGCCACAAAGAACTCTGTCTTGGCTACAGTGAGCAATCTGACACAATTTTTTACCAAGTAAGTGGCACTCAAGGCTTGCCTTCAGCCCTGATTCTCTAACAGCCATGAAAAATGTGGGCAAAACTGCTGGAGTGAGAGACCTACATTGAGACCAGATTCTCTATACTTTGTCATGGCTGATAAGGTAAAGCCCTGAAAAAAGTGGTCTAGTCCATAAGCCTCTGCTCCCTTCTCTTATCCTCAATGCCTCAGCCAATCATTCAAACTACACTTTCAGCAGAACCCTTAACTACTTCACACACTGGGCTTTACCTAGTACCCACTTAACCAATTCCCAAACCTAGTCAATCCAACCCACTTCCTTGTGCCTGCCATCCAACTGCAACCTGGCATCCATCATAGCCTAATAAGCCTTCTACTTGTCCTTAACTTACTCCTTTAGATTCTCAGAGGCAACATTAAACCTTTACTGCACTCAAGCTTCCAAATGATCTCCTGTCCCTATCCTCATGTATCTTAGATTCCTCAATAATTGGAAAATAGGCACAATCAGAAACAAATTCTACTTTTCATATACCTACCTCCATACTCCTAAACCCCTGCAACAACAAATCAATTCAACATTTATGGATATCTTTGCCTAGCCTTTTCACTCTCCCTCCTGTTTCAGAAGAAAAATAAGTTTCCAGACCTCCTTTCCAAGGCCAACTCTTTCTTCTGTTCTCTGGTGCTACTCAAGAAATGATCATCATCTTCTTGGTTCAATTGTCTGGCAACCATTCCCCTGACTCCCACCTCTGTTAGATCTTCAAAATTGTTCTACTAATCTATAAACACACCCTGAAAAAAAATGTTCTCAGACTCACTTTCCTCATTTAAGTCTTGATTCCTTCCCCAATTTTATTGCCAAATAAACTGGTCTCTTGCTACAGGTATGTAACTGGTTGAACTAATAAATGTGAATCACTGGAAGGCAATCTGATACAAGTTATTCTTGATTACAATCAATCTTTTAAGTATGCTTAAGGGTCCTAACATCCAGCAGCCTTGGAGTTAATGATCTTTAATGATTTCTCCCATTTATACTGTGTTTTTAACAAGCATAATAAAGGAAAATATACCAGAGGTTTATTAAGTATGACAAACTGTACTTTAAATAAATGTTGCTATTGACTTTAGGACTTCTTGCACAAAGTTTATAGATTAGCAATACTAATACCTTAAAAATGCTTTTTGAAGGATAATTCTTACACGAGCTAAGTAAGCCCTTACAGTCTACAGAATAATGATGGACGTTATGAACAATACTATGATAACGTAAATTGTCCACATGCCCTTAGAACCTTATCTGATTTAAAAACTTCCCATCTATATAGAAGAATAAGCTTACAGAAATAATGTTTCCATACCTTCGGGGAAAAGGATCTAAAATAGGAGAGAACATGATGTATTTAAGGAAAAGAAAGGCAAGCCAGTGAGGGCGAAGCACAGAAAACGAGGGGGGAGGAGGGAAGGACCAAATTCCTCAGGGCCTCCTAGCCCAGAATTAATACATTTTGGCATACTCATGAGAACAGGAAGCAAATGAAAAGCGTTCAGCTGGGAGATGGAAGGATCAGGTCCGCAATTTTAAAAGAATGACTCTAGTTGCTGTATGGAGAATGAATGGATAGCCGACCAGAGTGAGTGTGAGGAGCACAAGTGGGAGTTAGGAAGTTGCTTCAGAAGCCTAAGAGGGAAATGCTGGTAGCCTGGATCAGAGTGGCAATAGAGGTAGAAATAAGGAGATAGATTCTAGCTGATAAAAATCAGTAAGACTTGAGGAATGATTAGATATGGGGAAAAGTAAAGAAGAGAGGTGTCAATGACATGTTGGTTTCCTGCATTTATATACATATATACATGGAAATGCCAGTAACACATCTTGTACAATAGATATCAAGTTGTTAACAGAAGTTATCTGTGGAAAGGGAAGATGAATTTTACATAATTAAAAGCAGACTTTTAAAACCACACAGATATGTACAATGTTTAAATATTTTACAATCAGCAGGTATACATTGCCTTCATACTTAAACTCACGTGCAATTTGCCTCCCTGAAAAGGATAGGAATTATCCCAAAGAACAGACACAAGAAAAGTACATGACATATTTAAAGAATATCAAGTGGTCTAATGTTTGCAGAATAAGAAGGAAAGATGTATACTGGAACAGAGATGAGGAGAGGATTGAAGCTATTTCAGAATATGGCCAGATCATAAAGGTCCTTCTATCTGAGGCTAAAGAAATCATTCCTTAAAGAGTAGGAAATGGGGAAGCAAGTGAAGTTTTCAAGCAAGAGGGCGAAAAATATCAAGTTTAAATTTCAGAAAGATTACTCAAGAGGCAGTATAAAGACTGAACCAAAAGGAGACAGAAGACAGGCTGGGAGATCACTCAGGCAAGAACTTAAGGCAAAATCAGGGGCAACAGATAGAGAAGGGAAGAAATTTGAGATTCATTTCAGAAGTTGACAGGACTTGGTGATTAAGCTAATCCAACAGAGAAAAGGAAAAGTCAAAGATGCTTCCATAGTTTCTAGTTTAGGAAATCAGTGATGACATCAATTGAGCTAATGCAAGAACAGGTGAAGTGAGAAGATTAACAATTCCTGTGTTGAAGATAATGAAGTTCAAATACCTCTGGAGGCAGGGCAAGTTACCCAACAAGAAGTCAGGCTATTTAAGTTTGAATTTCAACAACAGGGTCGAGAATGGGAGCACATGAACACTATTACTCAGAAGAGAGAATTTTAAACCTGTGGACACAGTCTTACCCTCGATGCAATTTCACTCCATCTTGAGGCAACTGTCAAGAGTTGACCAGTTCCATTTACTCTCATAGTTGTAAAAATTCCACAAAATTGTTAAAGTCTCTGTAAGCGATAACTTTAAACAGTCAGAGCTTTTGTCTTGTTCTGAGTCATTTTTCCCCTTTCCTCTTTGTATGCCATTCTTTCTGTCAAACTATCTAGTTAAGGAAGATATGTGAGGTATAAGGATGCATAATATAAAAAAATTTTTGCTATTCTTATTAAACATTTTGTCTTAATTGTAAAGGTAAAGAAAAGAACATTCGACTATTCTAACTTTAGGAAAACCTAAGTTAAATAATGATTTACCTATGTGACTCTCCACTAATTTTCTCTTGCAAATCATCACCCCTTAATTAACTGACATCCCCAAGGCAGTCAACTCAAGCTGTAGCTTTAACCACAGAGGTTAAACAATTCACAGTCCTGTTGTTGCTGTCAGAAACCCAAGTTACACTGTACCTTTGTCTAATCAATGGTGCCCTAGTTTGGTGGGAGATGGAGAGGAAGGGACCTGTTGGCAAGGAAACAGCTGCTTCCTTCCTGAACAAGGGAAAACCAGTAAGGTGACAGATGGGCAGAGCAGAAAAGTAGCCAAAAATTGCTGTGGCTCCTGTTTGGCAATAATTTCTGGAACTGAGGCACAACTGAATATTTTAAAGTATATCAACAATTGAGAGAGTATTGTTTACCTGAGTGCGCCAAAGTTCAACAAGCCTTCCCACACGTTTCCCACATTTGAAAAACTTTTAAGTTTGCAGTAGTACAAAGAGCTTAGCCTTAGCCTATGTATAGTGGGCAAAGACTGCAAGGCACTGTCCCATTTCACTTTAGGATTACACCCAAGCAAATGCACTTTCCGGTTAAAAAAAAAAAGGAAAAAATTTTATTTTCTCTATAGTAGTTATAGTTGTATGACTGACTAGAATTACTATTAAAATCTCATTAAAAATGTTTTTCTTAAAAGTTTACTTTTATATACTTAATTTGAAAAGATTTGTTCAAACTTTTATAATTTGTTCTTTAATCATTCCCCCTCCCATCCACTTCAGTACCCAGAAAACTAAATATCCAAGAATTCCTGGGTAAAACAGACAACCACTAGATAGATATAACTAACGTATTTTTTTAAGCTGTATAGTTCTTCATCAAATGGAAATCGGCAACCACTGAAAATAACATTAAAAATTAGTGTGGGCATGAAGTATGGAATTTTAAACATCAGTTTACTATGCTGATTAAGTCAACATTTATATTTTCATCAGAACTTAATAATCCCATAAATAAATAGAGCTCTCAGTTATTTAAAAAAATCAAGGGATAACATATGTATTTAGACATATTAGCAGCGTAAAGATGTATGCTTCAACACACTTATTGGGGAAACGTCTGAAAATATTACTACACTGAATTCAAGGGTATCCAAAGGAACCTGACATAGAAGTTCTCTAGAATAACATCATTTCAGGGAATTTCAAAAAAGAAAAGGGGTCAAATAGGAAATAGCCTCAAATTAATTGACAAAGTTCAGTGTTTGCCCCAACTAGATTATTCTCTCTCTCCACTGCAAAAAGAAAGTCTCAGGATGAGTGAATCACTTAGACGAAAGTTCATCTAGTGGAATAAATGGAGAAGCCGCTTGGGCAGGTGACACAGGAGAGTCGGTGGTAGTGCTGACTTTCGCTGGTGAGTTACAAGAAGATCCGGCACTGCTGCTGTTTCCATCAAGGGTATCCGAAGATACACACACACCAGGATCTGACAGCTGTGCAACGTCAGAAGAAAGCATGTTGGTGATGCCCTGGAAAAATCTCTTTGGCTGATATTCAGTTTCCATTTCACATTTTCTTTTCAATGGTCCAAGAACACTTGGTCTAATGCAATTGATGGGGCTCTGGCTTCTCCGGGTGGTAAATCGGGTCGTTGGGCTGGGAATAGGGCTTGGAGGCAATCCGTTGCTACTTACAAAACTTTGCAAGGATGGCGAAAAACACTGCTTCCCAATTCCCCGAGTGGGTGACGGTGCTGGTGACACAGGAATGAAATCGATGCGCTTGGGGGAGGCGGATTTCTCCACGTCGTTGTCACTCAGGCTGAAACTTTCCTCCCAGGAGTGGCTTATCTGCATTGCGGTCTGCACCTCCCGTTCGTGGACCGTCTCTCGGTTGATCAAGTCCATGCCCTCTTCTTGTTTGATCTGGTGCAAGCGGCTGCTGTGCATGCGGACAGGGGAGGCCGGCAGCAGCAGGCCGTGGCGGCTCGGGAACGTTGTGCTGTTCCGCCTGGCGCTCGGCGCCTCGGCCTGGAACACCGGCGAAGTGTCACTGAGGCCGTGGATCAGGGGGGCGCTGTTAGACCTCCTGAGGCCCCCGCCGCCGCCGCTGCCACCGCCCTCCGCCGGGCTCCCGCCCGTACCCGGAGGCAGCTCCAGGTCTAGCTCCATCTTCTCCTGAGCCATGTCGGGGGCAGGGAGGCGGGGGAGGTGCTCAGTCAGGGACCTAGGATTCCCATTCCCCGCAGTCCAGGGCCGCCGCCGCTGCCGCCGCCACCGAGAATCTGTCAGCGGGCTGGCCCCTCTGCGCATGCGTAGCCCTTCGCGCAGGCGCTCGCGATGTCCGTACTCGCGGCGCCTGCTTAATGCGTAATATGTGCGCGGCAGTGGTAGGGGAGGGGCGAGGAGTGGTCGGGCCGCTAGTCCGTATATTCCTTCGGCAAATAGCTATTGAGCGCAAGCTCGCGTTGACGCATGTCAATAAGATTGTCATATTCTGGATTGCATACTCATAAAACAAAGCCCTGAAAGAGAGGCCCATGGTGATGTGGGGCTGTATGACGTGGAGTGGCGCTTGGCCTAATCAGGGAGGGCTTCCTCGAGGAAGGAACAATCTCCTGAAATCTGAAGAAGTGGGCGAAATGGGTGCGATGTAGAACTTTGCAGGAAGCGGGAAGCAACGGCTACCCAGCCAGTTGGCAGGCGGGAACCAGGAGGGGAGGAGAAAGTGTGGCCTGGAGTGGAGAGTGAGGGCTGGCCTGACGTGAGGTGGTGGACCAGACCACATTCTGGTCTTTATCTTGAGAACAATGAAAACTTAAAGGGTTTTCAAGCATGGGTGTAACAGCAACTGAAAAGCTCACTGGCCTGCAGTCTGGAGAATACATATTGGGAGATTAAAACCTTACAGAAAAAAGGCCAGAGAGGATGGTCATTTGCACTAAGGTGACAGTGTGGCAGTGGAGATGGAGAGAAAAGTAAATCTGAGAACTATTTAGGTTAGGGGAAGAAGCCAAAACAGAGGATGGTATTGCTATTGATTTACAGTCATAGTTCCAGCACAAGCATATGTGTGAAGTATGAAGGATTAAACCAGTAGGTCCTCACATTTTAAAAATGAAACCACAATTCTTGGCTCATGTAATTAATATAAAACCTTGATATCTCATTAAAAGTGAGTTTATTTGTTCATTTATTCAGTCAGTCAAGGTTTTTTTTTTTCAGCATACTTACTATGTGCCAAACACTGCTAGGAAATGGGCCCTAGTATGAACTTTTAATTCTTACTGAGGGGAAAATAGAGAAACGCAGGCTATTTTCAGATAGTGGTAAGCCTTAGGAAAAGTAAGATGGTGTGATGGAGCACTACTGATAGAAGTCAGGGGACAATTAGAGTTGAGATCTAAATGACAAGAAGCAGTAAGTCACGTGGACATCTGGGGAATGAGTATTCCAAGCAGAGAGAATAGCAAGTGCTAAGGCCGGAGGCAGCCATGAGTTTGATGAGTTAGCAGAAAAAGAAAAAAGGGCAGTGCCGCTGAAGCATAAGAGCGGGAGTGTTAGGAGAGGGTAAGAGTTGGATCTCATTCTGAATATGATGAAACGCCACTGGAGGGTTTTAAGCAGGGGACTGATATTATCTGGTTTATGTTTTAAATATCACTTAGGCTCTGTGGAAAACAGGCTGAAAGAAGACCAGAGTGGAGGCAGAAGGATGAATTCAGGACCTATGGCAACAGTACAGATAAGATTCTTGGACTAGGGTTGTAGCAGTGTCAATGGGGAGAAGCAGAGAGACTGAGGATATGTGTTGAGTTAGAACAAATAGGATTTGCAGATGGATTAAATTTAGATTGTGAAAGAAATAGATTATTCGAAGGGGACTCATAGCTTTTTTTATTTAAACTGGTGAGATGGTAGTATTATTTACTGAGAGAGGAAAATAGCACATTTAGAGTTGTAGAAATTAAGAGATCTGAAGCAGAAGAACACAAGGTGGAAAGAACCAACATTTTCTAAGTGCCTACTCCCTGCTAGGCACTTTAAACACTCCATAATCCCACTTAATCCTCACTGCATAGATATTGTTATACTCATTTTACGAAGGAACGATTGAGGTTCAAAAATTGCAAAAGGCACTACAGCCAGTACACGGAAGAACAAAGATCTGAACCAATTTGAATCAAGGACTCATTTCAAAAACCTGTATTGTTTTTTCTGAATTTCACATGGATTAAAGAGAGAATTTCGCATGAATTAGAGAAGGATGGCTAATTCTGAGACGAAACAAAGGTCTAAAACCAAAGTTGGGAAAGGCAGAAGGAGATGGATTTGGGAGACAAGGCAACAACAGAACCTAATAGCATGCTGTGCAGAGGATGAACAGGAGACACAAATGACTGAAGTTCAACTGTAAGTGGCTGAAAGAATGCTACAAATTATTCAATAAAAACAGGAGAGAGGAGGAAATGTCTACAAAAAAATTAATATTAGGTAAGTAGAAAAGAACATTAAATATAGAACTCAATTTATAATACCCACAGCATATTACTGTTAACTTCATATTACTACATTATTATCAATGTGGCTCAAATGTACCAGATATTGTTCGTCCATGTCTGGATAAACATAATAATTACCTTTACTAATAAAACACAAGGATGGTGATGAGCCCACAAAATAAAACATATATGCTATTTGGTTCTTGCCTGAACACACCTATTAGAGATCTTAGCTGGTTTCCCAGTTTCTACCCTTGTCCTTGTAGAGCTGGGGACAGAGAATTGACTGAGTCATGTATGATTCAGTGCTTTCAGGTCCTGGCACAAATATTAATACTGATGGAGAGGCTTTCATAACTGTTCCTTATAAAAAGCAATTGCAGTTCTCAACACCAAGTCTACATTTGCATGCCCCTTACTCTGTTTTTATTGTCCTCCGGAGTACCACATGACATATATGTATACATTTTCTTGCCTGTTTCTTTGCTGAGAAAGTAAGCTCTACAAGGGAAAGACCTTTGTTTTGTTCTCTGTTATATGCTTAATATCTAGAACAGGGCCTGGCACATTGTACTGAGTAAGTACTTGTTGAATCATTGTGTGAATGCATGATAATGAATGAAAGGATGGATTAATATAGCTTTGTCTAAAAGGGAAGAGAACTCTATTATTTGAAAATCCAGTCTAACAGGCTTTTCTACACTGATTCTAAGAGCTCTATACCTTGATATATTTTTTAAAGATCAGGAATATTATTATTATTTAGAGTGCCCTCCAGCCCATGCAGGTGTGTTACTGGAACTACCCATTATGTGACCTAAGAAACTGAAGCCCTAGGTTTTCTTTCTTTTTCAACGATATGCTAATAAAAATTTGATAGAATTAAAATGTTCAGCACTGAGGATTCTAGGCAGTGTTTAATATATTGAGTTACTACTTCCTTTCGAAGGAATCAAGGACAAATGAGAGAAAATAGCAGCCATAAAATGCAATGTAGCCAGCTGCAAATGAATAATGCCAGAGGCAGGATCCAAGGAACCTCCCTGGCTCATTTCCCCCTTCCGGTTTCACTCCCATGAATTAAATACCACACTTAGTCAAGATTCATTCTCACTGTGAAGCCACAAAACCAGACATCTATTCCACAGTTAAACTTTATTGTGATTAATATTAGATTTTTAAAATATTACTTATATTTTAAAAAATATTACTTATTTTTAGGTTAAAAATAAATAGTTTAGGGCCAGGCGTGGTGGCTCACGCCTGTAATCCCAGCACTTTGGGAGGCTGAGGTGGAAGCATTGTTGAGTCCAGGAGTTCATGACCAGCCTGGGCAAGAGAGAGACCTCATCTTATAAAATTAAAATAAATAAATAGCTTAAAAATGACCATAACAATATCTAGAATTGGGACAGAGTCCCAATCTGATATCTAATTTATAAGATCTCAATGAGGAATAAGTGGAACTAGAATGTTTAAAGTGACTAGCAGGGAGTAGGCACTTAGAACAATATTATTATTAGATAGTTTTCTTTTAATTTCTGAGGGCAATTTTTCACTATTAAATTTCCAAATATATGACAAGGCAAATTTCTACCTCTGAATCCAAATTGAATGAATGTAAAATACAAAAATGTGTGTATGTATATAATCTAAGATGGGCTGGCAAATACCTCAATGTTCCACGTTAATTAGCATCAACAACCTACAGTAAAAATACTGCAGAAAAAACTGTGCTTTAAAACCATAGGAACTTAGGGTTAACTGTTACAACCACTTAGGAAAAATATTTTGCTGTACCTATTAAAAGAAAATATATTTATAGCCCACGACTAAGGAATCCTGCTCCTGACAATATAACCAAGAGAAATGAGGGCATCTGTCTACTAAAAGACATGCACAAGAATGTTTCTTGCATTATTATTATTATGTGTAATAGCTCCAGACTCAAACAACCATAAACAGTTTAATTATACAATGGAACTCTTTACCCAACAACATGGATGAGTTACAATATAATGTTGAATGAAAGAAATTAAGTACAAAAGAATACATACACTATGACTTCAGTGTTATGAAGTCCCCAAACAGCCAAAACCAACTTAGAAGTCAAAATAAGTAGTCCCCTCCTACCCACAGTTTTGGTTAACCTGTGGCCAACGTTGGTCCAAAAATATTAAATGGAAAATTCCAGAAATAAACAATTCATGAGTTTTAAATTACATGCTGCTGTGAGTGAGTGCCATGATGAAATCTGGTGCCGTCGCACTCCATCTGACCTGGGACATGAATCATCCCTACAACCAGTGCATCCATGCTGTCTATGCTCCCTGCCCATTAGTCACTTAGTAGCCATCTCAGTTACCAGATTGACTGCTGTAGCAGTGCTTATGTTTGAGTAACTCTTATTTTACTTAATAATGGCCCCAAACACAACAGTAGTGATGCTGACAATTGTAATATGCCAAATAGAAGCTGTAAAGTGCTTCCTCTAAGTGAAAAGGTGAAAAAAAATATGCTGAGATTGCTAAGATCTGTGGTAAGAACAAATCCTCTATCCATGAAGTTGTGAAGAAGGAAAAAGAAATATGTGCTAGTTTTGCTGTTGCACCTCAAATTGCAGAAGTTACGGTGACAGTGTGTGATAAGTGCTTAGTGAAGATGGAAAGGGCATTAAATTTGTGGGTGGAAGACATGAACAGAAAGCATTCCAATTGATGGCAATGTGTTGCATCAGAAAGCAGTAAGCCTATATGAAGATTTCAGCAAGGGATCCCCTGAAATGAGTGACACCAAGCCACTTACTGCAAATAAGTGATGGTTACACCGACTTGGTAATAGGTTTGGATTCACAAATATAAAATTTACTAGAGAGGTTTTGTCTGCCAATGAAGAAGCTGCTGCCACATTTCTAGCAGAGTTGAAGAAGTTGATCAAGGAAAAAAGATACTATCTGAGTGAGACTTCAGTTGCAATGAAACTGGCCTCTTCTGGAAGATGTCCAGTAGAATCTACATTGATGAAAGTACAAAAGAGGCACCAGACATAAAACATGGAAGGATGAATTAGCTGTAGTACTATGTAGCAGTACACATACAGGATTTGGTTTCTGCAGTTTCAGGCATCCACTGGGGGTCTTGGAATGTTTCCCCTTGGATGAGGGGGACTATTATAGTGGTTACCCTTAGGACTGACTGAGAGGGGCTACAAGAAAATGTTCTATATCCTGATATGTGTGCTAGTTTACATGGGTGTACACATATGGAAAACATTATCAAACTATTTGAAATGTATACACGTTTCTATATAAAGTTAGATCTTAAAATGTTGTTGATATGGACAAAAACAGCATGGAATGTAAATGGAGAAGGACAGAATAGGATAAGAATGTATGTACTTCAATTGGAAGGAAGATATCTTATTCAAACACTAACCAGAAATCTAAACTGGAATGCTGAGCTTCCAAATCTCTCTGACACACAACAGTATCAGTGGAAGAGAACTAGCTTGACAGTAGAGAGAAAAGAGAAACACACACACCCCTAAAGTTGCATTTCATTGGGGCCCTAAACACCAGTAGACTCCAGCAACCTCACATAAACTCTGAAGACTTGTCCGAAGCCAGTTACAGATCACCAAGAATAGAACCATCAGCTTTTCTTGACCCTGTTCCCACAGTACCCTTAAAGTTAGTTACTTCTAAGAAAGCAATAGGAGGAAATGAAGCCCATTTTATTGCCTTTTATTTTCTCAACTGCAAGCTTTGTGTATTTTGTTCAAGCAAAGTCGGCTCTGTTGCCTTCTCAGTGGTATCCTCCTAGAATAATTCATGAAATGGAACAGAATTAAAGTAGCATCATAGGAACTCAGCGTGGGCTGTTAGAACATATGTGAAGAATAAGAATTGCATTTAAGGACACAATTCTGGCCACCAAGAACTTACTTGGTTATTCTGATGAAAGAAAATAATAGATTATCTCAGAAACTTACCAACCATTCAATTTGCAAATAATCATTGAGGGCCCGTTAAGTACAGACACCCTCTATGTTATCTACCTTAAAATTGCTTAATCTAATCCTTAAAACTTCAGAGCAACAGCAAAGATTAGAAAATCAAGGTAGAAGTGTACAAAGCGGCTACTGAGCCCTCTCAACTTTGATAAAGTGAAAAGGCATCACACCATTGCACGGAGACATATCCTTCTTATGGAGACAGTGAACAGATAGAAAGGGGCCTCAAAGACTTGATGGAAGAATCTTACAGGCTAGGCCCTCAGCACAATTCAAGTAAACAAGTAATTGTGGATTGTAGTTACTTTGTTTAGTTTTTTCCATGGGGGACTATAAAGGAAGATATTAAATTAAAATAGCCATCTAACCCCCAGTCTCTAATCCCTTAAGTCTTTTGAATAGAATAGAAAACAGGAGTGATATCTCTCCTTGTTCCTCAGTGGAACCTCAGAGGAACCTCCTTGGTGCCTTCTCTTTGACATTAAAACCCTCCTAGGCCATAATCGAAGAATACAATCGATAGCCCTTTCTTTGGTGAAATGCTTCTGTCTGTCTGTCTACTATCCTTCCCTTGAAGGATTAATCCATTTGCCAAGGGGGTGGAGGAACTGATGGCTTTATGGATAATGTATAAAGTTAACTTTAAAACATGCAAAGGCTGCAAATCTAGTTGGATTTATATACTTGGATCTTTCAGCTGGGTGGGTGTTTGGGAATCTTAAGAGCTCAGTGTATTAGTGCACAGCAAGACATAGCAAAGAAAGAACCAAACTTGGAGTCAGATTATCATACTTCCAGCAGTGGGACTTTGGGCAAGTCTGTCAACCTCTCTAGACTTCACTTTTGTCACTTATGAAGTGGGGATGCAGCCTTTTTGTTGTAAAGATAAAATAATATGGTGTCCATAAAAGGCCTTGCAAACAGTAAAGGGCCTATAACAGAGTTCTTTTTTCACATATTCAGTGCTGTGATCGCAAAATGATCCTACCCGTTTTCCACTACTCTTACCAGAAGGCTTTCTCTGTTCTCTTACTTTCAGTTTGATTCTGTGGAGGGAAATTCTTTCTTCATCTTCTTCCCTAAGGCTAAATAGTATTATAGAGCTATACATTTTCTGTGGTCTAAAAACTATGAATTGGAAGGTTCATATACAAGCAGGTAGTTTCTGAGTAGAATAATTGGGCAAAACCACATTTCTAAGATCTTTGCCAGCAGAATCTGTGTGTCTGGGAAGAGAGATGGGCACTGGGGCAGAGAGGCCATCAATAACTAAAATGCAGCTGGATCAGTGAATACTATTCCCTGCAGCAAGCCATTTGTTAATCCCCAACAGTAGCAGCTACCCTCCCCGGTAGCGCTGAACTTTTCAATTGGGACTAATCCCAGAGGCTTATTCTTATTTATTCACTTAAAACCCCATTTTGAATTACTGCTGTCATGTCACCATCCTTCTTGGCATACAATAAACTGCAGGAGGACACATGTTTGGCTGTGCCTGACAAACAGGTTGAACCCAGCCTCTCTCAGACAAAATAAGAAGAGCAACTGAGAGAAGATTCAAGAAGTCTCAGTAGTTACTGCTCCTTAAGGTGTGTCTTTCCCTCTACGTAGCTGACATCCAGAGGGATGTTTGGAGGAGTAGGTCAAATGTTCAAAAGAAGTTTGAAGCTGCTGCTGCAAACCTAGAGATTCATAAGCAACATGCCTTAGGGAAATTTTTTGGTTTTAGAAGGTGACAACTTCACAGCCAAGAATTCCTTAGCCTCTAAGACACTTTAAGATAAAAAGGAGTATTATGGAGAAAGCGGGCAGTTTCTTCCCTTTTCATGCACCTTTCCTTTGAGCTAAATATGACCAGTAAGTGCAACAAAAAGAAGGGTGGGTGTGTTCTAATTCCTCCTACCTCATACAAATTTATAAACTAAATACAACTGTATTTCAGTATCCACAACTTTTTCACCTGTAGCTCAATTTGATAGTAGGAAATGAATTTTTATCATCCACAGAGCTCAGCCATCTGAAAGTTCCCACTTATTAGGAAATGGTACAGATTTTTTTTCTTCACTCTCCTTTTGAAAACTATAAGTCTAAGATAGTAACCTTCAGCCCTTACAGTTAAGACCCTTTTCATCAGACAAGGCTGTCTTATCATTATCATTATCACATGATGGTAGTTCACACCCAGCCAGAGCCTTCTAAGTATTTTGTGTATATTAACTCATTCGATTTCTAGGATTCTTACCCTTATTTTATAGATAAGGGAAATGAGACAAAGAGAGGAGAGGTTAACTAAGTTGCCTGAGGTGACAGTAGAGGAATTTGAGCCCAGGGGTCTGGCTTCAGAAGCTGAGCTCTTATTCATCACTCCCTATTGACACACATGAAATACACTTGGGTTCCTCAAACCTGTCATTTTCATGGTGTTCCAGGTTTACTTTCAAGACTGTTGGTAGAGTTGAGGTGTACAGCACAGCCATTCTGCTTATCAGAAAGATAGATGAGGGGTCCATATAATTGTGTAGGCTTACAGATACTAGCGAGTTTATAAAATTAAGCAATTAGTAAATGCCCTATTTGTCCCAAAGCAGTTGTGAAAACTAATGCAAAGGGATAGAACCACAGCATGTCAGATCTGAAAGGGACTTTAGAAATCACCTTCACTAACTTTCATCAGCAGGGAGTCTGAGGTTCAGAAGGAGCCAATGATTTCTTCAGGGTGAAAAAGGCATCCGAGAGAGCTAGGATGCTTGATGAAGTCTGTAAGGATTGCTCCCTAATGTTTGGTCTCTAGATTCCTCTTTAACTTTAAACTCTTTCTCTATGAAAGAGTAACCACTCCCATGGTTTTAACTATGATCGATATGCTGATATCTCTCAAATTTCTATCTCTAGATAGGGCTGACATTTCCAGACTGTCATATATAGTTACTTACATACATTTCCGCTATATGTTCCACAGATTCTTCAAATGCATCTACACATGAGCTCAGTTCTACCCCAAACCCACTACAGCAGCGGTCCCCAACATTTTTGGCACCAGACCAGTTGCATGGAAGACCATTTTCCCATGGGATGGGGTGGGCAGTGGAAGGGGGATCTTCTACTTCAGATCATTAGGCATTAGCTTCTCATGTGGAGTGAGCAACCTAGATCCCTCACATGCACAGTTCACAGTAGGGTTTGCGCTTCTATGAGAATCTAATGCTGCCACTGATCCAACAGGAGGCGGGGCTCAGGCAGTAAGACTCACTGGCCTGCTGCTCACCTCGTGCTGTGTGGCCTGGTTCCTTACAGGCCGCAGACTGGTACCAGTCCACTTCTTTTGAGCATGAACTGCACAACAATCTCTCCAGACAACCAAGTCAATACTCAAATTATTCTAGATCCTTCTCTCCTTCATCCTTATTTTTACCCTGAGAAGTCAGACCCCCAGCAAGGTGCAGGAGGACTGGTGGCAAAAGGCAGGAAAAGAGAGGAAGAGAATCATGCCCCTCCTTAGGAGCTGAGATTTTAAACTTGCCACTCCCCTTCCTGAGGGAGAGGAGTAGGTATAATGAAGTCGGAGGCTTAGCTAATTACATAGCACTGGACACTTGGGATACCAGCTTGAAACAGTGATTTGACATGGTAGCGGGACATTTTATTGCCTAAGAGTGAGCAGAAAGAAAGGTTCTTGAATTTTCATTCAGAAGCCAGCGAAGACCTTTCTATTCCATGAGTGCTGCTTGTTGCATAAAGAAGGACAGAGGTCACTTGTGAGAAATGCTGAAGAAATAAGGACTGTTGATTTTTCAGGGCAGGAACTGGTGATCTGGAGAGAGCTCTAGTAGAGGCCTAGGAGAGAAGGCGTGGAAAACCCAGATGAGAGGAGCCACACCGTAGGCAGGTGGTAAGAAACTGGAGGCAGTGAGATAGGCTACGTTTTCCAGAATTTGGCTAATTCAAATTGAAAAAGTATTTTTCAAGTTCCAACTGGGTGCCAGGTACCCTGCTAGGCATTTTCATGAAGAACGAGAGGAAAGCAAGCAATGTCATGCCACCTTGACAGGCCACGGAAGTGTTCTTGAGGACAGAATTTCCTTAAACATTCATTCTTTCCCCAGAAATAACTAGAGGTAAGAAAAATACCGATGATACAAAAAAGGAAAGACAAATGGGACCAAAAGCCTAGAGTGTATTGAGGGCATAGAACTAAGGGCAAAATTATAGGTTATAAATATTTATTTATTTAAAGTCTATAAAATAAACCTTAGTTTTAGATTAGCCAAATCTGGGGAATTACATTGTTCTTTTCTCATAAATAATAGCTAGTTATACTTTCAGTGTGCTGCTTATGTTTAACCCAACCCACCATTAACAACATAAAAACATCTGCCCTTCAGCAAAAAGGAAGGGAAAATGCAATTAATGCTACTGCTTTTCGAATACCTAACAGATCTGACCATCAGATGTAGAATATAAGCTAGAAAAAAAAACACAGTATAAGTGACAGTGAAAACCTGTCCCATTTTTCCTACTTAATTTGCTCTTGGAAAATGTAAAATTGAAAGGCTCAATTAATCTTAATGATGTGTCACAGAACAGAAAGATTTCCCTGGGCTAAAAAGCATTCTGCACATGCCTCAGAATTCAAAAGAAAGAATGCATTGAGGAAGATGTAGACAATGGCCAGTTCCCCACAAAGATAGCCTCTCAATCTTCTTTTTCAATTTTTAAAATAATTTTTCAATTTAAAAAATAATACGGGGAAATAGGGATGCATTACTGGGAATAAACAAGTTGTACATTTACTGAGGCAAACACTTCATCATTTGTTCAAATGCTTCCGTGGCTTTTCCCAACAGGGCGACTACGACTAGCTAATTTTTAAAAGTACTGTTGTATGACCAAGAGTGGAGAAGGTTTGCCCAGTATCTTTACTTTATTATTAGCACCAGGGGTTTCTATTGAAATGCCTCCAAGGGCCAACAACAGATAGATAACTAATGGGTGACAGTACTGAGAGAATAGAGCATTTGCACTTAACAGACTGGAGAGACCCAGGCACCTAAAGGTGGCTGACAGCTACTGCTCAATTCCACCCAACAGCTGCCCTTGCAGAAAAGGATGCCATACATTGCCCAAGCTTCTAATTTTTTAATAGAGGTTAAAAATCTAGATTTTTAAAAATGTGGATGCTTACAATTTGTAGATGTTGAACTAAAAAACAAATTTAAAAGTTAAACATAGGGTAGACCTAATCAAAAGGTTCTAAAGGCTGTCTTAGGCTCTGAGGACAAGCTGTGACCTCTGACAACCCATTCTTCTCTCTCCTTACTTTACAGTCTATGCCTTCCTTCCCCAGGACTGTGAATTCCTCTTCTGCCCCTTGATGATCACTGCTCCATAAAGTCCTTTGTCATTTTTATGTATACCCAACTTCTGTCTCTGGCTACATGGTCTCTGAAAAAGGGCAGCCACTGTGTCTTGTAGGTAAAGTGTCCTGCAGCACTTAGTGTAGGGCCTGGGGTGTGTCACATACATATGAATGATGGTGGAAACTTCAAATCATGTATACATCCACTTTTTCCTTTTCTTCCCACTTCTCTTCCCACCGGCATAGTTATAACTAGCCATCCATCTTACTGATTTCTCTTGTTGTTTCCAATAATTTTTCAGTTGATTCTTTCTAGCTGTGCAATTGAAATATCTGCAAATAATGTTAACTTTGCAACTTCCTCCCCAATATTTATGTCTATTATTTCCTTATCTCCTGACTGGTACTTTCCGTGTACAGTTTATAATTTCAGTGAAAGTCAGCATTCTTATATATTTGATTTAAATGGGAATGCATTCTACTTATTTTACTAAGTTTTAATTTTTTTCTTTTTATTTGGGAATGTGTGTCAGTTTTTTTTGTTACTATAAACTTATAATTTTATTTATTCCTTTAAAAGTTCATTTTAGTGGCATATAATTTAGTGCAATAAAATTCACCCTTTTAAAGAATATAGTTCAGTTAGTTTTGACAAACTTAAACAGTCATGTAACCACTGCCCAAATTAATCTACTAGTGGATGTTGAATTTTAGTATTTTTGGCACCTATTAAGATGACCATACAGGTTTTTCTTTTTTCATCTAATATGTGGACTAGCTTCTCCATTATTGAGCCAAGCTTAAATTCTTGTGATGTACCTACTTGATCATGGTATTTATTTAATGCATTGCTAAATTATTTCTTTTTCTTTTTTTTTTTTTTTTTTTTAAGACAGAGTCTTGCTCTGTCACCCAGGCTGGAGTGCAGTGGCGCAGTCTCGGCTCACTGCAGCTTCCACCTCCCAGGTTCAAGCGATTCCCCTGCCTCAGCCTCCCGAATAGATGGGATTACAGGTGTGCACCACCACACCTGGCTAATTTTTGTATTTTTAGTAGAGACGCGGTTTCACCATGTTGGTCAGGCTGGTCTCGAACTCCTGACCTTAAGTGATCCACCCGCCTCGGCCTCCCAAAGTGCTGGGATTACAGGCGTGAGCCACAGCGCCCGGACTGCATTGCTAAATTCTATCTGATGGTATTTTATGAAAGGGTTTTGCATCAAGATTGATCTGCAGTGTGTGCACATACAGGCACATGCCCATGCCAGCTATCTTTGTGAAGTTTTGGTACTAAGATCATTTTGGTATCTTAAAAAATCTTGAAAGTCTGTCTTTTGCTCTATACTTAGAAAAAGTTGAAATAGTAATGTGACCATCTGTCAGGTTTACATGGGGCATTCTAGTTTATACTGGTTCTCTCAATTAAAGCTCCCTTCAATAAACTATATAGTTACCCTACTTAATATCAATATCCCTGACTATTTGAAGAATTTACTTGGGCTATCTGGGGGCCTGCACTTTGAATTTAGAAAGCATCTTTTGATAACATTTTTATTTCTTTCATGGTTACTGACTCTCTCCTGGGACCACTTTAATAAAGTAAATTTTCCTAGAAATACCACTTACTTCACCTATCTCCATAGTGTTTCATGTAGTACCTAACAATATTTTTTGGTTACTTCTCCTTTTTGATATCTGATATTGTTGATTTTTTACCTTTGTTTTGGTAATAAAGAGATATTTATTTATTGTAAAAAAATTTAAAATACAGACACATAGAAAAAAATAGTTGAAAATTACCCACAATCCCATCACCCAGAAACAATTACTTTTGACACTGTAATAAAAAGCATTCCAGATTTTTATCTGTGTACATACCTACCTATCTACATAATGCAATGTTTATTAACTTGCCCTTTCCATATTTGTTGTGAACACTTTTTCCATATCAGTAAATATAGACTTACATCTTCAATTTCAATGGCTGTGAAGTATGGCTATTCCATGACCTTCTTATACATATTTCTAATAGGGGATAAGCAGGTAGGTTAATTTTTTTCAACTATTTTTAACAGTGCTGCATTGAACATTATATAAGATCTTTGTACGTTCATTTTGTTGGACAGATTATTCAAAGTAGAAGTGCTAAATCAAAGATAGATACATTTATAACAATAGTTTTTGCTTATAAGAGATGTATTTATTTCATATATAAAAAAAGCAGCAAAAAACAAAGTAAAAGTTTCCTGCAATCCATTATCCAGTGGTAGCCTCTGTTAACATTTTGTTATAGATATCCACCAAGTCTTAGTGCACATTCTTTTTTAACCATATTATACATACCAAGTTGTCACCTCCTTACCATATTATGCCATCTTTTCCTACACAATATCATTCTATATAGCTACAAGGTACTCAGTGGATAAAAGAGCCATAATTTGATTATCTACTAATGGAAATTTAAGGTGTTTCCAATATTTGAGATTAGAAACAATGCTATCATGAATATCATTGTCTTATTTTTTGGCCCCTTGTCCAATTACTTCCTAAGGTTAAATTTCCAGCAGTGGAACTGCTAGATCAGAGGATATGTATAGCAAGGCTTCTTGTAAACACATCACCCTTGAGAAAGTCTACATCAATTGTCATTCCCAACAGATCTGACAGTGCTTGTTCTCCACCTCTACTTCAACCTTGGTATGATCATTCTTCTTAGCCTTAGACTTAGATAACAAAAAGTGGCACTTTTTTAAGTTTGCATTTTCAAAAGTTACTAACAAATTGGATATTTTAATGTGCTTTTTGGCCCTTCTCAATAAATGGCAAATCACTTTCTCTAATCTATTAGTATCTCTCTAAACACAAAATAGCCATAATAAATTATATTTGTTTCTTAAAATCTTAGGTCCTATTTTGATGGAGAATTTATGTTAAAAGAAAAAAATGCATGCCTTGTACATTTAAAAATAGCTCTGGCACTTCTGCTTGGAACTTTGCTTTAATCCAACTCAGACAAGAGAACGACCATTTTCTCCATGTTGCATTAATAAAAATTTGTACTAGGCATCATTATGAAATATTTGCTAGAACACAGAATTCAGTACAGCACAGGTACACCCTCAAATTTTCAGTAAAGTATAAGCATTTTAATAAATATTTTATGACACAGTTTCATCTCCAACTGCTCCATGGAAAAGACCATTAAAATGTTACTAGTGGCAAGTTTTGTTTCATCACAATGCCAACATCTATAATGTTTGAAATATTAAAAATTAGAAGCACAGTTTTTCTCAGAGCTTTCGTTTTTAAATAAGCACCCATTATGAACAATTGTAACTGATTTCCTTTGGAGTAAAAACATGTAAACACTCACTTTTTTAAAAAAACAGTTAAGAACAAATGACCTGCAAGTGAATTCAAGATAATGAGCAGTGACTGTAGCATTCCATCAAAGCATTTTTGTTGAAATGCTTTAAAACAATATTCAGAATGCATGTTCTAAAAGGCAGGGAATTTACATGGGCCTTCTCCACTTTTTTTTAAAATAAAAATTAGTTTTATTTTAAAATTAGTTTTATTTAGCTTAAAATGCTTCAGTATTTTAAATAACCATCACTAAGGAAATCAAGGTAATTACAATTTCAAAATCAATTACAAAATCAATTTTTCTTTGCTACATTGATGTTTATGGTTAAGAGACCACAGAATGAAGGTGAGGACGAGGAAAGCTTTAGTTTATCACCTGTAACTAGCATAAATTCTTTGTCTTTGCTAGCATTATTACTTTTTGTTTTGACAAATTATTGCCTAATTTGTCTGAGCTTACAATGCTTGGTAGAATGTATAAGGTAACATTATAGCATTAAACAGTAGTATGAAAATCCAGTAAAATAAATGTTTATATCCCTAAAGCATTCACTAGAAAGATACCCAAATTCTAAAGGCCTACAGTAGTAACTTGATGAGTTAAGCTTATTATTATACAAATATAGCAACTTCATGAGACAAATTTTATACTCCCAACTCATTCATTGAACTACAGGTCCTCAAACAGAATGGATCTCAAAATCTAATGTTAGAGATGATTAAAACAACAAGTTAGGAAAATAAGATGACATTTAGAAGTGAAAATGCCATCCTATGTAATCAATAGTACTGTGAATTCTCCCACAGTGGATGGGTTGAACTGACTATTCCCAAAAATAACGCACTGTTTAGGTGCTGAATGCAATGAATAGATGAACACTATGGAGACCACTTATTGTTGAGATAAAAGTAAACCCCAAAATATCACCAAAGAGCAGCCACCTTTAAAAAAATCAAGATGAACTGGAAAACCATTGACATCTCCTGAAAGCATGCTGAAACAAAGGTGATGATTCCAAAAAAAAAAAAAAAAAAAAAAAAAAGAAGTTATAGTAGAGGGGTGTCCAAAAAAGGGATATCTGTAAAAGGAGAGGGAGGAGAAGATCAGAGTGTAACCAGCATTTCCAGAGAAGGTACCAACCAGGTCCTGTTTCTCATCTCCCTGCCAGACATGTAGTAAGTGAGCAAGGCTAATCCACCAGCCTTTCAAAGCACTCATCTACATTTACTCTGACTCTCCTCATCCTCACTTAAGAAACCATGTGATGTTCACATAGGAGCTCAAGGAGATTTACCAATTCATAGGAAGGAAATACACCACCTCATTGCCATAATTATCACAGCATGCTGAGTGGTTTCTATTTTGAGTGTAAATTGATAAAATGGCATTTTTCTTCATCAGTCTCTCTAAATGATTTCAAGTAGTATGCATCAATTCATGGGGTCTAATCAGCCTTGCTAAATGATGACACGGAGTTTATAAATCTATAGAGCTGTGAATTGTATTTTTTTTTAACATCCTTCACAATTTCCCCAGCCAACAGTATTATGTCAAAACTCCTTAGCACAGAATCTGTAGCTTTTGCCTAATTTTTCAACCTCATGTAATATCATTGTGATCATCATCATCGTCTCAAAGGCAGCTGACATTCGTTGAGTGCTTTTTTATATATCAAGCCTAACCTAAGCATTTTACTGATGATATCTCATTTAAAACTCACAAAACCCCACAAGGTAGGTAGTGTTGTTTTATTGGTTTTACTAAATGGGGAAGTAAAGCACAGGAAGGTTAAACGCTTTGCCTCATTCACATGCCCACATGAATCTCACACTTAAGTCATACTCAAATATCTGCAAGTCTTGTAAATGTAGCATGCTTTTGCATACCTCTTTTCCTCTGCACAGGCTGCTGGCTTGGCCCAGAAAATCATCCAACTTTTTCTTGTCTCACCATTTCCTATTGATCCTTCAAGACTCTGTTTGAGCAAAGCTTCCTCTGAAAAACCCAGATATCCCGGTCCATCCTAAGAAAAGTCAGATGCTCCCTTCTTCTGTGCTCTTATTACCGTATGTACCCATTCACACATAACATGAGTCTGTTTGTGAATCTGTTCCCCACTGTGCACAGCCTCTGTCATAGAGAATGCCAGGATCCTTGCATTAAGCCTCATATTCGATAACTGCGCTACTCCAGAGGGTACCACTCATATAGACTACAGAGTGAGGAAAATGTTAACACGTGGAGTTGTACAGTATGGGAGCTCTAAGGATAGTATCCCCATTGTCTTCTAAAGGAAGTGGCACATCCCATACACTCATAAACGTTTCTAAGTGACTAAGTGGCTGAAACAGAGATCACAATAAATGTGAAATGGAACTTAACCACTGAGCCCTCTTAACCAATGTATTATCCTCTAAATCAACACTTCATAAGTGCAAGTCTAAATAATACCATTAACCTAAAGATAAGTGTTAGTTCTGTTGCCCACTATAAGTACACTCAGAAAAATCTCTGGTTTATCTCTTCTATATCAGCTTCCTGTGCATTTTCTTTAAATGTTAACAATGAATTTTGAAGATTTCCTTCTAAGCCTTTGATAATGGCATAATTAATCTGCAAATAGATGTGGCATTTCCAAAGACGCAGATAATTATAGTGAGAACTACACATAACAAATCTACCCAAGAGTGGACTGAAATGCAAATTAATACAGTCTAATTTTTCTATTTTAATGAGCATGTTCACTATGGGCATTATGAATCTGTATTCAGAAAAACAACATTCCACGACTTTCAGCCACCTGCTCAGCAGGGAGAAAAAATTGCACAATGAACTTTGGCAAACATTTATGATATTTTTGATTAGAAATAAAAAAAATTAAGCTTAGATAATGCATTTTATTTCTTTTAAAAGGACATAGTTTCTGTCTTTTTGTGGATAGGAACATGATCTTAGGTAAAAGAACCTTCTACACATAACCAGCTTTAAGAAATAGCTGGAGATTGTGACAGCTTTCCCTGAAGAGAATCTCTTCAGTTAATCCAGGACATTACTTAGCCCTAATTTTTTCAGTTGATTCCTGCCATCCATTAACTAATTCAGAGTGCGAAAAGGGAACAGAGGAAAATAAATTACTAGCTCTGCAATTATTGGTTAAAACTTTAAAAACTCAGAAAGATGGCAATGCGATAGGCAGAATAATGGCTGCCAAAAGATGTCCACATCCTTACCCCTGGAAACTGTGACTATAGTCTATCACACGGCAAGGGGAATTAAGGCTGCAGGTGAAGTTAAGATTGCTAATCAGCTGACCTTAAAATAAGATTATCCTGGATTATGCAGTGAGCACAGTGTAGTCACAAGGGTTCTTTTAAGAGGGAGGCACAAGAGTCAGTGTACAAATGGTATGATGTGAGAAAGACTTAACCAGCTACTGCAGCTTTGAAGACGGAAGGAGGCCATAAGCCAAGGAATGCAGCCTAACTCTAGAATCTGGAAAAGGCAAGAAGAGGAATTCTTCCCCAGAGCCTCCAAAAGGAAGGCAGCCTTGTAGACATCTTAATTTTAGTCCAGTGAGACCAATTTTGGCCTTCTCACTTCCAGAACTATGAGATAATACATTTGCATTGTTTTAAGCCACTAATTCTGTATAAATTTGTTACAGCAGCAATAAGAAATGAATATAGGAAATTTCACCTCAGAGAAGAAATAAATTATTTCTGTAATCTCTAAAGCATGTGAGTATTTCTTCCCCCAAAGGAGAGACAAGAACTCCAGCAGACTACCATATCTTAATGATCATTGCCTTCTCTACCATAATACTTTGCAGCAATTTTATAGCAATGGTCTGAAATATATTCGAATTGGTATGGAATTTTGAGGCTTTGTGCATGCAAGATTCATTCCATTTTACAAGAGCCAGAGAGACCTCAGAGAGGAACATCTGGTCCACTCCATGTAATTAATGTGCAAATGAAAATATCCACATCAGAAGGCTTGGGTAATACCATACTCCAGGCCTCACAGCTAGTTAGTTGCATAGCCAATATAAGAATCTTCATTCTCTCTCTCTCTCTCCAATTATTCTCCAATTCCTTATGCTACTAGTAACTAGGATTAAATGCTACATATAAAACTAAAACTAAAACCAAAATGATCACTATCTGCCAGATTACAACCATCAGAAAATATGTATGTGTTTTTATGAGGTAGAACATGTCAACAGGAAAATTTGAGAATAGGACTCTTTAGAATGAAGCCAAAAATACCTTTCCATCCCCTGCCAGCAAGGCTTGGCTGAGATGAGACTTTGGCATATGCTCATTTATTTTTAGCATATTTGTGAGCTCCTACGTATTATTATGCTAATACTAGAGGCAGAGCTTTAAGCAAAATAGTCATGGTTTTTTGGACTCAAGGAGCTTACAGTCTGGAGGTGAGGACAGAGAGATAAGCAATGGGGTCTCTGTTAGCTAAACGTTAAACCACAACTTAGAGGAAGAGTCCAGCAGAGTGAGCTGACCTTCATGGTTTGTCTCTCACTCATGGACTGTCCCAAAGTCCTAACAACTAGATAGGCCAACAACTCACTCTGAGAAATGTGGGTATGAATTCTCCTTTTCACAGAACTCCAGCCTCAGCAGCTAATGAGAAACACCACTAGACACTGGTCATAGATAACTTAACTCCCACGTTTCACTGTCCACCTCCATTGCATTTCATTGGAATAGTCCTGTTTGTTTGTCTGTTTTTTTCACTGAGGACTTCTGTTTGCTTCAGGTTGGAATGTATGGTTAAAGTAACTTTTTCAGAGAAAGAGTAGTTTGACAACAATATTTTTAGTTCTGATTAACTAGAGTAGTTGTTATTGATTTGTGAGAAGTACTAGGTAAAGCAATGGATGGATGACCCATTCCAAAAGAGAGCTGTGCTCATGGCTGAGTTACATGAACTGTGCCACAGAGCTGAGCTTGTAGCTAGCCACAGATGTTGTGCACACCAAAATTGTTTTATATTGTATTACTAAATTTAATACATTTAGCCCTACATTTGTTAGCCTTAATAAAGGGTAATCCAGATCTCCTAATGTCTTAACTAAGATAATACAAAAATGTAGCTTCTGACCAACCCTGTTTGCTGCTTGAAATATTTCTTTTCATTTTTTACAAAAGCCATACCTTAGAAGATTGCTGTCTGATGGAAATTTTAATGTAAGCCATACAGGTAATTTAAATTTTTCTGGTAGTCATGTTTTTAAATATACAATGTAATAGGTGAAATTTTAATAATATATTTTAAAACTCAGTACACAAAAAACATTTCAGCATGAAATCAATATAAAAAGTAATGAGATTCCACATTTTTTTCTATTAAGTTTTCAATATTTGGATTGCAGTTTATACTTACTGCACATCTCATTTCAGGTGTTAAATTTTCTTTGAAAATATTGATTGTATTTATCCATTCTGACAATCTGTTTTTTAATTGGTGTGTTTAGAACATTTATATCTAATGTACTTTTTGATATGGTTGGATTTAGGGATGCCATTTTATTACTTGTTTTCTGTTTGTTTCTTCCGTTTTTCATTCCTCGGTTTCCCCTTTCCTGCCTTCTTTTGGGTTACTTGTATATTTTTTAGTATTCCACTTTATTATGTTTTCTTGACATGTTTTAGTTTTCTAAATGGTTGCCCTAGAGATCACAATACACATGCTGTACTCAATTTTTAACAGTCTACTTAAGAGTATCTTACCACTTCAACTGGAATGTAAAAATCTTAACACGCCATGAGTCCCCTTACTCCCTGCTTTATGCTATAGTTGTCATATATTACATCTGCATTCATTGAAAACCTCATCAGACAACATTTGTTTTCTTTCAACCATTATGCATATTTTAGAGAACTAAAGAGGAGAAGATTAGTCTAGTGTATTTACCAGATATTCACCATTTCTATTTTTCTGCCTTCATTCCAGATGTTCTAAATTCTTTTCTGGCATCATTTCCCTTCTGTCTGAAGAACATCCTTTAGCAATTGTCTTATACAAGGTCTACTACTGGCAATGAATTCTCTTAAGTTTCCCTTCAGCTGAGAATGTCTGAAAGTTCCTTAAGGATATTTTTGCTGAATATAGAACTCTGAGTTGACAATTATTTTCTCTTAGTAGTTTTAAAATGTTATATCACTTTCTCCATGATGAGAAATACACAGTCATTCAAATCATTGTTTCTCTACAGGTAATGCATTCTTTTCCTCTGTTTTCGAGATTTTTTCTTGTCTTGGGTTTTCAGCAGTTTGATGATGATGTGTTTCAGTGAGATTTACTTGGGTTCATGTCTGGGGTTTTATGAGCTTCTTGAATCTGTAGCTTTATGCCAAATCTTGGGATTTTTCAGTTATTATTTATTCAAATCTTATTCCAGTGCCATACTTTTTTTCCTCTCTTTTCCTGGGGTTCTGATGCCATGAACATTAGATCTTTTATTATTATTCCACAGGTCCATGAGGCTCTGCTTCCCCTCTCCCTGCAATCCTTTTTCTCGTTGTTGTTCGTATTGTACAATTTCTGTTGAGCTATCTGCAAATTCACTGACTTTCCTCTCTTTCACCTCTGTTCAGTTATTGAGCCTACTTAGTGAGTTTTAAGAATTGTGGTTACTGCATTTTTGAATTCTAAAATTTTAATTTGGTTCTTCTTTATATCATGTATTCATTTGCTGAGAATTTCTTTTTGTTTCAGAAGTGATTGTTTTTACTTGTTGAGCATTTTTGTAAGAGCTGCTTTAAAAGTCTGTCAGATAATTCCAACATCTTTACCATTTCAGTATTGGCCTCTGTCAATTGTCTTTCCTCATAAAAATGGATAATTTTCCTGGTTCTTCATATGCCAAGTAATTCTCGGTTGTATCCTAGACATTTGGAACACTCTATTACAAGATTCTGAGTTTTGTTTCAATCCTACTGAGAATGTTGCTATTTTTGTCTTAGCAGGCAATTGTCGTGAATAGCTTCAGGCTTCAAGTTCTAAACCTCTTTCCGTGGGTTACGTTTCCAACATCAGTTTAGTTTTCAAAGCCTTTGTAGAGACTTCCACTTCTAGCCATAGTGAAGTAACAGGAACCAGATTTACCTCTCTTTTGTCAATTTGGTGGAGCTTCCAATTCTGGTCATTTCCCCTCATCGTCCTGCCACTATTTACTTTTCAGGGTCCTCAAATAGCTGCTTCATGCATTCTATCCAGGTTTTATAGCTGCACTCGGTGGCAGAGTCAGAGTAAACTGTGTTTACTTCATCTTATCTGGAACTGGAATCTTCTGACTTTATTTAGATTTCATAAAATTTGCAGTTGAAAAAGTAGACTTATATACCCAGTTGCTCCAAACATACATAAATGTTTTCTAATAACTAAATGAGTATCAGTTTTTAAATTAAAAATAATTTTAAAATCACATATTTCAGCCACTCTTTAAAGGGCTTAGTATCCACACATGGTCAGAGCATTCTTAGAAAGTCATATTAAAGAATTTACGAGAGAGAGCAGGAGTATAACCAAAGGTCTAAAACAAGCATCCTCCACTACCGACTCTTTCAGAGAGAAAGAGGTAGGAACTCACATTTTTCAAGGCCTTTTCTTTTTTTTAACATAATGAAGCCCCCTAGTTCTCTTCAGTCACGATAAACCAGAGCTAAGTTTAATGAAACTAGGTCTCTGAAGTTTCTCCTATCTGAGTTTTGCTACCTTGGCCAGTAATGCCAACCTCTTTCTTTTAAGCCACCTTCCATGTCACAAATGTAATTTTTTACTGAAATTTTAATCTTGTCTTTTAAAATAGAAAATTAAAATTCTAGAAATGTGCTGCCAAATACTATAGCCACTAGCTACTAGCCACATGCAGCCACTTAGTATTTGATAAGCCTGTAACTGACAGGGTGAACTTTAAATTTTATATAATGGTAATTAAAGTTTTTAAAAAATTGATGCTTGTTTCTGTTCTTGGGAAACTGCTAAGTATGTTGGAACAACTTGGGAATGTCAGTCTACTTTTTCAATTATGAAAGTTATGAAATCTAAATGCAGATTAAGTATTTCTAATGAAACCTGCGTGTCTAAACTAATATGTGCTATAAGTATAAAATATACACTGGATTTGGCAGATTTAGTCTGAATAAAAAATAGAAAATATATTAATAATTCTTCATAGTTGATTACATGTCGAAACTATATTCTTGATATATTAGGCTACATAAAATATATCATTAAGATTAGTTTTACTTGTTTCTCTTTTTAAATGTGCATACTATGAAATATAAAATTACATATGTGCCTCTCATTATATTTGTATCAGACAATGCTGTTCTAAATCTCTTCTAAAGATTGAGATGCATACAAGTATTTTAAGCTGAAATTCCAGAAAATGGAAATATAGGCAAAAATATAAGATATTTGTTTGGTGCAAAGAAGAAATGATAGAGAAAACATATAGAGAGAAGAATAACATGTACACATTATCAGAATCCTCAAACAAGGTGAAAGATAAAAGAAAATTCTTTTCTAATTCTCTTTATTTTCAATTAATTGAAATGCAAAAATGATTAGGACAAAAAGATGTTCAAAATTACTCTCTGCAATACTATCTTTGTTTGTTGGTAGGCTGTTAATTTACAGATGACCTTGTAAAACAAAAACTGTAAATGAAGAATGAATACACAGACTGCAGACTGCATAGCAGCTACTAGACATTTTTAGACATCTATTTTTTCCACAAATGTGTCAAGCTGACAAAATAAGAATATAAGCAATTTACAAACTCTTCACATTAAATTCTAATTCAAGCTCTTCCTTTTTCGGCTTTGGAAATGGAAATGGATCTGCTATAAGTTTCTAGAATTAATATTATACAATAGAAGGAGACATGCTGACCTGTCAAACAGGGAGGTCTTAAAAAATATTTACATAAAATAACACATGGCCAAAGGCCCTAAAAAAGTCCCTGGAATTTGGTCTTAGGAGTAAGACAATTTATGCAGCCTCCTTCTCCACACGATTCTTTGTGCACAACAGGAATGAGTCTACACTGTTAATAGTCTGTAATCAGTGCCAGACGACTGATCAAAGATGGCAAAGTAGGGCCAGCTTTCAGAGGCCACCCAGTTGCTGAAAGAAAAGGATTATTTTGTTCAGGTGACCTTAAGCTTCCTAGAGGTCAGGCAGGATGATCTAAGCATTGTTTTTCAGGCTCTCTGAGGACACCTGGATCAATGACTATTTGAAGACTGTGGGTGAACCATGCTGAGTTCATCCTGCGATTCATCCTCCGGCTCCACCCATTTCTAAGGTTGCACAGACCACCTCTTACTTCAGATTCCCACAGCCCAACTAGCCTAAATAACTTTAGTTGTCTTATTTAAATGTTCCACCATCTAGGAAAAACACATGTGATTGTAATGTTTAGATAAAAGGACAGTATACAAACCAGTATGTAGTGTGATAGCAATTACTCAGACACAAAACAACTGTAAATATCAACAGTGGTTATCCCTAGTAACAGGCTTATATTCCCTCTATTTTTCAATATTTTCCACATTTTAAGGAGGAAAAATCTTGTGTTACTTATACAGAGCAACTTATTCTTTGTATGAGGGAGCAGTAAGAAACAAAAAGGGTCTATATCTATGAAAGTACATGAATACATTTTGAATTAGTATCTTCCTCTGACATTAGCACCTAATATATTTGTGATATTTGCAAACTTCTTGTGATATCAGTAAGCAGAGGTATACTCATAAATGTGCTTTCAAGGTGCCATGGTGCTATCCAAAAACACAGATCAGTAGTAAAAACGAAAGTGGATTCTTTGGGAAAGCAGTCTCCAAAGTCAGCAAACAACAAAAGGAAAACATTTCTTTTTTGAAGTATGAGTGTAAACTTCAACCATTCAGTTACACTGTACATCTAAGGTCTTGACAATGCTGCATGAAAAATAAAGGCTTTACATTACATAAATGTTTGATCTACTTTCCTAACAATTATGATGCACTTCAAATTCTTACAGATCTTTCAAAGTTCAGCAAGGCAGAAAGAGCAACACAATAAAATGTATTTATTTATTGATCAATTGGTCACTGTTTAGACATAGAGTTCCAGGTAAATATAGTTGCCATTTTCACAGAGTTCAACTGCTACATGTCAAGAAGATCACATATAGATAACATGTTATTTAAAAAAAAGAGACTAGCACTGCCAGAGTACTGTAGGACAAGAATCACAAATCATTTATGATAGTGAAACTCTAGTGACATTCTCTTTAAAATCAGAAAAAAAGATGCCTCATATAACCTCTGTTATTTTAATATCTTTCTAGAAGTATTAGCCAAAGCAGTAAAAATTATAAATAATGTAAACTGGAAGATAAAATTATTATTTGGAAATGTTATGAAACTCCACTGACAAAATTCAGTAGAATCACCTGAAAATAAAATCAGAGCCAATATACAAAAATCAATAGCTTCCCTAATTTCTAGAAAGAGCCAGGTAAAAAATAAAATGGGGTAAAAATTCACATTCATAAAAGAAAGAAAGAGTATAAACAAATAGAATACATTCAAAAGATAGGTGTACAGAACTAACATTAAAAAATCATGGAACCGGCCGGGCGTGGTGGCTCACGCCTGTAATCCCAGCACTTTGGGAGGCTGAGGCGGGTGAATCACGAGGTCGGGAGATTGAGACCATCCTGGCTAACACGGTGAAACCCCGTCTCTACTAAAAATACAAAAAATCAGTCAGGCATGGTGGCGGGCGCCTGTAGTCCCAGCTACTTGGGAGGCTGAGGCAGGAGAATGGCGTGAACCCGGGGGGTGGAGCTTGCAGTGAGCCAAGATCGCGCCACTGTACTCCAGCCTGGGCGACAGAGCGAGACTCTGTCTCAAAAAAAAAAAAGAAATCATGGAACATAAAAGAAGACTTAAATTAATAAAATGATTCACCATCCTGCTGAATGTTAAAGCTTAACTGTAAAGATGACAATGTTCCCTTAAATAAACGCAGAAATGCAATGGAGTTACAATTAATATCCCACTAGCAGTTTTGTTTAGAACTTGACAAAATTACTCTAATGTTCTTATAGAAGAACAATCATGAAGAATATTCAAGAAGGGCCGGGCATGGTAGCTCACGCCTGTAATCCCAGCACTTTGGGAGGCCAAGGCGGGTGGATCACCTGAGGTCAGGAGTTCAAGACTGGCCTGGACAACATGGCGAAACCCCATCTCTACTAAAAATACAAAAATTAGGCTGTGTGCGGTGGCTCACGCCTGTAATCCCAGCACTTTGCGAGGCCGAGGCGGGCAGATCACAAGGTCAGGAGATCAAGACCATCCTGGCTAACATGGTGAAACCCCGTCTCTACTAAAAATATAAAAAATTAGCAAGGCGTGGTGGCTGGCGCCTGGAGTCCCAGCTACTCAGGAGGCTGAGGCAGGAGAATGGCGTGAACCCAGGAGGTGGAGCTTGCAGTGAGCTGAGATCACGCCACTGCACTCCAGCCTCGGTGACGGTGTGAGACTCCATCTCAAAAAAAAAAAAAAAAAAAAAAAAAAAGAAACAAAATTAGCCGGGCATGGTGGCACACGCCTGTAGTCCCAGCTACTAGGGAGGCTGCGGCAGGAGAATTGCTTAAACCTGGGAGGTGGAGGTTGCAGTGAGCCGAGATCATGCCACTGCACTCCAGCCTAAGTGACAGAGTAAGACTCAGTCTCAAAAAAAAAAAAAAATCAAGAAAATGTGGGGGGAAATAAACCATATTTAACCATTCAGATAGGGCTTGCACAACTAGATATCAAAATGTGTTATCAAAATGTGTCATAAAGCTATAGGAATTTAAACCTATTCTGTTCTTACCTATTCTGTTCTTTAAAATGTTAAAAAAAAAAAAGCCTAGAATTCAGTATTCATTACGGCATTTCAAATTAATGTAACAAAAAGATGGATTCTTAAATCAGTTTGGTTAACTGGCTATTCATTTTGGAAAATATGAAGTTAGATCCCTACCTCTCACCTTATACAAAAATAAATATCAGATGCAATAAGATTTAAATGTAAAAAATGGAACCACAAAAGTACTAGAAGAAAATTAAGGTACAATTTATGTAATGGTAGGATGGAAAAGACCTATCTTAGCATGCCAACAGCCAAAATCGTAGAGAAAAATATTAGATCTAACAACTAATCTCAGAGATTAAATCTTTGTTTCACAAAACTGAAAGGCAAGCAAATTGAAGGAAATATCTGCACCATATGGCAGAAAGAGAGTTAAAATTTTAACCAATAAAGAGTTTTTGTAAATTAACCTCAAAAGCAGAGCATTCCATTGAAAATAAGCACTACCCTTCTCATCTAATAGGTGAGGTAAGAAAAATCCAGAGAAGACTGACTAAAGGATACATTGGTAACTCCTGGCAAAAGATGAGATGAAATATGGGCTTTGCAGTCCCCTAGAAACATGATTTTTCTGCATTATCAGGTTTGTAAATCTAAAAAAAGAGAAAGGAAAAGAAAGAAGGAAGAGAAGGAGCAAGGCAGACAGCAAGGGAGGGAAAGAAAGAAAAAGAAAGGAAGAAAAAAAAAGAAAGAATAAAAAGGAAACCAAACCATATTCCAATGGCTATGGCTGAATGAATTACTTATGCATGTTTCTACAAATGTTAACTTAAAAAGCAATATCCTACCCTTGCACTAACTATGTAAGTGACCTAACTTCTCGGCCTTGTTGCTCATCTTAGAGCAAGCTGAACTTGAAGATCTCTAACACTGTCTAGTTTAACCCCACTTGCATTAATGTATGACATTATAAAGTTATGAGCAACTCAGAAAACAACCTACATACAATTCAGTGAACATTTATTGGGCACCTACTATGGGCAAGATACCATAATAGACACTGTGGGGATACAGCTTTGGCCTCTACTTGTGTAATCAATTTATTACCATAAAATTTTAGAGTTGGAATAACTGAATTTTATAAACGAGAAAACAAGCATGTTGGATATACTGAAATATAAAACCTTTAATACATTTATAAAATTAAAGAAAATTTATTCCATATATATAAAATGTTAAGGACTATCATATTCTTTAACAATTCTTTTAAATAATTAGATATGAAAATAGGGAATCTGAGCTTGAGGTCTAGCACTGTCAGAAATCCATTTTTAAGAAAATTATTATCTGAATTCATATAACATAAAACTAAACACTTTAAAGTAAACATTTAGTATGTTCACAATGTTGTGTAACTACCACTTCTACCAGTTCCCAAACTTTCTTTGCAGTGCAGCAATGAATTCCAGATGTGCTCCATCCTTGATCTTGACCATTTCCCAATGAAGCCCATGACTCTTTGAGGAATTTCTCAATTCACTCAGCATAACTAGGCAACTCATTCTATTCTAAAATCATTTAACAAATGTCTATGTAAATCCCTACCAACAAAATGAAGGGCCATATAATTACCCAGAAAAGTCAATCTCTGGAGTCATCCATGAGAACTAATCACAAAACTGCATTTTTAGTAGCTGGACTTTTATTACCTGAATTACTCCCTGCCTCTATTCTCTCATCTCAATCTTTGTGAAAGTTGGCACACAGTATTCAAAGAGTGTCCAAGCCTAAGCTCACAAGAGATCAATTCATAGGTTCTCTATGCAGACCCTTCTTTGGCAGGCAAGGTTTATGCAAGAAATGTTTGCCTATGAAAAGCTGATAATTATAGGTATGCTTTAGAAAGAAATGACAAGTGCCATGAATATTTACATAGTACCTTAGAAATATGCTTTAAAGCTAATCATAAAATTACAACTACCAACATTTTCTAAGAATTTATTATGCTCTTGACACAGGTCTACGTGCTTTCTATACATTATTTCATTTGAACCTTACAACCGTTATAACAATACTGAGGCTTAGAGGTTACACGACTTGCCCAAAGTCATCCACTTTACAATAACTACCAGGCATACTTCTTCCCTGAGACCGCATTGCCAATAATGATCCCTGAACCGTTTCTATAAAGAATTCCCACAGCAGCTGGGATAAACCAAAGCCACATGGCTTAACTTTGAAAGGCACTCCCAGGCAGTCTGTGGGGAAGGAGCAAAAGGTTCACCACCTTTGAAAGACTTAGGAATTCCAACCATTAGTCATCAGCAGAGGTGCATCAACAAACACTGGTTTTCAATCCATGTCAAAGATATTTTCATTATCCCCATGAAAGGATTAAAAACTGTCCCCTCTAATATCACAACCTGCCCCCTTGTGCCACCTTCAGCACTCCCAACCCCCTTCCCTAAACTGCTGGTTTCCCATAGTCTTATCACTACCTAAACACGATACCATTTACTAATTTATTGTGCATATAAGTATTCTAGTGTGCTAGAATGCAAACTCATTGAGAACAGGGATCTTCATTTTATTCACTGCTGTGTCTCCAGTGTTTAGAGATACAGTGACCTGGGTCACAGTTGGAGCACGTTCCTCTTCCTTACAAAAGTATATGATGGTATCTATTCAAATCACTTTCTAACATTTCACCAAAACCTGCTAAACGCTGCTAAATATTTCACACATTTGAATGGAGACACTGACACATTCATAAGTGAATGCAACAGCTACGTCACCGACGAGAAAGCTGTAATTATGGAATAATAGAACTATCACTGACAGATGGAAGGGTTTTGCTTGTTGTTACAGCTTATCCAGGGAATTATATAAAGAGTTCAGTGAGTTAGCATAACTGACAGGCAATCTACGCATACAAATCCTGGGGAGCTGAAAGGTGAGAGGGGAGGGCAATGAAGGAAGGATGTTTAATATTAAAACATGTGCATCTTTACAACAGAAGTTACTGTTTGGAAAATGTTTTCAATGGCCATTAGTTCTATAACAGAAACTATGGAAAACAGTGTGACAAAGTAGCATGGCAGAGCATGGGTTAATAACCATTTTCCTGCATTAAATACTTTGCAATTTGCCAGGCACTGTTCTGAAGCCTTTACACATATTACATCATTTGAATATCCTTACAACAACCCTGTGATGTAGGGACTGTTATTATTTTATAGATAATGAAACTGGGGCTCAGAGAGGGTGCCTAACTTGCCCATGGCCACACAGCTACTTAGTGATGGAGCTGGGATTAAGCTGTACTTAATTTGTACTCTACCTTGGTGTTTCTCAACAGGGTGTAGTTTTGTCCCCCAGTTGACATGTGGCAATGTTTGGAGACATTTGTGGTTGTTGTAACTAGGGGGAAGGAACTACTGGCATCTAGTGGATAGGAATGCCGCTGAACATCCTCAGGGCAGAGGACCGCCCCACAACAAAGAATGTTCTGGCCCCTAAGTGTCATTAGTGCCGAGGTTGAGAAGCCCTGCTCTCAAACTCTTAACCTCTGTACTTAAAGCTTGAGAAACACCTTTGATAGAAGGACTTCTGTCCTTTTTAGGAGGAAAACAAACTGTAACATGTGGTTACAGGTGGTCATGTTACCTTATAAGAGAAGTGCATTCACTTCCTGAGGCTGCTGTAACAAATTACACTAAATTTGGTGGCTTAAAACTACGAAAATTTATTCTCTCCCAGTTCTGGAGGCGAGAAGTCCAAAACCAATGTCACTGGGCTGAAACTGAGGTGCTGGCAGGGTCATGCTCTCTCTGGAGGCTACAGGGGGACTCTGTCCCTCGCCCCTTCCAGTTCCTGGTGGCTGCCAGAATTGGCACTCCTTGACTGGTAGCCACATCACTTCACTCCCTGCCTATGTCTTCACATCACCTTCCCCTGCATGTCCCTCTCTGTTCCCCTCTGCCTCTTTCTCATTAGGATGCTTGTAAAATATTTAGGGCCCACCTGAATGATACAGGGTAATCCCCTCAAAATTCTTAATTCAACCACATCTACAGAGACTGTTTTTCAAAATAAGGTAATATTTACAAGTTCTAAGAATTAGGATGTGGATATCTTTGGGGGACCATGAGTAGATATTATTATTCTCATTTTACCATGAGGGAACTTCAAGTCATGTGCCCAAGGACAAATGGCTAACAAGGGGTAGAGGCGGGATTTGAACCCAGCTCTGTCCACCTCAGAAGCTCATTCTTTTTTCTTTATACATTGTCACCTACAGAGGCTGGAGAAAAGATCTGAAACCTGGCCGAGTGCGGTGGGTCACGCCTGTAATCTCAGCCCTTTGGGAGGCAGAGGTGGGCGGATCACCTGAGGTCGGGAGTTCGAGACCAGCCTGACCAACATGGTGAAACCCCGTCTCTACTAAAAATAGCAGGGCGTGGTGGCACATGCCTGTAATCCCACTACTCAGGAGGCTGGGGCAGGAGAATCGCTTGAACCTGGGAGGCGGAGGTTGCAGTGAGCCAAGATGGTGCCATTGCAGTCCAGCCTGGGCAACAAGAGTGAAACTCTGTCTCAAACAAAAAAAAAAAAAAAAAAAAAGAAAAGAAATCTGAAACTCAGCCGCCGAGTGGTGCCTACTGCAAGAAAACTACAAATCCAGGCGTATTCTAAGCACTGTCTGTAAAAATTATGATGGCACAAACTTTCATGATATGAGTGTCTGAAGAATACAATCACCTGTAATCTTTGCATAGAACTATCTAGAGCCTTCTTCCTGAGTCTAAAGTAAAATGCAGCAAATTACAGCTATAACTACACATGCTTCTTTAGCATTTGTACTTTATTATGGACTAAAATCCCACATTTGTGAGAAGTCATTCCCAGTGGAGAGAAGGATATGGTGGGACTGTGTGTCTGTGGGGCTGGAGTTTCCATAATCCCAGAAATGTTTTGATATTAAAAATATTGGGCATTCAGCTGTAAAAAGGAATGAAGCACTGACTCAAGTCACAACGTGGATGAACCTTAACACATTACGCTAAGTGAAAGCAGCCAGGCACAAAATGACACAGATTGTACGATTCCTTTTATGTGAACTACCCAGAACAGTTAAATCCACAGAAACAGAAAGCAGATTAGGGGTTACCTCGGGCTACAGGGAGTAGGGAATGGGGAGTGACTGCTTAGTGAGGATGGGGTTTTATTTTGGAATGGTGAAAATATCTTGGAACTAGATAGAGGTAGTGTTCACCTCCATTTTTCATAATAAAATGGTTAATTTTATGTTCTATAAGTTTTACCTAAATAAATACATAAATGAAGCCTCTATGCTAAGCAAACTCTGGGGTAGACAATCCATTTCCTTACAATGTAGTGTTAAACCATACTGTGGATCAAATTCTAGAGGAGTGGCTTCTAGCTAAGATATTATGATTTTATATGACCCTGGACTGAATATGTCTTCTAGTACTCTACTTTTTGGATTATGACAAGAAGGTGTAAAAAAAACAGCAAATCTACAATTTTAAAATTCGCTTCTGATTTTTTAACTAAAGTAATAAGTACTTGCTGTAAAAAGAAGCTATATTATGCCAAAATTTATAGTAATTTCTAGAATAAAAATTTTACCTCCAACTCTCCTAAAATTAGTTGCCTGCTTGCATTTCCTTATAACAGAGCCAGATGAGATAATAAAATGGAAGTGCTGTGTTAACTCTGAAGCATATTTCAAATGCAAGCCATTATTATTAGTGTAAATAATGATACTCATCAAAAAGACAGCATAAAGGAAAACACTGCCATGTTACAGCGCGCACTTTATAACGACGTGGCAGTAATAACTAACCAACAAAATTGGTGGTCTATTATTTTACAATCAACAGACAGTAATTAAGCAACAAACTTCAACTGCTGCAGTTTCGATTTGATAATAACCAGATAGGACACACCAGAAGAATGTGCACATACGAGATAAGCCTCCTCCTCCTCCTGAAGCAAGTACACCCAAGTTGTTGCCCAGGAAATCTAGACTGCCCCCAGGGCCTTATACGGAGTAAAACTTGTTAAGGGAGGAATGTGAAATTCTCTGACTTGTGGCCAGAGTTAGGACTGTCTATGGAGTAGGCAGGGAAAGAATGAGAGGGAAGGCGATCGCCAAGCCTAGTTCAAGTCCAGCGCCTTCCTTCAGAATCCAGCTTCTATTCCTAAGGAGAAAGACATTCCCATAGCCCATGAATCCCCAACTGTGTGGGCCAAGGGCAGGGACAGGTCTGGTGTGAGGGGGTTAGGGGAGGCTATGACAACTTTGGGGATCTACTACCTGTAAACATGCTGCTTTCATGGGGCTGCATCTTGAAGAGAATTTCTCTTGCTGTGTACCATGCAAGATAGATTCTGGGCTGGGAACTAGTCTTTCCACTCCAGCCCGAGGCCAGGCTGCTGCTACCTCGGCAGGTTCTGGAAGTGGTAAGCCAGGCCTTGCTGCAAGGCCAGATGACAGCTGGACACAAAGGACTGCAGGAGAGGCACAGAGAGGACAAGACCAGAAGAGACATGGAAGTGCTGAGCTCTGGGCCATGCCTGCCATCAACCCCTTAGGTTATCTCACAGCTAACTCTCCTTGGTGTGGGTATCTGTAACATGGGGTGGCACCTCTGCTCCACTTGCCTCAAACTAAGTTCTTGTTAGAAGAGAGTGAGAGAAAAAGACAGAGCCAGAGGGAAAGAGAAAGTGAGACAGAGAGAGGAGAGAAAGGGTGAGGGGAGATGATGATGAACAGAAAAATATACCAAAAATTAAGCCTTGTCTCAGTACTTCCAAAACTCTGTGCATGCCATATAACTAAGAATCTGTTTGTTAAGAGTGAACACACTTTGGGAGGCTGAGGTGGGTGGACCACTTGAGGCCAGAAGTTCAAGACCAGCCTGGCCAACATAGCAAAACCCAGTCTCTACTAAAAATACAAAAATTAGCCAGGCATGGTGATGCATGCCTGTAGTCCTAGCTACTCGGGAGGCTGAGGCACAAGAGTAGCATGAACCCGGGAGGTGGAGGTTGCAGTGAGCCGAGATCGCACCACTGCACTCCAGCCTGGGTGACAGAGCAAGACTATGTCTCAAAAAAAAAAAAAAAAAAAAGAGTTAACACAAAAGAAGAGAGACATGTGGGGAAAGAACAGCTTAAACAAAAGTAACTTTTTAATTCATGCTTTCATTCATTTATTCAACATATATTTAGTGAGCACTGGTTAGTTTCCGAATAAAACAGACATGAATTTTCCTTTATGGGGCTTACCATTTGATGTGAGAGTAAGACACTAAATAGCTTGTATAATTTATTTGGAAACGTTATCATTTATAATATAAGATGTACTGTGAGGGAAATAAAGGGAATTGCGGTAACAGAAAACAGAAAATTAGGGGAGATCTACTTAGGTGGGGTTTGAACAAAGAAGTCTTTACTAAGGAAGGAACATTAAGGAATCCTAAAGGAACAGAAGGAGCTGGCAACACAGAGTGGGAGCAGGCAGCAGAGAGGGAGCTTCCTGGATGGAAGATTCAGGTGGAGCACAGGCCCTTGGAGCAGGATGGAGGGCAGGAGAGGAAGAGGCTGGAGTGAAGTGGACATTCCTGTCTACTCCCAGGAGCCTTTTCTATGCTGTGTGTCATGTGCATCTCCAAGAGCTAAGGATAAGCCCTGCTTCCCAAGAAAGTATTACAGAATGTCAAAATGGGATGTGTCAAACAAGCCGCTAAGATGGATGAGATACCAGGTTCCAAAGTGAAGTGCCAGGCCTAGATGCAGTTTTTCAAAGAACATAGCCCAAAACCTTTTTCACTGGTCTTAAACCTCTTACCTACGGTGTGGCTACAAGTAGGTCAGACTGCTTGTTGGTGGCTAAAAGGAGAGAATGATTGAAGCAAGCAGGCTGCAGTCCAGTCTGGTCCTAGCCTAAAGGACTAAGCTTAGGAAGAGATAAGAGTACCTGCCCCTCCCTGCTTCTCCCCCTTCCAGCCTCATGAGGGGGCTCAACAGGACTACCTGGAGAGCATGAGGCTCTTACGATGTGGAAGGCACTGTGACCTTGTTTGGGACTTCTGCCTAAGAAATCTGAAGAACTGGAGAGCTGGCTGGATGCTGACGGACAAGCCAAAGGAAACGACAGTTGCCCTGGGAGCAGCCTGCCCTCTCCCAGTTGGTGGGAACAAAGGAAGTGTGAGTGTTTCCCATGGACCACACCATGAGCATATGTACAGGGCTATATATTAGGGTCTTCCCAACAAGGGCCACCTGGACAGCAATAGAACCCAGCAGACAGGAGTACGAATGGATTGGTGGGCTTTCTAGAGACTGTGGAAACAGTCTGCAATTAGGCTGAAGAGAGTGCAGCAGCCCCACCAAGGAAATTGGAGGTGAGAGGCCCCCAGAGACAAGGTGAGAGGGTATCTCCAAAGAACCCACAAAAGGGCCCCACAAGAGAAAGAATCAACTCTAAACACCCACAACACAAAAAGAGCTCTCCTATGATACCGCCTGCCTAGTAAAAGCTTTCCTACACTCCTTCCTGTTCCCCACCCAGCCCCTCACCCCAGTCCAGAAGTCATAGCTACTGAGTAAGCAAGAGAAAAAGCCTCCAACCACAGCCCCCTCTCCCTGCAACAGGCCCTAGCCAGGGGAAGGGGAGCAGTTATAAATATGAATGAAGCTGGAAGCTTTAACTATCCCATGATACTAGACATTTTAAATATCTGGCAAATTAAAGTGGGGCTTTTTATTATATATGAGGAATCAGAATAGCCACGTGATATGTTTTCATCCAAAAAACAGGGGAAATGCTTTCCACTGAATAAATTTTAATGGGAGAGTGGGAGACTTGATGAAGTTGTTTTTTCGTGGCCTCCCATGAAACCTATTTGTTCAAGGCAGATTATACATAGAACCCCATTGTGTTAGCACATCTCGTGGAAAATGTACTTTCCAAAAATGAGGCCCAGCATGCCCCAGCTTGAGGATGAAGATCACTGTGGTTTGTGGGTCCACCTTGTAACATTGTCCATCCTTGGCCAGGCCATGCAGAGCCTTCAGTATCTATGGCAACTGAGGCTACGGACCTCCTGCATACATCAGTGGTTCTCGTTCTTACACCTTCCTCCTTTTCCAGGAAGACAAATGTGTTTCAGGAAGGAATCCCTATCACCAAGAACCCCCACTAAGCTCAGCCCTGATCCTCCTGAAACAAGCTCTGATTGAGTTCCCAATATTGTGCTTTATGAGTCTTCTTCTTAGATGTCACCCTAACAGGATTCCCGGTACATTCATCTGGCACCCAGTTGAGAAGGCCAGAGCCTCAACCCATACTCAGCAGGAAACCCAAGGAGAATCAATAGAAGGACAGGGGCCTCTTTAACTCCACCCATTCAATCTCCCATTGTCTTAGTGTCATGAAAAGCAAATCTTAACATGCAGGGCAGTAAAACATGACACAGAACTCATCTTCAATAAACTGGCACTTTGGTTAAGCAAATGTGAAAAGTCAACAGCCACAGCATCCTTATATGCCAGTGGGTTTTGGCAAATCAACATACACTGACCAAGTCTTTCTGATATTGGAAATATTGCTTACCAAATCTACACCATGTGAAAGGGATTTCTCCTCACACATATGCAGTGTTCTTATGAAAGCTCATTCAAAACTGACATTAAAAGACATTTTGGGCCAAGCCTGCCTCGTGCCTGTAATCCCAACAGTTTGGGAGGCTGAGGCAGGATGATCACTTGAGCCCAGGAGTTTGAAACCAGACTGGGCACATAGCGAAACCCCAACTTTATACTGGAATAAAAAATTAGCCAGGCATGGTGGCATGGAAATGTAGTCCCAGCTACTCAGGAGGCTGAGGCAGGAGGATTGCTTGAGCCTGGAAGGTCAAGGCTGAAGTGAGCTATAGTTGTGCCACTCTAGCCTGGGAGACAGAGTGACAACCCTGTTTCGAAAAAAAAAAAAAAAAAGTTTTGGTATTTGGGCTATTTTAAAAATGCACAGCAGAGGATCTGAAGGTTTCTGGGCCTGCTCCCCACTAGGTTCTGAGCTCCTTGAAGCAGGGACTATGTTTCATCCACTTTTGTACCCTCCTAGGGCCTAGTACAAAATCTGGTACATATGTGCGTTCATTCAAAGTCTGACAGCTGATGAGTGAGTGAACAAATGAACATTCTGGCTCATATTTTCAGTTAGATTTGTGTGAATACTATAATTAAATCTGTTTTTAAAAAGAGAGAGACCTACTATCCATCATTGTTGACCACTCTATTCTCTACAGACCATTTTGAGTGTGTTTATTTGAATCTTGCAGTCAGATGCTGTAGTGTTCTTTTGTGTAAAAGATTTTCCTGGGGCACCTCTTTCTACAGGCTCCTGAGGCCACCCACATCAGCTGCCCATTCACACCACTCAGAAACAGCAAAGATCCAGCATGGTATTGGGCTCCATCAAAGGGAATCAATGGGTCTCTCGAAGGGAATAATACTGCTTTAAAATAGGTATTTTCAAAAGAATTACCTTTCACCTCTCTCCTAGAAGGACCTTTAGAGATGAAGCAGGAAGAGAAAAGGCCCTCAAATGCTGAGAGGTATCAGGCACCAGAGAAAGGTCACAGGACTGGGGTTGGACGGCTCTGCAGTCACATCTCAGCTCTGCTGGGCCTTGGCTTCCTCATCTGTAAAATGGAAATAATAATGCCTACCTCAAACAATCATGGTGAAGAGGGGAATAAGTGAATGTATGAAGGCTCTTATTATAGCCCTTGACACATAATAAGGGCTCAAATGGTGGTTAGTTCTACATACAACACAAATTACATACCCCTATCTGTATATTTAAAGATAATTTTGTGTCTGACTGGTCCACAACTCTCAAAGGAGCTGAGATCCAAAACTCAGCTGTTTAGAACTTGGAATGCACTTTCCCATGGAAACAGTGCTACAAATCACAGAACTTTAGAATCAGAAACTAGATGACCTTATAGTACATCTAGTGATGTAGTAAAACTTCCCACTAAATGTAGGACTTCTTAATATAGGCTCTCTGATGTTGAAATTCTAAGCAAGGCCACCAAAACCAATGTAACCCATAATGTCATTGAAACCACATGCAAGGAAACAAGTAATAGTGGAAAATAATTTTTAAATATTCAGTAATATTTCAGCTTCACATGTTCTTCTAACCTCAGCTAAGATTATCTTCCAGTTCTGAAACTCATATAGAAGTGAGGAGACATAAACTTCTTATGAGTAGGGCCATGATAACCTACCCTGGTTCTCCCCACCCCCAACAACTACCACCCAAATCTTCCAATTAGTAATACGTGATAAGGACTCTATCAGCAGCATGAACAAAATGTAACGGGCCCATGGAGGAGAAAGTGATAACTGGGGGGCTAGAGAGGGTGAAGAGAAATGCCAAAGAGAGGAAGAGGTGAGGCGTGGAGAAGGGAGGCAGAGAACAGAAAGAAAAGGCTTGGTTACCAAGTTTCCCTTCTCTATCTCTTTGCTTAGAGTCAGCTCCATCTCACCTGGTTGTGCAGAAGCAAAACTATTTGTAGAGGTCATTCCACAATGGATTGGTGGGCTTTCGAGACGATTTGAGACACTGTTTGGTCACATGCTAATATCATTTTTTAGGGGTCACCCCTCATCCTCCACCTTGACCCCTGGCCATGGCAGTCTCTACCCACGCAGTGACAGCAAGAAGGCAGAGTGCTCTGGGATATTTCTACTGCTTGTTCTCTGGAATGGAATCAACTGACTGTACTTACAGCACATTCAGAAGCCAAGGGTGCTTAGTTTGGAGAGTGCATAACATTGCCTTCGATATGGAAAATTCCAAAGAAACTGCAAAAGTGACCAAGGAAATCTAGTTTTGGATAAAAACTCTAAGTTCTACTCAGATGACATGGGATAATGTTAAATGAAACAAAAATCAATTTATGAAAAAATATGTGATTCCAATTTTTGAAATGTATGTACACACACTGTTTTAGGCATTCTTAGATATATCTGCTCAGAAAAAAGGAAGCTAATACTCCAGAACATGAACAATGATTTTATCTGTGTTCGAGAATGAAAGAGTAGATATATTTTTTCTTAATTTTCTAAGTGTGGTTAAATGGGCAAGTAATTATATAAAAGTGGGTAAAATGGCATTTAGAAATACTAATTTGAGATTTTAAAGCTAAAAGACTTCTTAGAAATGACCTGATCTAAAACTTCCCCCAGTCCCTCTCAGGTTTGTAGGTAAAAGACCTCTGACACACCAAGTGGCTTCTGAGCCTGAAGTCTTCCAACTCGGGGATAACTAGCTACACCATGGCTTGAGCTCAGATCTTGTGACATTTATGGTCTGTGCCACTCCCATTATATCACGTTGCCTAGAGTCAGAGACTAATGAACTTCATAAGGAAATACGCCATGAGGAAGGCACAAGCCTTACTGTGCACACCTATATTTCTCACTAAATAAATATTTGCCTTTGAAGCATATCATAATTTTATGACATGCAAACAATTCAGTTGCTAAAGGAGCCCCAGTGATTTCATCAGAGCTACTGAACCAGAGTGCTAGTTATGAAGTTTGAACTCCCGCATTGCATAGAAGACCACTATCAGAGAGCTTCAGGATAAAAATGTATTAAAAGGCACCTTAGTCCTTATGCGAGGTATCTCTGTGATTATGGAGAAGACACAGGTTATTTCTGTCTTCTACTGTTGTGAACTACACATGTAACAGCCACTTAACTTCCACTGAACCCAAGAGACTGTAGAGACCCATTGTATCATACTGTATTAGAACTACTTAACATTTAGTCAGCCCAAAAACATGTATAGAAATCAGATAAACTAAAAACACTTTCTGAGAGTGTCCATGTCCTAAAGGCTTTAAGTACTTCTATTTATACAGCCTTGTTAGGAGCTACGCAACATCTAAATCTTACCAAAAGATCCGTCCCAAGATCTTCCATTTCTTCAGGGAGAAAATTCAGACACTGGATGCAAACACATATATAGCAGAGCCTTGGGCCACACAGAACTGGCTTTCTGTTTTGCTCCCTTTATCTTACTGGTAGGGATTGGGAATGCTTTCTAGGCAAAGGGTGGGGAGCTGGCTGATCAAGGACACAGTAGCAGGAAGGAATGGCCACAGGTAGTGAGGTCAAAGAACTGTTTTTCAGATAAGCAGAGACTCTATACCTGGTCACAGCCACAATGGGTAGCTTGTTCCCTGCCCAATGTGCTAACCAGGAGCATAATACATGACCCCAGAATGTACCTGTGGCTGGCAGACAGCGTGCAGGAGTCTGGGCAATACATCAGTCTCTTGGGTTCAGCAGTAGTAAGCCTAGACTGAGAACCTGAAATTAGCTATGCAGGTCACATGAGTTTAGGGCAAAGCCTCAAGCATGCATAGGCACAGCAGAGCAGAGAGTGCCTGAAATGAGCACTGAAAGCGTGAAAATGCTGCCTGGGGAGAATTCTCAGTGGAAGGAGCTGGAGGAGAAGCACAGGAAACAGCAGGCTGAGAAGTGTTGCAATCTGAGATATCACAGCCTGCAAAACATTCCTCCAACCAAAATTACTTTGGTATTAAGGGAAGCCCCAAGAAGGAGGCTGAAATTTATGTTTAAATATAAATGCTGCCTTCTTAAATATTTTAAAGTTTTAAGGAAAGAATATAATGTGCTAACGTGGCCTCTTGTCTTTGTCAGTCAAAATAAAGGTACCCAAAATGGATCAAGAACTATACTACTATATCCCTCAGTCAAAGATCTCCAACTCTGAGAGGTTAATCTAAGTATATAGACAAAAGAAGCCAAAGGCTAGATTGTATGAAGATGTACAAATGTTGCGTCCCATAAGAGCAGAAAACAAAGAGTTGATGATATTTGAGGACTGATAAGAGGGGAAAATCAGACTATGCAAGAGTAAATCGAGGCACATGAAATATTTTAAACTCCTTTACAAATGATAATGTGAAGATATGAAATAGGAAAATAAAATATGAAGTTTAAAAATTCAAAATTAAATGGTCATAAAGATTACAGCAGAATCAAAATAGTGGTGCTGGGGAGGAAGCTAGAGAAACAGTCGATGATCAAATGCCAACGGTGGCCAGGATTGTTCAGGGTCGGCTGACGGAGAATGAAGAAACTGAAGGCTGGACCCCATGGTAAAGCCATGGAGAACTTTTTTGGCCGGTGAAGAAGAGGGTATAGGCTCATCCAGAAATGTTGAGGCATGGGCCTGAGCCCAAAAAGAAGAAAAAAAAAATGTTGGCCTTCCTGAGATCAAAGTGGGCTCAAGTACACTGTTTGAAACTTGGATTGAAGCGTTGAAAATGTGGATAGTTTAATATGATCCTGAAGAAGGGTGATCTGAAGGAACTTGCAGATTAAAAGAAAAGGGGCCCCTTCTCAGAGAGGGCCTGAAAGGGTCTGTTTAAGCTAGAAATATGTGGAAGGGTCCATTTAAAAGTCTAGAAATTTGGCCAAACTCGCCAAGGAACATGAGAATCAAGTTGTACTGCCTCATATCACATGACAGCCGGAATGGAGCAAAGTGACTAACTTCACCCCACCCCTTGTCATCTCCAGCTTTCAGATGAGAATACGCAGATCCAAGGAAGGTGATGCCAACTGCTGGCCCAAGATGACAACTAGTTTATGGTGGTGACAGGAACAGTACTCACATCTTTTCCTCTCAGTCCAGCAATTCTTTATTATAGCATGCTCTCATAGCAACCATATGTAGGTGGACCCAGCATTCTCCTACCATACATGAATTAACCTTAAAAAGTCATTTTCACTATACAAGTGTTACTGTTTTTAATTGGTGAAATTCAAGACGGCCAAAAATAAAGAAAATCAACTGTTGTTTCAATTATAAATACAACCTCAATTTTAGAAGTTCTCATTATTTCTGTTAAATGTACCTAGTTGGTGTTGGCCTATTTTCATAGTTCATATTATGAAGATTTATTCTATAGGTTTACATCATCAGCCACATACATATGAATTTTTCAGATCTCTATCCAAGTTCTAAGGATCCTGCTTCAGTTTGGGGCCAAGAAAACCCTAAATACCTGCCACTAGAAACCTCTTTCTAGGCTGACGAACACTCAGTCATTACCTATGTTATGGCATATGAATAGAATCAGCTATGAATTTATTGCATTATTCTGTCATCCTCCAACATCTCTCTATTATGTGCGTAAGGAGACCGGTGAGAGATATTTGTCAAATGCTTTGATGTCTTTGGCATTATCTTCCAATATAGAAGCCCCTTTTATAAAAGAAAATGTGACAATTGGTCACTACGCATTAGTAGATTTATGCTGGTTCCTAAGGATCAATGCAATCTCTTCTCTGGACTCCTAAATAATTTATATGATGATAGTTCAGAAATTTTGCAAGGGTGCATTTCACACATTGAAAGTTTTAGGAATTCAACTTTGTCAAAAGCTATATAGAACAACATTTGCATATCTCTGGTCTTCTGGAACCTCTGCCACTCTCCAAGTTCACTCAACAATCACCAGCAATGGCTCAAAGATGATGCCTGCTAACTCCTTCAACCCTGCTAACCCTGAGATACAATCCAGTGTGCCCCAGAGAGGTAAATGCATTCAAATTACCTGGATTTTCTTTCATTGTCATCCAAATCCCTTTTAGTAACACCCTTTTAATTTTGGAAATCACTTCCTTTGATGGAGAATTGAAAGCAACATAGTTCTGCATACATCATCTATTCATGCTAGCCTTATGCCCTTACTTAAGCAATAGTCTAATCCTGTCCCCATTCTTCTAGCTCCAGATACAACTAAAAAGCAAAATAAACATAACACTATTCTCAAAATACAAATGACATATGCCGCCATGCACACTCCAAAAAGGTTCAACCTAGCCAGCAAGGAAATAAAATAAACACACCAATAAAATGTCATTTTGTAACAAACTGGAAACACACCTTTAATTGACAGAAAGCAAACCTGGTGACGTTGTAGGGAAACTGACATCCTTATATATTTACCAATAATTTAACTGTATTTGGAAGCAAATACATAAGATGTTCATGCTCTTTGTTCCAGGAAACCTAAACTTGGATATTTATCTTAAGAGACACAATCTGAAAGAAAAGAAGGTCAAAGTATATAATTATAGGAAGTATAGGAATATCAAAATGGCCCCAAACTGGATGCCTTCTAAGTATTCAACAATGGGAATGGTTAAGTAAACTACAAAACATCAGCTGTGGTAGGCTGAATAATGTCCCCAAAGATGTCCACATCCTAATCCCCAGAACTTGTGAATATACTACTTTACATGGTAAAAGGAATCTTCGAGATGTAATTAAATTAAGTGCCTCAAAATGGGGAGATTATCCAAATGCACCCAAAGTAATAACAAAAGTGTGTAGAAGTGGGAGACAGGAGGTTCAGAATAGGAGAAGTGGTGACTGAAGCAGAGGTGAGGTTTGAAGATGCTGCTGGCTTTAAAGATGGAGTGAGAGGCCATGAGTCAAGGAGTGAGGGTGGATTCTAAAAGATGGAAGAAGCAAGGAAATGGATTCTCCCTGGAGCCTCCAGAAGGAGTGCAGCTCTGCCAACACCTTGATTTTAGGACTCTGACCTCCAGAACTGTGAGATAATAAATTTGTATCCTTTTATGCCATTCCATTTGTGGTAAGTTTTTACAGCAGCAGTAGGAGACTAATACACAAACTATTATGCAGCCACTGAATGTTATAAACCTGAGGACTACAGAGCAACAGAAAAAAAATGTTAAAATACACAGATGGCAAAACTGTATGTACACAATTACTACATGTGAAATATGCATACAAATAGATCAAGATTAATAGATTAAGATAAAATATACTAGTAGAGTAAAAGACTTTTTAACTGGTCTTTCTACTTCTGCAACATTCAGAGTGACCAGAGTGGTCCTTTTCAAATATGAAATCAGATGACCCTATTCCTCTGCTCAAAAGCCTCCAATAGCTCCTCTCTCCTCAAAGAAAAAGACCAAGTCCCCACAAGGACCTCTATAGCCCAACTCCACAGCAGTACACAGCTCCCACGACAGCCACTCACATGCGCTTTCCGTGATTCCATCCCAGACACCACCTGCCCAAATTTGTGTTTGTCCTCACTCACTCCATCTCATTACCTGGCTGACCCTGCTCCAGGCTCATGGACCAACCTGCTGTTCCTGGAGTGTTCCAAGCCACTCCTGCTTCAGGCTTTTGCACTGTTTGCTCCCTCTGCCTGAAATACTCTTCCTAGTGGTATGCGCATGGCTCATTCCCTTGCTTCCTCCCTGTCTCTGCTCAAATGCCACCTTAGCAATGGGGCTTTCTTCAACTGCTGTATATAAGTAACAGTCCCATCATTCCACCTCAGAACCCCCTACTCCCTTATCCTGCTTTACCTTTCTCCAAAGCATGTATTATTGTCATATTTAAAATATCTATTTGTGGCCGGGCACAGTGGCTCATGCCTGTAATCCCAGCACTTTGGGAGGCTGAGGCAAGCGGATCACTTGAGTCCAGGAGTTCGAGACCAGCTCGGCCAACATGGCTAAACGCCATCTCTACTAAAAATACAAAACATTAGCTGGGCGTGGTAGCACATGCCTGTAATCCCAGCTACTTGGGAGGCTAAGGCACAAGAATAGCTTGAACCCGGGAGTCAGAGGTTTCAGTGAGCTGAGATCAAGAGGAGGTCAACTTATAACCCAGAGGAGCCTAAGTAGACATGACAAATCTAATGACAAATATAACGTGGTATTCCAGATGGGATCCTGGAACAAGAACAACCACCAAAAAAAAAAAAAAAAAAAAAAAAAAAAGACACTAGGGGAAAACAGCAAATCTGAATAAAGTATTAACAGTAGTATATCAAAATTAGTTAATGAATTGTGGCAAATGTATATACTAATATAAGATAAAGATAGGGGAAACTGGTATGGGGTATATAAGAATTCTCTCACTACATTTGTAATAGTGCTCTAAATCTAAACATGTTCTCATATAAAAAGTTTGTTAAAAAAAACTTCCAAGAGATCAGGACCACTGTCATCAAAGGCTCCTCCATCTTCCATGCCATAAAGTCATTCTTTCTTAATGGTTGGTGTTAAATCCAATATAGCAATTTATTTGTTGTATTCTGAAAAGTGACAAAAATAGGCCGAAAGGCACTAGGTTGTTTTTAGCCCAATTACTCAGCCAGCAGAAGCTGAGATGGTCACCTCCTATTGCCTTTTCCAGTTTTGCCATTTGCCCAGTATCAACAGATCAGCCTCAGCCTCCATCTGTTTGGCTAGTAGAAGGTTCCTACAACAATCAAATGATGGGCTGCTTTCCTTTTTCTTTTAACCTCACCAAATGTTCTGCAGAATAGTTCCTCCATCAGATTGTGGATTTATAGATAAGCATGTTCTTCCTTCCTTATCAATCCTGTTTCTCCCTTTTGTATAGACTGGAGGGACATTCTTATCCTTGTGAGTTTCAAGACCATTTGAGCAAAATGTCATGGGAGCAGGTAGCAGTCATCACATTAGAGGAAAAATAAGTAGAGAGAAAAAGGAGGAGGATCTTCTATATCCAGTCCATTTTATACATTCTGGACCCATCTGCCTGCTACCAGCAGTCTTCACTGGTCAACCACTCAACAAAGCAGTAGAGATATGTTGGACGTAGCTTTGAGCCTTTGTTCTTATGGTCCTTCCCTCCCAGTTAAGACATCTTTCCCTTTCTATTGTTTCTTCTAGCTTTATTAATTCTGTGTGCCTCCTACATAGGAGTGATCTTTCTCTCCTCTGAACTCTAATAAAACCTGTCTCACTTTGAGTTCCCAGGCAGTTGGTTGTGTCTCACATGCGTATTTCCTCAACAACACTGTAGTAAACTCTTTAATGGGGTGAACTTCATCTACTTTTCTGTATATACTTTGTGCCTTGATCAATCAAATTGTCCAATAAATATTAGCAAGAATTTGAGTACTTAACATTGAGTTTTTAACAATAAGTCAATGAGGTAGGAATATAATTACCCCCATTTTATAGCTGAAAATGCTGAAGAATAAAGTAGCTAAGTGACTTTCGTGGGGTTGCATGGAAGTTGCAGAGCCAGAATTTCAGCCCAAATTCAAGCTCTTAATCACCACAATACATTCTACTGCCTCCTAATAAATATACTAGTTAAATGATCCTTTAAAGAGTCTAAGTATTGCCGGGCACAGTGGCTCACGCCTGTAATCCCAGCACGTTGGGAGGCCGAAGCGGGTGGATCACAAGGTCAAGAGATCGAGACCAGCCTGGCCAACATGGTGAAACCCCGTCTCAACTAAAAATACAAAAATTAGCTGGGCATGGTAGCCTGCACCTGTAGTCCCAGCTACTTGGGTGGCTGACGCAGGAGAATTGCCTGAACCCGGGAGGCGGAGGTTACAGTGAGCTGAGATCACGCCACTGCACTCCAGCCTGGGCGAATAAGCAAGACTCCATCTCAAAAAAAAAAAAAAAAAAAAAAAAAAAAAAGAGTCTAAGTATTTCAATAAGTGGGGATCTCAGAAGAAAAGAGAAAAACCCTTGGTCTGTGACCTCAAACTGACTGAGAAAAATTTTATTCAATTGTTCTCCCCCAAATCTAAATGTCACACAGAGTTTGTGCATAGTATAAACAATAGGATTCAAGGGAAAGAGCAATTTTAAAAATTCTTTGGGAAGCACTGCGGTTAGCCCTCATTCTTCACACTGCTTCACACGTCAACCAGTTAGACTGGTAGACACAAAATGAACAAACAGAGAAAAACGAAATATGCAAGGCTCTGCAGTTTGGAGCCCAATGCCAGCCTGGCTCACACGCTTTGGTGGAACAGGCAAGAGATTAACCATTGTACTGGAGGAATAACCAGCACCTAGTGCCATACTGCATGTGTACAGACGGCAAGCAGCAAGGTTCTCTTCAGCAATCTGCTTCTCATTTCCCACTGGAAATTTTGTGGTTGGATGGTTGGCTTCTTAGAGGACTTCTAAAAATAAGTTACCACCAATTCAACTACACAAGTACATGAGCATTTACAATCACCTTGCGGCCCACACCTAGATCAAATAACTTTCCCTTCTGCTATGAGGAAGAGGGCACCAAAATTCAATGGATGTGCAAAGCATCAAAATTGGTACAGGTTCCAACCACATCATCGTCGTCGTCATCATCATCATCATCTCCCACCGCGCCGCCCCCCCCCCAACCCACCTCCACATCACCAGCAACGGATTATGAGCTTTTCATGGATGCCTGCCCACTGTGCCAGTAATCAATTGTAATGCCCACTCTTTCCAAGAAAGAATTACCCGGCTTTGCCTCAGGGACAGCAGACCTTTCTACTCCACTGTGTTCTTGCCATTTCTGTCATGTCAACTGCTACTTAACTCTGAGCTCTCCCAAAAAGCCATGCCCAGGGAAAACAATGGCCTTCTTACATTTGTTAGATGTGTCAATTTGTCTTCTTTTGGGTTCCACCTGCTTCTGTTTACCAGACCCACGTATCTGGTTTAGCTATCAGATGTGAGACAAGTGCCTCCTCTGATCTCCTCTGCACAAACAGTAGGTGGTCAAAGTTCTGAATTTCCAGAGGGATATAGATGAAGACTCTAAAACATGCTGTGGTTGATCCCTAACACCGGGAGAGTACAAGTTAGACGTGGGAAGAGAATGAATTTCCTTTGAATCCCAAATATGCCAAAGACTAAATGAATACTGATATAGTTTCAGATACTCTTGAATAGTGCTATTAAATAAACAACAACAAAAAAGATCCATGTAATTCAATCAGCAAGACTTTGGAGTAAAGGGAATTCCTTTTGACAACATTTTGTTTATTGAAAAATAAACGAGAGACCCTTCCTCCCGCAAGCAATTTACAATCCAACAGGGAAGATAAGACACACCTGCAAATAACTGAAACTACACCTTGAAAGGTGGTAAGTCCCAAAGGAGAGGTATAAATAAAACACTTATTTCCTCCACCTCCCTATTCCAACATCACAGTAAGAATTTCAGGAGTGGCTAGCAAGCAAATCTAGCTCGTGACTAGTTCACAGCAGCCCCACCCATGGTGCTTCGGTGGAGGCTCAGGAATCCCTCGAAGACAGAGACCAGCCAGAAGTGGCTGAGAGTCAACGCCATTACTTCCCACACCTCCTTCCACAAACATTAAAAAAGGGTTGCAGTTTGCTTATTATAAAATGCTTCCTGAAATACAGTGAAGTGAACAATAGGCAGTTTTCAAAAGTAAACAGTATAATTACAACATTTTATCACTTTTTAAAGTGTGTGACTGTCTCTCAGAGTATTTTCCTAGTATGCATTTGCCCTGTGTACCAGCCTTTCTTCAAATTTGGGTTATACAAACCATCACATGCACTAACCTCAAAGGCTTAATTTGCAATCCTAAGGCTGTCTAACTCCAGCCACATTCAGTACTTTTACCACCTTTCTTTTAATTGCATTATCTTCCCCTAATTGAGTGTGTTTGCCTGGCTCCTCCAACCTGTTGCAAATTCCCTGACAGCAAGGATCACACATTTGTTTTTGCGATTGCCTCCCCAACCACCCACTCAGTCTAAAACGTTAGCCCCTTTGCCCTCCGCACCTTTCAAAATACTTTGCACATAAAAAGTGAAAGGAAGTAGCATTTACTTAGTTCCTGCCACCCATATTCCTTTATCTCGGTTAACCCTCTCAATAATCTATGGAAGTGGTCAACATCAGCCTCATTTCAGAGGCTGTTCTTTGCTGGGAAGACAAAGGAACTGGATCATCACTGATCCTGTCCAGTGTACACAATGCAGTGTTAGCTTCACCTCTTCTGTTTTCCCCACAAAATATATACGTCCTATCCAGACATCAGGGATACCAGAAATCATATTGGCACAACAGATATTCACAAACTGATGTTAAATTGAAACATGGCAAGCTTTAGACATCAAGCGTTCTAGAACAGCCTCTAAGATTCTGAAGCAGCACTTGACCATAACACATGACCCTTGAAACCAAAATTATCACACATATTGAAAGGGATCCACAGGCATGTGCTAAAGGTAACTTTCCTTGACAGTGAAGATTATGGAAGTCATATCTGTTTACTGGTTAATGATTGAAGAAGCATATTTCAACTAAGACTTCAAGGAAACCAGTGGCCTGCCTGGCCCCATTTCAGGGTAATCCTTTCTCATGAAAAGAGGGGAGAAGAAATATTGGATAACTGTATTCAAAATTCTAAATTCAAAACAATCATGAAATCCATTCATCCTTTTCTTGTTTCCAACCTAGTCGATTTGAATTTGTACCCAGCATATACATAAAGCCTACCCACCCATTTTAAGGACTCAATGAATCTTTGGAATTTATTGTCCCATTCCAATACAACTTGGTGTGACAAGCTCAAGAGTTTTATTTCACAACAAAGTCCAGGTCAAAGTCCACTACAGTGACTTCTGTTGGCTGAAATTCTCTGCTTTTCTGCAATTTACTTGTATATGACATTACTCAAAGTGTGATATCTGTTAAGAATTTAGAAATCTGTTTCTATATAGAAAAAAATTTAATGTTGTAACTGGATATGGGCCGCGATAACAGATCTAAAAGTTTCTGTGAAGTTATTTTTTAATCCAAAAATAAATCTCATCTGCTGACATGGCTTACTTTTTGGGAATGAATGTTAGTTTCAATTAGTCTTGAGGAGTATTTCTTCAATTACTCCATCCTCACTTTCATTGGAAGCATAGAGTAGACCCTCATTGGCATCCCATTTCCTGGCTGTTCGTATCAGGTGCTCCAAATCTTGTTGACCCTGGATATTATTTTCTATATCCTATGATATACCTCCTTTAAGTGAATTATATTTTCTTCTGTTCTTCATGCCATATTCATATGCAGCCAAATACACAATTAAAAGGTAAACAAAATCATCAATGCAAATTGTATGTAACCATTCTATGCTTTTTCATCCTGATCAGTGTACTTGCTTATAAACAGTCTTTCACAACATTATGTCTCTTTTTTCACTTAATTTCACACAGACTTCTCCATAATATTCTATCTGCAAGTAATATTCTATTGTTATGAATTATTATGGTTTGTTTAATCATTTCCCCAAATGTTAGATATCGAAGTCATTTTTAGCCTTTCATGACTATAATGAATGTTGTTCTAACAAGATTTTTTTTTTTCTCCTTTGACTTATTTTCCCTTGAAAAGGGAAATTACTGGATCTAAGGGTATATTCAATGAAATGGCTTTTGTTAAATATTGTTGGTACCCTTTAGGAAGTATATACTAATTTGAAAGCTAACAAAAATCTACAAATACCAAATTCTACACAGCCATGCCAACATTGTAACTTATCATTTTATTTCTTAAGACTCAGTTACTTCAGATTGTATTGCTTTTACTATTACTATGGATGATTACTTTTGTCTATGTTGGTCCTTTTCATGTATAAAAATGATAGTACCTAACCTTTGGCCATTTATCCAAATAAAGGTTAGTTCTTGTATAATTATACACATACCTTACATATTCGGGATACTGACCATTATGTGTGTATAGATATAGATATGTTCCCTTTCTCACTGCCTTTTAGATAATCTTAGTTATATTGGTTTTAATATAAATTTTAATACAGTTGAACATGTTAAGAAATTATTTTCCTTTTCTATTCTGGAAAAATCAATTAGACTAGAGCTTTTTTCTATCTCCCAGAAATGAACCAAGATATGCTTTGCCCTAGGTAACAGAAAGCAAGAGTTTACTCCTACTCTTCAATAATCAGTGATTTAAAAATTATATATTTCAAGTAGAAGAATTTGAAAAGTTCTTATAAGAAGGATATTATAAGAACATGAATATATTTGGATATAAATATCTCCATTCATCTAAATATTTTAAATTCTTGTTAAACCTTTCTTCAAAATTCCTTCTTTCTCCCTATGCAACCCCCATATACCAGTACCCTAATGCATTTCTTGCAATTATTACTTTAGAGCTAAGAAAGATAATTTTTAAATGATGATTGAACATATTAATGTCATTAAACATAGGAAGAAATCATTAAGTGTGCCATGAATTACCACTTCTAAGTAGCTACAATTTAACTAGTGTCCTGGCTCACAATCACCATTAGGGAAGGTACCTATGAGTACAATGAATGCAAACACTTTCACTTACAGAAGGCTTGACTTCCCCAGCAGCTCATTAGTCACATCTTCACTGATTAGCAAAACACTCTCAGCTTTAAGCCTCTTCTTGAAATACTGCCTCTTCATGAGACACAGGGCAGGAGGTTCTCGTTGGATATCCTTTCCCTTCACTCAACCCTCTAATGGCTTCTCATCACACTAAGAACAAAATCCAAAGTCATTATCTGGTTCATAAAGCTCTACTTGTCTTGGTCCCAAGTATTCCCCTTCTGCTACTTCTCTCAGCTTTGGCCATTCAGGTTTCCCCCAGTATCTCAAGTGGGCCAAACAAGCTGTGCCTCAGGACTTGGCATTTACTATTCATCCCTTCTACTTGGAATGTTTTCCCCATATCTGCAGTTTGTTTCTCTACTTCATTTAGGTCTTCATCTGTTATGAACTGAATGTTTGTGCCCCCCTCCCCCACATAAATTCATATATTGGAATCCATACCCCCAATATGATGGTATTACGAGGTGGGGCCTATGGGGAATAATGAGGTCATGAGGGTGGAGTCCTCATGAATGGGATTAGTGCCCTCATAAAAGAGACATAGAGAGCTCACTTCCTCTCTGCTGTCTGCATGTGAGGATGCAACGAGAAGATGGCCATCTGTAAACCATAAAGTGAGCCCTCACCAGACACTGGATCTGTCAGCACCTTGATCTTGGACTTCCCAGCCTTCAGAACTGTGTGAAATAAATGTTCGTTGTTTAAGCTACTTGATCACTCAATCTACAGTATTTTGTAATAGCAGCCAGAATGGGCAAAGACAATATTCATGTGCCAGCTCTTTAGAGAGGACTTCTCTCACCTTCCTTTCTAAAATAACACCTCACCACCACCACTACCATCATTCTACTCCTTATCTTGCCTTATTTTCCCCATAGCATCTTGTATCAAATAATGCACTTATTTTTCTTTGCCACTGACTGGGGAAAGGAATAGTCCTAGTACCTAGAGCTGTGTTAATAGGCACTCAAATATTTGCTGAATCATGAATGAACTAAAGTTAAGTATCTCTTTAGGGGATGGCCTCAGAGAACAAGCCAAGTTTAATTAGGATGAAGGAGCACCCACTGTCTGTACTGTGGGGTATCACACCTACCTTCCTTCCATGAGACACACTGCAGTTTTGTAGGGTAGAGAGACGGCTCTGGGGCTGGGCCAGCTGGCTCTGAAACCTGACTGTGTCAACTCAAATAACATACTTAGTATCAGTGCTTCTACGTCTCCTTACCTCCTCTATTAAATGGTGATAATAGTATCCACTCCATGGTTGCTGTGATTATTAAACAAGTGTCACATGTTTATTGTTTAGAAAGTACCTAGAATGCAGCAAGAGCCTAAGTAAGTGTCAGGCGTTTATCAGCACTGACTGTCATTTCAGGACCCCTCCTTTCTTTATATAACTCTAAACATAGACCACTTCCCCATATTCTTTATTTTATATTATTCAGTCTTACCCTCTACCTATTATAATTACTTCATATTGTTTTTATCTTTATGTCCTAATTACCAATATGCCAATAATTTACTTTTTTCAGGGAAACGTATGTGCAAGGCAATAAATTAAACCAGATAGAAGACTTCGTGAGAGTGATCAACTCTTGCTTTTCCTATCCCTGCCACTAGTTTCATTCTCCCAAGGTAACTGTTCTTCAAATTTTGTTTTAGTCTCTTGATAGTTATCTTTACAACTGTTGATACCATGCTTGAATCTCTAGGTCTTGACCCATATCAAGGATTCTCCTCACACTGCCCTGGCCTCCTCTTGAAGTTTAATATATTCTTCTAATTCTTCTGTTTAATTTATTTGCAACGTTAAGTACTAAAGTCTTCATTTTTGTTTTCGCCAACACCTGTTCTGAGGTAAAACTATCTTCATTCATAGACAACATGATTGTCTATATAAAAAATATGTGTGCTAAAAAAAAAAACAACAACTTTACTAGAATCAATACAAGAGTTTAGCACCTTACCAAAAATCATATAAGAATGGCAAATAGGCACATGAAAAGATGCTCAACATGATTAGCCGTCACGGAAATGCAATTTAAAGCTACAATGAGCCACCAGGACACAACTATTTGAATATCTAAATTCAAAAGAACGATCATACCATGTGTTCATAAAAAGTTGAAGCAACGGAAACTCTCATATGAGAATGCAAGATGGCACAACCACTGTGGAATTCCAGCAACTTTTAACAGCTATAGCTTATCTTGCTATTTTAAGAAATGAGGATATTAGCACCCTCTCCTCCCTGATGCCACATCCCACCTCCTGCCAACTACACTTTTTCTTTTGTTGAGGTTGCTAATATTTGTACTGTAGCCTGCAATCATAACCAAGTCTGCCATGCTTAGTCCACAATCTGATTCTAAAAGCAGAAAACTGAGAAACGGCACCTGTATGATTATGATTGTGCCACTCTATTCACTGCCAGCCTAACTAAAGAATTAAGATTTGGGGCTCTTATTATAAATCCAATGTCATGAGTACAGATCCAATTTTGTGACACTTATGCCAATGGTGTTATACTCTATGAGTTTCCCTCATTTTTGGCCAGGTAATTCCAGTCAGATTCCTCTGTCACTTGGTATAGGTCATCAGACTATAATCATTTCAATTTTTTTAATTTGTAATTTTCATTGGTACATAGAAGGTGTATATATTTATGGGGCGCATGAGATTATTTTGATACAGGCATATGATGTATAATAATCACATCAAGGTAAATGGGATATCTATCACCTCAAGCATTTATCCTTTCTTTGTGTTACAAACAATCCAATCACACCCTTTTAGTTTAAATACTTCTATTATTAAATAAGATTTTCATTAGCATTTGAGAAATGTCCAGTTAAAGTCAAACAAACTGAAAGATTCCATAGGTGTTAAAAGTGTTTTCTGGGTGACTTCTAGGAGCTTCTCATATTACATCTAAATGGGCAGCACCAAGTAAAACACTAATCATCCTTGTATGCAAGGCAGAGCATTAGGCACTCAGAAGATACGATAAGTTGGCTACCACATACCATACAAACTAAACGGAATAAGCAATAAACTTATTTAATACTTAAGAGAATTATGTCCTAGTTTGGACCCTCTCACATGAATTATTTGCAGTTCACTAACATTATTTTTCTTTAACAAGTAAGTATGAGTTTTGCTTTCTTCAATAAACGTCCACATTCAGGGTTCGTCTCTTTTTAAAGATAAAAGCATGCCACTCTCCTCATCCATGCTGCTCTCCTCATCCATGCTGAAGGTGATGTTTAAATTCTGGAACTCTAATCAGACTTTAGCAGTGTCCCACTCCTATCTTTGGCCTTAGTGATGGGAGAGAATTCTCCTTTATGGGGACCTCTTGGCTCATATTTGCTTACTCGTGGGCTATAATGGTGGCTACCCTGAGCCTGATCTCTTTCTGCAATTCTTACAAAATAAATTCTCTAATGTGTGCAATGCTTTTGTTCTAAGGACCTCAAAGGTCCTCAGTTCATTTGGCCTCACAACATGTCTTTGAATGAGGTCAGGAGCCAGTGGCTAGATTTTCATTCCATAGATGAGAAAAAGAAAAAATGCACAAATAGGGTCAAGTCACTTGACCAGGGCGCACCAAAGTGTTAGCAGAGAGGCCGGATGAGTCAGACAGAATCCGTGTTTCTTGGATAAGGGCTCTCACTGCATCCAAATTCAACTTGTGCAAGTGTATGCAAAATGCCATTTTAAAACACAGGAAGTTTGACCAATGAGACCAGGAGATAAACTCTGCTCAGGAGAAGCTATAGTAGGTGTAGTGGAACTGCCAAAAGACATATTCTTCTTCTATAGAGTTTAAAATAGTGAGAATGATAAATGACAATAATTCTGCACTGGGTGTTGTAGATCTTCTTGCTAATTCACTTTTTTTTTAAGTCAGAAATAGAACATTCAGCCAAAAACACATTTTAAGCAGGCACTTTTAGTTTGAGGTACATCAACTGATATAAACCTGTACAAAATTTGAGTTGTTCACTTTGTTTCTTTATTCTTCTAGAGGAGAATAAAAATAATCAATAAAAAGTAGTAGAAGGAAAATTGAAAGCCTTTCCACTAAGATCTGGAACAAGACAAGCATACCCACTTTCAAGGGTTACGTTCAAAATAAACATACAAAAGTCATCAGAGTTTTTATATGTGAACAGTGATCAAATCGAAAAAGAAATCAAGAAAGCAACCCCACTTACAATAACTACAAAAAAAAACCTAGTAATAAACTCAACCAAATAAGTGAAAGGTTTCTGCAAGGAAAACTATACAACATTGATGAAAGAAATTGAAGAGGACACAAAAAATGAAAAGATGTCTCATGCTCAGAGATTGGAAGAATATTGTTAAAATGCTTATCATTTTAACAATTAAATCTGTATATCAATTTAACAATTGAATCTGCACATCGCTATACGGAGTAGATTCAATGCAATCTCTACCAAAATAGCAATTACATTCTTCACAGAAATAGAAAAAACAATCCTAAAATCTGTATAAAACCACAAAAGACTGAAAATAGCTAAAGAAATGTTGAGCAAAAAGAACCAAGCTGAAGGCATCACACTACCTAATCTCAAATTATACTACAAAGCTAGAGTAATCAAAACAGCATGGTACTGGCTAAAACAAAAAACAAAAAAAAAAAAACCCAAAAAAAACACAGACACATAGACCTACGGAACTCAGAAATCAATCCACACACTTGCAGCCAACCCATTTTCAACAAAGGCACCAAGAACATACACTGGGGAAAGGACAGTTTCTTTAATAAATAGTGCTGGGAAAACTGGATATCCATATGCAGAAGAATAAAACTAGATACCTATCTTTTACCATATACAAAAATCAACTCAAAATGCATTAAAGACTTAAATGTAAGGCCTAAAACTATGAAACTACTGAAAAAAATTTTGGGAAAATCTTATAAGATATTTGTCTGGGCAATAATTTTTTGGGTAAGACCCAAAAGCACAGGCAACAAAAACAAAATATTAATAGACAAATGAGATTGCATCAAGCTGAAAAGCTTCTGCACAGCAAAGGAAACAATCAACAAAGTGAAGAGACAACCTAAAGAATGGGAGAAAATATTTGCAAACTATCCATTTATCCATTTGACAAGGGATTAATAACCAGAATACATAAGAAACTCAAACAACTCAATAGCAAAAAAAAAAAAAAAAAAAAAACCAAATACTTCAATTAAAAAATGGGCAAAAGACCTGAATAGACATTTCTCAAAAGAAGACATACAAATGGCTAACAGGTATATGAAAAAATGCTCAACATCACTAATCATCAGGGAGATGCAAATCAAAACCACAACGGGATAACATCTCACCCCAGTAAGAATGGCTATTACCAAAAAAAATCAAAAAGTAACAAATGCTGGAGAGGATGTAGAGAAAGGGCAATATTTGTATACTATTGGTGGGAATGTAAAGATGTACAGCCATTACGGAAAACGATGTAAGTTCCTCAAAAGAAAAAAAAAATAGGACTACCATTTGATCCAGCAATCCCACTGTTAGGTATATATCCAAAAGAAAGAAAATCAGTATATCAAAGAGATATCTGCACTCCCCTGTTTACTACAGCATTTATTCACAATAGTCAACACATAGAATCAATGTAAGTGTCCATCAGTGGATGAATGCACAAAGAAAACGTCTCTCTCTCTCTCTCCCTCTCTCTCTCTCTCTCTCACACACACACACACACACAGAGGAATATTATTCAGCTACAGAAAAGAACGAGATCCTGTCATTTGTAGCAACATGGTGGAAACCGGAAGTCATTATGTTACCTGAAATAAGCTAGGCACAGAAAGACAAATATTCCATGTTCTCACTCGTATGTGGGAGCTAAAAATGTGGATTTCATGGAGGTAGAGAATAAAATGATAGTTATGAGAGGCTGTGAAGGGTAGGGGAGACGAGGGGATGAAGAGAAATTGGTTAAGGATACAAAAACACAGATAGATGGGAAAAGTTCTAGTATTTTATAGTACAGTAGGGAAATTATAGTTAATGATAATTTATTGTATATTTCAAATAGCTAGAAGAATTATAATGTTCCCAACACAATGAAAAATGTTTGAGGTGATATCCTCATTACCCTGATTTGATCATTACACAGTGCATACAGGTATCAAAATATCACAAGTACCCCAAACATATCTACAACTATTATATATTATATGATATACTAATAATAAATAAATACATACATGGTAATAAATAAAATTAATTAATAATTATAATAAATGAAATAAAAATAACAACAATATGGTCAGCAAATGAGCCTCCAAAGAGGAAAAAGGGAAAAAAAAAGTAGCAGGAGCAGCTAGAGTATAGAAAGAGCTGTTAAGGGCCGGGTGCGGTGGCTCACACCTGTAATCCCAGCACTCTGGGAGGCCGAGGCGGGCGGAACACTTGAGGTCAGGAGTTCGAGACCAGCCTGGCCAACCATGGCCAGCATGATGAAACCCCGACTCTACTAAAAATACAAAAATTAGCCTGGCGCGGAGGCAGGCACCTGTAATCCCAGCTACTCAGAAGGCTGAGGCCAGAAAATCGCTTGAACCCGGGAGGTGAAGTTGCAGTGAGCCAAAATCGCACCACTGCACTCCAGCCTGGGTGACAGAGGGAGACTCCATCTCAAAAAATAAAAATAAAAAATAAAGAAAGAGCTGTTAGGTTTTGGTTGGGGGAGACAAAGCAGGCAAAGATATGATCCCTGCTGTCAGGACTCGAATCTGCTTGGAGAGATAAGCAGAGAACAAATGAAACAGAAGCCTCTAGGGAAAGTTCCCAAAGAGTCACAGGAGCAAGAGGACCAAAGAGAATGTGTGCCTGAGAAATCACTTCTAGGGAGGCAGAGTGGGGATCAGTGGGCTCAGAGAGGTCTTCCGAAACAGTAGGCTGTACATGCTATCATGAAAATCTGATGCCATTTCCTTAAACAGAGAAAAGAAAACAACGGAATGAGCCACGCTACAGGGAAATGAAATTGCAAGTGAAGATCAACAAGTGATCTTCTGTCTTCTTCTTACACAATTTCAGGAACATTTCATTTAGTCTCATGGTTTTAATTGCTGGCAAGAGCTCATAATACTGTGTCTTCATCATGGCCTCTTCCACACTTACACACAGCTTCTCTTTAGACTCTCCACCTTCATGTCCTGTATCTCAATCTCATTCGATCTCATGCTCTCCCACAGCCCAGATGATATGACCACAACACAGCCAGTGTCTCCATCATGGATTGATCTTACAGCCACATCCTACCTGGATAGCCCCCAGGTATCTCAAATGCATGTCCAAAATAGGACTCATCATCACAGCCCTCCTGCCTCTGCTACCATATGTACGATGCCTCTACCTGGTATTCTCTCTCAGTTGAGCATCATTCCCCAATCTCTCCAGTCACTCAAGCCAAAAGCCAGAGAATCATCTACTACTACCATTCCCCAAAACTCATATCCAGGTGGTCATCAAGTCCTAGAAATTCTCCCTCTTGAATATCAAATCTACTCACTCTTCCCTATCCACACTACATTACTTCAGGTCCTTTTCATCTCTTCTGTGATTAGTCTCCCTATCTCCAGTCTCTTACCCTTCTAATTCATCCCCTAAACTATTGCTCATGTTGCCATTATGAAACAAAATATGACCTCATCACTTCTCCATCAAACTCTTCTAGTTGTTGCCTCATTGCCTGTAGAAGAAATGTTCAAACTCCTTAGCACAGCTGACAAGATGTCGATGGTCTGGCCCGATACACCTCTCCAGCCCTATCTTATTCCACCCACAGCCACCCTACCCATTATCACATTATACAGCTCCAAAATGCACTAACAAGCTTCATGATGTCATGCTTCATACGTGTTATGCCTGGTATAAAGTAAGAGTTTAAGAAATGGTAGCTGCTATCACTGTTATACAGCTATGACAATGACAACAATGATGATGACAATGATCAACAGTCAACTAGGGCCAGAATGTACCCAAACCAAAGCATTTCAGATTTCAGACACGGTAAAGGATCTAAGGATTTCCTGCCACGGCAGTGACAAAATCATTCTCTAGCAGCAGGTATTACAATTGCTTAAAGCGGGTAGATAGGGAGGTATGGAAGTTATTTGGGAAGTTTCTACACCAGCCCAGGTAAGAGACAGTATTACAATTGCTTAAAGCGGGTAGATAGGGAGGTATGGAAGTTATTTGGGAAGTTTCTACACCAGCCCAGGTAAGAGACGTATCTGGAGACAGAAGTGAGAATAGAAGAGAACATTTTTAAAAAATTGGTAGCTGCACAGAGACAGAGATGACCAAAGTAAAAAGAGTGCTAAAATTTCAAAGGTGGGTTAAAAAAAAAATGAGGGTGTGTTTGATAAAAACAGTATTTGGGAAGGGAGGTGGACTGAATTTTTAAAAGGTGACTGCACAGCTGCAAGTATAGAGTTTGTTCAAAGAGGTAAGAGTTGGGATCAAAAAATCAGCTGAGTAGCAAAGAGACCATGGGGCGTGGGGTTATTAAATTGGTCTAGACTTTTAAAGGTGCAAAAAGCAAGAGACAGAAGAAAGACTGTAATCTGGCAACAAACAAGGCTGCTCCTCGGGGAAGGAACTTGAAGCAGTGGCAAGGCTAGATGCTAGGCTACTGAAATTTTGTAAAGGAAGGGGGAGCTCAGAAGTCAAGGGAAAAACGGTTACAGCTTAAGAATTTGTTTTTATAGCTTAAGAATGAGTTCATTCAACAATGATAATAATACAGGCTGTCTTTGTGCTGGACACTGTTCTAGGTGCTGGAGACAGTGTAGTAAACAGAACAAAGTTCCTGCTCTTGTGAAACTTTACCTTTCAGTAAGGAGGCGGACAAATGAAGAAACAAACAAAAATGTAAGGTCAGAAAGTGCTGCTGCTGATCATTTCTAAAGCTTCCAGGCACATGTGTAGGATACTTAGCATTCAGTTCTAAAATGCTTCCAGAAGTCTTTTGACATATGTGGAAAAGACTATTCCTTCTATAAAGTTTACACAAAATGAAATGATGCATCATGTTTGCATTATAAATTGTCATGTAGGAGAGGGAGTTTCTGAGAAACTGCTAAACTAAATAATGAAGCCCAACTGTACAGACATCTTAAAAGCTGAATTTCCATTCTGTTTCCTATAAACAAATGTAAACAAAAGTCGTGTTTCTCTCTTAACCCTTAGCAGGAGAGACTGATTTCCCATTTGTTTCAGTTTCCATAATCTTCACAACTGAGTCTGAACAACACATCTTGAAAAAAATAAAAGGGCATCATTTAAATACAGCTTGCCACAGCAATGACACCGTTGCTTCTTTTTGTTCCCATACAATGCAGTCGTAAACCTCAGAACAGTCTGGTTCACATCACTCCTTAAAAATAAGTTAATTTTTCAGTATTCAGCTTCCTTGTTTTATTGTGGATATTGAACTTGTTTTCCAATGGAAGATGGAAATCAGGAAAATCTGGGGAACTTTGCTATGCAGTTTCTCCAAGGAAAAGAGAAATGCAGTAATCTATAACCTTTAAAGGCATAAAGCATTGCAAATAAAGCTGTTACCAAAATACTCATCAATTGCCACTATGTTTAACTTAAATGAAAAAGTCTATGAAATCCTGCTTTAGACCATAATATAGTAAACACATTATCAATATGTTACAAAAAGAAAGAAAAAAGAAAGCATGCCTATCACAGCCTGAAAAGGTATCACTTTATCTGAACAACCCAAAAACAGGGCAGAAGAAAACATGCTATTGGCTAATGAATGAAGCGAACAAGAAAGAACTAAAGCTTGCTTGCTTTACCAGTAGAACTCTTGAAGACCTCCCTCAAATACTACTTTTGATCCTTTTTTAAAATTTCAGTTTCAATGGATAATATGACTCTATCTGGCAAACACATTTCAGACAGTATGGTTATCTGGTTCCCAAAATCACAATGGACTTTCAATAGCCAACAATGAGTGAAGGGGCTCACTGCTGAGAGCCACAGAAGTAGGGCCAAAAAAAAAATTATCAAGAAAAAGCAGACAAGATTTTAGAAGACAGCAAAGTAGGGCCATTTGGTTTAGGGGCAAAGAGCCTTGCATTCCTGAATGAATACTAAATCTATCACTTTACAGTAGCATAAAAGACACACTCTGTTCTGTATAATCTTTTAAAGAATCAGGGACAGATGAGACAATGCTGGGAAAATTTTCTATACAAAACTTGGCCATAATAATTGCTGGCAGTTAAAGGAGCAAGCAATCAGGAAATGTTTTCTAGAAGTAAAACAGCCTGCCCAAAGGTTCTGCATAGCCAAGGGTTCCCTATTTTGAGCCCCTTCAATTTTGTGCTTCAGTGGCCAATGAAAATGAGCAGGCTTAATGTCTGAAGGAATTTCAGGAAGAAAAAAACTACACCGTCAAATTATTCTTTATTCTTCACATATTTTTAAAGTCAGAGATTGTTTTCCTTACAGTATTTAGGTTCTTACTAAAATAAATTAGTGTGAACTTTAGGGTGAGCACTATAGGAAAAAATACAGACATTTCCCAGGTTAAAGGCCATGTTTGATGATTGAAGCTTACATATGTTTTATGACAGACAAGGCAGCCATCTGAGTCACTTTTGTCCAACTCAAAGTTCTATCATATGTCTACTCTCCAAGTTTTACTATGCCTTCTTGATAAAACTTTGCAAGGGGAGTCTTTAGGGGGTTTTAAACTCACAACTTTCTGTGGTTTCATAGGAGTGGACAGAGCACTATATGTGGAGTCCTGTCAGCTCCTCAGTAAATGCACACCTCTAGGCTGACACACATCATAGGCAGTGCCAGGGGGATGGCAGATTGCACTCATGCTTTCTAAATAAATTGCAGGTCTCTGCCCTTCAGTAGGGAGTAAAGTCAATTCAGTGGCTCATGACCAGTGTATGGTGGAAGTTGGAGTTGGGAGGGAACACAACAGAAAATAACAGAGGACATTTCATGTGGTATGGCTAAGTACTGTTTCATGAAACCTTTATTTCTGTTATATGTATTATTTATATCTCTACGTATATACTAGGTTTCAACACAGGATGTGTTTCTTATAGCACACTGACTGGGCTACAAAGGACTATCCAAGGTACTGAATGTATCCCCCTCAAAATTCATATCAAAATCCTAACCCCAAGATGATGGTATTAGGAGGTGATTAGGTCATAGGGTGGGATTCGGGCTCTTATAAAGGAGATCCCAGAAAGCTCTTTCTCCCTCTTTCTGTCACATGAGGGTACTAGAAGAAGTTTGCCATCTGTAAGCTGGAAGAGAGCCCTCTCCAGAACCTGATCATGCTGGCACCTGATCTTGGACTCTTAGCCTCCAGAACTATGAGAAATAAACTGTTTTTGTTTATGAACCACCCAGTTTTTGACACTTTGTTATGACAGCCTGAACCACCTAAGACAAGTTGGTATTTTTCTCTTATTTACAGTTCAAATTTGACTAACTGGAAAAGCTATGTGCAAAGATTAAATGCAAGCTTGGGTTATGCCAACTTATATTAACCAGTTTTTATAGGATGCTACCGTCCAGTCTCTTATTCTATTCTAAAAATACCTGGATCATAAAAGAGAATCTTTTTTTCAGATTTTAGATTCAGGGGTTACACATGCAGGTTTGTTACCTGGATATATTGCATGATGTTGAGGATTGGGCTTCAATTGAACCCATCACCCAAGTAGTGAACACAGTACCTGACAGGTAGTTTTTCAACCCTTACCTCCCTCCTTCCCTGTCCCCTTTGGAGCTCCCAGTATCTACTGTTCCCAATTTTATGTCCATGTGTACCCAATGGTTAGCTCACACTTATAAGTGAGAACACGCGGTATTTGGTTGCTTCTGTGTTAATTTGCTTAGGATAACGGCCTCCAGGTGCATCCATTATGCTACAGAACATGATTTTGTTCTTTCTTATGGCTGCATAATATTCCATGGTGTATATATACCACATTTTCTTCATCCAATCCATCATTGATGGTCACCTAGGTTGATTCCTTGTCTTTGCTATTATGAATAGCGCTGCAATGAACGTGTGAGTGCAGGTGTCTTTCTGATAAAACAATTTATTTTCCTTTGGGTATATATCCAGTAATGGGATTGCTGGGTTGAATGATAATTCTATTTTCAGTTCTTTGAGAAATCTCCAAGATTTCTCACTGTTTTCCACAGTGGCTGAACAAATTTGCAAACCAAGCAATCGTGCATAAGCGCTCCCTTTTCTCTGAACCTTGCCAGCCTATGTTATTTTTTGACTTTCTAATCATAGCCATTCTGACTGGTATGAGATGGTATCTCATTGTGGTTTTGATTTGCACTTCTCTGGTGATTAGTGATGATAAGCATTTTTTCATGTTTCTTGGGCACTTCTATGTCTTCAAGGAGAATGCTTTAGCCTCCAACTAACTTCTTCCTTAACAACTGCTTCCCTCTTAAATAATTAGGTTCTATTAGCTTTTATATTTAGAATAAATGTTATATTCTGTGATGGGAGAGATCAGACAAACCTATTTAAGTCAAGTTATATGTTATGGCATCCCTTTTAAGTTGAAGCCATATAGTTCTCCATAGATGTGCAGAGCAAGTCAGATGTAACTGGCTGTATCCTTGAAGACAGGAATTCTTTTCAGGACAACCCCCTTTCAACTGCATGTCCATATTCTTTCCTCTAAATAATCATTCCCATTCCTTCACATCTCTTGCTCTGCTTTCCTTCCTTTTACTTTTACAATTCTAATTTTTAAAATAAGTAATCCACACATATGGGTCCAAATTCAGAGGTACAAATAAATATGGGATGAAAATTCCCCTCCCATCCATGCCCCTCAGCTAGCCAATTCACCTCCCCAGAGGCAAACAAAGACACTAGTATCTCAGGTATTCTTCCAGAAATATTTTATATCATGCCTTTGGGGCAACCTTCCTTGGGGATAATACCTGCAGCTACCATTATAGAAATGCGGCTCATGACAGGTGAAATTAGGCAGTGGTAATGAAAGTTGAAGATCAAGTTCATGGACAGGATCGGCAATATGAAGTGGTTCATTCATGATCTCTGTGCATTTCCTTTCTTTAGTGGGAATTTACGAAAAGGATTTTTTTAAGGTAGAAGTATTGGTATTCATTTACTTATTCACTCAAGACAATTCTACATGTGCCGACACTATGGGGATGCAATGGGCCCTGATGATTAGCAGCTGGTGGGGGCGAGGAAACTAGTCAAATAATCATACTGTTGAAGCCCTCCTGGAGAGGGAACCACTGGTCCTGTCCTAGACTGGGGATGGGTGGCCAAGGCCTCCTTTCAAAAGTAACCTTAGAATTGACCTGAAGCGTGGTCGACCGATGCTGAGAACATTCCAAAGGGGGCAACGAGAGTGCTGCACAGAGGGTGTGAAGCTGGCAGTTGCAAGTGTGGCTCAGAAACAGCAAGGGGCAGAGTGGTGGATCTGAGACTGGAGTGGCAGCAGGACCAGGACCGTGCAGGGCTCTGGAACCATGTCAATGACCCACATCTTCACTCCAGGCACAAAGGGAGGCCATTGAAGAGTCTGGGGCAGATCCCTGTGCTTCTCTCTGTCCAGCACCCCCAGCCCCAGGCCCCACTCCTTGGTCAGGAAGTTTTTCCTGCACCCATGTCAACTGGTTCCTGTTATGAGGAAATACAGAGAGAATGATTTTGAGTCATGTTTCTTTATCTATCCTGCCAGTTATGCAAAGCAACCCAGGCCTTTTCCTCAAAGCTGCCAGGATAAGCCACAGTCAACAGTCAGAGACAGGTGCCTTTTGGGAGAGGCTTAGATTTTATTCCTAGACCACAGGTGGTGAATTTCTCTGCTATGGTGGCCACAAATGTGATATTGCAGGGTCCTGGGGGAACTCAGGGGCAGAGTATAAGCAACTGTGGAAGTAGAGCAGTCTTTGGTTCTTTGTTGGAGTGAGTGGAGTGCACCTTGGGAACTGCCGGAGAACTCTTAAGAACTTGGTATTTGCGGTAGGGTTGGGCAAGTCCCTAGAGCTACACTGGAGTTTCCATCCTGTTCCTTTAAAAGTAGTTGACTGTAGTTATGAACCTGCCTCTGACTGGACTCCAGGAGAGCAAAAACATCAGGGTAGAAAGCTACTTGGAAAAACAAGTCCTCAGAGGCTGTCCAAGAGCTCAAAAGGCCACTGAGGTGGAGAGCCCTGGGGTCAGAATTTGTGTGCTTCCGTGAGGGTTTGGCAGGGTACAGGAAGCAGAGATCTGGCCAGCAGAGCCTCAGGTGCCCTCCAACCATCACAAGTGCCCTGGTTACAATATGGGTAATGGATTCTAGGAGACCCAGAGTGGACTCAGGATACCAGAGAGGTTCTGGCTCAGTCCTGCAGAGAGACAAGAAGTTGGGCTAGGATAGAATCCGCACAAATGATGAGAAGCAGATGGAATGGGAAAGATATTCAGGAAGCAAAATCAATAGACATTGGTGATGGATTAGATGTGGTGTGTGCAGAGGGTGGAGCCAAGGATGGCTCCCAAGTTTCTGATCGTGCTACTTGGTGACTAGCGGTGCCCACCACAGAGCTGGGAACCTTGCAGGAGTATCAGATGTGGAGAAAACAGATCATGATTCTGGTTTTGAACATGTAGAATTTGAGGTGCCTTTGGGATATCCAAGCGCAATGTCAATTATGCAAACTAGAGTTCAGAGAAAGACTTAGTTTGGAGATATAAATTTTAGATTCGCTTATGTTCTCCTTTTTAAAACTCTTATTTCAAAACTGTACTTTGAGGTGCTACACCATGAAACAGAGAAAAAGAGTATGGGCTTCATAGTCAGAAAAGCCAGGGCTAGAACCTTTGTGCCATCCCTTACTGGTTCTGTGCTCTGGTACAAGTTACTACTAACCTGACTAGGTTTCCCTTTCCTTCTCTTCAGTGAAGAAATGCTGCAGCTTGGAAGCACATGGTGATGAAAAGAAACAGCACTTGAGGAGTGCCTGGAACAGAGTAAGCTCTCAGCACAGTCAGCCTCCTTGACAGCCAGGACCATGTTTATATTAACACTTTCTGTATACCCCATAATACCCATCACTTGGCAGGCTCTGTGACTACCAAAAGCTTTTTTATATTGTATCTAAAGTCCTAGATACCCAATCTATTCACAATACTTTGCTCTCCTGTGATCCGCACAGTTCTGAGAAAAGCCAAGACTGGCAGAGGGAGAATTTTTCATTTCTCCCCTCATATTTCTGAAGGAGCAGGCAGATAGCACTCCCTCAACACATCCTGGGTTTACCTGGGAATACTGAACACTTCAGGAGGCTTATACTTGGAGCAACAGATTTACTATGTACTGGCAATATTGGGTATGCAGCAGAATCACCCGAAGGCCTGTCCTCCATCCATAGAGTTCATCTGCATTTCTTTTCTTTCTTTTCTTTTCTTTTGAGTCGGAGTTTCACTCTTGTCACCCAGGCTGGAGTGCAATGGTGCGATCTTGGCTCATTGCAACCTCTGCATCCCGGGTTCAAGCGATTCTCCTGCCTCAGCCTCCCAAGTAGCTGGGATTACAGGCACCTGCCACCATGCCCAGCTAATTTTTGTATTTTTGGTAGAGATGTGGTTTCACCATGTTGGCCAGGCTGGTCTCAAACCCCTGACCTCAGGTGATCCACCTGCTTCGGGCTCCCAAGGTGCTGGGATTATAGTTGTGAGCCACCGCGCCTGGCCTCATCTGCATTTCTAACAAATTCTCAGGTAGTGATGACTCTGTTGGTCTAAGGACTGCACTTTCAGAGTCACTGCCCTGGCTTCTTCCATGGTATTGGGACTGTTGATGTAGCTGATGTTCAAATAAATACCAGCTCAAATACCACCTTTATGTGAGGCATCATAGGAATTGCCTTGTATATGAACACCAAAGTGTCTTAATTAGGAATGAATATGTTTATGATTTAGGTACATTTAGAGCCCATTTTAACAGTGTAGCAACGTTTTGTTTTGTGCTTGATAATTTCCTCTTCTTTGTTCACTACTATTCATTTCTAAGTAAATGGAAGAAATCAGTCTTTAAATAGAGACAGTGTTTTCTTAATAATCATGCCAGAATTTATCATCTAAACAAGTGGTTTTCTCATCCTAAAGGGTTCGGTCATCATTGTAAAGGAGCTGCCATAGCTAACACGTAAGCACTGTCCTCTCAGTCTGATTCAGCTTGAGTAACCTAAATGATGGCCCACTTCATCTTGACAGGATGGATGGGGCTTATTCATGTATTCATTTAAATATTTACTGAGGACCTACCATGTGCCAAACACTAGAAAAACAGTGTTATGAACCATGGCCTCTGCCCTCAAAGAGTTTATAATCTTGGGTTGAATGTGAGTTTGGACACAGGGAAACAAGTGAAATACATAAATGAATAAGTATCCGTGTTAATCTGTTTTTGCATTGCCATAAAGGAATACCTAAGGCTGCATAATTCATAAAGAAAAGAGGTTTTATTTTGGCTCACAGTTCTGCAAGCCGTACATAAGGCACAGTGCCAGCATCTGCTTCTGGTGAGAGAGGGCCCCAGGAAGCTTACAGTCATGGCGGAAGGTGAAGGGGGAGTCCATGTAAAAGAGGGAGCAAGGGAGGGGTAGGAGATGCCACACGCTTTGAAACAACCAGATCTCATGTAAACTCATAGAGCAAGAGCTCACTCATTACCATGGGGAGTGTACTAAGCCATTCATGAGGGATCCATCCATATGACTCAAATTCTTCCCATCAGGCCCCACCTCTAGCATGGGGAATCACATTTCAACCTGAGATTTGGAAGGGACAAACGTCAAAACTGTATCAGTATCCCTGTGACAAGTGAACAAAACATATGGAGAAGGTCTCCTTTAGGTTGGAAGAACAGAAAAGTCGCCAGGAGGAGGTGATATTTAAGCTGATTAACTTAGAGAAGCTTAAAGTCCATTCTTGTCTCTGTACCCTGAACCAAACTCACTATTAAGCCACTCTGGGCATTTGAGAACTACGCTTACTGAATACTTTCAAATAAAAACAGAATATATTTAGTATTTATTTTTCTCCTAAAGAAGATAAATAATGCAAAATTATTCCTAGGCATTTTGGTTAAAAAAGTTGTAGTCTAGTGAATAAATATAATTTATGATTTAAAAAAAGGACTACTATAAACTATCAACATTAGCATCTATCAGACTGCCTAATATTTCTAAAATGGTTCGAAAAATAATAGAATCATTAGAATAATTATGGAACATCCCAAGATTTTGAAGAGTGATATTCATTTGGATATATAAATTGTTCAGTAAACACTCATTAAATCCTCACCACCTGCCAGACACAGTGCCAAGTTCCAAGAATACAAATATAAATAAAACATGATGCTTAACCTTTTCCATTGTCAAATATTTGCTGAACACCTATGATGTGCTTACTACTCCCTCAAGGAGGTCGTTGCATTGCTTTTTAATTGTTGTTGCTGTTTTGTTTCCTTACTTTATTACCAAACATATGATCAAGTGATCCAGAGAGCACAATGATGGGCATGGTTTAAAAAAGAAAGAAAAAAAGTGTATATTAAATTAAAAGCCCACTATGAAACATGTCGAATCCACTGCATGTCTTAAGTCTGTCTACGAAGCAAGGAAAGCACATTTTTATGGCTCGCTCTAATTTTATCCTCCCCCACAAACCCCTTGCTCAGCATGACTGAATGGTGAAGGCTTAAATATCACCTTTTCTCTTACAAACTGAATGAACTTTCTGCAGTCCTGTCTGAACTTTAGTTCCAATTCAAGATAATTATAATCTCTGGACCCCTAGTACTTACAATTCCAATCCTTGCCTGAACTTCCACTGAAAGACATACACACCCATTTTAAAACCAGGAGCAATACCAAACCCTCAATGCTTTATATTTCATTGCAATTTCACAATTGATTTTCTAAAAACATTAGAGAAAATGAGTCTCAAGAACTTACTGTGCATCCATCATGTAAATTACCCAAACATGTTACATATTCATTGTTTATTGAGTCCCATAAACAATACAGAAGACTTCCTACAAGAACACACACTTCATGTTGTTTATTCCAGTGCTAGTTTGTTTTAACTTAAAATGATAATACCAAGGCACTGTCAGCTTACTGAACATGCAACCTTGTCCCAATCACTCTGTTTCAAATCTTTCCAAGAGTAATCTAGTTTGGGCAGGATTCCTGTGTTTTCCTGTGTGATTATCTCCTTTATATACCTCTGATGAAGCGATACAGAAGTAAATACAATTGAGAATAGAATGTACAAAAGCAAGCCTGTTTTCCCTGACCTAATCTTATATATGAAAAGGAACCTGACTGAATACAATTCTCTGTCAATAGCAGCTGATTGTTTACGACACAGTACCCCAAAAATTTCATCATAAATTAAGTTTAAAGTTGATTTTTAAAAAGAAAAAAAATAAAACAGAAGCCTAGGTTTCCTCCCACCCCAGTTCTCTGGCACTCAGCAAAAAGTAACACATCCTGCTCTATTGATAAGACCACAAATGAACAGTAGAGCTACATAATGTACAGTTCTAACTGGCCAGCTTCTAAAAAAAAATGAAGGATTCCTTCCAACTCCCATTAATGCACTTGATACAAAGAGAACATGTTTCAGCAACAAATACATTTAGGACTTGATGTTTTACAGAATCTACTGAAGGCTCTGGCCATAGGGGGAAAAAAAAATTTCCAGGATATTAAATGTTCTGACTCACCATCTAACAGAAGTACAAGCAAAATGCAAATGCAAATTGAATGTATACATATTTATGACTTTACCAGCTGCATGACAAGGCTACCTTTGGCTTCTGGCTTTATATATCAGGAAGAGAAGTTGAGAATACCAGCATACATTTGTGTTTCTTTTCCTTTCTTTTCTGAGACAAGGCCTTGCTGTGTCACCCAGGCTAGAGTACAGTGGTGCGATCATAGCTCACTGCAACCTTGAACTCCTAGGCTCCAGTGATCCTCTCACTTCAGCCTCCCAAGTAGCTGGGACCACAGGCACGTGCCACCATACCCAGCTAATTTTTTATTTTTGCATAGATGGGGTCTTGCTATGTTGCCCAGGCTGGTCTCAAACTCCTGGGCTCAAGTGATTCGCCCACCTCGGCCTCCCATGGGATTACAGGTCTTTGGTTTCTATTTGAACAGTTTCCTCTCTCCCAGCACTGATTGGAGCAAAGTATTATTTCTGAGTCTGGTGATGCACATAAGCCAGAAGAATCATAGTGAATAGATAAAAACAAACATTTTGGCCGAGCACAGGGTCTCACACCTGTAATCCCAGCACTGTGGGAAGCCGATGCCTGTGGATTGCTTGAATCCACGAGTTACAGACCAGCCTAGGCAACATGGTGCAACCCTGTCTCTGCCAAAAATACAAAAATTAGCCAGGCATGGTAGTGCGTGCCTGTTGTTGCAGCTACTCAGGAAGTTGAGGTGGGAGGATTACCTGAGCCTGGGGAGGTTGAGGCTGGAGTTGGGCCACTGCACTCCAGCCTGGGAAACAGAATGAGACCTTGACTCAAAAAACAAAAAAAAAGTAAAGAGAAAAAAACATGTTATTTTTAATGGCATCTGCTTGGGCAAGAAAACTTAAACATATAAATGCTAAACCATTTTCAAATGTACTAACTCTCTAATAATGATAGTAAACAGAAGTTTTCTGTTAATCTCTATGATTTCTAAAAGTCAAAACTGTACCTTCACCATAGAACTCCTGGGACAAACTCAAATATGAACCTTCTTAAGAATTCCACATTGATCTTGGTCCTCCTGCTATCATCTTTGTGACCATAAGTAAGTCAATTCACCTAAGTTTTAGTTTTCTTACCCATAAACGGTACTTCTAAACTAATTAATATTTAAATTCTTTATCAGAAGGAAACATACATCAATCCCCAATGTAAATTGCAGATCCATTAATAATATTTAAGATCACTATATTCTTTCTTATCATTCTTCCAAACATAAAAACACTACTTGTCTGTATATAAAGAGGAGGAGTAGAAAGAGAAGATTGTTAAAAGGAACAGAAACTAGGTTGGTTTTGTTAACTAGGTTCCCCCTCTGAAACCACGAGACAGTATTAGCATCTCCTGAAATTTATTCAATACCCTGTTTTAAAAACAGAATGGTTGGTTTCCCCATGTCAAGACATACCCTTTCATAAAATGGGACAAGTCAATTTCTAGGAATGTATCTTTCAGCAGCTGTAATACTAACAACTAAAGGGGCGGGGGGGCGGCAAACAAAAGAGCATAACATAGATGACATGAGTCTACTGTCTAGGGAGAAAGAAAAGCTCTTCCCTATATGATGCCTTCAGAAAAGAGAGCAACAATGGGCTCTGTACCCGCCAGCTTCAGGAGGCACATGCCTGTAGGCAAATTATCTTATGTGTTGGGAATTTACATGGTAAGATGCTTTCTATGTTTTACAGCATATGTTTTCCTTATGAATGACTTCATTCACCCCCTTCATTAATTCAACAGCTATTTACTGAGCACTTACTTTATGCAAACCATAAAGCTAAAAAAAAAAAGTTATGAGCTTACAATTAGAATATTCAAGTAAGCCCTGACATGTACCTTACAGTACTTTAACCCCTCAGAATATTTTCAAGTCAAACAGTAAACTAAACAATATACTGTAGATGTTAAGCTAAAACGCACTTGTTAAGTTTCATTCCTTTGATGAAGTGGCATGTAGTAAAGGGGGGAAGGGATAAACTAAAGGTGAAAGAGTAATTAGCTAGGTCTCTTAGGTGATGTGGGGTACAAAGGTCTCCTTCCTCTAGAGAAAATGATAACATTGGATTACAAACACATTGGTAAACATCACAAAATGCTAAAGTTGGAAAGAAAAAACATAATTTCATACAAACGTTTTGTTTTATATGTGAGACACTTGAGACTTGGAAGTGATATGATGGCCCAGGTCATACGGCCAAATGTAGTCCCAGAACTAGAACCCAGGTCACTGGGGGCATGCTTAACAGTCCTTTGTGTATTGCAGTTTCCATGATGTGTCCTCATTGCTATCAGAACTGAAATGATGGCAGAATACACAAAGCAATGGACTGGACATCAGAAGATCCAAGTTCTAGTCTTGCAAATGCCACTAAATGAGATGTAAATCCATGGAAAACTCCCACTGCTTGTCTAAACCTCAGTTTCCTCATCTGTAAAATGTAAACAGTAATTTACAGTGAGACTATGCAGACCACAATAAATGCAGAAGAACTCTGCCATTTAAAAAACCACCTTATATAAGTACAGAGCAGGCACCTGGTTATGACAGAAAACCTAACTGTGATTCTAATACCAGCACTTGTTACCTTGATAAATCTCTGAATCTGTGAGCCTCATGTTCCTTCTGTGTTTACATGGTAAAAAGTCTTTGCCCTGCCTCCCTCAGAAATGTTTGGAATTAGGTGAGAACACTCAAAAGAATTTACAAATTGCAAGACACTGATGCAAATGTAAGGTGTTATTATTAAATCTCTCTAGTCTTAACGTGGACAAAAATGTAATGTGGTTCTATCATTTAGTGCTTCACAGTTTTCCTTCTCAGGTAAGATGTCATCATACATCAGTCTCAAACTCACCAGCTTTCTCATCAGTCCTCATAAGTCTCTGCCCACAGGACCATATCAGAACCACCGTTTCCCTCCGCTCAGAGATCACACATGAAACTCACTCAACCTCCCACTGGTTTACACTTGGCCGATTAAGGTTTTTTCCCAGCGTCTCCTTTCAGCTGGGAATGCTCTAGCAAAGCTTCCATGAACACTACCCTACTTCATCACATTAGAGTCCTAATGAAACCCATCCTTACTTCATCACATTAGAGTCCTAATGAAACCAATCCTTTCGCCTTTCTCCACTCCAACAGCTGCAGAACGCTTCAGTCTCTTCGCAGAACAGGGGAGAAGTCTCTGGCTGAATGTGCTTCATTAGAGGGACAAAAGGGGTTCCCCAAACCGAGACTCAGAAGTACTGACACAGAGACCGCTTCTTCCTTGCACGAGATTAACACATTCTGAGGTCCTACCGGTCCCTTAAGGATCATTCCCCTTAAAGCTAGGGCCTCCTGCATCTGAGAATGTCACAGAGAGGTAGTGATGATAGTGGGTGTTATTTCTGATCTGTAACACGCTCCCTTTAAAAAAGCATCAGAGTAACTAGGATTGCCTTGTTCGGAGCCCTGATTTCAGTAGATTCGATGAAAGAATTAATCAATCTACCCAAATAACTTCTCCGGAATAGGTTTCTACTCAGCCACGCTGGGCACCAGACAAGAGAGCTGGGGGTTGGGGGGGATAAGAAATGACAACACGCTCATCTGCATAGATGCCAGATAAGCAGACATTTGTTTTCTTCTGTTCTGGCGACTCCTGGCACCGGCATAGTAAATCAAACCCGGGCATTCTCCCTCCCCAGTGCCCCTACACTCCCAGCCCCTGCCCCAGATGTTGAAGCGTCACGTTGACCAGGCTGGGGGAGAAAGCCTGGGAAACGCAGAAGTCTGTTGCTGCATTTAGACTGGAACCATACCGCACCTGTTCAATCCGGCACCAGCGCCAGAAATGAGCAGAACACCAACTCGCAAGCCCCTCTTGAGATACCAGGGCGCCTAACAAGTTCACCGCTGTTTCGTACCGGGGGAGGGTGGTGGGAGACCTTTCCTTCCGCTGCCAAACTCTGCAGGTTCCCCGGAAAAGGGGAGAGTACTCCTATTTAAGTGAACCCAGAGTGATCTCCGAGTGTCACTGCGGCCCCGGGGATCCGGGTGACGAGCGGGTGGGTGTCCGTTGGGAGCGCGCAGCTGTGGCCCCCGCGGAACGAAGGTCCGCTTCGGTGGCCACGGGCGCCCTCTCCACGTCACCCCCAGCACAACGCAGACAGGCAAAGTGGAAGGGTAGAGAGACCGACGGGTTTCAGCAGAGATGCAGAGCCCCTAAGCGCAAGCCCCTCAGAAGGGTCTAGTGGGAAGGGGCCGGGGACGCACAGGAAACTTACCTCACCCGGGCAGCATTCGGGTGCCTCCGCTACCAAGACCAGTTGCGCCACAGTCTGCAAGTTATCGGGACGTTGTCGCTTCCCCACAGCGAAGGGAGAGCAGTGCAGGCGAGGGGCGGGAGGGGCGGGAGGGGCGGGAGGGCGGAGGGGGCGGCGGGCGGGGCCGGGGCCGGGGGCAACGCTGAGGGCGGGCAGGTGCCGGGGCTGGAGCCGCGGGGCCAAACTCGCTCCGGACGCGCCTTGGCGGGGGCGCGCGGCTACGAGTGTGCAGTGCGCGCGCGCCGCGGCGAGTGTGTGTGTCCCCGCTTTCCCCTTCCTTCCCCGCCGGTCCTCCGGCCAGACGGAGCAGCGAGCGGCCGCCAAAGCCCAGCAGCTCCGAGCGGCTCCACTGCCGGGCGCAGCCTCGCCGCGGCGCGTTCGGGGACCGGGAACCGGGGACCGAGAGGAGCAGCAGCGGCGCCCGCCGGGCTCGGGCGCGGGTTCCCGCTTGGTGCGCGCCGGAGTCGGAGCGAGGCGCAGAGAGAGCCGGCTGCGCGGCGGCTGCCGCGGCTGGGGAGGCTGCAGGCCCCGCCTGCCGGCCGCCCAGGCTCTTCCCCTTTTCTCTCCACCCACTTGCCCCATCCCCGCAAGCCCTGCAGCGAAGGCAGACCGGTTTGCAGCACCTGCCGCAACAGCGGCCGGAGCTTCAGCCGCAGTGGGCTGGGCGTCTCAGCCGGTGTGTGGGGACCGGGCGCCTGTCCCGCCGCCGCTGGCCCAGACTGAGAGCGGGGTTGGGGTGGGCCCCTGGAATTGGCGGGTGCCTCCAAGACTCCAGGGGTTCCCGGCCGTTCTCAGCGTCTTGAAGCCCTGCGAAACAGGGCTGTGGGGATAGGGCGTCCCCTTTCCCCAGGCCACAGAACTCAGCTACGCCTGGTCGCCCGCCTGCTAGACTCTGCCTGAGGCGGCGAAGCCGGCACTTGAGCGCAGGCGCCCCCTTCACGAGGAAGGGACAGGCCAGGATTCCAAGGCGTTGGTTGCTCCCATTCTAAGGACAGCAGGTGTTCCCAGCAAGTAAGACCTACCCAACAGGTAGGGGTAGGCTGGCGAGGAGGTCCTAGGAGAGAGAAGCTGGGGGATGTCATGGGAAAGCGCTGTGACGGGGCTGAGGGCCAATTCCTACTGATAGCGCTTAGTGGGCTGGGGGCACTTGCAACGTCACCTGATGTCAGTCTAGCTGCGAAGAGGGTAGGGGTCAGATCTAAAGGACTCCTTTGGGAAAATGCTATCATGAAAGCTAAAGCTAAATTCACTTAATAGGAACCAAAAGGTAGCGGATCCTTCGCGGCTGAATTGAAGCAAATGGTATTTTTCAGCCTCATCACTTCCTTCCACTTACCCTTCTTTACCAAAAACAACGCCGGTGGAAAACGTGGGATACATTCTGTCTGGGGAATAACAACATTTCATGATCCTTATCTTCAGAGATCTCTGGCTTCCAGTTTCTGTTTGAAGGATACTCCCTTAGTTCTCTGCAAATGAACACCTCTTTTCAGTTTTGTAATCTCTTTGTTTCTCTCACCCCCCACCTTGAGTGAGTCTGCTATGGTTTAATATCAGCCTTGAATCAAGTGCAATAATTTCTTGATAACAGAAGTATCTATTTTTTTTTAGCTTTACTGAGCCATAATTGACAAATAAAACAAATATCTGTTATTCTTCAGCTGTTTTCCCAGCCTGCTTCTTGCAGATGTGGCTGGCCATTACTGAGAGATTTAAGGTATGGTTTGTTTAGAACCCTGTGACTTGGGTCTGGTTTTCTCCTGGCATCCTAGACGCTTCACAGCTCAGAGCAGGAGGAACATACATCTAGTCCAGCCCTCCCGCTTTACAGATGAGGAAACTAAGGTCTCAAGACATTAAGTAACCCAAGGACCAGAACACAGTTTCCCTGACTCTCAATCCCTGAACAATAACTAGCAGAAATATTGTATTAACAAAGTTCAAGATGGGGTGGATAGACCAGTGGTGGAGGACAGAAGAACCGATCAAAGAACCGTTCATCTGACTGGTACGAATCACTGTATAGGGGGCAGCATCATACCGCTGTAACTAGCAGGCTAGTTTGGAATCTGGGAATGGTAATCCCAGTCTCTCCTTTTCCTGCTTCTCAGACTTCAGCTATGAAATCCAGAGTGGAAAATGAATTTGCCTCCCAGGGAGGCGGTGGTAAGTGAAAGTGCAAAGTCAGTTTCTGGTAATGCAGGGGAGATGAAGACAGGTAAAGCCAAACATTGGATCAAAAGTGATCACGCATTACGTATAAATGTCCAAATACATGTATCCATACACATGACCCTTTTCCCATTAATGAGCCTGGTATTGAGCCACTTCTGTAAAGCCCAAAAGCAAACAGCCTTAGGTTTTCAGAGAGAAGTGTCCAACCAGACTGCCCACTGGCTATTTAGAGAGCTAACTTTATGAAGCAGGATTCTAAGGAACTCTACCAAGAGCCTTACGATTGCATTATTACTGTGAATTGATTAATGGAATGAATGACCATGTAGTATGAGACCTGGTATTTCTTCCTGATTCTATCTCCAACTCTATCAACAGGGATTTAGGAAAGTCATCCTGTATTGGAAATAATACAACAACATCAATATCATGAGCAATAGTGACTTGGCCAGAAATTCTGGAAACCTATTTAAAAATCAGAAAATATTCATCTAATTATTTTGCTTAATTTTAAATGTAATTTTTTCAATTGATTCCTGACCTCAGTCCAAAACTTTAATAATGCTATTGAATACTCCTCTAACTATGAGAAACATGCATGGGTTCCTAGTAGTACATTTGATAGTATTAGTGGCCCCCCAATAAATGACCTCCTTTTTTCTCCAAGGTCTTTCCCTCTAACCTTGTAGTCCACTCCTATTCTGGGCCCAACCGTATGATTTACTTTGACCAACAAGACAGTAGCCGGCTTGATGTAAATGAACGCTGGAAAAATGTTTACACATTTCTGTTTCCAGTCTTGGAATTCTGACATCACCAGAATAAGCCTGCTGGAAGATGAAAGACCCTGTAGAGCAGAGCTGAGTCATAACAGCTGAGGCATCCTTGACCAGTCAGCCCTCACTTGACTGTGGAGGCACAAGCAAGTCTGAATGAGATTGGCTAGGCTTGGTCCAGATCACCAGAACCACCCTCCCAACTCATAGATTCATGAGAAACAATAAATGGTTGCTGTTTAAAGCCACTGTTTCAGATATTGATTGCTGCTTAACAAACAATCCCAAAACTTAGTTGCCAAAATCATCAGTCATTTACTATTTTTCATGATTCAGTGGGTCAACTAAGCCTAGCTGAGTATTGCCTAAGGTCACTCATGGTTTTTTTGTTTGTTTTTGTTGTTGTTGTTGTTTGTTTGCTTGCTTTTGAGACAGGGTCTTGCTGTGTCACACAGGCTGGAACAGGCTGGAGTGCAATGGCATGATTACAGTTTACTGCAGCCTTGATCTCCTGGACTCAAGCAATCCTCCCACCTCCGCCTCCCAAGTAGCTGGGACCACAGGCATGCACCCCAACGCCTAGCTAATTGTTTTTATTTTTTTGTGTGGAGATAAGGTCTCACTGTGTTGCCCAGGATGGTCTCAAACTCCTAGCTCAAGCAACCTTCCAACCTCAACCCCTAAAGTGCTGGTATTACAGGTATGAGCCACTGTGCCTGGCCTAGGTCACTCATTTGACGGCATTCAACTGGCCACTGGCAGCCGGACTGAATTGGAAGGTTCAAGAAGGCCTCATTCACATATCAGGCACCTCAGTTCTCCTCCACATGACCTCTCTCTGTCCATCCAGCTGGCTTGGGCTTCCTCCCAGCAAGGTGGTTAGACTTCTTCTATGGCATCTTGCTTCCAAGAGGGAGGAATAGAAACTGCCAATTCTCTTAAGGGTTGAGTTTGGAAGTTCTAGAATGTTATTTCTGCTTCAGTCTATTGGTCAAAGCAAGTCACAAGGCCAGTCAGATTCAAGAGGAGGGGAAATAGACTCTGCCTTCTGACTTGAGGGGTACTGTGTTATGTTCAGGAATAAAAGAGCTGATAGCAGCCATTTTTTGAAGACTACTTCATCCACTACGTGTTTGGGTGCTTTGTGACACCACATCAGATCATCGATATATTCTTCTTAGCTACGCCACTTTGAACCAGTTACACATTCTTTCTGGACCTTTCTATGAAATGCCGGAGGTTGCATTTCTCTAAGTTGCTAATGCACATTTAGCATTTTTTTTTTTTTTTGGTGATGTCTCAAGAGCAACTGAAGTCCAATAAATATTCAGAGGGAACTTGAGGAACATTGGTGAGCTATGGATAGTTCCACCTGTTCATCTGTCCTTTATTTTTTTTCCAATGAGAAAAAAACAGGAATCCAGATGAAAGGCATGCATTGCATTCGTTGACATTGAAGAGTAGAGAAGTAGAGCCAGCATCCTTCCCAAATCTCTAGGGACCATCCTCCTGCCACATTGCCCTCTCTTTCTAGAAACTTCATGTCTAAGCAGACAAGAAAGGCTAAACGCTTAGCTGATGCCCCTGTATAACTTGAGACACTAATTTCAGAGGACCAGTTTACCCTGGGAACCTTACATTCAAGCAAAGGCTTGACAACCTCATATGCATCGCCTTCCTTTTCTTCTTAATTCCCTGTACCCTCTTCTCTTTCATCCAGCTTTGCTTTCTTTTTTGCTGCCTTTTTTCTTTCTTTCTTTCTTAATCCTATCCATCCCCTTGTTCCTCTTTCCTCTCAGGATTGGAAAGAGCATTGAATTAGGAGCCGTAAGACCTGGTTTGTCACTCCAGCTCTGTCCCCACAACAGTGAAATCTGCATTCTTTCTTGGTGGCAGATTCCTTGTCTGCACCATGAGAGAGTTAGACAAGATGCTCTGAAAAGTCCCTTACATGCCTAACATGCCAAAGGAATGTTCCTTCTGCAATACATTTAGTGCCAAGGCTTGGAGGAGTTTGCATATTAAAGACTCAGAACCCTTTAGAAGAGGTGCACTTGTATCTTAAGCCTTCATGAGTGATTTACAATACCTCTCAGTACTTTTTTCTTGAGTTTTTAAAAGCTAGAATATATGCAAATCTACCAGACACATGTCCTATTTAACTTACTGTTCTTTGCCCAGAGGTTGGTATTATCTAGCTCTTCTCAAAACTCATTGATGTTTACATTCAGCTAAGAACAATAAGAAAACTGGAGGCCCAGTGTTAGCAGGCATACAGGTCTGACCCTGGAAAAGTTCTCCAAAATACCTGGTGACCCATCTAGGAAGCAGGAAGAAGAGCTAAGCAATGTGCGCCTAAAATTTCATAGCAAAAACATAAAATTATATATATGGAGATTATAATTATGTAAAAAATAATGCACATGAACGATAAATACCTGGAAAAGAACAATGTTTAAAGTTCTCATGTTAGGGTGGGAGAATTCTTTTTTTTTGTAATATTTTTGTCAATATTATTTATTTTTCATCCTCAGTAACCGACTCAATAGCTGTATGAAGGTAACAGATAAGCTTGATCTAGAGAGCACATGTGAAGTTTTTGTTTTTTGTTTATACTTTAAGTTCTAGGGTATATGTGCACAACATGCAGGTTTGTTACATATGTATATATGTGCCATGTTGGTGTGCTGCACCCATTAACTCGTCATTTACATTAGGTATATCTCCTAATGCTATCCTTCCCCCCTCCCCCCACCCCACGACAGGCCCCCATGTGTGATGTTCCCCTTCCTGTGTCCAAGTGTTCTCATTGTTCAGTTCCTACCTGTGAGTGAGAACATGTGGTGTTTGGTTTTCTGTCCTTGAGATAGTTTGCTGAGAATGATGGTTTCATTCCTACAAAGGATGGTTTCATGTCCTACAAAGGACATGAACTCATCCTTTTTTATGGCTGCATAGTATACCAGGGTGGGAGAATTCTAAGGTTTAAAAAAATTGATGTTATATTGTTTCTAACATTAAAAATATATATACACCATTAAGAATACCAGTCTAATTTCCACCAGCCTGTATAATCTATTTTCTTTTGAATTCAGTTACTCCTTTTCTCTTTAACATTTTTTCTCGTTACAAACTGACCCACATACATACTTTTTTTAAGGTGAGTTTTCACTTTGCCCACAAGTTACAAAAACAACATGAACCAAATAATGATTGATTCGAGGAGTGAACAAGAAGCAAGAGAATATCAGAATGGAGGAGAGAAAGGACAAAAAATAGAGAATTGCCGGGATAGCATAGAGAATCAAGCTGCATTTCAGAAAGATTCTTAAAGCATGCAAAATTTATACACACATTTTCTATATCAAGTCTGAACCTGGGTTTTAAGGAAGTTGAAAGTCATGGCCTTGATAAGGGAGAGAGAACCGTCGCGCCACCCACCCCCACCCTGCCCCGCTTTTTGGTTGGAGAGGCCAGTTTTAAAGCTTGAGGTAGAGGAAAGAGGCAGAAGTGAGTCAGCAGTGTTCCTCAACACACACCAAAATAATTATTGCAATCATTATACCATGAGTATCGAAACAACTTTCCTAAGGTCACAGAAATTATCTCTGGAACCAGGAGTCAAACCCTAGGCTGCCATTTTATCCCCAGAGCAGGAAGTGATCAGCAGAATATGCCCAGGGGTCTTCATGATTGAGCATAGATTTTTCATGCTCAACCCTTCTTTGTTATAACATGCAAAGTAGTTTGTTTTCTACCTACTCAAAACATTTTTAAAAAATCCTCATCAATTATGAAACATTTGACATCAAATTAGTCCAAATAAAAGGGTGACTGGTCTAGGAAGAATACCAAGAAATGATGGTATTTCAGCTCCTGGGATGGCTGCAAAAGAAGGAAAGGTAATGAATTCAACAAAGTCACTCAAACTTCCTAAGTAGAGGCAGTAGCTGTCTGCCCAAGACATAGCTGACACCTTCCTGGGGCCATTTCAGGGAGGGCTCAGTTGCTTACAGTGGACGAGGCAGATCCTACCCTGTGTGGAGGGAAACTTCCAGGGCAAAGACTCAGACTTTCTCAGCTTTGTTTTGTGAAGGAAGGTAGCATGTGTGACACTGATGACACCACAAACACTTGTTGAACAGACATGCATGTTAACGTTAGTCAACCAGTGAAGTCCACGCTCAGACGCTCAAGCCCTCTGTGACACTGTGCCATGTGAATACACTGGGAAGACACATTGATTTTCACTTTTATTTCTCAAAACATTTAGTGACTCTCCTGACTTGGAACCATTTAGGTGGAACCTTACTAGCAAGACTGTCTCCTCCTGACAATATTTGAATTTGAATGTTTTGCTAGCAAAATGGAGCTTCCTGTTCTGACACCCCTTATAAGATGTTGTCAGCAAGCTGTCACAGCAACCTAAAATATTTGGCTGGGATGGGAGAAAAGCAAAAGGAGCTGTGTTAATCAGGGTATGCAAACGGATTTCACATACAACCCGCAAGCCTCAGTGGATTAGTATAATAAAGATTCATTTCTTGTTCATGTCAACATTCAGTGTGATTTGGTGGTGGGGCTGGTTTTGTGCAATCAGCCAGAGACCCTGGCTCCTCCTGTCTCATGGCGCCATTATCTTCAACAAGTGGCCTCTGAAATCCTTCCTGAACTGCAAGACAGAATGAAAGATTTAGAATGCCAGGTGGAGGAGTGGCAATCATCACGTCCACTCACATTCCACTGGCCAGAAATTGATCCCACAGCCCCACCTACTTGCAAGGGGTCTGGAAAACTCCATGTAAGCGCTGTGCCTGGGAAGAAGAGAAGAGCCTGGACACTGGGGAGCACTATATTCTCAGCCCCATGCACTGAATTAAACACGAGCCATTCATCTTACATTTAATCTTGCACAGCTATGACTGGAGGCTTATGAGGGAGAGTCTTTAGTAGTCAGGATTCTTCTTCTGTGCTATATCCTGGTATTTCCCCCGGATTTTCACATTGGAAGCAGCCTGTTGTATGTGTGTGGTTTTGGATGGTACTGCTGTCTTGAAGTGTTTGTGGACATACATGGGAGCTTAAAGAGTCAGCAGCCTATATTGGTACAGAAAATTGAACATTTAAAGCAAGTGTAAAAGAAGTATTCTTCTGGAGCTCTTGCCAGGATGAGAGACTATTTAATTTCATTACCATAGGAGAAAATGGAATCTGTGCAATCAGCTTTTAAAGTTGTTGCAACCAGAAACTTTGGAGCCTTTGGGATAGGAAAAAAAGTGAAGAGAAACATAACTCATCCCTCTACCTGCAGTCAGCTTGTCCTGATGGCATGGGTGATTTCAGGAATAATAATTGTAATGAGGGAAAGAGAAACAGGATGGGGAAAGCAAGAGGAATACAGCTTTTTATAGCACATATTTTAAGGAAAAATATGGGAGTTGGCAGTGCTTTGGAGATTACAAATAATTTAACCCAAAAGGCAAAGCTATTCTGTGAAGATACAAGTTAGAAAGTATTGGAGAGTTGCCCAGCATCTTCATACTACTTAAAACTGTCTGTCTTTTCCAGTGTGAAGCAGGCAGAGAACATCAGACTACAGCAAAGGACTAGGCGATGACCTCTTAAAAGTCTGCTGTGTCCTAGGTTTGTGTTGCCCATAGGTTGGGAACAGTAGGTGTTGCATGTTTGTGTAGTTTTTTCTTAATTTTGGAGTAATGAATGTATGAAAGAAGCCCTTCTTTGTGACCATTCTGCATGCCAAGCGATATGGTGGCATTTCCTCTACAGACTTTCAGATGAAAAAATTAAATAAGAGGTTTATTTAATATGCAAGAGTTTGTCTGTGATATCCTGATAAGAATAAAAGGCATAAATTGAACATGTACATATACTACAACCTCAAAAAAGTACGCAAAGTTGAGAAAAGTCCTGAAAAGAAATCTTCCGAAATGTTAGCTATTGTTGCCTCTAGGTTAATATTGTATCTTCTTTAACAAAACTTTCTTGTGCTAATTTTTCAAATCAGAAAAAGATAAAGAAATTGAGGAAAAATGTAAATATTTGAAGATGACAAAAAATTATGTTTGTTTTTAAAACTTAGGAAAATTTAGAAAAACAAAAAAGAAATCACTCTTCATTTTCTTCACCCAGAGACTGCCAGGTCCAACATTTGTTATTTGCTTACCATGCTGTCAAATATCTTACAGTTTTTCTAGATTAAAATAATGTTCACAGGGCAAAGGATCTAAATAGACATTTCTCAAAGAAGATATACAAATGACCAATAAGCATTTGAAAATATACTCAACTTTATTAGTCATTAGGGAAATGCAAATTAAAACTACAAAGACATCTACTATACAACACTTTATATCTACTAGGATGGCTAGAATCAGAAAGAGAGATAATAATAAGTGTTGGTGAAGAGGCAGAAAAATTGGAACTCTCCTCCATTGCTGGTGAGAATTGAAAAAGAAGCAACCACTTTTGAAAAAATTCTGGCAGTTCCTCAACAGTTTAAATGTAGAGTTAAGATACAACCCAGCAATTCCACTCCTACATATCTATCCAAGAGAAATGAAAACATACATCTACACAAAAACTTGTACACAAATGTTCATAGCAGCATTGTTCACAATAGCCAAAAAGTGGAAACAACTTAAATATCCATTAACTGATAAGTGGATAAAGAAAATGTTGTATATTCATACAATGAGATATTATCCAGCAATAAAAAGGAATGAAGTATCAGTACATGCTACAATGTGGATGAACCTTGAAAATGTTATGCTAACTGAAATAAACCAGACACAAAAGGCTACATGTTGTTTAATTACATTTATAGAAAATATCCAGTATAGACAAATCTGCAGAGACAGAAAGAGGTTGCCTCTGGCTGGGGAGAGGGGGCATAATAGGAAAATGAGGAGTGACTGCTAACGGGTACAGGATTGGGGGTAGGGAAGGTGATAAAAATGTTCTAAAGTTAATGACGAATGCATAACTTTGTGAATATACCGAAAACCATTGAATTGTATACTCTAAATAGGTGAATGGAATGATATGTAAGTTATTTCTCAATAAAGCACCTTTTAAAAAAGGAAAAGATAATGTGCATGTATCAAAAATTTCAAAGCATATAGAGGAGTCTAAAATTAAACATAAGGTTTTTCTTCTTATCTACCCTCCAACTTGTGGTTCTAGCCTCGTGGGAAGACCACTGTTAGAAGATTCTGGTTTTTTATTCTTCTAGTAGTTACCGTTTTAACATTAAATAATATAATTATATATTATTTAATATATAATTCAATCTCTTAATTGAGCTGTCATTTTTAAAAGTATGTTTAACACTCAACTTTGAAAAGAAAAGAAAGTTGACACAGTTTGACTGTCTCCCACATCCTCTTTCCCTTTCTGCTTTCCAATTTTTCTGAATTTATTTTGGTAATAGTTTCTACTTTTATAACTTCAAATAACATACTCAAGCTTCTATTTCTTGATTTATCAATTTCAGACACCAGCTCTTATCTAGAAGAAGGTAGACTTTAAATGTTTCGTGGCTGTAAACTACATGGGAGAAGTCCCATTAAATAAAATATTGAGTCCTATCAACAGAAGAATGCTCTCTACTCGGTTTAATTATGACATTAAGAACTTAATTCAATGTTTCTCAAAGATGTTTCAAAATTTGGCTAAGTGATAACACGATTATCTGAGAATTGACTATGGTAGGTAAGAGTACTGACCATGTTGCCTAGGTACCAAGAATAAAGAGGCCAAATTCTAGCCTCACCTTAAATTCTTCATAGAATTTACTTGAGGGGTGTTATTTAACATATTTTAAGAAGAGAACACATCTACTGATGGGAATCTGTCAGATGATCACTGGAAAGTTGGACAGACAACCACTGGGACTTCCTTTCCACATGGAGAATGTGTGGTTCTAGAACTCTGAGTTTGTAGGGATGTTCTGCTGTCTCCTATTAGCACTGTATCTCAAGTCTAGTCATGGTGATTATTTTGGATCTTGGACCAGGTGGTGAATAGAGGATGGTAAAGTCTAGTTCAGGACTGGGGCATACTGTGGGACAGAGGAGATAGAGAAGAGTGGAAAGGGAGAGTGGCTTTAAGACACACCCCAGGTATTCCAGTGATACATAATCACTTGAAAGAAATGCTTAACCTCAGCAGCAAACAAACAAACAAACAACAAAAAACCCAACGTGAAGCAGCTCTAAATTCCCATTGCATACTCCTTACAAGGGAAGAATAGACATTAGCGGCCTATTTACTATATACCGTGCCTTGTGCCGATGCTTTGCCTGCACTATCTCATTCAATCCTCAACCCTGAAAACTCATTATCCACATCCACAGATAAAGCAACTGAGACAGAGAGTCGAAGTAAGGTCCCTTAAATTACCAAGAGCAAAGTAATAATTCAAAATCCAGTGTTGACAAGGCTTTGGGAGGACAGATACACTAGGTAAATATTGGTATAATCTTCCTAGAGAACAACTAACAAGAGGCATACAATGATTAAACCTAGGTTCTAGTCATCCCATTTTAGAGAATATGCTCTAAAAACAAAAATATGTAATTAAAAAATGATTGTACAAAACTATTCATTGCACTGATATTTTTAAAATGCTATCAGGCAATAAATCTACTAGCCAATAATTGAAGACTGATTTTGTTATAAACTATCATTAAAAAGTGGTCTTATTTGGACTATATTGATGTGCCAAGAAAATTGTACATAAGACAATGTTAAGACAAAAAAGTAGAACCCAACAGATAGTATGTGAACAGCAAACCGAGTATATAAAATGCCATGTATAGTATTAATTTGTCAGATTCACATAGCTCACAAGTCAGTGCAGATATTTGTTAATTAGATTATTTTTCCCATGAACTTAAGTGCATAACAATGTATTGATTTTAAATTCCCACAAGTAATTCTGTACTCTCTAGCACTGGGATTCATTTGCAGGTTTGAAGAAAGGTATGAGAGAAAGGGGAAGAACTGTTAAACACACGCTGAAAGCAAAGAAGGGTTGCCCCGAAAATCTCTCTTGTGAGTTCCTGAAGACTTTTCCTCTGGGAAGCCACGAATTCTGTTGTGATGTCAATAATGCTCTCTGAGGGAAATTCCCTGAAGGGGAAATAGTGATGTCTCTGCCCTGCCCCTGAACCAATATTTATAGACACACCCATAAATATTGTTCAAGAAGAATTTGTGTTGAAAGCCCATGCCTGCAGAAAAGACTGAGTTGTCTCATCTGAACAAACCCCCAACGTAAGACTAAGGTATTATTCCCATTCTCAGCACTGATCTTGCAGGCCCCCATCCTGAGCCTTCCAACAAACTTTCCTCCTGCCTGCAATGCTCTGATATGCCCATTCTACACAGTTTTAAGACCCCTCTTAATTCCTCCCTGTTCCAGGAAGTCTTCACAGGAAGACATTACCACCTCCTGTAATTCCTATAGCACTTAGAATTCACTTGTTCTGCCAACATTTCATAGACACCTGTCTATCTCTCCGTGAAATGGCAGACTCCATGTGGTGAGAAGCCCTGTGTTTTTTAAATTGTTTTTGGAAACTTCATATTACATTAATACTTAACAGAGTGCTTTAAAATACAGCACAAAGTCTTCAAACAATTATTTGTGAAGTTGCTACCTGTTTCTTTCAAAAGAGATCTCTTTTGTCCATGGTTGCTTTAGTGACTGTTAGTGTTTCAAGCATGGATTTGGGAATCAAATATTCTCTCTCACCCTTTTCTTGCAACTTCAGGCAAGTTTCTCAACTTCCTGGAGACCATTTTCTCATTCATTAAGTAGAGATACAAAATATTTCACAGAACTCTAGTAAGGATTAAAACTAGTCATTCTTCACGTGTCAGCTTAAACATTACTTTGTTCAGGATCCCTTTCTTGACACCTCTCCTCACCTCCAAGTTTAAATGAGAAATGTCTCTCTGTGCTTCCAAACACTCTAAACCAGTGCCATCCAACAGAACGTTCAGCAAGAATATTGTTCCATAATCTGTGCTATTTATAGGTAGCCACGAGCCACATGTGCACTTGAAATGTGGTTAATGTGACCGAGGGACTGATGTGTAAGTATTATTTAATTTTAATTGCTTTTAAATAGTCCCATGTGGCTGGTGATGCCCGGACTGGACCGCACAACTCTAAACAATTCCCATTATAGCGCTTGGTTCACGGTTGATTCTCTCCTACAAGATTGAGGTCTGTGATGAAATTCACCTGGACTATGATGCTCCCCATTATATCCATAGCACCTGGGTCAGGGGCTGTTGCACAGTAAGCTCTCAGCACACCAGTTATCATCATCTTCAATGTCATGTTGCCCAACTTTGTATCCCACGGTTTAGCCCAGCACACACTGTAGATGGTTCATCATTGTTTGCTAATTGAGTTAATTGATTTCTAGACTTACAAACAAACCAATAATCTGTTCCTGGACAATATTCAACCAAAGGGGGTTGCATAAATGTCTTTCTACATTACACATTGTATACAGGTATCAAAATATCACACTGTACCGCATAAATGTGTATAATTACTGTGTGTTCATTAAAAACAATTTTAAAATGTCTTTTAAATAATTTCTCTGTGTGCGGCATAGTGGTTAGAAGCCTCTGCCTGGATTCCAACGCTAGCTCCTCCACTTTCCAGCTACATGACCTCTAGTACATAATTTTTTGTGCCTTAGTTTATTAGTCTGTAAAGTGGGGACATGAATGGTCCTGCCTTATTGAGTTGTTTTAAAGATTATGTGTATTGAGGCTTATGACCACCATTTTACAGGCAATAGAGAGAACAAAGGGCTGCAATGAATTACCCTATTAACATTCAAGCTGCAAAATCCAGATTGTAGGGAATGATAGTCAGGAAACTGAGACAGCCACGCTGTGGGCTTTAGGTAGCAAATCTAAGGGCCAAGACACAACTCTGAGTTTGGTCATCTGGAAGCAAGGGAGGAGAAAAAAATATTTGGCATCATTAGCCTTTACAGTAGAGGGAAGCCTCTCAGCTGAGGAAGAAGTGCTGAGTGAGGAGTGGTTGCTGTGTAGCAATTAATAATGTGGGTCCTAAGATTGTTGGTAAAACTCAATTGCAAAGCTGCCTTCAACTTTGTGTGGACTTAAGTGTGGGTAGCATTTTAGCAAAGAGGACCCCGAAGCTTTAAATTCTGCCTGTAGGATGCTGGCATGTCAGGTGCAGGAGATGTGAGTTAATGGTCTCAACTGTTCCAAGAGTAGCAGCTGCAACAAAAGCTCAGCCCTTTCCTCATACAGAAATGAGAGTGTGAAAGTAGTGGGTGGGATAAGAAGAGAATGAAACCACTGGAAAAAAAAAATGCCTTTTTCTGCTGCTCTCAAGAGTTCCCTGGAGAACCCAAAAAGGACAATCTTTGGTTTCATTGCAGACCTTTCTGCCTTTTGTTCCTTGAAGTCCCAGACATACTTTTTTCTGTTTCATGAACATGCCAAACTATTTTATGCTCAAGGTATTTAAACTTGCTGTTCCCTTTGCTGGGAAGGCTCTCAATCTGGGTCTTCCATGGCCATCTTTTTCCCTTTAAGTAAACCTTCGTTCCTACGTTGTCTTCTTCAATAGGACATTCCTGATCATTGCATTGAAAGATTTCCTGTAATAGCCTAACCTTCCCTCTAACACACACACACACACACACACACACACACACACACACACACACACACACACACAGACATCAGTTTTATTCAATGTATTGATACACATGAGTGAAAGGCTTAGAATAGCACATTATAAGTCTTCGGTATTATTAGGTATCATTTTTTCCATAATACCATTTTGTATCTAAATGTATCTTGTATATTTATATACTGATTTTCAATGGTTAGTCTACCCTTCTTTCTTATTAGCTCCCCAAGAGCAGGGACCTTGGCTGTTTTGTACATTTCCATATCTCTAGCACCGAGAATAAAGCCTGGTACTTGCTGGGTGCTCAATAACCATTGTTGAAAGGGTACATTAACTACAGAAAAAAGTATGACACCGGGAAAAAAAGGCTAAAAGATAATCACTGATAATGTTGGGTAGTGAGCTTCAGAGGTTTGTTTTCTTCTCTCTAGCTTTTCACATATTCCAAATTTTTACAAATAGCATGTGTTCTTTTTAATCCTAAAAGAGTTTAATTTTTGCAAAAAGACTTACGTTGGCATGCCATACAAAAATGTCAGTTGATAAATTTCTGCAGGCATGTTGCAGATTACAACCTTTGGATCTGTATACAACCACTTCTTAAATCAGAAGTCTGACGTTCTTCAGGAAGAACTCTCAGCATTATGTCTCTTGGTATAATAAATACAAATGCAGGCCCTACTGAAAGCCCCCTGGGGGGGGTCTGACAAGTCACATTCCATCAGCGGCCACGTACCATGTGACCAGCCACCCGCCTCTTTATCTCTAGCTCCTTAAGTCAGGAGTTTCATTTGGCTCCAGACCTTGGCACTACGAAGGTCAGCCAAGGTCGGGGCTCAAGTAAGAATGACTCACCCTGCTCTGTGCTCTCCACTGGGCACAGGCTGGAGCATGATGAATGCTGTGATTTTCCAGGCTCAACTCCCAGGAGGTGAGGTTCATTCCCTGAAACACTGGACCATGAAAGAAAACCCAGAGCATCCACCAAAGTGTTGTTTAGCATTTAGAAAACAAAAAAGAAGCCTCTACTGTCTGGTCCTATCCAGTGTAGTTCTGAATCAAAGTTGACCACCCAGTATAAACACCACTTTTTAGGCTTGTGCAAAGGGGGTTAATCATGATGCTTTTTAAAAAATAATGATTGTGCAAGATTGCACACACGCACCCAAGTATTAACAATAATACAATAAGCAATTACAATATCAGGGCCAGGTTTTATAAGATTTTTGTATGCCTGATTTACTTTGGAGTCTCTTGCCTTTAAAAACAAACAAACAAACAAACAAACAGAATATTATAGATACAGTAAAACTACTCCCAATTTCACTCCTTTCCTTCCTTCCCAGTGGCACTCAGTAACATAAAGTAACTTTATCATTCCTTTACATGTTTTTATATATCCATATATTCATAAACTTTGTTAAATTTTTTGCCCATTTTAAACCTTTATATAAGTGTTACCTTATCTTATGTATGATTTTGCAACTTTAATTGTTGTTCAGCATTACATTTATGAGATTTATCTTTGTGGATATATGAGATTTATCTTTGTGGATATATATGTGGATACATTTGCTAGTTTTACATGTCAGCGTGGCTAGATCAGTTAATCAGTTAAACACTAGGTGTTTCTGTGAAGGTATTTTGTAGGTGTGATTAAAGCCTGTAATCAATTGGATTTAAGTAAAGAAGATTAGCCTAGATAATCTGAATGGACTTCATTCAATTGGTTGAAAGGCATTAGAAAGGCAATTGAAAGGCATAGCCAAGGATTCCCTGGAGAAGAAGAGATCCCACCTGTGAACCAAGCTTCAGCTTAGGACTGATGGTTCCAGCCTGCCCTTCCTGACAGTCTCCCCTATGGATTTCAGACATGCCTAGCCAGCCTCCACAATCACACACAAGCCAGTTCCTTGGAATAAACCTCTTAATATATATCTCTCACTAGTTCTCTTTCTCTGGTTGGGCTCTGACTGATGCAATATACTTGTCATTTTATTCATTCATTCATTCCTTTAGAGACAGAATCTTGCTTTATCAGGGTGGAGGGCAGTGGCATAATCATAGCTCATTACAGCCTTGACCTCCTGGGCTCAAGCGATTCTCCTGCCTCAGCCTCCCAAATAGCTGGGACTACAGGCTCCCACTACCATGCCTGGCAAAATTTTTTAATGATTTTTAGAGATGGGGTCTCACCATGTTGCCTGGGCTGTGATTTACTTTTTTTGTTTTGCTATGGATCAGGGGTCAGCAAACTTTTCTTATTAAAGGCCAGGCATTAAATATTTTAGGCTCTGTGTGTCATATGGTTTCTTGCAACTATTGAACAATGCTGTTGTAACACGAAAGCAGTTATACAGACAATACATCAGTGAATACAAGTGTGGCTGGGTTTCAATAAAAGTTTATTTATACATATAGGTAATGGGCTGGATTTGACCCATGGGCTATAGTTTGCTAACCCTTGCTGTGTAGCATGCATTGTATGAATATACCACAATTTGTCTATTCTCCTGTTCATGGACATTTTCTACATTGTTCCTCCATTACCACAAAATGCTGTACCTAGTATTCTTGTATTCATTCTTTGTGCACATGTGCAAGAATTATTCTCTATCTAGAAGTAGAATTGCAGGGTCATGGATTATGTGAATCTTCAACCTAACTAGATAGTGCCAAATTGCATGCTAAAGAAATTGTTTCAATTTATACTGCTATCAATAACAGTGCTTGAGAGTTTCGGTTTCCACATCTTCTGTACCATTGGAATTGTCAGACTTATATATCTGGTGGATACAAAATTGTATCTCATCATAGTTTTAACTTACATTTTCCTAATGAATAATTATGAGAAGCATCTTTTTATGTATTTTTCTCCATATATATCCTCTTTGATAAAGTGTCTGTTCAAATCTTTTGGCCATTTAAAAATTGGATTCTCTTATTGAGCTTTGTGGGCTCTTTATATATTACGGATACAAGTCATTTGTTGGACACAAGTCATTTATGTAGGAAAATATTTGCAAATATTTTCCACCAGTCTGTAGCTTGTCTTTTCATTTTCTGAAGTGTCTTTTGCAGAGCAGAAATTTTAAATTTTTATAAAGCTAAATTTATCAGTGTGTGCTTTTATAAATCATATTTCTAGTGACATATCTAAGAAAACTTTGCTTAAGCCAAAGATTTAAGTATTTGCTTAAATCTTTGCACATTTTTTTTCTATGGTATCTTCTAGAATTTTTATGGTTGAAACTTCTTGCATTTAGGCCTATGATAGTCTACGATGCATTTTTAGTTAACTGTTAACTATTTTGTATTATACAATACAGGATATAAGTTGAAGTTCTCTTTTTTTAGCATATGAATGTCCAGTTGTTCCAATACCATTTATTGAAAGACTTATTTTTCTACCTCATTCGTATCTTTGTCAAAAATCAAGTAACCACCTATGTGTGGGTCAATTTCTGGGCTCTCTGTTCTGTTTTATTAATCTATATGTTATATTTTTCTCAGTATCACACTGTCTTGATTTCTGTGGCTTTATAGTAATTCTTGAAATCAGGCACCGTGAGTTCTCAAATTTGTTCCTCTGTTTTCTTTTTTGTTGTTGTTGTCGTTGTTGTTTTCAAACAGAGTCTCATTCTGTCACCCAGGCTGCAGTGCAGTGGCACGGTCTTGACTGACTGCAACCTCTGCCTCCTAGGTTCAAGTGATCCTCCCACCTCAGCCTCCCGAGTAGATGGGATTATAGGCGCCACCACATCCAGCTGATTTTTATATTTTTACTACCTCACAAATATCACCTATAGTTGAGAGATGAGAAGGCAAAGAAAGAAGACAAAAGAGTGCTAGACAGGAAGGAACTATCCCAAAATCTGGATTACTTGGAGGAATGGTAGGGAAGTTGGAGGGTCTGAAGGATGGAAGTGGCTTTGCAGGCTGGGGTGAAGGGTCGGCAGGGATTGGTGGTGATGAGTGAAACCACTCAGCCTAGCAGATGAATGACCAGATGGCGACAGGAGGGGGCAGGATGAAGCCCCAATTGGGCGATTTAGGGGATGGATGACAGCCCAAGGAGCCAAGTAAGGAGCCTGAGATGATGATAATAAAAATCAATCAAATTATCCATCAATTATCCATCAAAAAGCAATCAAATTATCCATGCTAATTAGTTAGCCAGATGCTTCCATGCATTATCTCCAATCTTCAGTCCACCCTCCCAGAGAGATATCATTGTTCTGGCATTACAGATGCAAAAGCAGAGGGTCCGAGAATCCCAGTGTGGCAAAGCCTGTCTGCCTCTAAAGTACAGCTGCCTTGGATGATACCAGCCTGCCTCCCAACTCATGCCAAGTTTATTCACTCACTCAGCCAGCCAGTCAGCTAGCACCTACTATCTAAGCTATATGCTGAAAACAATAACAATATTTGTCACTAAATGTAACAGAGAACCCTAACTGCATTCTTGTAAAATCCATTTCCTTTCTCAAAATTTTGTTTATAGGACTGTTAGAGCCATTCCAATAATGTACTTTTTTTCATTTTTCTTTTTTTGTTTTTGACAGAGTCTCACTCTGTTGGCCAGGCTGGAGTACAATGGTGTGATCTTGGCTCACTGCAACCTCTGCCTTCTGGGCTCAAGTGATTCACGTGCCTTAGCCTCCCAAGTAGTAGCTGGGATTACAGGCATGTGCCACCAAGCATGGCTAATTTTTGTATTTTTAGTAGAGACAGGGTTTCACCATGTTGGCCAGGCTGGTCTTGAACTCCCAGCCTCAAGAGACCAGCCCACCTCGGCCTCCCAAAGTGCTGGGACTACAGGTGTGAGCCACTGCATCTGGCCCATCAATGCACTTTTGAAGGTGAGCCTCTCTTACTTGGGTTGATGGAGGTGCAGCCTTCCCAACTTAGCAGTTCAGAAATGAGGAAGCTCTCTTTCTGATGGACTGAATCTCCCACCCAAACTAGTCAAGAACAAGAGTAAATATCTGACCAATATAAGGTATGAGAAGTTTCAAAGCAGTGCCTAGTGCTCTTAGCTGCTAATTAGGTTCATAACCACCTGTCACCAGTTGGGGGCATGCGAGGAAAGAATCTTGCCCCTACAGCCCATGATGCATTGCAGGATCTGGACAGCGTGAACATTTAACCCAGGTCTGGTCCACATGGACACATTCAAATAACCTTTCAAGTTATGAAAAGCATTTTATTAATCAGGTGTGTGATCTTTTGGAGTTTAGATTCTAAAGATTATTTTTCATTCTAACGCCTTTTTGAGGACCAAATGTGAAGAAAAGAGGCTCAAATACAGGTGTCAGGATGAGATTTTCTTCTCTCATATTGATTCCTTCTTTCCTAGCCTGGTCCATTTATTCACTTCTACAAAGAAATAAGTTAAAATTACACTTCTATTGGTATAAGCCATGAAAATTATGCTCTGAGACGTGGCTACCATTTGTAGATGTGGTCCCTGGACCAGCAGCCTCAGCATCACCTAGAAATTTACTAGAAATGCGGAGTCTCAGGCCCCAGCCCAGACCTACTGAATCAAAGTCTGCATTTTAATGAAATCCACAGGTGATTTGTGTGCACACTAATGTTGACAAAGCACCAGTGTAGAAATACATAATAGAAGCCTCTACATGACGCTTAGAGACTTTGGACCTCTGGGATGGGGCCAGGTTCATGGAGAGGAATAAACAAAGGTGATGAGGAGGGAAAAAGAAGAAAGATGAAGATCAGAGAGAAGAGGGTGTCCTAATACCCACTCTAGATACACACTGGGCAAGCTGATAGGATGATACGTTGGGAAAAATAAATGCTTGATTCCATTGCCTGGATTCCACATACAATTGCCATTTGTTTCTGATAATGGACTGACTCCCCTTTCATCCTTACAGGTATTGTCAACATGACTAAGGGATTCCATGTGGCTCTAAAAGTTGGGCAGGGGAAACTTTCTTTATAAAGCTAAACTGCTTCTGCAAATGGGACACATAAAGAGCATAGTTTGGAATAAATTTTTCACCAGATGCTGGGTGCAGTGAATCATGCTTGTAATCTCAGCACTTTGGGAGGCTGAGTCAGGAGAAATTGCTTGAAGCCAGGAGTTCGGGACCCCAACTCTATAAAAAGCAAACAATATTAACTAAGCATGGTGGCACGCACCTGTAGTCCCAGCTACTCAGGAGGCTGAGCTGGTAGGATCGCTGGATTCCAGGAGGTTGAGGCTGCAGTGAGCCATAATCACTCCACTGCACTTCAGCCTGGATTACAGAGTGAGACCCTATCTCAAAAGTTAAAAATAAATAAATAAATAAATAAATAGTTTTCCACCAGGGACTCTGTTTGCCCAAAAATGTAAGTTGGGGATTTTCATTCCTAGAGTTACTTTCCCTCTGAACTCCAGACTCACTCCACCAACCGTCTTCTCAGCATCTCCCCTTGATGTCACACAGATAGATCAAACACAGCTTGAGCAATCTGCTCCCCATCGTGTCTCTTGTCACTTTGCATCTCTATAAATGGCATCACCTTCCATTAATTAAGTAACCATCCTAATTAAGACAGAATTCTGGGAGTCACTCTTCATTCCTTGATTCTACACTTTCATCATTCCCACACATCTATTCCACAACAAGTCCTATCAATTGCATCTCCAAAATATCTGTTTAAGCCATTCTCTTCTCTATATTCCCACTGTTTCATCTCAGTCTTGGCCATCATGATCTCTTGCCTGGACTCCTGTAACAGCCCCCTAATTGAACTATTTTCTTCCATTTTTGCCCTACTTCCAATCCATTCTCCTCTGAGAAGCAATTAGACACAACTTCTGAAATAACAACTTCTCCTCCTCCTCCTCCTCCTCCTTCTTCTCCTTCTCCTTCTCCTCCTTCTTCTCCTCTTCCTCCTCCTTCTCTTCTTTCTTCTTTTGAGCAGAGTCTTGCCTGTCTCCCAGGCTGGAGTGCAGTGGTGTGATCACAGCTCACTGCAGCCTTGATCTCCCAAGCTCCCAGATCTTCCCACCTCATCCTGTCGAGTAGCTGGGACCACAGGTGCATGCCACCACACTCGGGTAATTTTTGTATTTTTTGTAGAGGTGGGGTTTCAGCATGTTGCCCAGGCTAGTCTCGAATTCCTGAGCTCAAGTGATCTGCCCACCTTGGCCTCCCAAAGTGCTGGGATTACAGGTATGAGCATCGCACCCAGTGAATGATAAAGTTCTTAAAACATTAAGCCCTATTCCTCCCCGTGTAAACCCTCCCCATTGCATTTAGGGAAACATTCAAATCTTTACCATGATTTCTCAGCAATCTCCCCTCTACGACCCCCTTTTCCTATTACCCTGCTCAGTCCCTGCAATGGGCTAAATCTTATCCACACTGGTCTGTTTCTTGAATTGCCAAACAGGGTTTTACATATGCTGTTACCACTTCCTGGAATCTTTTCACTCATTCTTTCCAGGGTTTACTTCCTTCTTATGTTTTAATTAGAATGTCACCTCCTAAGAAAGGCTCCATTTCAACCATCCTTACTAAAATAAGCTTTCTCTGTAATTCTCTTACTTAGCCCCTTGTTTCCATCACAACATTTATTACAGATTAAAACAATCTTTGTTTGTTTTTCTATTTGTTTCTGGAGTTGCTGTCCTTGCAGCAGGCTGAGCTCCATAAAGGCATGGAGTTATCAGTCTTGCATGCTATAGTTTGCCCTGAACTCTGATAGTGCCTGGTGAAAGCAGTATTTCAATATATGTATTGTGAGTAAATGAAAGTCAAAATTATACACACAGGTTCACTGTGCATGTTCCAACATTAAATTGCAATTTCTTAAAATCTTAGAATTCTTGGTAGATGCATTTCTATGTGGAGAATTTCTGATTCCACCTTCTATTAAACCCTAAGAAGGATAATTTCTAATTATGAGAATTCTATGGGATCGCTGATTTCCTTGTGAGAAAGTATCACCTATTGATACATATTTTTTCCTGTGTATTAGACTAAGTGTTGGCTCAAATGAATTGCACTGGGGAATTTCTGAACTATTAAAAAGTTAAACCAAAGAATCACATGGCTCCTTCTCCATCATTTGTATAATTGCACTTTTGAAGATTTAATCTTCATAGGTGTTTTAGCTCTTGATTTAACAAAGAATAAGCATTTGCTAGAAAACCAAATTATCTACAACCTGCTTTCTGGAATGGAAAATTAAATGATTGCAGCTACAATATCATAGATTTGCTTTGTTTCTAGGATACAATCTATCCATGCAAATTAGTACAAATCTGTAGCTAGAAAGATTTGAGACTGGACTCAACAAAACAGCCTGCAGCAAATAAGCATTTTCATAAAATTTGAAATTGGGAGTCACTGCTCTGGTACAGTATATTATCAGGCATCTACTCTTCATGCCCTTGCTAAGCAACAGGTGGTCTCACCCGTTCTTTAATTTATTCTGCTGTGATGCTTTTCTTGTTCCTGTTTCATCTTGCTCAGTCTCCTTCTCTGGGGCCTTTTACCCCAGCTACAGGTTTGGTGTCAGTGTACCCCAGAGTCCTGCTCTCAACTCCCTTCTCAGTTTATATTGTCTCCTTAAACCATCTAGTTTATGAAACCACACTTTCATAGCTTCAATCCTCACCTGGAGACAGATGGAACCTACATTTCCTTCTTCTGCCTGGAAGAGCTCTCCTCAGAACCACAGATCTGTATTCCCAACAGCCTATTTGATAAATCCTCCTGAATGTGCTGCAAGTGATTTGGATTCAGTATTTACAAAATCAAACACACTAATAACCCCTGACCTTCAAAAAAAATCTCTGCTCTTCCTCCTGGGGAGGGTACCATCACTCACCCAGATATTCAAGCCAGAAAGAAGGGATCATCTAGGACTTCTCCATCTTAATTACTCCCATATTCTATCGTACTCCAAATGCTTTCCATTTTAGTTGCTAAATATTTCTTGGACATGTCTCCTCCATGCTACATCCTTTTCTTCGGTTCAGACTCTCATAGGATACAAAAAGTAAATGTTTTTATTTTTAGGTGAGTACTGTTCTAAGCACCTTATGTACCTTTTCATTTAATCGTATGCAGCCAATCTCATCAATTATTATTATAATCCCCATTTTCAGATGAGGACATTGAGGCACAGAGAAGTTGGGTAACTTGCCCAAGCCAGTAACAAACACAGCTGGGATTTGAATGCAGGAGTCCACATACATAACCACTAGGATATGCTGCCTCCAGTAATCTCTAGCCTGGAATACAATAGTCTCCTCATTCTTACTGCTGCCTCTTGTTTCTCATTCTAAAATCTTTCATATAGCCACTCAAAAGCTTCCTCAGTAATGAAGATTGGATTAAACTTGTTCAAAACCATTCAATGATTCCTCATCTCCTAAAAGGCAAAGTCCAAACTAATTGGCATAACCTGCATTACCATTCAGGGTTGTCCCAGCTGAGCTCTCCCACCCCCATGTCCTTGACTTTAGTCATATTCCAAATGTGGGAATTGATTTTCCTCTGTGTCATGTACTCCTCAGCTGGGACCCAAATCCCTTATCCCAGTAAACTCCAACCTAGTCTTCAAGATTCAAATATGACCTCTTCCTCATTTCTTTCCCTAAAAAATAAGGATTCCTTCTTTGGTTTCCCATATTAACTGTATTACTTAGCTATTGTCTCATTGTAATATAATTATTTGTTATTATTCATGTCTCTAACCTGGGCTGTGAGATTCTTGAGGGTGGAGAGAGTGCTGTAGACAATTTTACATTCTATGCCTTCTCAGTGTGCTACATAGTTCATTGAACTATTCACTGAGCATTTATTGTTTGAGGGATAAGAAACTAGGACTTGAGAGTATGAGAATGATACCTTAAACAATAGAACAGAATCTTCCCAGTGAATTTTATATGCATAATTTCTTGAAATTTCTAGCCATCAATTCCAATCATCTATCTAATATAGACAACCCCTGACTTATGATGGATCTACTTACAATTTTTTGATTTTAGGCTGGTGTGAAAGCAATACCCATTAAATAATACACTGCTCAACTTATGAGGTTATGTCCAGAGAAATACATTGCAAATTGAAAATGTCATAAGTCATGTGTGTTTTCACTTACAGTATTTTCAATTTATGATATGTTTATTGAGACATAAACCTGTCATAAGTCAAGGAGCATCTGTCCATGATTCTCTTCTGCAAAATCCACTCATTTAACAGGCATTTCTTGAGTGCCTTTTATGAATAAGTATCATGCTAAGATGTGGTCAACACAAAGAAGGCTAGTGTCTATTTCTGATATGAGCAAGTGTGTTCAGGGGTTTAGTGTAAGTGCAGGGGACTCAAATAAGAACACGCATTGTGACAGAAACCATGGAACAGGAAGACTCAAGGATTATGAGAGCACAGAGAAAAACACCAAACCCAGTGTGGTAGGGCGACAGCAAATGTCTTGGAGGTGGTGATAGTGATAGTGCCTTCCAAGTGAAGAAGAGACAGGCACCTACATTTCCAGAAAACAAAAAGATTATTGACTTTTCTGAGCTATGACGTAGCTTGATTTTGCCAAATAGGTAAACAAGAGACAGAAGATGAAGGGCATTTTTTGCCATGCTAAGAACCTTTGGCTTTATCCTAAAAGATGAGGATAAACTCCCCAGTTGTGAAGGATTTTAGACAAGGCAGTAACATGTCTTTTAAAAAATCACTCTGGGAGTGAGAAGCAGGGAGACAAGAGAGCTGTTCAGTCATCTATCTAGGTGAGAGATAATGGAATTCTAGCTAGAGATCTCTACAGTGGAGAATGAACATTAGGGGATGTGAGAAAAGTTAGTGGGGAAGAATTAAACAGCAAAGTGACTAATTGAACATAAAGATAAAGATAAAAAAGCGGGAAGGGTTAAGTTTGGTTCCCAGACTGGTAGAATGACAGAGCCATTCATATAGATATGGAATATGAGAGACAAAGGCCAGAGGGGTAAGAGAATGACTTCGTATTTGGAAACTATTGAGATTGTAGCACTGGTATGCTAGTGGAGTTATCCCATAGAATCTATTCAAAATTCAGAGAGGAAAAAAAAGAACTCTGAGTTGGAGATAAAGTACAGGAAATCAACACATGAATGTTAAGTGAAAGAGGAGGAGGAAAGGACTAAGGACAGGTCCCTGAGGAAAATCCATGCAAGGCATAAGATGACATGCTGATGAAGTACCCAGGTGTCCATCTTCAAAGTGAAAGAATCATGAAACCATAATGCTCCTAGATACACAGATATCGGTGTAGCCTTCAGGGGTATGCTAAGGCCATTGGAAGCAGGATTGCCTATGTGTGAGCCATATGCTCATCATCAGACCAATGGCTTCTCAGTAGCCAGAGTAGGCTCTAGCTTTAATGAATGAAGAACATAATTTTGTTTCTAATATAAAGTCATGGCTGGGTGCAGTGGCTCACACCAGTAATCCCAGCACTTTGGGAGGCTGAGGTGGGTGGATCACCTGAGGTCAGAAGTTCGAGACCAGCCTGGCCAACATGGTGAAACCCCCGTCTCTACTAAAAATACAAAAACTAGCCAGGTGTGGGGGCGGGCACCTGTAATCCCAGCTGCTTAGGAGGCTGAGGCAGAAGAATTGCTTGAACTCAGGAGGTGGCTGTTGTAGCGAGCTGAGATCATGCCATTGCACTCTAGCCTGGGTGAAAGAGTGAGACTCCATCTCAAAATAAGTAAATAAATAAAAATAAAAACAAAGTTAGAGAGATTAAATGTAGTTGAGGGATGGCATGAACATAGATATGCATAGCAATCATTATCCCTCGCAGCAAACTATTCTTAAATATTTTCCAAAATGTACTAGTATTTATATATTTGATTTTATCTAACCTCAGGTATGTATGTTTTCAGATTTTCATTTTGGGGGGAACACTGCTATACCGGGTGAAACTCATTAATAATACACAAGTCCAAGCACTTCAATTGTATTGAGGTTTCATTATGTTTCCTAAAAGAGAGGGAAAGAATGCATAAGCCAGATAATTGAATGAAGCCTTTGCTAGAGACTTATTTTGCAGCCATCTTCAACAATTCTTTGGTCCTCGTGGATGGGAATGTTTATCTATGTATTTGTGTAATATGTGGTCCCACAGAGTCCAAGCACCTGAAAAATCTAATTAGCCTGGTCTTGATTGACTGTGCATAGGATAATGCCATAGTCCTCAGTCTGCTCTTCGTCTCCTACAGCGTGCTTACTGATATGAAAATGAAGACACAGCAAGAGTTTCCATGAGCAGCTGCCAGACGGGCTTCTTGTGCTATCTTGTCCGTACAGAAAAATTGCCCATAAATAAGGGGGTCTGTCCACCAATCAGGGGCTGGGAAGTAGGCTGCACCCAAGGAGAAATCACAGCAGCAGGTTGTATGACTATAACGCAGTTACACCATTAGAGGCAGCATTTTGCAGCCCTTGCTGGGGACAGCCCACCAGCAAACAGCATTGCATGGTTAAGAACTACAGTGAAAACATCAGGAAGAGGAAATTTAAGACTTGTTTTGTTTTGTTTTACTATCATTTAGCAAAATGTTGCTGCCACATTTGGCACTGACCTTGAAAGTTTACAAAATCCACCCTATAAAATGGTCTAAACTACCTTTTGTGGGAGTGAGAAGAACGTGATTCGGACATTGATTAGCAAATCCAAGCAGAGGTGCTATTATCACGAAGCTAATAAAGCTTAAGTTTCCTGGCCCCTCGCTAGCATGAGCCCCTTCAAAGGCCTTGTATTTGTAATTTTGTGGTTTTCAGTTTGCATTCTGTATCTTAAAGAGGACCCCAGGAGTTGCAGAAACTTTAGTCCCATCAAATCTGGATCAGCCCATGGACTTCAGCCATAAGTTGTCCTGTGGCAGAGCCCCCTAATCGTTCCATAGGATCTATTCTCTTTCGTTAATTGAATGATCTAACCACCCACCCCACTCCAAGTTTTAGAAAGGCATGTCTGCCCATGTCTGTCTACATTTCTCAGCCTTTTTAGAGGCTAGGTGGGGCATGTGACCAGGACAAATTTGAGACAGGGTTTTGCTCTGTTTCCCAGGCTAGAGTGCAGTGGCACAATCTCAGCTCACTGCAGCCTCAACCTCCTGGGCACAAGTGATCCTCCTACTTCAGCCTTTTGAGAAGCTAGGGTTACAGGTGTGCACCACCAGACCTGGCAATTTTTTTTTTTTTTTTTTTTTTGTAGAGATGGGGGTCTCACTTTGTTGCCCAGGCTTGTCTTGAACTCCTGGCTTCAAGGCATCCTCCTGTCTCAACCTCCCAAAATGCTGGAATTACAGGCATGAGCCACTGCACCCGGCCACCAGGACATTTTTGTCAGATGAGAGCAGAAGTAACACGAGCAATTGCTGGGTTTTCCCTTTTGCAAGAGTGTGTGCTCCCCTTTTTTATTTCCCCTCTTTCTTTTGGCTGACAAAAGGCATTAGCTGGGAGCAGCCACGTTGGACCCAGAGACAGAAGCCATGTTCACGATATACTTCCCTCTGCACTATTACTTGAGAGAGATACAAGCTCATGTTTACTTAAGTCTCTGTACTTTGGGGGCCTTTCTTTGACAACAGCTCAGCCTGTGCTCTTCTCTCCCATTGGATTCACTGGGTCAGGGTTTACTTCAGAGGCAATGTGCAACGGAGAGAGTTGGCAGAGTACACCTGAGTCAAAGCCTTTGGAGGGTATTGAAGAGTCAGAAGCTGGAGAGACAGATATACAAGTAGTTAGGAATAGAATCATGATAAAGATTCCCTCTTATTCTCCTTTAATTGATAGCACTGTCATGAAGACAGCGATCCAGACTGAGAAAGAAATAGAAAATTTAGCTGAGATACAATGCAGGTTTTTCTGGCTGTCTCAGCTTTGTCTCTTCAAATATACAAGTGTTCAGAAATAGAATCATGATAAAGAAGGAATTCTGTATGGGTGTGGTGGCTCACACCTGTAATCCCAGAACTTTGGGAGGCTGAGGTGGGTGGATCACTTGAGGTCAGGAGTTCGAGGCCAGCCTGGCCAACATGTTGAAACTCCATCTCTACTAAAAATACAAAAATCAGCTGGGCGTGGTGGTGTGCACCTGTAGTCTCAGCTACTTGGGAGGCTGAGGCAAGAGAATCGCTTGAACTCAGGAGGCAGAGGTTGTAGTGAGCCAAGATCATGCCGCTACACTCCAGCCTGGGCTACGGGAGTGAAACTTTGTCTCAAAAAATAAATAAAAAATAAATAAAGAGAGGATTCAGTCAGGTAACTGGTGGGCTCAGGATCAGAAGGGGGGCAAGAGAGGTAGGTCCCAGAGCATTGGCTGTTGGTGCCCATGGCTTGACAGTGGGGCATGGGTATATTGGGCTGTGGTGTGAAGAAGAGTCCATGAGGAAAGCCGTGTAAGCCATCAGGCTTTGTGTCTCCTGACCTGCACCCCCAGCCTCAGCTGATGGAACCGAGGATGAGTGCTGCTCCTACGCTATGGCCTATAGGTTAGCCAGTCCTGCACCATTCCTCCCACCAGTATGTTCTACTCTGATAGGATTGACTATTGTGCTCATATCCTTTCTCATATGAAGTTTGAATGAGAGAGCTAGAAAGAGAGAGTGAAGAGTTGGCAGTGGGAGTAGAAACCAAAAGACATGAAGGAAGAAGACAGTAAGAAAACAATAAGACAAACTGACCCATCAAAAGAAGCAGGGAGAAGGGTCAGGAGAGGAAGCAGGTGGATGGAGGAACCGAGTCAGGACCATAGCTCACTTGCTTTTGAGATTCCAGAACTTTGGCTGCAGGTTTAAAGCCACTGCTCTACCCTCCACTTCATTAGTTCTTCGTGAGATTCTCTGGCTTTGCAGCTTCTGAAAAGATGTTTTTCCTTCTTTTTTGCCATGGATAGCCTTCAAATAAACCCCTTTAACTGAGATAAACTGTGCTGATTTGAAGAGTCAAAGCCGAGATAATCAGAAAAACTTGCATTTTATCTCCTCTAAATTTTCTATTTCTCTCTCAATCTGGATTCACTGACTTCATGACAGTGCTATCAATTAAAGAAGAATAAAAGGGAAGCCAGAGATATTTTCGGGACATGAAGGTCTGATGTTGAAGTTGAAAAAGTCAGGAAAGTGATGGAGTGTGTCCTTCGCTGCATATAATTTGTCCAGATGAACCTCGTAGCAGAATGACAAGATGTCATTGTTCATGTTTGCAGCAGATACAAATTTAGAAGAGTTTATGTGTATTTAGTCTCACTGCTGGAAGAGCTGTTAGAACATGACATGCTATTCTGGTTCCCTCCTGTGAATTCCTGCTATGCTAGAGGGAGGGGAAGAGGTTTTACATTGTGTTCCGAAGACATCTACTTTAAGGAGCTATTTTTCTGAAAAGGAAAGATGATAGCTTCAGTAATACCTGGCAGGCATCTGCAGAGCTCACAGCCATTTTTACCTTATCAGATTTGTCCTTCAACTCCTTGGAGAGAAAAATGAGTGAGCAGAAGAAGCATTCTGTCAATTTTAGAAAATAAGGCTCTCTAGCATTTCTGCCTGATCTCTCACTTTTCTGCTCAGCCCATCCTCATCTCCAGCTCCCTGCGCTGCTTTGACATCCCTGTTTGCGCTCTGGGACTACATGCCTCTGCACCTCCATCTCCAAGTATGAACATCCATTCCTCTGTCAGCCAAGACTTGACTTAAATTCCAGGTCCTTTTTGAATTGGGGTGGCTGGAGGCTCTTTCTCTAGCTACTGAATAGCATTGCCACGTACCAGATATGGCCTGGGAAGACATCTGAACACATACATATGTTCCCAACCAGGTGTTGGGCACTTAGAGCAGGAGTCAGCAAGCTATGGCCTGGGTGCCCAATCTAACCTACTCCCGATTTTTGTAAATGAATACAAAACTCATTTGGATGAATGAACATCTATTAGTATATAGCCACACCTATTTGTTTACATCTATAGCTGCTTTCATGCTTCAGCGGCACATTTGGGTACTTGTCTGCACACCTAAATTATGTACTTTCTGGTCTTTTAAACAATTTTGCTAATCCCTGACATAGAGGAAAGTGACCATGCCCAATCTAGCATCTGATACAATGAAAACACTCTGAAAATTCTTATGGAGGAAAGGGAGAAAAAAAAGAAGGAAGGAAGGAGGCTCAAGGAGATAAAATGAAATTACCCTCAAATCACATTTTGCACAATGAAATATTAGAACAGGATTCAAATCAGAATACACTCAGGACTGGCTATTTCCAGTAAGCAGGCAGGTGGAGGAGGAAGAATTAAAGGGATTGGAATAAAAGTGATTGTTCTAGTTCACTATTGCTGAGTTATCAACTACTCGGAAATGTAACAACCATTTTATTGTATCTCATGATTTTTGGGGTTAGACATTTGGTGGACAGGGTTTGATTGGGTGATCCTTCAGTCCCATGTAGTGTCAATGGAGATGACTTGGTGGTATTCAGCTGGCAGACAGGCTGGTTTTAAAGGTCCAGTTCAGCTGTACTATATGCCCGGTGCCTTGGTGGGTACGGTCGTAAGGCTGGGCTCAGCTGTGGCGTCTGGCTTCAGGATGGTCAGACTTCTTACATGAAGGTTCAGGGCTCCAGGAACAAGCAGTTCAACAAACAGGCAAAAGCTACATCACCTTTTTATGATCTAACTCCAGAAGTCACAAAAAGACACTTCCACCCTACTCTGCTGGTTGAAGTAGTCATGAGCCTGCTTAGATTCAAGGGGAGGGAACATAACCCCCAACTCTTAATGAGGAAAGATCAAATAATTTGTGGCCATGCTTAAACCACCCCAGGGGAAAGAAGATGGAATTGTTGGGGGCAAGTAACCAACATTTACTAAAGGTTTTAGTAGTTATTTCACTACAACCTTCTGAAAAAAGTATTATTCCCATTTGACAGCTTAAAAAATACATTTAAGATTAAATGACTTAATTAACTTACACAAAATGACTGAGCTGGTGAGTTACAGAGCTGTGATTTCAACTCAGGCATAACTCCAACTCTGGAACTTTTTCTATTATATCATGATGTCTGTCACAGAGAAATGAAGAAGAGTCAAGCATGGCAGACAGGGCAGTGATAAGGTTAAAAGGAAAAGCCCATGTCTTTGCCTTCCAGATCTTGGGAAATAATTGTTGGTGGCAGCAGGTGCCTGAGTGTCTTTCTGCAAAGACAGAATGCCCTGGTATAACAACAATAACAACACTTGCTGAAACCCCAGTCTGGAAAGTGCCAGACTGATCGCTTCTCCAATTCCTAGTCAGCTATGCCAGGCAGTCTCTGACCAGAGTCACCACACCTTTGACCACTCAAAAGGGTGATGCTGATAAACTACTCAACTATCTCCTATGCAGTAGGTGACTCTCACATCTTTGTCTTCAAACAGATCCTCTCACACGGGCAAGCTCCAGGCCCCAACTTCAAACTCCCTATAGGCCACATCCACTTCGATGTTCCCGAAGCTCAGACTCAACATGTCAGGACACACAGCATCATTTTCTCTTAGCACACTTCTGCTCCTCCTGCCCTCCTTGGTCTCCAGACCTGTGAATCCTCACCGATTGCTCCCTAACCTCCTCCTGAGGGGCAAGACAATATAGTCTGGTAGATTAGCACATGGGCTTTGGTACTGTGCTGCCTGGGTTTGAGTTCCTGTTGGCCTTAGTTATATGACTTCAGGCAAGTTATTCTATCTCGTTGAGTGTCTGTTTGAGATGATAGACTCTGAGATGGCAACAATAATAGTACCTCCTCAGAGCATTTTTAGAACTGAGCTAATATTTTGAAGTGTTTAAAATAGCTTGTGGCACATACTAGGCACGCAGTAAACATTAGCTATCATAATGCTCAATTAGTTTCCAAGTTCTAGTAGTTTTTTTTTTATATATTTAGGGTTGTTTTTCTTACTACCTTGACTATCTTAGCCCAACTCCTCATGACCTTATCCCCATGTAGTTGTGATTACTTTACAAGAGGGGAGACTCATGCCCTCACTTCTTCTCCATCAATCTGTGCTGCACATAGCTAGCTGAAAAATCTTCTCCATTTATTGGCTTCCTGTGTACTAGGCAATACACCAAGCATTTTAGAGATATTATCTATAACCTTTGCAACACCTCACTAAGCTGAGGACTCTATTATTCCTCCTATGACAGATAAGGACACTGGCCTCAGAGAAAATAACTTGTCCAAGGTCACACAGCTAGTAAGTGGCAGAGTCAAGATAAGAAACTTGTTGATGTTCTCTTATCACTCCATACTTCACTCTTCTATGACATCAGACTTCAATATTCAATATATCATCTCCCTGCTTAGGAACTTAAGTAAATAAATAAATAAGCAAATAAATCAATGACTTCAGGGAAGGAGAGCTAGAAACCTTCAAAAGTTTTTTATTATATATAGGATTTCATTTACCCTAATATTTAAGCACAGGACAATTTAGCCCCAAATTAATTTTCTAATTTAGGGCCTAATTTCTAACTGGGACTTCTCAGCCCAAACTCTCTATTCTAGTCTGTCTGACCTACTCATCACTCTACCACAGACCACAGTGCATTCCTGTCTCTGAGTCTTGGTGACATTCACCTAGCTGGATTGCTCTTCCCGCACTACTGCACATCCATCTAGCCAAATTATACCCAGGTCACACCTCAAACCCCACTTCCTCCATGGGCCAAAATAACAGATGCTGGTGAGGGTGTGTGGAAAAAAGAACTCTCATACATTGTTGATAGGAATGTAAATTAGTACAACCATTACAGAGAACCATATAGAGATTTCTCAAAAAAAAAAAAAAAAAAAAACCCTGAAAATAGAACTACCGTATGATTCAGCAATCCCACTACTGAGTATTTATGCAAAGGAAAAGAAATCAGTGTACCAAAGGGATACATGCACTCCCATGTTTATTCACAATAGCAAAGATATGGAATCAACTTGTATCCATCAGTGGATGAATGAATAAAGAAAATGTGGTTTATTTATGCAATGGAATACTATTTGTCCAAAAAAAGAATGAAATCATGTCATTTACAGCAACATAGATGGAACTGTAGGTCATTATATCAAGTTAAATAAGCCAGACACAGAAATAAATATTGCATGTACTCACTTATATGTGGGAGCTTAAAATATGGATCTCATGGAGGTGGAAAATCAAATGGTGGTGACAAGAGACTGGGAAGGATTTAGATGTGTAGATGAAGACAGATTGATTAATGGGTACAAACATACAGTTATACAGAAGGAATAAGCAGTAATATTCAATTGTAGAGTAAGGTGACTACAGTTAACAACAATGTATTGTAGCTAGAAGTGAGAACTTGAAATGTTCTCAACACATAGAAATGGTAAAGTTTATGGTGATGGATCTCCTAAACATCCTGAAGTAGAAGTACACATTCTACGCATGTGACACAATGTCACATGTACCCCATAAATATGTACAAAACCCAAACCAACAAACAAAAAAATAATCACAAAGGGCCTGAGATTTCATAATAGCTACTGGAAAGCTAACAATTTAGCCAGCCAAGTTTCATGGATGCTGGTAGAAGGCATAGAACTCCTGGGTCAGAGACAAAGGACAGTTTTTAACTCACAGCAATGGTAGTAGCCAGAGTAGCAGCATTTTTGGGCCAGTTCTTCAAGTCCTGATGCCCCTGGGGTAATGTGGAGAGGGTCAAGTGACACCAGCACACACAGTAAGCTGCACTATAAGGAGAGGAATAGAGAGAACTTAGGACAGCCTCATGTTTTATAATGGATGGTAAACACGCTTCCCTTTTACTATCTCTAAACTCCAATGCTTGATGCTTCCTAGAAAGACATTACCTCTCTCTCTCAATGTGTTTACTATACAAAAATCCTTGAAAAGTTAGCCAAGAACAAAGATAGTCCATGCCTCCGCTCACAAGATATATGGAAACAAGAATCCCATGAAGAATGGTCTTTTGACACTGACAACCCAGGCTACATTGATGTTGCCTTCCTCTGTGTTTCTAAAACAGTATTTGTCTAGCTTGAGTGATGTGCAAAGCACTTCTGAGAAAACAAATTCTCATAGGCCTCCTAGGGTTCTCTTAAGCACTTATATTGTAATGTTATTTAAGTACAAGTAAGCCTAGGTGTATTCTCATTGTGCTCGTAGCTCTTACATACTAGAAAAAAGGGCAAGGAGTATAAATGCAAACCAAAACAAGAAAAGCAATCAATTTCATATTTACAATATTAAATTATTTTTACAGAAATTATTGCTTGGCTAAAACTAAATTGTCGATGTAGGCTTTAGTACTAAAAAGAAAACAAGTCCATATCTACATTTACCCTGCTCTTGTTTTTTTATTTCAACAATATCAGTGTGAATAATGCCTATTTGCAAAATATTTTGTACAAAACAGTATTAATAACAATAAGCTTTTGTTTGCTAATTCAGGGTTATTATACCTTATAGTTAACCTAAGTTAAAAAGCAATTTTAAAATAAACAAAGAAAAAAAGAAAAAAGAAAACAAAACAAAAAAGCAATTCTAATGTTACACTGCTTTATAGACTCTGAAAAGTTACATTCTCTTAAAATTTCTTAGCTTTACTGAATTACCAAATGTGTACTAAATGTGTTTGTCTAATTTAGTTATTGGTGGCATCAGCATATCTGGGTTCTTTTTTTCCTTGCAGATGTCAAAAACAAATTTCTAGTTTTATTAAAGAGTTGATAAGAATATTGACAGAATCCTGTACATATCAGAAATAGAATTTTATGAATAATTTGATCTTCAGTCAAGTTTTCTTTCTATCGCAGTCACTTTGACTTTACCTAGGATATTTAAACTCCTGTGAAAGCTTTGCTCATCCAGAGGAGTCCCATGTCCTTTGGCCATTCATTGGCTGTAGCACCTCATTTACACTTCACATCCACTAGAACAGTCGCAGCCGTATGTTACTGCTTGACCACAGTATGTTAGTGTAAATGATGGCAAATCTAAAAGTCTCAAGTTATTGAATAACATGAGAGACTAAAATATTACTATAGAAATAGGTTTTGTGATGGCAAATCATCACCAGACAGGATTTTGATATGAGGAGAGAGGTGGGCACAGCCTTCTTCCTGACAATTTGACATTGGAACATAGCTATCCATAATAATAGTGCTCAGACACTAAAAGTCAGTAAAAGTCAAAATCTCTAATTTGTGGAAATTGCTTAACAATTATACATACATAAATGTCATATGCAGAACATACTTAAATCACTTTTTGATTATCCTAATCAGAAAAAAATAACATTAGAAAATTTTTGTTGAGAATTGAGGATCCCCAAGAGTCTGTCCGAAGGCCCGCAGGAGTTCATGGACAAAGTCTGAGAAACCTGTTGCCAGGAAGCATCTTTGCCAGTGGTATGCGCCACGGGTCTTTTCATTTCTTACTTCCTTCCTAGCTATTTTCCATCTCCAGATTTTATTGCTTTTCTGTCTCTTAGAACTGACCTCCAACTCTTCACACAACAAACACACTGACCTTTCTCTCTTCCCTCTCAGTCACTTCCTGCGGCTTTCTCAGCCTAATGCAGCCCTCTTCCTCATGAGTGGCCATTCTTTTGGCATCTACCCAGGAGGCTTAACAACAGCGACTGTTTTCCTCAACTGGAGAGACACTTAGGCACAAAGACATCAAGGGCTTTGCCTGAATTCACTCCTCGGGCCAGGGATCAGGCCCACCTCTTCACCTCCTTTTACATATTTACTCCGATAGGCGGGTCCCCGCAGTCACGATTACACACAGTGAGCACCAGACCCTGCAAAAAGATAGCACCAATGAGGAGGGTCACAGTTCCTGCTACAACAGCTTTTGTTGTTGTTGTTGTGTTTATTGAGATCAGTGGTTTTTAAACATTTTTTTTTTAACAACTGTGGTAAAATACACATAACTTAAATTTACCATCTTAACCATTTTGAAGTATGTAGTTCGTTGGTTTTAAGTACATTCACTTTCCTGTACAACTGTCACCACCATCCATCTCCACCATCCATCTCCAAAACTCTTTTCTTTTTATTTGCTTTTTTTTTTTTTTTTTTTGAGACAGGGTCTTCCTCTGTCTCCCAGGCTGGAGTGCAGTGGTGTGATCATGGCTCACTGCAGGCTCAGCCTCCTGGGCTCAAGAGATTCTCCCAACTCAGCCTCCCAAGCAGCTGGGACCACAGTCACCTGCCACCATCCCTGGTTAATTTTTAAAATCATTACTACTATCTGTAGAGATGGGGTCTCTCTATATTGCCCAGGCTGGTCTCAAACTCCTAGGTTCAAGTGATCTTCCCGCCTTGGCCTCCCAAAGTGCTGGGATTACAAATGTGAGCCACCGCGTCCGGTCCAGAACTCTTTTCATCTTGGAAAACTAAAACCCGCACCTGGTATACAACAACTTCCCATCCTTTCTCCTCCAAGTCCCTGACAAACACCATTCTACTTTCTGTCACTATGAATTTGTCTACTCTAGGCACTTCATATAAGTGGAATCACATATTTGTCTTTTGGGAACTGGCCCTTCCCCTTTGATATAAAATACAATGCACGCACAAACATCAGATTAGCCTGAGACCATGCTGGCCTTGGGAAAGGCCCTTGCTGTTCTGTACTCCCACACACAGGGCTGTTCTCTCTGCATACCTCTTCCCCCCACCTCTTGTCATGCAGACTTGTCAGCTAGTTGAAAGTTGACTCCATTCCTTTGGCCCCCCAGGTTGAGAGTGATTAGATTAGACCTGGAAGAAATAGCTGCTCTCACTGTGGAATAATGAGCAGTGGTTCTTACCCCCTTTTTTTTGGTTTTGGCTAAGAGCTTTTGAGGATCTAATGAAAGCTGTGTGCCCTCTTTCAGAAAATGGCACAGACATGAATACTTTCCCATGTAGCTTCAGGGGCTTGTATACCCTGATTTGATTTGGGTTCCCTCAAAAAGAAGACCCTGAGGTAAAGGATTTGGGAACAAGTCATTCATCTGGGAGGCAATCCCAGGGAACATGATGAGGCCTGAGACAGGAAAGGGAGGAAAGCCGGTGAAAGGTATGCTCATCAGCGGGTACCACTGTGGACAACAGAGGCCCGCTGGCTCTGGGGACCCTCCAAAACAACGTGCAGAACATACCTCAGAATCGTCCCACCGAGGGGTGAAGAAGCTAGGTGCTTATTCACCAACTCACATCTTTTATTGGCTGGAGGTCATAGTGTTAACTCTCAGGCCATCCCAGCCTGCTCTGACCTTGGGCAGGTGTGCTCCTGCAGCCACACAAAGCCCTCAGCAACCAGGAAGGCTGGCTGGTTTATGGAATTACTCACTGAAGCTGAAGGTAACCTCTGGGTGGGCCGAGGAGATGGAGGAGTGGGGGTGGGGGGACATGAACACTGTTTGCTGTGGCTTCCTAAAAGCTAATCCACACATCCAGGTTAAGAGCCTTTGGAATAGGCTTACTAACATCCTTCCAGCTATAGTAGCCTGTTGTTCAGTTTTCGCAGTGGACAACTTGCTTGTACTCTCAGGCCGAATTCTTCAAGCAGATATTTAAGAGAGTCCTCTTCCAGGCAGCCTGTGGCAGGCATCCTTGCTGAGACTGCACCAGCCACATAGCTTAACATAGCCCCATCTGTGGGTCTGATGGAGCTATCATTATTTACTCTAGATGTTCATTCTGACAGCAGTGAGTGGTAAGGCCCAGCCCAGTGGACTCATGTGTTTAATTCTGTAGTTTATGAGAATAAAGCACACAGTGGGAACCTGCAAAAAGTTTAAATGAAAATGGCCTGGCTGCCACCTCAGATTGTATTCTCTGTTGTTCATTTCCCTGCCTTATAATTAAAGCCCACAGAGGAGGCAATTTCATTAAGCAATAAACCACCACCAACATGGGGACCTTAATGATAAAATGCAATTTACAAAAACAACAACACCCAACCATGAGCATCAGGACTTTTTGATGGTGGCTTTCCTGATTGTCACACTGCGGGATGTGGAAGCAGAGTAGAAACAATTAGGATCTGGAATCTTGGCTTCTATTTAGGATTAAATTATGTCTCTCCAAAAATTGTGACCTGTGAGTATAACACTTTTTAGAAATATAGTCATCCCTTGGTATCCACGGGGGATTGGTTCCAGGATCCCTGTGGATACCAAAATCCATGGATGCTCAAGTCCCTTATATAAAATGGCATAGTGTTTGCCTCTAACGTACGTGCATCCTCCCGTATACATTAGATCATCTCTAGATTACTATAATACTGAATACAAAGTAAATGCTATGCAAATAGTTTTACACTGTATTGTTTAGGGAATAATAAGAAGAAGAAAGTCTGTACATGTTCAGTAGAGATGCAACTCTTCTTCTTTTTTCCAACTATTTTCGATCTGCAGTTAGTTGAATCCAAGAATGCAGAACCCATGGATATGGAGAATCAACTGCAGAGTCTTTACAGATGACCAAGTTAAGATGAGGTCCTTAGGGTGGGTCTTAATCCACTAAGCATGTGTCCTTATAAAAAGGAAATTTGGACCTACAGCTAGGCATGCATAGAGGGAAGACAGTGTGAAAACACAGGGAGAAGACAGCCTGAGAACAGATTCCCACACGGCCCCCAGAAGGAACCAGTCATCTGACACCTTGATCTCAGGCTTCTAACCTCCAGATCTGTGAAGACAATACATTTCTGCTGTTGATGCCACCAGTTTGTGATACTTTGTGACAGCAGCCCCAGGTAACTAACACAAACTTTGAATAAGGGAACGTGCTGCAGTCCAAGCTTAGGGAGAGTGATGGGGCAGCGAGAGAGCATGAAGAACATCATAAGGGGTGAGGCTGGGAGTCTGAACCATCACGGCACATGCCACTGAGTCACCAGGAATCAGGGACAAGAGTCAAGAGAGTTAATACCGGGTACAGGCAATTGGAGAAGAACTCACTCTCCATGAATGGGCCTGTTCTCTCCCCTCTTTCTCTTTTGCTGGGAATTCCCTCTACCTTCCTCCACAACTTAGAGGAACTAGCCTCTTGAAGAAGTCCATGTCCCTTTCCCTCTTGCTGGGACTGCATTGAAGGGCCTCCTATGTACCCACAAGACCTGCATCTTATCCCATCAGAGTGTTTGTCTCTCTGCATTGTAATGGCCTCCCTGGAGTTCCCCTTATTGGCTGTAACCTCTCTGAGCACAAGTGCCAGGTCTTTTCCATTATGTATCCCCATCACAGGGGAAGAAAATGCTTGTTGAAGAAACAAATGAATGATGGAGGAGGCATAAAAAGCATGGACTTGATATTAAGATAAAAATTAGCATCTTGGGGACATTTATGTATTTCCTGGGCTTGAAGTGATTGTAGGAAGTGGCTTCCTAGGTCAGATGTTGGTCAGCAGAACCAGCAGTTGGGAAGGGTTTGTGTCTGGTTGAGGTTGGCAACACTGTAACTAAAGCCATGTAGCATGCATTCATTCATCCGTTCATGCACAAGCGTGCTTCCAGTGCTGTAGTGTCCCAGGCACTGAGCTGGGTGCCAACGATACAAAGATGGGAGACTAAAATTCCTTGAGGGCTTTACAGATTGGTGGTGGGAAAACACATGTAAACAAGAAAGGGCAAAGGATATATTTTCAAAGATGTTTGCTGGATCATTATTTATACTATAAAAAGTTGGGGACAACCTCAGGGCCTATTTATGGGGAATTCTGACTATAGGAGAAACATGACCATATATTCTGGTTGATAATTTAGAATATATCTTACATCCGGGTAGTTATTACCCTGGCCCTGAAAAGTGTTGCTGCAGAAAAGTGTTGCCGCATAGCTGACACAATAACTGTGCCTTAAAAGTCCATCCCTCCATTCTGTCAGGCCAGCAGCTTCAGGAACCTGATAAGACCAGTGAATTCAATGAGCCCAAGCCTATCACCACACTTGATTTGCTGCAAAATGAGTTCTTTGGTCAGAGACAATCCTGTATAGGGTACTATGACAATGAATGAGGCATTTTGTAAGTCCAGGAGTACTGGTTTTGGTAGAATTGTGGATAGAAAAGGTAAATCTATAGCTGCTACTCCTGCCATGATGGAAGGGGTCCAGTGTAATCAACCTCCTGGCAGGTGAATTGCTGCACCCCCAGGGGATGGCGCTGCATGGGGGCTCAGTATTGGTCTCCACTATTGGCAGGCTTGCTGAATGTCAGTCCATGTTGCTGAGCCCATGGGTAACCTCCATCCCTGCCTCCATGACTGATGACCCCATTGAGCAGACAGGAGTTATTAGAGGAGAAGGCTGATTGACATAGAATAGGGTGCCTTGTTCACCTGGTTATTGAGATCTTCCTCGGTTGAGGTTGCTTTGTACTTATTCAGAGAAATCTATCTACATAATCCTTTTCCAGGTCTCCTTGTCACCAATCTTCCAAATGTGTTCCTTCCAAGTCTCTGGCCATTTAACTACTTCCCATGAGTCAGTGAGTCATACCACTGATTATCATGAGGCATACTCCCGATTATCAATTCTTCCAGAAAAGGATAAGCAAACAGATACATTGCTCAATATTCTGCCACTAAAAGGATTTCCCTTTGCCTCTATCCTTAAGGGCTTTGAGAAAAGTTGTCATGCTCACCTAGCTGCCCACTTTCAAGTAATGCTAGCATATTGGGCAGGATGGTCTGTAAACCAGACCTAAATAATTCTTCTTCAGTCATTCAGTTGTAGGGAAAATACCATGAGAATGTGGGTGCAGGTGGGTAAAGAAGAAGTGAGTAGCAAGAGTAGAAGCCATTCTCAACCATTTGTTTAGACAACTTACTTCTGCCTTCAGGATAGGCCTGAGTCTCTTCCACTCAATGAAGTGCTGTTTTGCATGCTCAGTGTTGTGATGCAGTGGGTCAGATAGCACTCAATGAATGATGGGCAACTCAAGTCCCATGTCCATTTGGTGGCCCATGATCAAATGGTCAGTCTATACTAGGGCTCAATTGCAAGCCAGAAACCGTTTCCCAAAAGGACAATAGTTGCTGACAGGGGATTGTATATCTACTCCAACATCCTGAAGATATGCACTATGATTCACCTAAAGGAGCATTTCCAAAGGCTCCAGACAGCATCCATATTGGCCACAGACTCTTTAAGCACTAATAGATTTACTGGGTCATATGGCCCAAGTGGCAGAGCAGCTTTAATGGCAGCCTGGACATCCATCAGAACTGAAAACCTTTCAATTATTTGATGAATGGGTTAGAGCACTCCCAAATAAGATATATGTGGCCTCCAAAATTCAAAGAGGCCCACTAGCCATTATGCCCATTCTTAGTGGTAGGAAGACCCAATGCAGCAACTTGTCCTTCACTTTGGAAAGATTATCTTGACATGGCCTAGACGACTAGATTCCTAAGAATTTCACCTAGGTGGCAGGCCCTTGAGTTTTTGCCAGATGTATCCCACTCTCTGGCATGAATGTGTCTTGACGTGCTGTCTAGGGTAATGGCTATTTCCTACTTTGCAGGTCCAAGGAGCATGATGCCATAATGTAGAGGGCCAGCGTCATATTCTGTGGATTGAAGATGCAATACAAAATCCAGACTGGATTTTGACAGAGGACTGGAGAGTTCATAGAGTCTTGAGGCAGGCAGTGAAGGTGCACGGCTGAGACTTGCCAGCTGAAAGCAAAGGGCTTTTGATGGTCTTTACTAAGATGTATGTGGAAAAGCATTCACTGGGGCACTTGTCATCCTGGAGCCCATGTAAAGGGTGGGTTGTGAAACCTGCTGAATTTGAAAGACTCCACATTATTTCCCACGTTGTATGCCTTGTTACTATTTCCATCGGTGGTGTGGAACGTCAGCTGATCTTGTATTCCTTTTTCTCGGCACAGCTTCGTAACTCCTTTGTATCAAAATGAAAATCAGGAATATTAGAAGCATCTGACTTCTAAAAACAACAGGTACTTCATGGCAGGGAATGGTGTGAATCTATGGATTATGTTGCATACTGGAATGTGGAAGAGCAAAACATGCCAAGGTTATAATGAAATTCAGATATTCACTGTGGGTACTTTCCTAGGAAAATTGTCTAAAACAAACAAGCACTCATATATAGAATCACACATTCTCACTGACCTCCATTGCATTTTGGAACTGTATGAAAAGATACAAAGATGAATGTGGTGGCCCTTTCCAGAGGTGCTCACTGTCCAGATGGGAATGCAAGATTAAATTAGCCGGAATGAGTTCCCCGGGCTGCTAGTTAAGAGGAGATTTTTGATGAAGGACTTTTAAATGGGCGCATCAAATACTTGCTGGGGAGAATATCACTCCCTGATAAAAGGGACATTGAATAATAGAACAGCTAGCCAGGAAGGGACTTTAGAGGCCATGCAGTACAAGCCTCTTATTTGACAGATGAGGAAAATGAGACTTCTTGTGTGGAAGTGATAGGACCACAATCACACAGCTAGAAATTTTAGAGTTTCAGTGAAGTTTAATATCCTGGCCCTTCCTTTCACAAACTATATAATCAAAATGAGCAAGTTGCTTGACTTCTCAGTGCCTCAGTTTCCTGATCTGTAAAATGAGGTAAAATGAGGATAATGACAGTACCTACTCACAGAGTGGTTGCAAATATTTCTCTAAAGGAGATATTTAATGTCAAGCATGGGGCACAGTAGTACATAGCAAACAATAAATGTGCTATGTTATTAATTGTAGTAGTAGGATAGGCTTCTGATTCTCACCCCAGTGTGATTTCTAATAGGCTATCTTTAAAACGGCTTTTGTCAGAATAGAAGGTTCTAACTTGTCTCCAAGGGGATTAGACTTCTAACAATGACCTTGTCAGGTGGTCTCTCATCACCTCTAACAAACAATGATCTTTAAAGTATAATGGCAACAGCTTTACTTTCACCTCCCAAATCTTGGGCAATGTCACTCTTGGCTGATGTTAACACAGAATCATTACAGAGAGGGCATTCTGGGAAACAGATTTCTCAGTTGACAATAGGACGGCACAGTGGGCCCCTTCCAACAATAAACTCCATGTCAGTCCTTCTTCCTGTTGAAAATAAGTGACAAGATGTGCCATTTTATTGTATCCCTACATACTGCTAGCATCACATGATGTATCAGCTAGTGACATTTTTTGTTGGTAATGTGGTGGCTTGCCTCGTTTAGAGGCTCAAAAAAACCATTCCTAGACACCCAGAACACTCATCAGCTTCTTTAGAAGGCAATGTAGCCATTTGAAATCTCTTTGAGGTTTCAGCTGGCAACACAGAACAACTTGTATCATTAAAAGGGATTTGAAATATGCAGTGCTAAATTGCAATGTATAATAATACATTTCTTCTCTTTGAATCCTCTGTTTTAAGAGAAAATATGCCTGAAGGATTAGAAAACAGCTCTTTCAAGAAATTTCTCAACATGTTTATTTTTAATTTTTAAAATTTAATTTTATTTTTATAATTGCACATGTTTATGGGGTATAGTGATATTTTGATACATATAATGTATAGTGATCAGAGCAGGCGAATTAATATATCCATCATCTCAAACATTTATCTTTTTTTTTTTGTCTTGGGAACATTTGATGTCCTTCTTCTAGTTATTTGAAATGATATGTTATTGGTCAGGCACAGTGGTTCATGCCTGTAATCCCAGCACTTTGGGAAACCGAGGTGGGCGATTGCCTGAGAACAGGAGTTCGAGACCAGCCTGGCCAACGTGGTGAACCCCTGCCTCTACCAAAAACTACAAAAAGGTTAGCTGGGCATGGTGGCACATGCCTGTAATCTCAGCTGCTTGGGAGGCTGAGGCATGAGAATCGCTTGAGCCCAGGAGACAGAGGTTGCAGTGAGCCAAGATCACACCAATGCACCCCAGCCTGGGTGACAGAGTAATACTCTGTCTCAAAATAAAAATAAAAAAATTTTTAAAAATGAAATGATATATTACTGTTAACTATAGTCATCCTATAGCACTATAGAACACTAAAACGTATTCCTCCTATCTAACTGTAATTTTACATCCTTTAAAAAGTCTGTCTCTGTCTCTCCCTTCCCCTATGCTTCCAAGTCTCTGGCATGCTCTGTTCTACTTTTTACTTTTGTGAGATCAACTTTTTTTTTTAGCTTCCACTTATGAGTGAGAACATGTGGTGTTTAACTTTCTGTTCCTGGCTTATTTCACTTAACACAATGTCCTTCAGTTCCATCCAGGTTGCCATGAATAACAAGATTTCATTATTTTTTATGGCTGAATAGTATTCCATTGTGTATATACACCACATTTTCTTTATCCATTCATCTGGTGCTGGACACCTAGGTTGATTCCATATCTTGGCTATTGATTAGTGCTGCAGTGAACATGGGGCTGCAAATGGCTCTTTGATCTACTGATTTCCTTCTCTTTGGATAAATGTCCAGTAGTGGGATTGCTGGATGGTATGGTAGTTCTATTTGTAGTTTTTTGAGGAACCTCCACACTGTTCATGATAATGGCTGTACTAGTCTACATTCTCATCAACAGTGTAGAAGAGTCCTCTTTTCTCCACATCCTTGCCAGCATTTGTTATTTTTTTTCTTTTTGATAACAGCCATCCTAACTGGGATAAGATGATATCTCATTGCAGTTTTGATTTGAATTTCCCTGATGATTAGTGATGTTGAGCATTTGTTCATATATTTGTTGGCCATTTGTACATCTTCTTTTGAGAAATGTCTGTTTAGATCACTTGCCCATTTTTAAATCATATTTTTTCTATTGAGATATCTGAATTGCTTGTATATTCTGAATACAAATCCCCTATAAGATAAGTAGTTTCCTAATATTTTGTCTTATTCTGTAGGTTGTCTTTTCACTCTGTTGATTGTGCAGAAGTTTTGTAGTTTGACATAATCCTACTGGTTTATTTTTGCTTTTGTTGCCCGTGCTTTTGAGATCTTACTCATAAAACCTTTTTTTTTTTTTTTTTTTTTTTTTGAGATGGAGTCTTACTCTGTTGCCCAGGCTGGAGTGTAATGGTGCGATCTCAGCTCCCTGCAACCTCCACCTCCCGGGTTCAAGTGATTCTCCTCCCTCAGCCTCCCGAGCAGCTGGAACTACAGGCACACACCACCATGCCCAGCTAATTTTTGTATTTTTAGTAAAGACAGGGTTTCACCATGTTGACCAGGATGGTCTTGATTTCTTGACCTCGTGATCCACCCATCTTGACCTCCCAAAGTGCTGGGATTACAGGTGTGAGCCACAGCGCCCAACCCATAAAATCTTTTCCCAGATAAATGTCCTGAAATGTTTCTCCCATGTTTTCTTCTGGTAGTTTTATAGTTTTGGGTTTTACATTTAGGTCTTTGGTCCATTTTCTGACATGTTTATTTTAACGTCAAATAAAGTGGTGTGTTCTCTTTTGGTGATTCTCAAGAGAAGATACTCGGTAAGAATTAGGTCAGCCCCAAACAGAGATTTATTTCAAGTAGTTCTTAGTGTGATAATATCTTAGGTAGCACAGATGCATTCAAGTCTTTCTTGGATGCCATTTTCCAATACACTGGATGGTAAAAAGAGTTTCTTTAAGTCTAAAGAAACTTAATAGAAATCTCTGCCACCTACTAGCTTTCGGACTTTGAAGAGGCTAACATAGCGAAACCACCATGGTTTTCCCCATCTTTCCCGGGATGGATCACTTCTTCTTATCCTTTCCTAGGGCATGTATATGTTGCCAACTTTCTGTGAGAAATTAATTTATATTAATGTAAAAACGACATAGTAGGCAAGTTTTGACCTTTAAGAAAAGAATAGCTTCTCATTTGCTTCTTCTCTCGCCCATTTCATTCTACTCCAAGGAGAGATTGTGCTAACCTGCTTTGATCAGCTTTCCCAACAATGAGTGGGTGAAATTCCAGGGCTGGTCGGAACCCTGAATGGGTTCCAGGGCAGTGCATGGACTGGTGTGTGTCTCTCTTTACTAATTTCCTCCTGGCTGGAAAGGTAAAACTGTAGTGGGCTGCTTGGGATTGCATCAGCCATGTCTTTTTTTCTCCTCCTTAATGTTCTTTCTTCTATTGCAGCAAGCAGGCCTGAGAGGGTTGTGTGGAGGGTCAGGTGGGGAGTAGGGAGACAGCTCTAAGCATTCCCAAATTCCCTTCCCTCTGTCATTGGAGATAGGTGGCTTTTAACTGGGATGCTAGGCTCTGAATTTCATATTTAGACACCAGGCATGGTGGTGCACGCCTGTAGCCCCAGCTACTCAGGGGGCTCAGGTAGGAGGATCACCTGAGCCCAGGCGATTGAGGCTGCAGTGAGCTGTGATCAGCCACTGCTCTCCATTCTGAGCAACAGAGTGAGACTCTCAAAAAAAAAAATATATGCATATATATATTTCTTTTGGTGTTGTCACTTTTCTTTAATTTGGCCATTCTAGCAAATGTGTAGTCTTTCCTTTTTAATTATATATATATAATATTATATATATTATATATAATATTATATATATTATATATATTATATATAATATTATATATATTATATATATTATATATAATATTATATATAATATATATAATATTATACATATTATAATATATAATATATATTATAATATATATTATATATTATAATAAATATATTATATATATATAAATTATATATACATATATAATATATATATAAATTATATATACATATATAATTTATGGCAGTGAACTTAGAATAAGACTCCTTGACTTTTTTTTTAGTTGAATAGGTAACATAAACTTTTCCTCCCATGTCGCCTATGAATGAACCTGGCCTTAAACAGATACATAAATGAATTGACCTTAATTATGGATATATTGTCTCCTTTTAAAAAAAATTATTTAATAGGCTAACTTTTAGAGTACTTGTAGATTCACAGCAAAATTGAATGGAAAGTACTGAGAATTTCCACATACTCCCTCCCCATCCCCATGAGTAGCCTTCCCCTTATCAACATCCCCTACCAGAGTGTTATATTTATTACAACTGGTGAACCTACATTGATACATCATTATCACCCAACGTCCATAGTTTACATTAGGGAGCCACTTTTGGCATTGTATATTCTGTGAGTTTGAACAAATTTATAATGATGCATTTCTACCATCATAGTATCATACAGAGTAATTTCACTGCCCTAAAAATCCTGGGCTCTGTTTATTCATCCTTCCCTCCCCTCAACCTCTGTCAACCACTGATCTTTTACTATTTACATAGTTTTACCTTTTACAGAATGTCACATAGTTGGATTCATACAGTATGTATCCTTTGTAGACTGGCTTCTTTCACTCAGTAACATGCAGGAAAGATTTCTACATGTCTCTTCATGGCTTGATGGCTCATTTCTTTTCAGCTCCCAGAAATATTACATTGTCTGTATGTATCATAGTTTATTAGTCCATTCACCTCCCGAAGGACGTCTTGGCTGCTTCTAAGTTTTGGCAATGATAAGTGAAGCTGCTATAGACATCTATGTGCAGGTTTTTGTGTAAGATGTAAGTCTTCAACTCTTTTGGGAAAATTCCAAGGAGCACAACTTAATCGTGTGTTTAGTTTTGTAAGAAACTGCCAAACTGTCTTCCAACATAGCTGTACCATTTTGCATCCCTACCAGCAGTGAATGGAGGTTCCTGTTGCTCCACATCCTCACCAGCATTTGGTGTTGTCAGTGTTCTGGAATTTGGCCATTCTAGCAGATGTGTAGTGTTTCCCTTTTAATTTTTTAAAGATCAATATTGACACTCCCTTTAAAATGGAGGCTGTGTGTGTGTATCTCTGATTTCATATTGACCATTCTTCAATTAGATAAGGAATAATATTTTTCCAGCCCGTTCTCCTCCCTTTGAATGTTGTATGAAAAGAAAGTAAAAGTTACCAAAGCAAATTCAAGAAATTGAGAGGAAACAGCATTGTTCTTCCTCAGAGAAGAAAGTAAAATCATCTTTGAGAACAATTTGGGTGGCCTGCATTATCTGGAAGCATTTATGTAAGCTTGGATTTGCCTGTTCCAATATTTGGTAGAACTCGCTATTAAAATAATTTCGACCTGGTGGTAGTTCTTCACTTTCCCCTCCATTTTCTCCTCTTTCTTCTTCCTTTTTGGGGTGGTAGAATAGAGTTTTATATAATTATAGATTCAGTGTCTTCAATGATTATAGATTCCTTTGGTTTTCCATTTCTTCCTGACTCCGTTATGCAAAATTGTATTTTCCTTGGAAATTGTTCACTTTGTATAAATGCTCAAATTTATTTGTATAAAGTCCATATGATTTTATTATTTTGATATCTGCTTTATCTTAGTTTATCTTCCCTGTTTCATCTATTTGTACTGTCTTTTTAATTCTTAAAAATTTTCCCCCAAATGTATCCGTTTTACTAAACAAAATATTTGATTTGGTTGACTTTCTCTATTGTGTTTAACAGGAAGAAAAACTTATTTTCCACTCCTATGATTTATGTGTGAATTGATTTCCCTAAATAATCCAGATTTCTTTCCCCATTTCTTACTCTCTGCATGAAGGTTAACTTGAGTGTCTGTTGTCAGGTGACAGCCATTGGTCCTCACTTCTTGGTTGGGTTGATGTAAACCATCAAAAATTCTAAGCATGGAGAATTAGATTTCTTTTCACCCTCCAGTCCAGTGCAAGATAACAATCCTGGGTGTGTGTGTCTGCATCTCTCTGGTATGTAGTTCCAAGTTCTACAAACTAGAGGGTGGGCAGGGTATTAGTATTAGTAGATCTGTTTGGCTCTTACTCTTAGTCACACCCTCTAACATAATTTATCATTAATAAAAGTGATAATTTGGTCTTCAGATCTGCGACTCTGTTGATGTTACAGTGGATTCAGAATTTAAGAGACAACAAGGAAGTTATTTATTTGGCTCTCTTACACTCCAACAAATTTCTGATTTTAATTTTACTAATTTGTGCTGTTTTGTATTATGTAGTCCCTTTTTTTTCTTTCTTTAGATTACTTGATGTTCCTTTCAGCTGCTTTTACTTATATTACTGTTCCAATGAGTTTTAAATTTTATTAATTATTTAATTTTAAATAATTATAACTTCCATTATAATTTCTTCTTTGACTCCTGAATTAATTACAGATCTGTGTTTGAAAGATTTTTTAAAATTTTATTTCTTAACAATAGCATATTATGAGGATGTGCTTTCTGATGACCATAAAAACCCCTACAATTCTAAAAGGATAAAGTTCTTTACAAGACATGAGCATTTAAGGAAAGATGAAGAAAACAACTGAAATATCTGGCTGTTAACATATCAACCTAGAATAACTTAAAGAAGCAATATCACTATTTTTCTAAGTCTGAATTTCCCCCTTTAAGTCTTACAACTTGTGCCCTATGTATATGATTACTTTAATATTCTTTAAATGGTATTTTCCTATCATGATATTCCTAATGTAATATTTTTACATTATTTTTAATCATTCTAATGTCTTAAACAAGACAACAAATTATGCTCGAGATATTTTAAGAATTCCTTGTGTGTACACATGTGCATTTCAACATAACCAGCATACATCAATATACCTATTTTTTTTTTTTTTAAACTGTGGGGCTGGGCATGGTGGCTCACAACGGTAATCTTAGTACTTTGGGAGGCTAGGGTGGGTGGATCACCTGAGGTCAGGAATTTGAGACCAGCCTGGCCAACATGGTGAAACCCTGTCTCTACTAAAAATACAAAAATTACCCAGGAGTCCCAGCTACTCAAGAGGTTGAGGCAGGAGAATCGCTTGAATCTGGGAGATGGAGATTGCAGTGAGCCAAGATTGCGCCACTGTACTCCATCCTGGGAGAGAGAGCAAGACTCTGTCTTTAAATAAATAAATAACATTTTAAAAAAATAAAATAAACTATGGTAGGAACGGCCTTTATTGGCTGCAGCAGGAAGTGCCAGAGGGGATACAGTGTCTGCAGACTAGATTGCTGCCCTCCAAAAAAAGGACGTATCTGCAGTTAATAATAATACCTTAATATTGTTAAATATCTTGTGTTTACATCTGATTGTATTGTATGTTTTTAACACTTTGAATTAGGAACCAAATACAATCTATTCATTGCAATTAGTTCATAGTTCTTCTAAATTTCTTTCGATCTATAAATTCCTCTTCCACATTTTTTTCCTTAAAACTTTTTGTTGAAGAATCTGATTCATTCTTTTAAATTCCCCACAATCTGGATTTTGCTGGTTGTATCCCTGTGATATTAACTCTTTTCCCTTGCCTTTTTATTTCCTGTAAGCCAATAGTTAATCTAGAGCCTTCAGTTTATATTTCATTTTGTTTTGTGTTTTGCAAGACTCCTCCACAGCTGGTGATGTGTGTTGATATAAGGAAGTATATAATGTCTGATTGTCTCTCTTTTTGTCACATTAGCAGCTATGGATGACCATTGTCTAGGTCCATTATTTCCTAAGGCATGTAAAATGATGACATTCTATCATTCCTTCTTCAGCTATTAGCTAAACACTTGTATAAGTTATTTCGCAAATATTTTTGTTTACTCTGAGTTGCAGTTCATACAGTAATGTTAGGATAAATTATGCATTATTTTTCTTTTTTTATACCAGATCTCAAAACAATATAGTTGCTCTATATGTCTATCATCGTACCCTGGCATCCTCCACTGTGATCACACAGGCTCTGTGCAGTATCAGTATGAAGTCATGGGTTTTACGCATTTGATCTATTTTAACCCATGTCAGTTATTATTCTTATTTGTGTTCAAATTGTCCCATCTTTGGCCAACGGGAGTTTTTCAGGATGGCTTCCACGTCATTTTGATATGACTTCATCGTCTTTGATAGTTCCTTGCTGCTCATATGACAAAATATCCCAGATTCATTTTAGATATTTTCTGAACAGATCTGGAATTAGCCTTGTATATCTTATTTCAGTGCAAAGTGATATTTTGCATTTAAAAAAGTGGCACTTATTGAGATAAAGTGTAGTTATTGTTTCTCAGTATTTTCAGTGACAGAGTTTCTCTGGTTTCTTTATCTTTGCCTTTGGTATTCTGCACTTATACTATGATGTGTCTAAGTGTCCTGCTTTGAATACTGCATCTTCCTACTCTCTATTCTGTCCTTCTGAAAGTCCTATTAAATGTATGTTAGACCTTTTCATTCTTTAAACACTGTTTTTTATCCTCATTTTAATATTTTTAATCTCTTTATTTCTCAGTGCTACATTCTAAGTAGTGTCTAGGATCTATATTCCAGTTGGTTCATGTTTTTTTCAGTTGCATTTTACTTGTACTTACCATTTTCCCAGGTTTTTAATTTTATAGATTACATTTAAATTTTTAGAAGTCCTTTTAGTTAATTTCCAATTCAGCCTGTTCAGTTTTCATAGTTGTTCTTTTCACATATTTTCATTTTTTCCTTTAAGTCTTACTCATTTTGAAAGTTTATTTATGGTCTCTAACAGATAGTTTGACCATTGGAAACCCCGGTGATCTCATCCTGCTGTGTCTCTCCAGCGACCTACCTGTCAGGACGGGGTATGACCCACCAGAACCACTTTGATTTTTATTTCTCAGCTTGGGACTTCTTAAGTCATATGAACTGTGTAAACTTAACACCCAAACCTATGTGAGGACATTCCTGTGGTCACAAATTCTTAGAGGAGATATTTCCCCCACACCAATACCTAGATTGAAACCAAGAAGTTTCCATATTGTTGCCCTGTGCGGATGGAAAAATTTACACCCTTTCCAGTGTCTTGGTTGCGTGCGGTGATTTCATTTTCAACTCTTTGTTTTGCAGGGGTTTCAGGTTGTTGAAACACAAGACTGTAAATGACTGAGACCCTCCCCCACCAAGTTTCCATGAGGTCAACTGATTTACTTATAACTCTAGTTGTCAATTCCCTCTTCATTTTTGGCCATTGAAATTTTCCTTGCTTATTTTTATTTACTTCTTTGCAAGCACTATCCATCTAAAAGGATGTTTTTGTATCTGAAATTTCTATGTGCTCTGTACCAAAAGGGTTTTTAGGCCATGTAATTTGGCGTATCACCAGATGCAGAAATCCAGTCTATGTTTTCATCTTTTCCAAAAACTTAATCTAAACTCATTGTAGTCTATATGGGCTAGTCAAAACACTAAGCTTTTCATGAGAAAAATATTGGTTTAGCAAGTGGCTCAGACATTCTGATTGACAGTTGATAGCATCAAAAACATGCTGATTCCTGTGGGGAAAATAATTAAAGGGATTCTTCAGAGTGAAAATGTTGGTTAATTACATTCCACAATCAGATGGACCCTCTCAAAACATTTATATGATTAATGGCACATCGATAGCCCACTTTAGCAGACACAGCTCCCAAATTGATCTCTTTGTAACTACCTTTGTTTTTAGTACAGTGATTCTGATTTTGTTATCACAGCAGGCCAGTTTCAATGATCAGAACCACAATGTTCTACCACTAATATAATATAGTGGCAGCTTATCCCCAATTTTTAGAAAACTTTTAGCTAATGAATAACAATTTTCTCAGTTATAAAAAAATGTCCCCATAATGTTGTCTTAATATTTGTGTACCCACAATTGCTTGTGGTCTGTTTAAAAATGAATGAATTAGTAGGAAACTTATAGTAACAGAAAAATTCATAAACTTGATTTGTTAAGGATATTGTATGTACACTTTTCTGTGAAGATGCAGAGATGTGCACAGAGTTTTTGTAATAGGTCTTTGTTTCCAGAAGTAAACCTGTCTATGACCCTGAGTGTTTCCATCTCTTCAAGATAGTTTCCTGTTTTCAAATCCACTAATCTCTCTCCAACCTCACAACTTTGTTAAGATTATTCTCTGAGAGAATTAGATATATCAATAGTCCATGGCCTTGTGTAAAGGAAATTATAATTTCTAGGTGTTCTGACCCCTGAGTAATGTAAGAAACATCACAGAATGAAGTTTTACAAATTTTGTTGTCACCAGCATATTATATTGCAAATAAGCATATATGATTGGAAGAATTTTGATAAAGTTATAGTGTTTTAAATATGCACCTGTAATGTTTAAAAGTTGTCCATCTATATGGTCCAGTTTCAAAGCAGTCTGTCTATCAAAGAAACCCAATTAGGTATCCAAAAAGTCATTGAAGAACTGAAGATATTTATTGAGAACACATACGAATACGTACCTCTCAGAGTTCCTCCTTTATCTTTCACTCACTTTCAATATACATTGCATCAACCCCCATATTTCTTTTTTCATCACTCCCCAAACCCCTCCCACAGCCCTAACCCAAGTTTCTCTCCTTTTCTTCAGGTTCTTAAATATTATATTTGCTGCATGACCAAAGGTCAAAGTTGCATCTATTTTTAGGTGATGAAATGATGACTATTGACTAACATTAGTAATCACTTTCTCCAACATTTCTGAAAAGGTTTCTATCTACTTTGTCATATTGCTTTGAAAATTAGTCCTTGAAAACCATAAAAAACATACTGAAGCCCTAAATAGAATGTTGCATTGTACAAACTCCTTCATAACCATGAGTCATTCCTCACAACAGTCCTGTGGGGTACGCCACATTCTTAATCATATTTCACAAATGGAGACAGTGAGGTAAAGAGAAAGCTGTGGCATAATGGGATCAACACAGATAAAGTGTACTGAGGGCCTCACATGAAATTCAAATAGTGTAGCTCCCATTTTGTAGATAAGAATCCTACTACAATGGGGATACACTTCTCACTCCATAATAGCAACCATCAGAGGCAAGAGGGATTATCATGGTAGCTTCAGTTCTCATCCCTCCATCTTTCTTAATAATTTTGCAGCATAAAAGTCCAACATGGTAGACCATCTGGCAAACTGGGACCTTCCTTAGATGGGGAAAGGAGAAGAAATGGGACAGTGGGGCCAGCATCCTCTTTGGTGTAAGACCTAGAAACACTTACATGCCTGATAATTTTCCCCCGACAGATTCACATGCACATATCTGAAAAGTATACCCACATGTTTGTAGTAAGAGCTGCATGAAGTTTTCTTTTTCTCCTCCTTTGAGAGACAGAGTCTTGCTCTGTTGCCCAGGCTGGAGTGCAATGGTGAGATCTCAGCTCACTGCAACCTCTGCCTCCCAGGTTCAAGCAATTCTCCTGCCTCAGCTTCCCAAGTAGCTGGGACTACAGGTGTGCATCACCACACCCAGCTAATTTTTGTATTTTTCAGTAGAGACAGGATTTCACTATATGTTGGCCAGGCTGCTCTTGAACTTCTGACCTCAGGTAATCCACCTGCCTCGGCCTCCCAAAGTGCTGGGATTACAGGCGTGAGTCACCGTGCCTGGCCTTCATGAAGTTTTCCTTGTCATTTAAACTCTCTGGGTATCTGTTTCCTCATATGTAAAAGGACCATGAAAAGTAGTGTTTATTTCCTAGAGTGGTCTTGAGGGTTAAATGAGATCATACTTGTAAAGCATTTAGGAATAGAGCATAGTACATGGCAAGGGCTGGAGGAATATTGTAGTTATTATTACTTAGTAGCAGTGGTCATCATACATGTGGTAGATAGAATTACTGTAAAAATACACCTTATACTAGCTTATAGGCAATACGCAATTCACCTTAAGCAGAGGCCTGTGATTAATGTAAGTAAATATTTGGATAGTAATGTTGGCAATGGGAAATGTAATAAAATTTTACACTTTCCTCTGTAAGAACTTCCTTATTCAAAACTGTGATAAAACAATACTTTTTGCCTATCTATTGAAACACCAGTATTATCATCTTTCTACCTAATTTAGTAACAACCAGCTTGTATCGAGTATTTACAATGCACTGGATACTCTGCTAAAAACTTAATAGTTTTACCTTCTTTAACTACAACAGTAACTGCAAAAGATAGGGGTTATTATAATTACCTTCAGTTTTTAGGTGAGGAGAGTGAGGCTTCAGAAAATTTCCTTAACAAGAATGATGAGGACATTTTTCAGCTGGGCGCGGTGGCTCATGCCTGTAATCCCAGCACTTTGGGAGGCCGAAGGGGACAGATCATCTGAGATTGGGAGTTTGAGACCAGCCTGACCAACATGGAAAAACCCTGTTTCTACTAAAAATACAAAATTAGCCAGGCATGGTGGCAGGCACCTGTAATCCCAGCTATTCAGGAGGCTGAGGCAAGAGAACTGCTTGAATCTGGGAGGCAGAAGTTGTGGTGAGTCGAGATTGTGCCATTGCACTCCAGCCTGGGCAACAAGAGCAAAACTCTGTTTAAAAAAAAAAAAAAAAAAAAAAGAATGAGGACATTTTTCTTTCTTTGTGTCTCTCTATTATCTATCCTAAAGATTTGTTGAATGGATGAAATGATAGTTAAACCTTACCAGTCTTTATTTTGGCCCTTAACCTTACATCCAAAACAGATTTCAAAATCAATTATGAAAACAGGCACAATCATATTTTAGGAATAAAACAATTTCCCCAAGCCATTTTAGGAAGAAAATGAGGATGAAAAGGTAAAACAACACAAGCATCTTGGTGGGACACAGCTGGGAGATACGCAGATTTTATGATTGGAAAGGGTTTCACAGGAGGGTGGATGGCTACGATCACAGAAGAAATCATCTCACCTTCCAAATCATCAGTAGGGATAAAGTGGAGCTGGAGATGCCATCCTGCTTTCTTCATGCTCTTTGTATTTCGAGGACTAGTGCTTTTTGGGCTGAGCTATTTGAGCTGCTGAGACAGAAACTGAAATGCAGGCTACCCATCAGCACACACAGCTGCTGCTATCATCCATAGTCTTGAGAGATGGGCAGGTTCAGAGGTCTGGGCAGGCCACACAACAACCAGGGCTTACCCACTAAGGTTAGATGACTTCTCTTCCTCATTACCCATAGGGTAATATGCAGTGGCTCAGTGGCTCTCAGGATAGTCACAACTCTACTGTGTTGCCCTTGGTAAGCTGGAAATTATACCCTTGTTGACATGCTCTGCAGGCTGCTGTTAAAAATGCCAAACAGCAAATTTATCCACTGCTAGGTTCTTAAAGAAACAGATTCTCTTTTCTTGAGGAGCCAATAAAACAGAGGTTCTCAAAGTGTGCCTGAACCAACAGCATTGACATCACCTGGGATCTTGTTAGAAATGCAAATCCTTTGACCCTATCCCAGACCTTCTGAATCAGAAACTCTAGGCCTCCTGAATCAGAGACCAGCAATCTGTGCTTTAACAAGACTTCCAGGTGATTCTGATGCATGCTTAAATTTCAGAACCACTTTGCTAAGGGATTAAGGTCAGGAGAATCAAATTGAATACAGAATACAATATCTGAGGGGCAAAGCAATGGTGATGTTGAATTTCTTTCCTAGCTGGTCTTTCCTTATTGCTTGTTGGAATATGTATTTTGGATGGCTATGGATCAGTTGGATAATTCTCAAAACTGTAATTTGCTAGTGAGGCTCAAGATTTAAATGAGAGAGAATGAGGTCAAAAACTCTGGTGACTACTTAAACAGATTACAAGGGACTGATTTTATGTTGAAATCCTTGTTTGAAAAAGATTTGTCACTATTTACATACCTTATATAGTTGTTGTAGATATGAAAATGGGATAATTTATATAAAGTTGTTTTTAAGCCATAAAACGTTATGCAAACATTAGTGTAAAGTTATGGAGTTTTGGTAGGAGAGTGGGTGAGGCAAGAGAGAATGAAAGGGCCTGATATAGGTTATGAAAAAAGGGACTTGAGGTCCCTATTCACTCATTTGACTATTTTTTCTTTTTTGCTTTTCTTTTTTTTTTTTTTGAGATAGTCTTGCTTTGTCGCTCAGGCTGGAGTGCAATGGCGTGATCTCAGCTCACTGCAACCTGCACCTCCTGGGTTCAAGTGATTCTCCCACCTCAGCCTCCTGAGTAGCTGGGACTACAGACGTGCACCACCATGCTCGGCTAATTTTTGTTTTTTCAGTAGAGACGGGGGTTTCACCATGTTGGCCAGGCTGGTCTCGAACTCCTGACCTCAGGTGATCTGCCCACCTTGGCCTCCCAAAGTGCTGGGATTACAGGTGTGAGCCACTGTGCCCAGCCCATTTGACTATTATTTAGTGGGCATAGGATATATACCAAGGACTGTGCGAAGTGCTGGGAATAGAATGTTGAACAAAAACAGACATGGCCCTTGCTTTCATAAAGCTTAAATCTAATAAAGGAGGCAGATATTTATCAAATAATGACATCAATAAATATCTAATTTCTAAACCTAAGGAAAATATTCTGAAGCAAAAGAATATAGTTCCATGACAGCACAGAACAAAGGAACCTATTCTAGATTGGTGGAAACGGGAGTGAAGAGGAAAAGAGGGAGGCTCAGGAGGACTTCCCTAAGAAAGTCCTGCTCTAACTGAAATCTGAAAGATGAGTAGAGGTAAGTTAGGTCAGGCTGGAGGATGAGGGGTTGGAGAGGAAAATTTATAGACTGAGAAAAGAGTGTATAAAGGCCCTGTGCAGAAATGCAGCATGGGGCCAGGTGTGCTGGCTCAAGCCTGTAATCCCAGCACTGTGGGATGGTGAGGCGGGTGGATCACTTGAGTTCAGGAGTTTGAGACCAGTCTGATCAACATGGTGAAACCCTGTCTGGACTAAACATACAAAAATTAGCTGGGTGTAGTGATGGGTGCCTGTAATCCCAGCTACTTGGGAGGCTGAGGCAGGAGAATTGCTTGAACCCGGGAGGTGGAGGTTGCTGTGGGCCGAGATCGCACCACTGCACTCCCACCTGGGCCACAGAACAAGATTCCATCTCAAATAAATAAATAAATAACATAAAAAGAAATGCAGCAAGGTGCATTCGAATTAAAATCAGGCCAATGTGGCTGTATTGAAGAGCATACAGGTGACAATGGGGCAAGAAGCAGCTCGGGAGGTACAGCAGAGACAAGACTATGTAGGGCCTTGCAAATCTTGTGTGTATCAATTAGAAACTGACTGCAACTCCCAGTGCCAGAAATCCAACTGGTGAATATAATATGTAAAGATTTTGTTCTCTGGCGTAGAAGCAGCCCAGAAGTAGAAAATCAAGTCTTGTAGCATGGTTTCCCAAGTCATCGGGACCCATGCCTCTTTTATCTTTCTGCCTTACCATTTCTGGTTCTAGCCTCCTTCAAGGTCTCAAGATGGAGGCTGGAGTGCCAGTCATCACAACCATATTTCAAACATGAAGAACCCAAAGGGCAAGGATAAAAGGACTTTCCTGGGTACTCTGTTTAACAACTTCTGCTTATACCGCACAGGTTATTTATTCCTCTCTGTAAAGGAAGTTAGGAATTATCTTTTTGTTTATTTGTGTCTGAGATATATTGCTGTCCCAATAACAGAAGATTTTTGGGAGGTAGAAGGAGAAAACAGATATTGTGGAAAGGCTGTCTTTGCAACACAGTGTTAAAAATTTTGATCATTTTCCTGTGATCCATAGGAAGTTATTGGCAAGTTTTAAGGAAGGACATGGTGGGACTGGCTGCAATGTGGAGAAAGGAATTGGGGCTGGGAAAGCAGAGTGAATGGAGAGAAAACTCAGGAGAATAAAGAGATGATGGCAGCTTAGATTGATGCTACAGTGACTATCCTATGGTGATGACTATGGAAATATTGGAATCAAGATTGTTTTGAGAGACATTTAAGAAATGAAAGAGATAGGTCCTAGTGATGAATTAAGTATGGTGAGTGAGGGAGAAGAGGGCATCAAGAATGATATATGCTGGATGGATAATGGTATCAATCATTGAGACAGAGAACAAAGGAAAAGGAGCAGTTTTGCTGAGGAAGATCATGAACTTGGTCTTAAGCAAATTGAAGAGGAATGCCTTCCAAATGGAGATGTGGTAAACAAATAATCGGGCTTCTGGGTCTGGAACATGGAGGTGTGGTCTGGGCTGGAGATGTAAGCTGGTATCACATAACTGAAATCATGATTGATAATGATTGTCAGGATAGAGTGGAGTATACAAAGTGAGAAGAGGGTCTAGGACTGAGACTTGGGGAACTTCAATATTTAATGGAAGGTAGAGGAGAAAGAGGCAGAAATGGAGACAAAACAGGAGCAGTCAGAGACTTGGAAGGAAAACCAAGATGTAGTATCAGAGGCAACAAAGTCCAAGCAAGAGGGATTGTGCCCATTGTCAGCAAGAGGGTCAATGAGATAAAGACTGAAAAAGTTTTTTGGATTTAGCAACATGGAGACCACTAGAGATCTTTGTGAGGGCGACTTGGTGGAATATTTGGGCTAGAAACCAGATTGTAATGTGCTAAAGAGTGAGGCAGATTTGAAAAAATGGCAGCAGTGAGTACATAATTTGTTAAAAGACTGGCTCTGAAGGAAAAGAGAGAGATACAGAAGTGGCAAGAGGGAAAACATGGCCCTTTCCATATTATTTTGTAATATGGAAAGGCCTAGAGTGACCTAGGGCTTCATTACTTGTGGGAAGGACCCAGCTGAGAGGAGAGAAGGGGTAACTGATACATGGAAAGTTTCTGGAAAGGTGGGAGGATATGGGAAAGGTGGGAGGATAAGCACAGGCCGTGAGGTGACCCTAATGAGGTCTAAGCGATGGTATAGTGAGAAGTGCAGGAGAGATAAGGATTTGAAGTCAGAAAGTAGGATATTGCAGTTCAGGATAACAATTTTTCATCTCACACTTTCCAAAGTACTAATATACTATCTTGGGGGAAATGAAGTCATACAAGTGTATAATTTTTAGGAAATGTGCAGATCACGTTAAGGTTGTCACAAATGTTAAGCACTTCCCTTTCATTTTCTCTCTCTCGGGTATCTAATTCGATGAGACCTCAATAAAATAATGTAGTAGGAGTTAGGATTTACTAAGCCTTCTTGAGAGCACGTAATCCTTCCAACATCCCTGTGAAGTAGATGCTATTATAGTCTCAATAGTAGAGATGAGGAAATTGAGCTTTAGAGGGGTTAAGTAACTGGTCTGAGGTCACTTGCTATTCTGTGGTAACAGGATTCACAGGATTCAAAGCTTTATCTGAGGCATAAGTTCTGGTGATCTATTGCACAGTGTAGTGACTAGAACAATAATGGATTGTATATTTCAAAATTGCTGAAAGACTAGATTTTAAATGTTCTCATCACAAAAAAATGAGTATGTAAGGTAATGTGTATGGTTAATTAGCCTGATTTGATCATTCCACAATGTATGCATGTATTGAAACATCACATTGTACCACATAAGTATATACAATTATTATTTGTCAATTTAAAGTAAAATTAAAACATTTTTAGAAAGCTTTATCTGCCTACTGCAGGATTCTTTGCTGCCGTGCTGGGCTACATGCCTCATCAGAAAAGACGCTGATAGGCAAATCCACTCAGACATAAACTAGTCTGCAAGGGAGGCAGGACTTCCCTGAGGTAAGATTAAAACCTGTGTTTGTGGCTTGGAGGTTATCACAGCAACATCCCTTAGTAGAAGGTTATCTCTTCTTAAAGTATCACAGTGTGAATGAAACTTATTATAAAATAGGGGAGAAAAGCAAGAGAAATGAAACAAGAAATACCACCTCAAAACGCAACAAGTTTATTTAAGGTTAATCTACGCAGAGAGACAATTGTCCATAGAACCTTAAAGTACTCAGGCAAATATGTAGCAGGTGGGATTTCCAAGTTGCTGCTCTGGGATTTCCAACGTTTTACTGTGCAGCCTGAGGGCAAGTTTCTTTGTTGACTGTGTACTTCTACTTCACCACAGAGTACTTCATTTTGATCTGCGCTATGATATTTTTCAGAGAGTTGCTTATTTCAGGGAAATGCCATATACAACGAAGAGACGTCCGGAAATACTTTACATCAGATCTGGGCAGTTTCCCTGAGACAAAATGGCTGCCCACAGGGTTTTCACAGGGGCGGGTCTTTGGTCATTTTTAATTGACATCAGTGAAATTTGACCCGTGGCTAGAGGTCACCAGGATGTGTGCTTGAGTTTACTTCCCCTTCTTTAAGCTCCAGTGACTCCACCCAGCAAAACAAGGGATGGAATGATTGACATCTGTCTGCCAAGGGCTCTCCTGGGAACTTCAGGAGCATTCTATTTCTAGGAAGAAAGCAAGACTCTAGGGTCGGGATTTTCCATTACTGCTTCTGGAAATCTAAGAAATGCTTTTTAGTCTCTCTTCTTCCCTTCTTCTATTCCACCGAAAATAAAAACTTTCCCCCAAACCTATAAACCGTGAAAGTAAAGAGATAACACAAACAGACATTTTTGTTGACGTTCCTTCTTCTTTCACTTCAGCTTCTTCGTTAGAAGCAATTCGTGGCCTTTGAAGGTTGAATCAGGAAAGTTAAAGGACTGTAATTATTCAAAGTGTACTTTTCTTCTGGGGATGCTTGGGGGTTGACTTTGGGGTTCCACGGCCTGGAAATTTAAGGCAATAAAGAGCAAATGACAGTGACTGCCTCATGAAAAGTTTGCTTTCTCAATGCTGTGACAGGAGCTATAGAATAAAAAAAATCCTTGCATGTCATTTATTCATAATCTTATGAAGTAGATTATCTTTGCCCTATTTATGTTTCTCACTTTAGATTATTGGGGAACAGCCTGAATCCAGGGAGGGTGATGTTTCTGGCTTCTTGCCTTATAACTAACTTTTTAGCAACTCCCAGTTTCTTGATTTCACTAATCTTTCCCAAGCCTTAAAATCTCTTTATAAGATATTGAACTTTAACTGACAGCAAGTATATTTGAAGATAGGGTTGGTAGAAGAAAAACAGAACTACACCGTAATTATAACTATATATGCATATTAACAATGGCCTACATATATTTTCCAGCCATTGGGCTAAGCTCCTTATAGGAATTACCTCTCTATAATTACCTTATAGAATTCTATAATTACCTTATAGAATTTACAGTAATCCTATAAGGTTGGTACTATTATCATCTCTTTATTTTCTGCTGAGGAAACTGAGATTTAGAATGATTGAACAGCCATTGCAAAATTGTAACTGAGACGGTGAAAGAGATCTGACCTAACCAACTCCATCTCGCTTCTAACCTCCAAGCTGTCCTTGTTCATTCCTGGGCATAGGCCGAACTAACTTTGGGAGAAACAGTTTATAGTTTAAAACAAAGATGATGACAGCCCTTTCCCAAAACAAACCTCCTTTTTGCCTGGGGACTAGACTGCCTTTGTAGGACTGAGAAATTAGCCACAAGGTTAAAAATTATGATTTAGAAGTCATGCAGCTGGAGGCTATAAAATTCTGACCCTCCCTAAACTTCTCCTAAGATTAGTGCTTGAGATATTTTGCAGCCCCTGCACTTAATGGATCATCTGGCACCACCCAGATCGATAAACTGGCTCATCTGATCTTGTGGCCCCCACCCAGGAACTGACTCAGTACAAGAAGACAGCTTTGACTCCCTTGCTTTCATCTCTGACCAATCAGCACTCCTGGCTCACAGGCCTCCCCCTACCCACCAAGTTGTCCTTAAAAACTCTGATCCCAGAATGCTCAGGGAGACCGATTTGAGTAATAATAAAACTCCCATCTACCGCACAGCCATCTGTGCGTGAATTACTCTTTCTGTATTGCAATTCCCCTGCCTTGATAAATTGGCTTTGTCTAGGCAGCAGGCAAGGTGAACCCACTGGGTGGTTACAAGTAAACCAAAAAAATTAATAATAGGAATTCCCTATTCTTGACAGTTATGCTATCTTGCCCCTAGGAAATGTCACTTGTTAGGCATGAATTGCCAAGCAGAGAAGGAAGATGGCAAAGTTTACAGGAAGGAAAAATGTCAAGGCTCCTTTCACCAAACAAGGAGATCCTGGAACCCAAAGCTGGAGACAACTCTGTATCACATCCTTCACATCCCACTCCAGGCTTTCAAACATAAAATGAGAATTGGCCAGTTTAAGGATTCTAGAATCCACAAGACTCTATAGCTTCAGTTGTCCCCCTCATTCATGAAGTCATACCCAAGCGCTTAGCTCTCAGGGATATCCACTCCGGTGATTTTCTGCAGCACTCTCAAGGAATAAAGCTCATAAAGAAATTCCTTATAGTGTTGCATAGCACATTTTGGGTTTTTGTTTTGTTTTGTTTTAAGATGGAGTCTCACCCTGTCACCCAGGCTGCAGTGCAGTGATGCAATCTTGGCTCACTGCAACCTCCGCCTCCCGCGTTCAAGCAATTCTCCTGCCTCAGCCTCCTGAGTAGGTGGAATTATAGGCGTGCACCCCACACCTGACTATTTTTTTTTTTTTTGTATTTTTACTAGAGATGGGGTTTCACCCTGTTGACCAGGCTGGTCTTGAACTCCTGATCTCAAGTGATCCACCCGCCGTGGTCTCCCAAAATGCTGGGATTACAGACATGAGCCACCACACCCAGCCATAGCATGTTTGTATAGTTACTGCATTTCATCGCCACTAAACTTTGTGAGGTAGGCTAGGGCATACATTAACTTTTATTTTTATTATTTCTTTTCTGTAGACATGGAAATTGACCCCTAGAGAGGTAAGTTAACTTGCCAAAGGCACTGGACAAATTTGGGGTAGTGCTGGGACCAGTACTCAGGACCTTCAGCCGTAAGACCTGATTTGTTCTATGACACCATGTCCCTCCCGTCAGCATCAAGAGATGTTTGTCCAGAGCCTGGGAGGTATAGGCCTTTGAGCAAAGCTCTCTGGATAGGAAAACAGATGTGGTCTCCACCCTGGGAAGGATTTCTATTTTCTTTGGGAGATGACCCTTATTCTAATCCAATTACTTACCACACAAATAGTTCATTGGTTTTTTGGAAATATATTGCAAGCACAATCAAGTTTATACTTCTTTTCTGTGCCCCCAGGGATTTTATACATTGCCCCACACCCAGCAGGTGCTTTGTGTGTTGGTTCAATGAAGCTTACATTAGAGACTAAGAGTGGCAGTTTGATAGAAAGAGTGGAGACATTGGAACCTGGTCTGTGTTCACGTCCTGCCTCTGCACTTTCTGGTTGTGTGACCTAGGCAGGCATCTGACCCCTCAGTGCTTCAGGTACCTCAACTATGAAAGGAAGACCTTAGTAAATACCACACAGAGTGATGCAAGGACTGTGACATAATACAGCTATGGTCTTGAGTATACTACCTGGCACAGAGTAAGGAGGCAGGAAATGTTCACTATACTATTATTAGGATGTGTACCTTATCATCTTCCTAATACTTTCAGCTTGTCATTGTTGAGCCTGCAAAGTTTCCTGTATGTATTTCAGCACATGCTTCTGTAGAATCTAATTGCAGGTGGTTCTCTTTTCTTTTCATTCAGGCGAGGAGGATCATCACATTCAAAGCTATAGTTCAACCAAGTGCAACTTAGCACTGTAACTTCCTTAGCTACAGTCATGCCTATTAATAGGATCAACCTGGGACCTTCTTGGCAGGTGTCAACTCCACCCACAACCAAGTTCACCAAAAACACAAGTTAAATTTGGAACAGGAGGCTTTGAACAAGATGCCCCTGGTTGCTACATGTGGTACTCTTACCCTAAATGCAGTGGCTAGGGGAGCTGCATTTTAGTGTTACGATACTTCCGATAGGACCAGCAACTGCTAGAAACTGCTAGAATCCTATTCAAAGGATTCCTGGAGCTCCTTTAATAGAGCACATTAGTGTGGACCAAAGTCATTTCCCAAAGAGTGGGACCCCCTAAGCCCCCTGTGCCAAAGTTGGACACAAGGGCTCATAGAGTCCGTCTGCTATCTCACAAGATGCTTCTGAGCCCAGATGATTTCAGCTCAGTAACGTCCAATCTGCCTGCTTGTTTTCCCTTCTGCTTTCCCCAAAGCAGCCTCAGAAAAAAGGAAATGTTGCCTGTGTTGAAATGGGGCCTCTGTTGGAAAAAATAAAACACAGTTTCACTGCAGGTCAGCATACTCAACCCTACACTCTCCTCGTAATGGAATATAAAGCAATGAAACTCTTTCGGGTTCATTACTTGGAACTCTATCAATTTGTCTCCAATTTACTCATTCCTTTGATTCAGGTAGGAGAGAGCAATGATGGCCTTGACTTCCAGAGTCACCTCCCACCTGGGATTTCTCAGGCCCAGAAGCACACTCCTTTCCATTGCTTTAACTCTTAATTCCTCTCCCCTGCCCCACTGCATAGAAATTAGCATGAGTAGACGTGTCTATCTCTACTGTGAACTATGTACTTAGCATAAAATACCTTTAAAATAACTTGATAGCAGCTCAGCTGTCTCTGGAAATATACCCAGTTGAGCCTTTTAATTATAAGATGTTTGTTGTTCCCCCGGTATTTGAACAATTGCTTTTCTAATTTCTGAACCTACCTGTAGCTATATTTTTTGAACTCTTAGGATATGCTAGGCTCTGCACTATCTGATTTAAACCTGACAAAGTCTCCATGAAGTAGGTATGACTGTTATACCCATTTTACTGTTAAGAAAAAAAAAGGGAAATTAAGTAACCCATAATGCTAACTTTTCTGCCTCAGTGCCTCCCTGTTATAACAGGCTGTGGGCTTTTTTTTTTTTTTCTTCCTCTCTCTCTCTCTCTCTCTTTTTTTGGTTGAGACGGTGTTTCACTCTGTCGCCCAGGCTGGAGTGCAATAGAGCGATCTTGGCTCACTGCAACCTCCGCCTCCCAGGTTCAAGCAATTCTCCTGCCTCAGCCCCCCGAGTAGCTGGGATTACAGTCATGCGCCACCACGCCCAGCTAATTTTGTATTTTTAGTAGAGACGGGGTTTCACCATGTTGGTCAGGCTAGTCTCAAACTCCTGACCTCAGATAATCCACCCACCTCAGCCTCCCAAAGTGCTGGGATTACAGGCGTGAGCCACCACACCTGGTCGGGCTTTGTTCTCTTTACGGATGAAAGCACCTTGAGGGTGGGGACCAAGGCTTAAAACTCTGCCGAGTTTTCAGTTGCATCCCTATTACCAGGTGGGAGTTTCACAAATGCTACAATCAGTCCAGTTCTCAACAATAATTTATACAAAGTGCATATCTATTTAGAACTTTCTGGGTTTGAAACTTAGTATCAATCCCTGTGGAGTACACAAAGGAAGTACATCATCTATTTGGGGGGTATTAGTCCCTATGAAACAGGAAAACCAATTAAATGTTTAAACTAAAAATAAATGTTTCAGCCTCCAGAGAAAGGGGAAACCTTCACTGGGGAGGTGGTGGGATTTCAGGTGGCCCTTGAAGAACCAGGCCAATGTCAAGAAGTGGAGAGGTGGGAGAATGAGGAATAAGGTGTGGGAAAAGGCAGTCTTGGGGGAAAGAAAATGGGGAGTTGGCCTGTAACAATAGAATATGCACATTGTAATTTCTTTCACCATCAAGGATGAGAATTCTAGAAGGCTTATAGAGACTTCTCTTGATTAGAAAAAAAAATACTTCTTAGCTCACCAAACAGATTTTCCTCCAGAGCCTGGTATAGGAGGCAAAGGACCCATATAGGGCAAGTTCCAGATACAGAAGGAACTGGTCTTCGCCTCCTTCTGGTTCTGGTGTTCTCTTTGACCACCCTTTTCTATTTCCAATTATTTTTCTCTGAATTTAGTTTTTGCAAGTGGAAGATACAGAAGCTTTATGAGCAGAATAAAACAACCAGGGTTGGCAGCCTTGCTCTCAACCCTCTAGCTGTGTGTGATCTTTGAGGAGGATGATAGCAAACCTTGGTTCAGCATGTCTTGTGTGCTAGGTGATGTGTTAGATGATGTGCCAGGCATTGGGTGTGTGTTAAGTCATTGCATCTTCACAAGTAAGGTGGGTCATTACCTATTACCACTGCCCTTTTGTGACAAAACAGAGGCTTAGTGAGATTAAGTAATTTGTCTAAAGTCACACTGCTGGTCAATAGCAGAGCTGGGACCCCAGCACAGATGATGTGACCTCCAAGTCTGCTCTTAGCCCATGCATTACTACTTCCCAAGTCACTGGACTTCTTGGAGCTCCAGTTTCCTCATTTGCAAAGCATTCATAAATATTTAATGAATATTAAATAAATATAACAAAATATTCATAAATATTCATACTGTCTCCTATGGTAGAGAGTAGGGAGAAGTAATGTGATAATGTAAGTAAAACATCTAGCCTGTCCTTGGACATACTGAGTATTCAGAAGAAGCATCATTATTAGTTTTTGCCATTCAAAAACAGTGAATGCTGAAATTGGCTCTGTCTTGGTTTATGGCTTTACACTTCTTTGAGGATTCTGTAGACACTCTGGAAGCACGGAGGACACTTAACATATTCTCGTATCTTTCTCAACCTCTGTGATTTTTTTTTTGAGACAGAGTCTCACTCTGTCACCAGGCTGGAGTGCAGTAGCGTGATCTCAGTCCACTACAACCTTTGCCTCCTGGGTTCAAGCGACTCTCCTACCTCAGCCTCCTGAGTAGCTGGGATTACAGGCATGCGCCACCGCGCCCAGCCAATTTTTGTATTTTTAGTAGAGATGGAGTTTCACCATGTTTGCCAAGCTGGTCTCAATCTCTTGACCTTGTGATCTGCCTGCCTCAGCCTCTCAAAGTGCTGGCATTGCAGGTGTGAGCTACCATGCCCGGTCAGTGATTTTTTTTTTTTTTTTTAATGACACACAACTATTTTTTAACTTCTCTTTCTCTTTCTCTTTTTCTATTTGTCTTTTGCATAGCTTTTCAGATCTCACTGAAGGTGAAACCAGGAAAGTACTTCACTCAGAGGTGAGTGTATAGGTAATAAATATGTGGAACAAGACTCTATTGTCCTCAGGTAAAGGTGGGTGACCCTAGGTGCCCTTAGGTAAGCCATTAAAAACTGTTCTACCAAATACTCACATACTGGGCAGGTGTTTGAGCAGGTGTGGCAGCCTTGGGGCAGATGCCGAATGTGGCACACAAGAGGTTAGTGGATATAGTTACACCTTCATAAAACAAATGCTATCTCCCCTGCCGGGTCTTAGCTACAGAGGCGAAAAATGAATATTTTAATTAGTTTCAGCTTCCAAAAGAGTCGTAGGCCAGACTTCCGAATCTGCCTCCTATAGGGAAAACACTTTCAAATTCTACCACTTGGCAAAAAATCCCTCCCAAATAAAACCCCAAAACAAAAATTACATTTCTAACTAAACAAGTAACTGTGCTTCTTAGACAGACAGCTTCATTACGCATTCAGCAGCTTGGATTGACACAATCTTGGGCAAAAGGGGAAGAGGCAAGAGGTGAAGCTGAGCTGTGTTTGGAAGTACAGCTCATAAGGATGGCAGAGAGATTGGAAGGGGTGGGGAAAAATCAAAGCTGATTCCTATTTTTTTCTCCCTGAGCAACTTGTTAGATTATTTAGGTCAATGATGCTTTTAGGAATTAAAATTTTGCATTTTAATATCAGTTTCACTTTTTCAAAGAGCTTTCGTCTCTCCACCCCTGTTGACATAAATGATCACACTGAGTTTTATCTAGGTTAGTTTTAGAAGAGACTAAGTTCAGGGATTTCTGAGATAAAGAGAGGAATTTTATTTTATTTCTTTGCCTCAGGTAGCATTCAATATATAAATATTTCTCTTCATTAAATCCTAATCAAGTTTAACTAAACTTTCAAGACAGATGGGGAGATGTTATTTTAATTATAAAAGGTATCCACACAAACTTCTTTAAAGCAGTGGAGTTTTTTTGGTATTCATTTATGTATTCAACAGATATCTTTGAGCTCTGACAATGTCCAAACACTGTACTGAGTGCTCCACGCACAGTGCTGCAGTGAGCAGCCTCTGGAGATGTGTGTGAAACATGCAGATATGGTTCTGAATCATGATAGATAGAAGGAGCGGGAATAATGGTAGGTGGAGAAAAGCCCCTTTGTTTTGGGTGGTCAGTCAAAGCTTCTATGAGGGAAGAATATTTATGCCAAGACTTGGCAGATACCAGGGACCCAGTTGGGTAAAGAATGAAGCAAAGAGAAGAGAGGAGAGCAGGAATGCATTTCTGGAATAAGGAACAGCATTTGCAAAATTCTGGAGGTGTAAAAAGTTTGGCAAGTTTGAGAAACAAGCAGTGGGGCTGGAGCGTAGGGAATCGGGGGAGAGGCTGAAGAGCTGAAGATGAGGTGGAAGTGGGGCTACATTGACATGACCTACTGAGAGACAATCACTTGACAGAGGATGAAGGAAGTCACAGCTATCTGATTAGGGACCCACTGTTCATGTAAGAACTATCAGAAATGAAATGATCATTTTCCCTGTGAAATTATAAACTCAGTCAGTGGAGAATTGATTCAATTTTCATAAAGTCATTTCAAATTTCATATAGATTAATTTCATATAGTCATGCAATATCTGCATGTTTCACACACATCTCCAGAGGCTGCTCACTGCAGCACTGTGCGTGGAGCACTCAGTACAGTGTTTGGACATTGAATAAAATGTGGCACACTTATTTCTGTGCAAGTTAAGAACTTGTTGGGTGGCTTGCTAGCAAAATTTTTCTCCCTTAACTCTAGGGAATAATATCTGGGCCACAGTTTCCAAACTGGTGTTCCACAAGCTGACTTTGGTCCACAGGCATAGCTTCTTTGGCCCGGACAGTATTTTTACAAAATCTAAATAAGTTGCAGGCCAGGCGCAGTGGCTCGTGCCTGTAATCCCAGCACTTTGGTAGGCCAAGGCAGGCAGATCACTTGAGGCCAGGAGTTCAAGACCAGCCTGGCCAACATGGTGAAAACCCCATCTCTACTAAAAAAAATACAAAAATTAGCCGGGTGTGGTGGCACATGCCTGTAATCCCAGCTACTCAGGAGGCTGAGACAGGAGAATCATTTGAACCCCGGAGGCAGAGGTTGCAGTGAACTGAGATCACGCCACTGCACTCCAGCCTGGGTGACACAGTGAGACTCTGTCTCAATAAATAAATAAGTTGCAGCAGCTGAAACTGCTATGTGTTCAGCAAACCTATTTCCTTCTACAGTTGGTGCACAGCTGCACTACGTTTCCCTGCGTCCCCAGCAAGTAGGAGGAACCATATGACGAGTTCTGCCAATGGATATGAACAGAAGTGCTGGTCACTGTTTCCAGGCCTTGATGGTAAAAATCCTCCTCCCAGCCCTCCACGTTCTCTATCTGTCCCCATCTGCAACTGAATGCAGAGAAGGAAGGTGTCATAGAAGATGCAGAGCCACATGATGAAAGGAGCCTGGCTCCCTGGATGGTGGAACAGTCTCCACAATGACCCTCATTGGACTGTGATGTGAGTGAGATTGAAACATCATTGTGTTCGCCACTGGAATTTGAGTTTGTATGCTGCAACAGTGTCTTTGTTTGGGTTCCTCCCAGGATCAGGTTCTGAGATATGGATTGGTGTCCAAGTAGTTTATTGGGAGGTGATCCCAGGAAACATCAGTATACAGGCAAGTGGGAGAGTGAGAAGGAAAAGGGATGGATTCCAATGAATGGCACATTATCTACCAGTTTGTACTGTGGCAGCTGGAGCTCAGTCACACAAGGAAACTCTGGGAGGCAATACAGGACATATCTCAGAGCTATCCTAACTGAAAGGTAAGACTATCTATCATATTTATATACTTTCCTCTCATTGTTTGAGAGCTGCTTCCAAGGGCATTAATGTTTTAGCATTCCTACATGTGCTGAATGCAGGTCAAGTGTGTGCACAGTGTCTTCAGGCAGAGTTGAAGGCAGTCACACTAGGCAGCCTCACCTGCAGAGGGGAGTGCTGAGTGGATATGAGTGGAGCACCAACAGCATCTGCTAAGAATGTTTAGCACACACTGTGGCCAAGACTTAAAATTAGGTGACTTAACATAAAATTGGAGTTTCTGACTTCCTCCAAAAAATAAGAAGATAGTCAACATTGAGCCTACATTTCTGTATGGCAATAACTGGCTGGAGCTGACTAGTGATTGACACTTTACATGGGGGTAGGGTCTCTAATCTCCATGGTCCCCATAACCCCCACCAATCCTCTCTGTCACCCAGGCTGGAGTGCAAAGCCATGATCTTGGCTCACTGCAACTTCTGGCTCCTAGGTTCAAGTGATCCTCCCACCTCAGCCTCCTGAGTACTGGGATTATAGGCGCCACCACACCTGGCTAGTATTTGTATTTTTAGTAGAGATGGAGCTTCATCCTTTTGGCCAGGCTGGTCTTGAACTCCTGATCTCAAGTGATCCGGCCGCCTTGGCCTCCCAAAGTGCTGGGATTACAGGCATGAGCCACCGTGCCCGGCCTACTGGCCCACCTTATGATTCTTTCTGTAGGCATTTGAATCTGTAACCCCAGGCCTTCTACTAGAACAAACCTTGTGTTTTGTTCATTTCCTCCCATCTTTCTCAATCCAGTTGCATTTTCTTCCCTCTGTACCCCACTTCAAAAGCTTCTCAAAATGTACTTTCTTGATGAGGACTTCCCTGACCACTTCACCATACTTCTATGGCCATCTATAGCTGTGCCATCCCATATGGTAGCCACTGGCCACATTTGGCTATTTTAATTTTAATTTCAGTTAATTAAAGTTAACTAAGCTAATAAAGATAATTAAAATTTAAAAATGAGTTCCTCCATCATACTAGCTACATTTCATGTGCTCCATAGCCATAGGTGGGTAATATATTGGATATGTCACATCTTGGACAGCACAGATACAATACATTTGCATGATGACAGAAAGTTCTGTTGGACAGTGCTGACCTGTATCATAATTCTTCTTGTAGGTGCTTTATTGTTTTCCGTAAGTATTTACCTCTTAAGGTGAAATCATCTTTAAAAAATGAGAGCCAGTGTGTTCCACTTGTCTCATATTCCTGCTCACAGTCAAGTACCTAAGCGATTGCTTGTAGTATTATTGCTGATGTTTCTCAAGTTGCTGAATGAGGTGCGGTTACCAGCGTCCCCTGTAGTCCCATTCAGGGAGACATTGCTCGCTCTCCTGTCCTCTTCAGGCTTATTTGGAAGTCTGAAGACGCTGCCTAGGGAGAAAAGAGACAGGGATTTCAACATCATACTCTTTTAGGATTGGAAGGAAACTCATTAAGGCCACTTATTGTTTCCTACTTTAAAAAAAAGTAACCTGTACTTTGGTGATTTATTTTTTATGTCTTTATTGTATTTAAAATTCAGTAAGAATTGGGACATGAAAACATCACGGTAAAACATCCTGATTTGGGAGTTTGACAAACAAGGGTGGGATCGCAGCTCTGTCATTTATTAGCTACAAGACTTCACACCATTTACTTGCCTTCTCTAAGCCTCAATTTATTCCAAGGAGAATAATAACAATATCTACCTCATGCAGTTTTGATGAGGATTAAATGAGATAAATGCCATAGGAATTATTGTTATCAACAAAAAAATCAAATCCAAAGGAAAAGCAAGCAAGGTGAGAATAGACCTACAGTTGTGTGCCTATTGGAAGGGATCAAAGCAGATCATGCATTCAGAAAATTCCTTCCAATAGAAATGTGTGCACAGTTGCAGGGGATCCATTTTACAAACACTAATTTCCTTGGAAAATATTAATGTATTTTCATTAGCGTGGAGACTAGAGACTAGAGTTATGGGGCTGGCATTGCACCCTCCCCTTGCCCTACTCTGCCAAACAAATAATATCTCAAATTAAAGCTGCCTTTTGGTGGAAAAAAAAAAAGGATAATGGAAATAGGATGACCAGGAATAAAAGGACTGGAGAGCTCCAATCACTCAGTTTTGGGTCAGAAGATAAAATCATTATGGGGAATGTCTATCTCTTTTTCTGTCTTCGCTGTCCATATGTTTTATATGTTTGAAAATAATAGAACATTCTGAATGCAATTATTGCTTTCTTTCTCCAAAGAGGTAAACAGTGCCTGGGAAGGTTAATGTTCTCAAGCACCTCTCAGGCATGACTGTGTCCTTTTCTTGGTCATCAAGCTGTGAAAAGTCACAGTGCTGTCCAATAATCTCATGGAGAAACAAGCTAAAGGCACTTCCTTCTGGACAGAACAGATCATGCTAGGCCTGCCTACAAATGGCATTTTGGCTGGTGGCCATAATGTCATGATGAAACTTGGTTTGGGCAGAGGCTCAGAAGTGGCATTTGGGAGATTTTCCTTCTTCAACTGTGTACATTTGATCGTTTGGGAAAGATGCTCAAAATCAGTTGCAAAGTGAAATAAAGTAGATTACAAAAGAGCATGTGTGATATGATCACATTCTGTTACAAGAATGAGAGACTAGTTGGAAAGTGTCTAATAGAGTTCTTTGTAGCTGTAGAAATTCACAAAAAAGGAATTTATTGGAAAGATGTGGAAGTTGATACAAGTATGAGTTAGGTATTGCTGCATAACAAACCACTTCAAACTTCGAGGCTTAGAACATGTATTTAGCTCGTGATATAAGGTCGTCTTCTTCATGTATCTGAGGTCAGCTGTGTGTGCATGAGGTGGTTCTACTTCTGAGAGTTGGCTGAGACTCCTGTGCTCTCCTCCAAGTGGTTTGTTATCCTCCAGCAGCTGACACCAGTTTTGTTCTTGTGGCTCCAAGAGAGACTGGAAGCACACAAGCCCTCTAGAAGTTGAGGCTCTGAGCTGACACACTTCACTGTTCCTGCATTCTACTGGCTAAAGCAAATTGCAATGCATCCCAGATTCAAGGGGTGGAGAACTAGATTTCAGTTCTTGATGGGCCTCTGTCTCTTGCACAGGGCATGGTATGGAGGCCACTAGTTGAGGCCAAGAATACAATCAATTTCCCGTATTAGAATTGAAGGAAAAGGTGAAGAATTAGTTCTCAGGAGGCCCAGGACCCAGAGCTGCTCCAGGTGTCTGAATGATATGTGCCAATGAGTGATCTCATTAGTGTTCCCCTCTCAGGAGGAAGAAACTCCAGCATTGTCAGTCTTCGAGGGTCACTTAGCTAGAGACTGAAATCACAGCTTGGTCACCTGCCTACTGCTTTGCCAGCAAAGGACCTGACACCTGGGTTGGTAGCCCCACTAGAAATGATATTCCATTGATTGAGTGGCTATCCCCAGAGCAAAATGTGGGTGTGGCTCCCTGAAGAAGGCAGAATGAATGCTGGGTCTTTCATACCAAAGTACTTTCTTTATACACTAAAATGTTAACAATAGTAATATCTGTATGTTGGATTCATGGAAGAGGTTTCTGTTTGTTTGTTTGTTTGTATGTAATCCTGAATTTTTCTAAGGAATGTGTATTATTTATGTAAGTTTTTAAAAAGTTACAGGAAAAACAGTTGTAGAAACCCACAATCATGTAGCAGGACAGGTGTAGTGGAGAGGTATTTGTACTTCAAGTCTTTTTGCCTCAGTTTCTTTCCTCCTCCCCCCTTTTTTCCTCCTCCTCTGTCTCTTCTCCCTCCTCCTTTTTCTCCTTCACCATCTCCTTCTGCTACTACTGCTACTACTACTGCTAGGCTTACGCACACACATGCACACACACAGACACATCCCTTCCATCACATTCCAGAAAGGAAACTGCTTTGAGTCTCTGTCTTCTCATTTGTAAAATGATAGGAAGAGAGGAGATTGTCTCCAAAATCATTTCCATTTATAAGTAATGGTTACACACATAATTCTGATTTTCCAGATAATTTATTCTATATCCTGACACTTTCTCTTTGATTGTCCTAATATGCTATATTTTATCTCTAAAAGCAACTCATCTCTGTTCTAAAAGCACATAGAGGGAAGGGTTTCTTCAGCTCCCTCCTCTTTGGTCCCCATCACCAGATGCTATGATAGTTGGCTGGAAGACCATAGAGATCTAACAGCTATTAGTGCTCAAGGCTCAGGCCTTACCTACCAGAAATCAGTCTCCAAAGAAAATATACCTCCTCAACCTCCACAACACCCCCAACACTAATGAAAGAGAGAGCGCTCTCTCCATATACACTTTTGGAAGCCATTGATGAGGGCTTTTGCCTTGTGGGTTGTAATTAGGGTTACCAAATAAAAATACAGGATGTTAAGTGAAATTTGAATTTCAGATAACCAACAGTAGCTTGTTAGTGTAACTTATATCCCATAAATTGCAGATATTGCCAATTCGAATGGGGGCATACCTATCCTAAAAACGTATTCGTTTTTATCTGAAATTCAAATTTCATTTGCTAAATCTGCCAACCCTAGTTGGAATAGATTCCTGCTGTTCTTTATCCTCCCTTTACCACCCCAGACTCAGGAACAGAGAAAATATATGACCTCTGCCAGACTTTGGCCAAAGAAAGTCCTAAAACTTCTAAATATTTTGAAGCATCTGAAAGAAATCATGAGCAAATATTTCTCATTTCCTTGTGGTCATGACAGTCTGAACCAGGAATTAATGTCTGGTTCTAAATTCAGAAATAAAGCAGTTCTTTTTTTTCTTGTTTTTATTTTTTTCCTTCACAAAAGTATCACATATATTTTTAAAAAATTTAAAACAAGTAAAAACTATAATCAACCAGATGTAGCACAAGGGAGGCCAAGTGAGATGTCTGCAGTTTCTTGGACACTCCAATATTGAGAGTGAGTTGCCTTGGTTTAAGGATATAAATAGTTCCACCTGGAGATCAATACCCACCCTAAAGAAAAAAACACATAGACATTCGGCTTCATGTCCCATTTGCATGTGAACTTCACAGGAGTTCATTACTGTGTGTCTCCTCATTTCTGAGTGTTATAATGAAGTTACTGCTGGACTGGGAGGCCAAGGGTCAGATCTCAGAGCATGGGATAACATGCAGACAAAGCCAGCGCAGTCTTGGCAGCCTTCCTCTAGGTTCACCCACTGTATCTTCATGCTTTTATCTTTCTAACTTCAGCATGCACTTGGAAACCTCAACACTTTGAACAAGAATAAACTGGGGGAAAACTGTTGCTGTGAGCACTCTAGATAAAGTGAGCAGGATATTTACATAGAAAGACTTGAACTTCTTCAATTAATAATTATTGGTAATAAGTTTACATTGTTCTAAAATATTCATAACAATCCTGGAGACATAGATACATAAAATTGAGTCTTAAAGACCTTCATTAACTTACTTGAGGTCATACCACCAGTTTCAACATAGGCCAGTTTAACTCCAAAATCTATTTTCTTCCCCACTACCATACCATATTGCTCTTTATTTCCGAGAGTTGCAAGCAGGTGTTTTGTAGGTCAAATCTCGTCCATGAACTAATCTGACATTAGGCAATATTGTTTCACCAGTATCACTTTTTTCAACCCTTGAATTTGAATGTCTTTAGGCTGGACATACACTTCCCACTTTGTCAACAGTCACCACCACTCTCTATCATGTTACACTTGCCGCTAATCACATGTTTATGTTACCTCTCTGGCCACCACAGACATTCGAGTTTGCAATTCCAGGTTTGGTGTCCAAAAAGTGTTTTTACCAATACCATTTGATACTCAGAATGACTGTATAGGAGAAATGGTAGATTTCATAAAGATTGATGAAGAAATGTGCTCAGTAATGCAAGATGTTTTTCCAGAGGAGTCCCCCACCAACAATTAGCAGAACCAGTGCCATTTTCAATACATCAAGATCAACATCCTACACTGAACATTCTTAGTGACCCATAGTCTGGGTGAAGGTCATTACACTCTCAGGGATTTGAATTAGAACACAGGTAAAGCTAAAGAAAGTGGGAGAAGAACTTGGAATTAGAAAAAGCCCAGTTCAAAGATAATTTGTATTTTACTGACATGTTCAGCATAGTATGAACTCTGGCTCTGCCGAACATCCAGTCTGCCTCATGTACAAAAGTTGCTGATCCAGGGGCCGGGTGTGGTGGCTCATGCCTGTAATCCCAGCAATTTGGGAGGCCAAGACAGGCGGATTATGAGGTCAGGAGTTCGAGACCATCCTGGCTAACACGGTGAAACCCCGTCTCTACTAAAAATACAAAAAAATTAGCCGGGCATGGTGGCGGGTGCCTATAGTCCCAGCTACTCAGGAGGCTGAGGCAGGAGAATGACATGAACCCAGGAGGTGGAGCTTGCAGTGAGCCGAGATCACGCCACTGCACTCCAGCCTGGGTGACAGAGCAAGACTCTGTCTCAAAAAGAAAAAAAAATAAAATTTGCTGATCCATTGCAGGAGAAAGTTATAGAGAAATGTACTTCAATTGTATGCCCTAAATAAACTCCATGGGGCCCCATGTAAATGAAGGAATGGCAATAACTAGGAGTGGTAGTTGTTTCCCTCTCAGTCATTGTACTTTTGAATAGGAGTCATTGTACCAACCGTTTAACATATTCATATGTTCCTGGTACTAATGAGGTTGGTCTATTTTAACCTTTTTTGACAAGGAAGAAATGGCAGGCAGGCAGGTGTCCAAAGCACTAATCTATGAAAGGACAGTTTCCTCTGTGTTTGCAACAGGTGGAATGCTTCAGCCGATAGAACTGTATTCTTTGTTATGTTTCCTAAACAGAGCACAGTTTAGTCCTCAAATTTGCCAAGCAGGTCCATTTGCACACCTCTTGTTCACATTATTTCCTCTGACCATTCCAGTCAGAAACCATGAAATCAAAGTCACCTCATTTGTTTTTTGTTTGTTAGACACTTATGTAGCGTATCTTATGTGCCAGAGACACTTTTAAAGGAACAGCTCATTTAAACCTTGTGTTAGCTGTATCAAGTAGGGACCACTATTATCCCCATTTTACAGATAATGAAACTGTGGCACAGAGTGGTTAAGAAACCTTCCCAAGTCACACAGCAAATATGTGGAAGAGCTGATCCTCTTGACCGCTTTGCTATGTGCTCTTATCTTGGTCATGTGCTGCCATAACATGCATATCTTCGCTATACCATTGTTAATTCTTCTGATTGCCAGGGGAACATATTTTCCTACTATTCCCTTTATACATTTTCCTTGCTGTTCTTGTGCTGAGTTGGCATTGATATATCAGCCAGGTTTTATAAGTGTTGGGAAAGCTCGCCATGGTGTTCTGATTATAACTGCATGTGTGTCCTGCAGACCTGCTTTCATCCATCACTGATGCATGAAATAGAGCACCTTTAATACAGCACCTGAGACCCCAAAAAGTTAGGCCAAGTTGGTGCAAGAACACAAAGAACCATGGACTCGCTAATTTTCAATAGATGACCAACTGCCACCTGAACTTCTGAATGGGTTTTTCTCTGAGCCCACCTGATATGCTCTACTTCAGTGGGAGGTGGGCAGTGATAAGAAGTCAAGAAGACTTGAATTCCTGCCAACTGAGAGACAGCTGAAGGAAATGGGAACATTTATCTTGGAGAAGAGAAATATGGAGGCCTCAAGGACTGGCATCAGACAGCTGACTCGCTGCTATGTGCAAGAAGGAGTGGGCTTATCTTAAGTTGTCCAGAGTGCAGTAGAAAATGGAAACTCTGGGCAATCAGATTTCAGCTCAATGTAAGTGATTTCTCTCTATTGTTGTTTTGTAAATTTTTGAGAAAATGGTTTTAAGTGATAGAAATAGCAACATACTCTTTATAAAAAATAAAATCAAACAATAACAAAATGTCTAAGGTGGAGAGTAAAAGCCTCTTTTCCTTTACCCACTCCCACTCCCTAGGAATACCCTTGATATCTATCCTCCCATGTCCCCTATCTATGCACATGTAAACGTGCTATCCATACATATACATATGCCTACTACGTGTCCCTATAAATTTCCTGTATTTTTGTCTGTTTTCAAATATATGGCCATAAAATGGGTATATCTCAGAATGTAATGAACAAGAAAGGCCCTTTAAGAGTAAATTTCTGTGATTTCCAAATGTTATTTTACAGAGATGCCCTGCTGAAGGATCTGAAATATATGACTTTAGTTATTGACTGCAAATATTCAAGTTGTTCCACAATTTTAGTTAATCTGACTTGACTTTTTTTATTGAAAAAAATTTACCAGATACCTACAAAACGGAAGTAGGCATTTTGTACTGATACTTATTCTTAAGAGAAAGGATATTCAAACAATTTAAGCTATTCAAAAATGGATGAGCTGCTTAGACGTTTTAGCCACTGGCTATGTTCAAATAGAGGCTGGTTGACCAGTTGGTTACAACGTTATAGAGGTGATTAATGCCACAGATGGGAAGGTGGGGAGAGTTGGACTGGGTGCTTTCCAAGATCCATTCAGTGCTCTGATTCCCTGACTTCCTATGCTCTGCTTACCTGGGCAGTGAAAGATTGCAGGTGGTGCCCTATGAAGAGGAGCAGCCAAATGGCTCCTGCTCCCCATGGCAAGAACCGCAGGTGCACACACAACCTGGCTGGGTCCAGGGCCACTCACTGACACGTGGCTGGTGGACAGAAGCGCCTGCAGGCAGTAATTCTTGTTCCAGCTGCTCTGTGAGCATTCGGGGCTTTCAACTTTGGTACCTGGATTTAAAAGAAAACAAATTCCTTTCTAAACACTGCAGGTTTGAAATTGAAGCTAATACTGTACATTCTTAGGAGCCTGGCAGTGCAGGAAATTACTCCTTCACCTGTTTCCTATTTTGACATTTCATTAAGATGGAATTTAGTGGCTAGAAAAAATAATATTAAAATATTTGACCTTAAAAAAAAACACTGGTTAGAGTCTTCAATGTTTAGAACTCCCTCGGCTTGTGCTTCTTTTCCTTTTGAAAAAAAATATATAACTCCTAGAAAAGTTGCAAAAAGAATATGTCAAACCCCTGTATACTCTCACCTACATTCACCAGTTATTGACATTTTGCTATATTTGCTTTCTCTATATGTACATTTATTATTATTATTATTGTTAGGAACTATTTGAGATAAGTTGCAGATATCATGACCTTTCCCACCTAAACACATTGGCAAGTGTCTCCTAAAAACAAAGACATAGTGCAATGATCAAATTTAGGAAATTTAACACAGCTTTGAATCTCTTACTGAATACAATCATATCCAAGTTTTGCCAGTCTTTCCAATATTGGGGTTTATAACATGTTTTCCCAACCCAGGACTTTGTATTTCTACATAGTTGTCATGCTTTTTTTTTTTTTTTTTTTTTTTTTTGAGACGGAGTCTTGCTCTGTTGCCCAGGCTGGAGTGCAGTGTGCTATCTCGGCTCACTGCAAGCTCCGCCTCCCGGGTTCACGCCATTCTCCTGCCTCAGCCTCCCAAGTAGCTACAGGCGCCCACCACCACGCCCAGCTAGTTTTTTGTATTTTTAGTAGAGACGGGGTTTCACCGTGTTAGCCAGGATGGTCTCCATCTCCTGATCTCGTGATCTGCCCACCTCGGCCTCCCAAAGTGTGGGGATTACAGACTTGAGCCACCGCACCCAGCCAGTTGTCTAAGAAGCCAGTTGCTTCTTTAGTCTCTTTTATTTGAGAATGAAAAGGCTCCCAATTTTTGTCTTTTAAGACACCAGCATTTTTGAAGAGTGCAGGCCTATTTTTCTGTAACATATCTCTGGGATTTGTCTGGTGTGAGATTCAAATTATGCACACACTGTGTCCTTCTCAGTGTGTCACATTAGGGGGCACCTGATGTCAGTTTGCCCCATTGGTGGTGAAGGTAACTTTGATCATGTGGTTAAAGTAGTATCCGTGTGACTGCTCCACTTCTGGGGAATCTCTCCCTCTTTAGAATAAATAATCTATGGGGAGGTACTGGTGGTGTCACCCAGATTTCTTCACTCTAAAACATTTTTCCTTTGTGGTAATAATCTTCAGGAGGATAATTTTAGACTGGGTAAATAGCTTGTTTACAAACAAACTTGTTTTAGCATCCATCCATGGCCCTTGCCTGAATCAATTACAATATTGTTATAGTGGATCAGTGCTTTTGGAAATGAGAATATTTTCATATCAAGGTTTCCTCGCTGCACTCCCCACCCCCACACATTATCCCCCCTAACACCAAAAGGGATCCCCCAGCCAAACCATCTGGGCCCATATATGCCAGCTATGACTAAAGATCCCTGATAGCATCTCCTCCCCTCCATCCTCAAGTCTGAGATGTTCCTGGGGGATAAAGCAGCTATGGAGAAGCAAAGAGAGCCCTACACTGAGAATCAGAGAGCTGACGACCTGCATCTCCACTTGGAGGTTCCATGGGTTGCTCTAAATGAGCATGTCCTAAACTGAACTTGCTGACTCCTACCAACCTGTGCTTACACCAGCATTCCAATTTCAGTGAATTCACTGCCATTTACTCAGATGCCCCAGCCAAAAATCTGAGCAGCATTCTGTTACTCCTTCCTCTTCCCCCTTCTCCACATCTAATCAACAACTAAATCCTGTGTGATGAGACTTTCCAAACATCTCCAAGAATTTGTCCCCCTTTCTCCATCTCTATCACCACCACCTGGTCTAGGCTACCTTCACCTCTCACTCGGTCTTCTGCAATAGCCTTCTGCCTCTCCTCCTGCCTCTCCTCCTGCCTCTAAGGTTTTCTGTGCTGCAATCCATTCTTCTCACTTCAGCCAGAGTGACCTTTCTGAAGTATAAATCTGATCATGTCCTCCCAAACCTAACCCCCATTAAGCCCTTTGGTAGCTCTCCATTGCTTTAAGGACCATTGGTTAAAGTGGTAAGTCTAAATTCTCTAACATGGTGTACAAGGTCCCTACAACACAGAGTTGGAGGGAAATTTCCACGATGGCACCTCTTTCTTGCCTCGTTTCTGGCCAGACAGATCAAGCTGGGCACAAGCTGACATATGTCTGGAATGTGTTTTGTAGGCATACAAAGTAATCATCTCTTGGGAAATCATGGAAGCAATCTTGACTTGGTCATTTCCAGGACTCTAACTGGATAAAGCTGCCCCCAAGCTGTGGATCCTCTTCTTAGTTGGAAGAGAAGTACCTTGAACAGTTTGTTCTTCAGGACAGGTGAAGCCATTGAAAAAGATAAGCAAACATGGGATGCACCATGATCTCACAACGGGCTTGAATAAGAATGGCTACCACATTTATTCTATCTTTTATTTTTTTGAGATGGAGTCTTGCTCTGTTGCCTAGGCTGGATTGTAATGGCACAGTCTCAGCTCACTGCAACCTCCACCTCTCGGGTTCAAGTGATTCTCCTGCCTCAGACTCCCGAGTAGCTGGGATTACAGGTGGCTGCCACCACGCCCAGCTAATTTTTGTATTTTTAGTAGAGACGGGGTTTTACCATGCTGGCCAGGCTGGTCTTGAACTCCCGACCTCAGGCGATCCATCTGCCCCAGCCTCCCAAAGTGTTGGGATTACAGGCATGAGCCACTGCGCCCAGCCCACATTTATTATATCTTGAGAGAAAAGATATTGCAAACACATTGGATATGACAGAGTTTCACTCTTTTGCCCAGGCTAGAGTGAAGTGGTGCAATCTGGGCTCACTGCAACCTCTGCCTGCCAGGTTCAAGTGATTCTCCTGACTCAGCCTCCCAAGTAGCTGGGATTATAAGCGCCTACCACCATGCCTGGCCAATTTTTGTATTTTTAGTAGAGACGGGGTTTCACAATGTTGGCCAGGCTGGTCTCGAACTCCTGACCTCAGGCGATCCACCCGCCTTGGCCTCCCAAAGTGCTGGGATTACAGGCGTGAGCCACTGCGCCTGGCCTATTTGTTTACTCTTTCTGACTAGCATGTGCATCCCAAATCTCAGAGCAAGCACATTCCTCTGTTTTTATGCTATATTAGTGGTTTTGGGACAAACATGCAGAGAAATATGAGATCTTGGCTACTTTTTCTCTCCAAAAAGTCAGACTACATTTTAAATATTCTCTCCTTAGGCCAGAACTCTTCGTCCATTGAAGAAACTTTTAAAAATCTGTAAGGCACATTTCTTATAAATGTTTAAAAATCCTCAAGAATGTTGAGAGCTAGGCAGAACGATAAAGTATGATTAATAGCTACCTCTTACTGAGTATTTACTGTGTCCCAGGTACTATATTAAGAGTTTTCTTTATATTTAACTCATACAATAAGCTTTAAAATTAATTATTTTGTTCCCATTTTGCAAATGAGAAAACTGAGGCACAGAGCACTTCAGCAACTTGATTAAGATCACAAGATTTGGATTTTTAAAATTAATTTTTTTTTTGTAGCAATGAAATCTCACTGTATTGCTCAGACTGCTCTTGAACTCCTAGGCTCAAGCAGTCCTCCTACCTTAGCCTCCCAAAGTGCTGGAATTACAGGCGTGAGTTACCGTGCCTGGCCCAAAAAATTAGGAATTAAAAGCAGCACTATCAGATGTCAAAGACCATGTTCCTACTCAGTGTGTTGTATGTCTCAGCAAGCTCTCATCTTTCTCCTAGAAGCCCACCTCCTTCATTTTAGGACCTTCCCTCCCTCCCTCCCTCCCTCCCTCCCTCCCTCCCTCCCTTCCTTCCTTCCTTCCTCACATTTACATTGCTAGGTGTGACTTCAGAAGCCATCTACCACACTTTTCTTTTTCTTTTTCTTTTTTCTTTTCTTTTCTTTTCTTTTCTTTTCTTTTTTTTTTTTTTTTTTTGACAGTGTCTCTCTCTATCTCCCAGGCATGATCTTGGCTCACTGCAACCTCCACCTCTCACGTTCTAGCCATTCTTCTGCTTCAGCCTCCTGAGTAGCTGGGATTACAGGCGCCTAATACCACACATGGCTAATTTTTGTATTTTTAGTAGAGATAGGGTTTCCCTATGTTGGCCAGGCTGGTCTGGAACTCCTGACTGCAGGTGATCCACCTACCTCGGCCTCCCAAAGTGCTGGGATTACAGGCATGAGCCACCGCGCCCGACCATCTACCACACTCTAGATCCCAATTGTCCCACTGTTTTCTAGATTTTACCTTCTATTCCCAATCGAAAGTGTCCTGTGCCTCATTCTTTTAGGACTACTGTTTCATGCTCTATAATACCTTTAGTGTCTGGTAGTCAGGTATTCAATAAATAATTATGAACATCACTGTGTGAGACCAATGTGATTCCTATACACATGGGGTTTAGCAAATACTTGTTGGATAAATGAATGAATCCTGGAATAATCTAATGAGCAAATAAATACTAATACACAATTAGTGACAATAGAGGAAGTTTGAGTAGAAGACAGAACATGAGTTCTGGAATAAGAAACCTGGATTTGGATTCTGGCACGACTATTTGGGTTGTACTTAGTACTATTCACCAAATAAATATTTATGGCTGTGGTCATTTCAGGCATTTGGTAGTATTATATCTTGCACTGCTTAGTATTTTCAAATTTCCAAGAGGCATAGGTCTTTGGGATTGGGGAACAAGTCAGGATTTTTAGTTCTCAGGAACCCTGAAGTCATAAATTATTCATTTTTCATAATCTTTTTTTACATGTATTTGTATAATAATGAGCGGCCATAATTGTGAATACTAAGTCATTTTTCTGTGATAGGGTTATGCTATCAGAAGTTTTCTATTAGAAATGACATAATAATAAATGGATGGCGTATTATTACTGTGAACTGATTTATTCCAACAAGAATATATGTTTCAGTAACATGTAAAAATAATCTTCTTCATATAGACATCTGATACTAGAAAATATTAAAAGATGGAGATAATAACATAAGATAAATAGCAAGTAAAAATTATTACTAAAATGAAATATATTACCACAAATACTTCTATAAGTTATCATTATTAAAATGAAAATGTAGAACCCACAAAGAATTATTTGCCTAGCCAATTTCCTGCCTTGCATGGACATTTGTTCAATTGTGAGGATTGCATACAAAAGCATCTTCAAGCTGAGTTTTAGAACACCTATTACTTCATGTAAGTTATTTGTTTTTTTAATAATGAAAATAAAAATATTTGCTTTTCTTGTCTGCTAGTTCTGGTTTTGATTTTGCCATTGAAATTGATATTGCTTTTGCTAATTCAGGTTTTTGTACAGTCTCTGATTTCCTGTCGGAGTCTTCCACAACATTCATATCATCTGCTCCTTGCATTTCTTCAGTTAAAATATTTACAAAGAACTGTAGCCTAGAGGGAATATTCAAAAACTGAAAAACACCAGTCAACATTACTGGGTTGTATTCAAATAATATGACATTCAGATCCCTTAGCAAAGTTAACAGCACTAAATAGAACCATGCATTGAAACTGCCAATTTAAGGACATTTGTTTTCAAAACTGGTTTCTTAGAACATCACTCATAGGATTTGTATGAAGTACACTACACATACAAACTTACTGATGTTTACTTTATTTGCAAGAATGAGTCACCCAGCAGGCAAAGCCATGAATACACACTTACAATATAACAATGCTACAAACAAGACTGATTAGATGATTCTCACTTCTCTAGTCCCTCCTCCTATCCTGGTTCCCAGAAATGTTGACCTTAACCTTTGATTTTCCCCATTAGCATTTTTTGGTCTTGCTTTTCGAATCAACATGAGTAACATGTCTATGTTAATTCCTATGCTTTAATTCTTATGGAAGAATCATAATACTCGTTTTCTGTTTTCCCACCTTGTCGACTAAATTTCACTGGGACTTGGAATTTGGAAAAACATATACATTTACAGAAAACTGCCAGGAAGGAATTCCCTCATGGAAATACTACCACTGCCTTTAAAGTTATGTGTGCCCATGTCACAGGGTTTAGGCAATTGGACATGGAAAGGAGTGGCCTGTGTTACTTTCAGGCAGAAACTTTGACGATGATTAAGTGACTTGCCGTGTTTCCTTTTCCCTGCAGCATTGAGCATGGATGCACATGTTGTTAGAACCTCCAGAACTAGCGTCCCTGAGTGACTTTGATAAGCTGAGACCGCTAATAACTCATGTCAAACATATAATATGCATGAGCAAGTTTTCTGAGGTTTTAGGGTTGTCACTACAGCATAACCTACAGTGACAGGCCCCATGCATCAGGCAGATTACATACCCTCCCTGAGTTTCAATTCTATTATTGAAAAAGAGGAAAAGTAATTTTCACTTTTTTTTTTTTTGTAAGGACTGTCAAGATAAGTGCATAGCTTTGAATAGGTCTAATACATAATAAATATTCAATACATTTTTCCTCTCCAAAGGGATAAAGAGAACATTCTAGAAACATATTATATTTAAAAAAATGGGAATCAGAATGACATCAAAATTCCCAAATGCAACATTGGCAGCTAGATATCTATCCAAGGGGCAAAGCCTTCAAACTTCTGAAGGAAAAGTTTAGACACAGCTAAACTATCAATTAGGTAGAAAAGTCTATACCTAGCCAAACTATCAATTGAATATGAGGGTAGAATGCCGTCATTTTCACAAAAATTTGTATGCTATGAATCTTTTCTCTGGCAGTACTTCACCAAAATGAATGAATTATTTGTCCAAGAAGAATACATGTGGTCTAGGAAACAGGAGAATCCAACCTAAGACAGAGGGGATTCCTGTGAAGGATTTTCCCAGCTTGAAGTCTGGGCAGAGCCTTGTAAGTAACTGGCTAGTCTGCAGCAGGAGAACCGGACTCAAAGGGAGACATAATCAGGAACAGTGTAAAACTGCTAGGGAACCAGACATATACGGAAAATAGTGCTGAGAGGGAGAGTACATTCTACTGGAGAGTTTGAGAATTCATGACAGTGCACGACTAAGCAAAAGAAAAAATATATACATAAGGCAATTACTAACTCCATAAACAAGAAAAAAATTCAAAAAGAAAAAAATGAAGTCATAATAGACTCAGCAGAGAAGATGTGCAGGGTTGTAATAATTTATTTACTAATTACTGATTGAATCAGAAATTTAAAAATAATTGCCAAATATAGGTAGAACAGAGGAGGAGAAGTCAGGAGAGGATAACTCTTCGTTTTTCAAATTAGGATATCAATAGATTATGCCTAAAAGTGGTAACAACAAGAAATCTACTATCAGTAGGTTATTTTAAAATATGGAGGTGTGTCCGGAATTGGTGGGTGCTTGGTCTCACTGACTTCAAGAATGAAGCCGCCAACCCTCGCGGTGAGTGTTAACAGTTCTTAAAGGCGGCGTGTTAGGAGTTTGTTCCTTCTGATGTTCGGATGTGTTCGGAGTTTCTTCCTTCTGGTGGGTTCGTGGTCTTGCTGGCTTCAGGAGTTGAAGCTGGCTTTATGAGCTGGCTACAGCTCATAAAGGCAGTGTGGACCCAAAGTGTGATCAGCAGCAAGATTTATTGCAAAGAGCGAAAGAACAAAGCTTCCACACTGTAGAAGGGGACCAGAGCGGGTTGCCACTGCCGGCTCGGGCAGCCTGCTTTTGTTCTCTTATCTGGCCCCACCCACATCCTGCTGATTGGTAGAGCCAGTGGTCTGTTTTGACAGGGCGCTGATTGGTGCGTTTACAATCCCTGAGCTGGACATAAAGGTTCTCCACGTCCCCACCAGATTAGCTAGATACAGAGTGTCCACACAAAGGTTCTCCAAGGCCCCACCAGAGTAGCTAGATACAGAGTGTCCATTGGTGCATTCACAAACCCTGAGCTAGACACAGGGTGCTGATTGGTGTGTTTACAAACCTTGAGCTAGATACAGAGTGCCAATTGGTGTATTTAGAATCCCTGAGCTAGACATAAAGGTTCTCCATGTCCCCACCAGACTCAGGAGCCCAGCTGGCTTCACCCAGTGGATCCGGCACCAGGGCTGCAGGTGGAGCTGCCTGCCAGTCCTGCGCCGTGCGCCTGCACTCCTCAGCCCTTGGGTGGTCGATGGGACTGGGCGCCGTGGAGCAGGGGGCCGCGCTCATCGGGGAGGCTTGGGCCGCACAGGAGCCCACGGAGGGGGTGGGAGGCTCAGGCCTGGCGGGCTGCAGGTCCCAAGCCCTGCCCCGCGGGAAGGCAGCTAAGGCCCGGCGAGAAATCCAGCGCAGCGCCGGTGGGCTGGCACTGCTGGGGGACCCAGTACACCCTCCGCAGCCGCTGGTCCGGGTGCTGAGCCCCTCATTGCCCAGGGCTGGCAGGGCCGGCGGGCTGCTCCGAGTGTGGGGCCCGCCAAGCCCACGCCCACCCGGAACTCCAGCTGGCCCGCAAGCGCCGCGGGCAGCCCCGGTTCCCACTCGCGCCTTTCCCTCCACACCTCCCTGCAAGCTGAGGGAGCCGGCTCCGGCCTTGGCCAGCCCAGAAAGGGGCTCCCACAGTGCAGCGGTGAGCTGAAGGGCTCCTCAAGTGCTGCCAAAGTGGGAGCCCAGGCAGAGGTGGCACCAAGAGCGAGCGAGGGCTGTGAGGACTGCCAGCACGCTGTCACTTCTCAGAGGCAGCCATGCATGATAGCTCACACCTGTAATCCCAGAACTTTGGGAGGCTGAAGCAGGTGGATCCCCTGAGGTCCCGAGTTCGAGACCAGCCTGGCCAACATGGCCAAACCCCGTCTCTACTAAAAATATGAAAAATTAGCTGGGATCGCACCACTGCACTCCAGCCTGGGCAACAGAGCGAGACTCCATCTCAAAAAATAATAATAATAAAAAAAGGGAGGCATGTGTCAGAGGAAGCATGGGACAGATTTGAAAGCAGTTGCCTGCATTTAGGGTTTGAGACCACTGTTTTCTGTTATAAACCACATAGTGCTGTTTGACTCTTTAAAATATGGACATGTACTCACTGTGAGATGAAGGTTAGTTACTATTTAAAAATTAATAAGTACATACCTAAATCCATAAATATTTATATATTTACACAAAGCCCTGGGCTCCAGACCTAGGTCAGCCAGTGGCAATTTCTGTGTCCTGAGTAAGTCCTTTCATCTCTCTGGGTCTCAGTTTCCCAATTCGCAAGCAGAAGGTTTGAACTCTCTGGCTATTGTACCACCATCACTATTATCAAGTGATGATATTAGATATCACTAATTCACTATCATCAAAACACAAACTTGTAAAATATCTTGAAAGTTTACAAACACATTCTTTTTATTTGCTTTTTTTTTTTTTTTTTTCAGACGGAGAGTATCGCTCTGTCACCCAGGCTGGAGTGCAGTGGCACAATCTTGGCTCCCTGCAACCTCCGCCTTCCAGGTTCCAGCAATTCCCCTGCCTCAGCCTCCCAAGTAGCTGGAATTACAGGCATGTGCCACCATGCCTGGCTAATTTTTGTATTTTTAGTAGAGACAGGGTTTCACCATGCTGGCCAGGCTGGTCTAGAACTCCTGACCTCAGGCGATCTGCCCGCCTCGGCCTCCCAAAGTGCTGGAATTGCAGGCATGAGGCACTGCTCCTGGCCCCAAACACATTCTTTTTCTTAGATAAAATACTAAAACAAACCAAAACATTTTAGATTACAAAAATGGAAGTACAAAGGCTTGGACATATTTATTGGCCTTTTTTTTTTCAATGAAGTGGTTTCAGTAGCCAGGCAAGCTTTGTATGAGCTACACTTTTCACTCTAAACAATGTGGATAAATATGACCTTGAGTGTTCTCATTTTCACATGCCCCATTTTTTCTCTCAGGACAGTTTTAATAGTGATTAAACCAGAATTTAGTGTCCAGATGAGCACACGGGGAATAATCTTTTCACTGAAGAGCCCCGTATGTCCATTGCGCACCTTAGAGGTCTTGTGTGGAACTAATGAAGCACTTTGATGGCTCAGGGATTTTCATTAGAGGGAATTCATCTCCACCTCACCTCAAGCTTCATGAGCCATTTCTCTAGCTGTGCTAAACTCCCAAACAAGTAGCAGCAGAGAGCATTTCCAAAAAAAGAGAGATATCAAAGTGGCAGCTACTCCAAAGACAGAGCCTCCCCTCCAGTTTCTGCCTCCTGCAGCTTCTCCTACCTTCTTCTCTGTTCTTTTCATGCACACCACCCACACAGTCCGTTGCAGATGGATACGTGGTTCCAGTGATTTAACCTTACTTTCTCCACTCAGGCCCCTCAGGCGTGATTTGTTCTTCGGAGTCAGAGCTCGCTTCCCCAGCACCAGTGGTGTGGCTGTGAGCAGGTTTTGTTAGCTGGGTATAATTTTTAAAGTACCATTTATTTATCTGGCAAGAGCAAGCCCCAGTGATCCACCTCCATTAAAAGTTCAATCCAGAAGAGTGAATCTGACAGCTCCAGATTTCCGGCCTCAGAGCTCTTGATTAATTTTTGTGCCCAGAGTCTGAGGCGAAAGCAAGGGCGGGATTTCCTGGGTGGCTGTTGGAGGTGCATTTGGAGGCCATTACTGCCCTTCCAGCTTCTTCACTCAATTATGCTGAGCTGAGGTTCGTCACACTTTGCATAAGCGAACTCGATGAATACTTAAAAAGCCTTATTCTCATTTTACACGTGAAGAAACTGAGGCACAGGGTGGTGAAGTGGCTTGCCGAAGTTTGCACAACTAGCAATTGGTGACGTCCGATTGGAGCTGAGGTCTGTGTTGCTCTAAAGCTCGAGTCTTTTCCACTTGGGTTGCGTCTCTCATCTCCTTGAGGGCACTGCCTGCTCTGTGTCGCCAGGACTGGGCTGGAGGTGGCCACTGGGGTTTCATGCAGAGGGTCAGAGATTTGCTGAGTGAATGTGGACTGTCCCTGCTTTGGCTGCAGAAATATCTTTCCTCATTCTTGATCGCCCTCAACTTTTTGAATCCCGGGTACAGGCTGAGAAGTGTCTACAGGTGACATGCAGAGTACACCAGGACAGAATTCCAGTCCAACTTGGTCACAAAATGCATGTGCTTTTATGCCAAGTTATTGGACATGTGTCTAGAGGCATAGAGTGACTTCGCTGCTCTTTAATTGTCTTTTTTGCTGTGCCTTCTGTTTTCATTCCTCCAGCTCTGTCTTCCTGCTTGTGGTGGAACCGAAAGTCTCAGTGTAACCCTGTTCCCTAGACAGGTCTGATATCTTCTTGGCCTTGACACTGAGAACTGGTTTAGAATCTGGTTTGTACTGTCCAACCTTCCAGTTTGGGAAGATAAGTCACAGGACATCGTCTTCTAAGCAGCAAGAGTAGCCCCTGGGATAAAATTGCTGACATCTCCGTGGGGCCTCAGGGTCCTGGGACTCATGCGAGTGCAGGAGGCTCCATGTCTTTGGAGGCTGCATCAGACACATTCTAGCCTCAACTGAATGAAACCTCTGAGTTTGATTTTACATAACTGCTCTTAATACTTACTTTAAAAGAAAAAAAAAAAAAGACCTGGCAAGGACTATAAATGTTTTATTTTAAAGTAACCTTTCTTGGATATATTTTTGGTGGGGGGAGGGCACAAATAGACTTCAAATATATTACATATTCATTGCAGAACATTTAGGAAAAAAAGAAAAGCAGAAACAAGAAAAATAAATATTTTCTATAATCCCAACAACATGAATAATATTTTAAAATATGCATAGGCTTTTATTCTTTATAGACCTATCTATATTCACTTTTCTTTATACAAATGGAAATATGTTGCATTTACTGTTGTGTTACCTGACGGTAGTCTAGTTAACAGCCAATTCTCTCCATTCTGGTTTGTGAGCCAACCCTGATTTTGTTGAGACATAGGACAGCCATGTGCTGTAGGGAAAGCTGGAACCTTCTCCAGCCTGAGGGAATGAAACTTAATTGGTCTAGGTCATTCTTAATCATTCCTTTCACCTTGTCAGTGATGGACTTGGGAGTAAGCATGTGACATTATTTTGGCCAAAGAGACATCAGGGAAGTCCTTAGGGAATGTCTGGGAAAAGTTTCTTTGCTCTTTAAAAAAAAATGACTTGTAGGAAGAAACTTCCGTTTTCAAGTCTGGGTATTGTCTGAATGTATCTGAAACAATGGCAGCCAATTTGCAAACATGGGGGATGGGGGAGCAAGCTTGATGAACAAGATCAGCTGATGAACAAGATCAGAACCAGGACTGCTATTCCTTTGTTAAACTTCTGAATTAACCGATGTTGCAACCATTCCCAAACTGGACATCTTGACAGATGGTAAAATAAATAGCTATATTGTTTATGCTGTTTAAATTTTTCTGTTACTTATAGCCAAAAGCAACTTATCTAACAGAATTTCTCTTGTCATTAGATATTCTTTTTTTTTCATAATAGAAAATATTTTATTTTGAAAGTTTTAGTCATTGGGTCTACAACAGTTTTCCATACAAGGAAAATACAGTATTAAGTTATTTGTAATTGTCTTACATACTGAACAACCAATGAATGCATACAAGTAACAAATTATATGTGTGCAGAGACTAGCATCAAGGAAATACTCATTCATAGATACATGTTTTCTAATAAAATATATTTTAAGTTTTTGATGATCTTCTGCTATCATTTTTGCTATGTTATCTGAATAGCCATCCAGATCTGTAGTAAAAGATCTCGTTAGCTACATAACTAAAGAAGTACTTCCCCAAGGAAGCTGACACCATCATACCAGGACTTACAACATTTAGCTTTTTTTTTTTTTGAGACAGGGTCTCACTCTGTTGCTAGGCTGGAGTGCAGTGGTGCGATCTTGGCTCACTGCAACCTCTGCCTCCCTGGTTCAAGCGAGTCTTCTGCCTCAGCCTCCCGAGTAGCTGGGATTACAAGCACGCGTCACCATGCCCAGCTAATTTTTGTATTTTTAGTAGAGACAGAGTTTCACCATGTTGGCCAGGATGGTCTCCATCTCTTGACCTCGTGATCCCTCCGCCTCAGCCTCCCAAAGTGCTGAGATTACAGGCGTGAGCCACTGCACCCAGCCAACATTTATCTTTCAACATGACTATACCATTAAAATTTTTAAAATATTTCTCAGAATTGTGTTCTTCAGTCTTTTCCATAATATAGTATATGGAAATTGCTAATAGCATTAAATTAATATGAATAAAACCCAATTCTATCTAAACCTTTTTCTCATAAGAAAAAACATTACTTTAAAAAACAGACTTTTTGTTTCTTCTAAAAGTAGTACTACTTGGACTGCTCAATTGCAATGCCAAATACTTCTGGAAACACCATAGGACCACCAAGCTATTCCTATTGCCTTGATAAATTCCTTTCCTGCTCCAATTTCTCCATGTTCCTGCTTTCTTGTGTCAAAATATCTTCCCTTAATTTGTTAAAATGAATCTGAGGGAAAAAATCTGATAAACTGGGGTAATAAATTTTTTTTTCATGGACTTTTATGATCACAAAATGACCAGGCAACTTATAGCTTCAGTGCTAACACTGTGATTGGGAACAAGAAGAGTACAACCACAATAAAATACAGCTATCTGTTAGAAGAACTGCATAAAGACATCTTTGGCCCTCTGGAAAAAGGTTGTGGGCCCTCTGGAAAAAGTCAGTTGTATTGCCAACATGACAAAGAAAATAGCAATGTTCAGGATGAGGAACAATCTGGTATAGGAAGCAGATAGTGATGAGGCCCTGCTACGAGTAGTTGTCACCATCCATGCCTGTCCAACCCGGCCTTTCCTCAAGCCCCATTTTTATGTTTCTCATATGTTATATCTGCAAAATCTAAGAGGTTTTTCATTTCTTCATCTTCATTTATGGGTAGTTCTTTCTGTGCCTGAATCTGAGCTTTCTGTCTAATCTTTTTCTCATTGACCTCAATCTGTGCAAAAATATCAGGGACAGCATCCACAGATTTATAGCATTCGCCTGCCCTTCGGTTTTTCTTTGACTTGCTTTGCTGCTGCTGTTGCTGTGTTACGGCAAAAATCCTGTCGATGGCCTCTTCAGCCTGTCTCTTATCTGAAAATCTCAGCAGCCGGTCAGCAGTCTTCCTAAAGCTAGCTGGTTCTGGACTCAGGAGAGTATCTGCTTCTCCAGCTGAAACACTGGCTTAAAATGCTGCAGGTTCTGTTCCACAATAGCAGCATAGTCCTTCACCTCAGGGACAATGCTGCTCTTGATGGCTGAATTCTGGTCAAACAGAATTTTGTGATGATCAGCAATGACCTGTGCAAAGGCAGACTGTCCTGCGGCCTCACCTGTCCACAGGTACATTGCGTAGGCATGTTCTCTGGTGGCTATGAACACATCCAGTTGCTGAGAGTCTCTGTGGATGGTGAAGCTCTGAACATCTATAGTGACCCTATGAAGAGGTAAGCTGGCCTGGTGATGGGACTTCAGAGGTGCATGGTGACATTCACATAGTTTGTCCCATTGTAGGGATAGCTCCCAGGATATGTCACTGATGCAAATATTGCTTTCTTGCCGTAGCCAGTATTGTCCATCCAGTACTTTTTATAGAGACCATTTCTCTACCTGATGAAAGCCCCATGGACACCATCTACCACAGTCTCCTCAAAAGGAACATCCACATTGTGGAAGAAGCTCGCTGCTGTCTCCAGGGGACTCTCCTCTCCCAGGTGTATTTGGTCTACAAGGAGAAGCAGCTGTGGATGTAGGAGGATCAGATTCCTCTGAACATTCTTCAGGTTGAGCTGGAGGTTATAAGCTCCCACACCTTCTCCTCAGATGAAAACCACCCCATTTTTCTCCTCTGCTGCAACCACTCTCCCCTGACAGCTAGCTGCCAGGTCATGCTGGTATTTAGACCATTTTGATGAACAGTGTTCTGTGACTTGACCCTTCCAGGGAGAAAAGCAGCTCTTCGACACAGCTGCGGAAAACATCAAAACATTGTTGAAGAAGGTGTACTTTGGCCTGTACAGAGCCTCAATAACGAAAGGCACACAACTGGGAGCAAAAGTAAATGAGTTTTGATCATAATGTTCATGCCCTGTCCTAAAATTTCTCCATCCTTTGATCCAATCTTTGTATTTGTTTCTGTGGACAATGTCACATATTGCATGTCCCCCCGGTTTTCCAGACTTGAAAGAGAGGAAAGATTTATTGATTTCAGCAGGTAGTGCACTTCAAGTCACGACACCCAGTCTTCAAAATAATGCAGCGTAGGGGTGCCAAAGTCTGGAGGAGGAACTGATTTCAAGCTGGCATCATACCAGAGAAATTCTGTGTGCAGAGTGCACCGGCGCTGCCCTTTGGACAGTGTTCCTGGACCTTCCACCACACAGTTCCTTCTGATTTGGTCAGCTAGCCAGTTACCACTGCTGTTACGCATGATAAATTTATCAAGGAAAACTAATTGGCTTTCTGGACCATAAAATCAGTTGTAATTTGAGTCCTCAATAGCCACAGTCCTTTGAAACCCTGGCAGGATGGTTCTATACATAAATGCAAAGTGTTGTTTAAGCCACGGATGGCCAACATGAAGTGCCTCTGGATGAGAAACATGTATTGGAAGAGTGATCTAGTGGTGTAGCTTCCATACACAACTCTTTCATAGAGGGAGCCATCCATCATCTCCCTGAGCAAGACCAGAGATTTCTCCATGATGGTCAGAACTTGTTTGGTCCATAAGCAGGATTCTTGAAGATATCCTTGATTCGTCAGTACTAGGCTTCCTGTGAGCAAAGCCATGCAGTTGGTGGGCTGATGATTGTGCAGGTATTGAAATCCCCGTCCTCTCCTGTATGAATTTTCATACATATACCCTGAGGCACTGGCAATCACTTCAAGAAACTTCTTCTGTTGTGTCTTGCTCAGGTAGTTGTGCAAGAAGTCATAAGCAGTGGCAAAACCAACCAGGGAGTGAGCAAGCGGGACCTCATCCCAAGGAGCATCTTTCACCAACCAAATAGGCTGCACTGCCATCCTCTCCATGTAGACTTTGGCCATGTCTTGGGCTTCAGTGTCCTCAGGATACAGCACACAGAACATTGCCAAGACACCCAAGTTGTTTCCATAGATTTCGTTCTAGCGGGCACTGTAATCCTTGGGATCCCAGGGAGGGAGGTATTCCAAGGGGCTGCACAGCATCGTGTGCACATCCTCCGTGAGGCGGGCTGCAATGTGCTCCTGCCAGCTGGCCGCCCTGAGCTGCAGCTCCGCCACCTCTGCCCTGAAGTACAGCATGGGGTGGCTGTTGTGGCTGGCATTGGTGAAGGGAATCATGACTTCTGGGTTCTCGTCGGTGATGTAGGCTGACACAATGCAAAGCAAATATATGAAAAACACACTGGGAGCACCCCTGTGTGTGAGTCCTCATCGTGGCATCAGATCTCCAAATCTCCAAGGCAGCCAAAGCATCTTCAAAACATCCGCTCCCCGCCGAGGCTCCGTCCTCTCCAGAGTCGCCTCTGCAGCCTCCAGAGCCCGCTCCTGGCCCCCCTCACTCCAGGGCGCCCGGGCTCCCAGCCCCCTCGGAGCCAAGCCCTTGCACTGTGAGTGTTGGTGGGCGCCGCGCCCGGGGATGCGCTGCTGCAGCCTCGGGCTAATATCGTATCTAATGATATCATTAGATATTATTATACAATATTATTTTAGATGGCCTTGTACTATTCTTTTTACTCACATACTATAACTCATGTAACCACTTCTTTTTTGCTGTTGTTTTAGATTCCCATGTTCCTGCTATTATAGCATTGCTGAAGTGGCACACTTGTGCTCTTTTCTTATGTCCTTAGTTTAAATTCTGGGTTAAATGTTATGAACAATTTTAAGGCTTTTTGTGCATATTCTAAGTTTCCTAGAAGTTGGTATTAATGTGTTTTGTTCTAACATTTAAACATCTTTCCAGTTAGGGTCCCAGCCTCTCTCTCTGTGTCTGTCTTTTGTTTTTAGCAGTGATGTCAATCACTATCAAAAGAATCATTGTCAAAAACTACTATTCCTGCAAGTGTGAACTTAGTTCCTAAAATGAGTTCTGTTTAAGTAAAGTATGACTTGTAATAAACTTTAACATTTTATATGCTTCAATCACATTACATTGAGTTCAAATGATTAGAATCTTACGATGTTGGATTCCAGGGCCAAGTAAGGTTATATGTTGGGGCTGATGGTTCTTAACTCTGGCTATTATGTTTGGAATCACCTGGGGAACTTAAAGAAAATGCCTTTAATGATGCATAATTGATGTACAATAAACTACACATATAAAATGTACAATTTGCTAAGTTTTAACATGTATATACACCCATGGAATAATTCCTATAATCAAGATAAAGAGCAGTATTCCATCCCTCCAAATTGCAGGGTTCACCATCCTTGGTTGCCTGATGGTTAGTGTCTTAAAGCCCATTGTTTCATATATTTTCTCTGCTTTTCTTTTTCTTTTTCTTTTTTTTTTTTTTTTTGATTGACTCAGGTGGGACGGAAAATCCATTCCCTGATACTCCATCTTAGACCGAAGCAGATATTTTCCATCTGAGGAGCTTTTAAAAAATAATCTCTAGGCTCCACCCAAGACCAAATGAATTCTAATATTTGGGGGAAGGCCTTTTGTATTAAAGTATAATTTACATGCAATAAAATTCATCTTATTTAGGGTAAAGTTTTGTAAATTTTGCCATATGCGTACAGTCATGTAACTATTACAATCCACATAGAACAGGTCCACGCCCTCTCCCAAATTCTTTTATGCCCCTTTGTAGTCAAGCTGTCCTTTCACCCCAAGCTCTTGGCAGCTGTTGATATGTTTTCTTTTCCTATAGTCTTGTCTTTTGCAGAATGACATGGGAATGAAATCATGTAGTATGTAGTTTTTCAGTGCGGGCTTCTTTCACTTAACATAATGCATTTGAGATTCATCGGTTTGGTTGATACAGCGTGTCCATAGTTCATTTTTATTGCTGAGTGTTACTCCATATGGATGTGCCACGATTTGTTTCTCTATTCCGCTGTTGAAGAACATAGCCTTAAAAAGGTTCCCCAGGTGATTCTAATGTACCTCCGGAGTTGAGAATCTCTGGGCTAGATAAAACTGCTCAATAGTCTATTAAGGTAAATATTAGGCCCTTCCCTTGTGGTCTGTCTCCTTCAAATCACATCATCCTGCATCTGTAGCCTCCTCTGCCTTATCAAATAACTCATGATCTAGTGTGTCCCCCGGTCAACCCAGCCTATCCCTTGGAAACATTTGCTCATCCACCGTATGTGCCAGTCTCCCTACTGCTCATTTGCATGCACTCATCAGTATGCAGATCTCTCATATCCAACTTCTCAGAAGATTCCTCTTAGATTTCTAAGATGATGGCATCCAATTGATAATTAATGTTAATGCTTTAATGGTATATTAGGATTCTCCAGAGAAACAGAATCATATATACATATAACAGAATACATATGTATACATATGTATTTATGGTAAGAGTTGGCCAACATAACTATGGAGGCTGAGTACTTCCACGATTTGACATCGGCAAGCTAGACAACCAAAAAAGCTGGTGGTGTAACTTTAGTCTGAATCAGTCTGAATCAAAAGGCCTGAGAACCGGGGTACAGTTGGTGTAAGTCCCAGTCTGTGTCCAGAGGCCAGAGAACCAGGAACACTGATGTCCAATGGTGGGAGAATATAAATGTCTCAGCTCAAGAAGAGAGCAAATTTGCTTTTTTCCCACATTTTTGTTCTATTTGGACCCTCCATGGACTAGATGATACCCAACCACAGTGGTGAAGATAATCTTCTCTATTCAGTTTGCTGATTCAAATGCTAATCTGTTCCAGAAACACCCTCACAGACACATGCAGAAATAACATTTTACCAGCTAGCTATCCTGGCAGCCCTTAGCCCAGTCAAGTTGACACATAAATTAATCATCAAAAATGGGTAATGTTGGCCGGGCACGGTGGCTCACACCTGTAATCCCAGCACTTTGGGAGGCTGAGGCAGGTGGATCACCTGAGGTCAGGAGTTCAAGACCAGCCTGGCCAACATGGTGAAACCTCATCTCTACTAAAAGAATACAAAAATTAGCCAGGTATTGTGGTGCACACCTATAGTCCCAGCTACTCGGGGGAGCTGAGGTAGGAGATTCTCTTGAACCTGGGAGGCGGAGGCTGCAGTGAGCCAAGATTGAACCATTGCACTCCAGCCTGGGTGACAGAGCGAGACTCTGTCTCAAAAAAAAAAAAAAAAGGAGTAATGTGACAGAGGTTAATATCAGGCTGGGTTTCTTGGAAACACTCAAAAAGTATAGCATGGAGATGCAGATCCTTTCAAATCCTCTCTTCAATTTTAGCTGTATGTAATCCTGAAGCTAGATTAGTTGTAATCCAAAAGGATGATGATTTTTAAAAATTAAAATACACGCACACAAAGTTCAACATTAGATGAAAGTGTTAAAAGCCCTCCCCACCCTGTAGCACCAGTTCTAAACTCAGAAGTAACATATATTTATTATATTTATAAAAATATAAATATATTTTCTAGTATCTTTCTGGAAAATCTTTCATGTGTATATCAGCATACAAAAATAGATCTATATTTTATCTTTTAAAAATTATTTATTTATACAAGAGGGATTTTACTATGCACAATGTTCTGTGCCTTGATTTTTTTTCCCTTAATATATTATGGAACTCCTTTCACATTGTACCTACCTCATTTTTATTTTTCAGTGTGTCAGATGAGTATGCCATAGTTTAACAAGCTTACTGTTAATAGAATTTAAATTGTTCCCTTTTTCTATGTATGTATTTGCTTGTTTTAAAGCTATAGCCAAGTTTGAAAAGTGACACTTTTTAGAATCCAATTTTTGTTTCAGGATAGTTTTAAATTTAGAGAGCATTTCAAAGATAACAGATAGAGTTTCCATACACACTTCATGAAGTTTCCACTTTTATTAATATCTTACATTATTAGTATGGTACATTTGTCACAACTAATGAACCAATATTTATACACTGTTACTAATTGAAGTCCTTACTGTATTCAGGGCTCCTTAGTGTTTACCTAATGCACTGTTTCTGTTCCAAGATCCCACCCATGATACCACATTACATTTGGTCATCCTTGTCTCCTCAGGCTCCTCTAACTGTGACAGTTTCCAGACTTTCTTTGGTTTTGATGACCTTGACATTTGTTTTTGTTTTTGTTCTGATGGAGTTTTGCTCTTGTTGCCCAGGCTGGAGGGCCATGGCATGATCTCAGTTCACCGCAACCTCCGCCTCCCGGGTTCAAGCGATTCTCCTGCCTCAGCCTCCCGAGTAGCTGGGATTACAGGTCGCCACCCTGCCCGGATAATTTTGTATTTTTAGAAGAGATGGGGTTTCTCCATGTTGGTCAGGCTGGTCTCAAACTCCTGACCTCAGGTGATCTGCCTGCCTCGGCCTCCCAAAGTGCTGGGATTACAGGCGTGAGCCACCGTGCCCGGCCTGACCTTCACAGTTTTGAGAAGTACTAGTCGGGTATTTTGTATAATGTCCCTCCACTGGGGCTTATCAAATGTTTTCCTGATAGATTGGGAATATGGGTTTTGGGAGGAAGGCCACAGAGGGAAAATGCCATTCTCACCACATCTTATCAGGGACACATACTATCAACATGACTGATCACTGTTGATGTTGACCTTGGTCACATGGATGAGGTACGATTCTGTCAGATCTTTCCATGCTAATGTTCCCTTTTTTCTGTTCTTTCCATATTGTACACTTTGGAAGAAAGTCACCATCTGCAGCCCACACTTAAGGGATAGAGAACTCTGCCCCACTCCCTGAGGGGAAAGTATTATTTGGACTTTGTTGTATGAGAGATTTGATTATTCTTGCCTGTTTCAAAAGAAGGTGCTCTGAGGGGATTCCAGATATAAGGGATATATCTTGGAGATGATCCCATAGATTACACAGAGAGATTTGTTATTCTTTTTCACAACTGTATAGCACTGTATTGAGTATATTTGTCTAGCTTCATCAAACAATTTTTTATACTTGGGCATTTGGGTCTTTCCATTCTTTTGCCATTATGAATAGAACTGCAATGAACAATAGTTTCCACATACACCTTTTTTGCCTTTGTGTTTTTGCAGTGTAACTTTGGGATAGATTTCTAGAAGTGTGTTTACTAGGTCAAAGGGTGAAGGAGTGTGCACAAGATGCTACAAGATCCCTCCTGTAATGTTTCTAATGTTTGGCATTTCCTCCAGCAATGTATGAGAATGCCAGTTTCCCCATAACCTTGCCATAAAGCATTTTGCTAAACATTAATATTCTTGTTCATCTGGTGGGTAAAAAATATTATCCCCAAAGAGTTTTAATTTGCATTTTCCTAATTCTGAGTAAAGTTGAACATCTTGTAATAAGTTTACAAACCACTGACAATTCTTATCTGGTCTGTCTACTTGTTACTCCCTCCCCGCCCGCTACTTTTCTATAGGATTATTGGTTTTTTCTTATCTATTTTTAGTACTTCTTTACATATTAGGAACATTAACCTTTTGTGATATAATTTTCAAAATGTCCCTGTTTGTCATATGTCTTCTAACTTTGCAGTGGTGTTTTATTGCCATGGAAAGTTTCCGAAAATAAAATGTATCCATATTTTCTGGCTTAACTTCTAGAAGCAGACTGAAAAATTTTGGCTCTAAATGATTTTACCATCTCTCTCAGTAGGAGGTCCTATAAGCATCAGTTGTCATACATCAGTCCTTTTTGCAGACACTTTTGGCATAGATACTTGCATGCACCTACTGTGCATCAGGAGTTGTACCTGGTTCCTTCCCTCAAGCTGATTATGGCATACAGAAGGAGGGAAAAATGAGAAGACACACATGTATGGTCCAGTGTGATAAGTCTTACAATGGAGACAAAATATTAAGGGGCAGACATTTACGGTGGGGTGACAGTTGGGACAGGATGAGGGAAGGCTTTGCAGAAAAACTGATATTCAATTGTGGTTTCGAAGAGTAAATGGTGTGAGCCCAACAAAGGGCATTCCAGGCAGAGGGCACAGGCCATGTGTGCAAAGGCATGAGGAGTGTGCCATGTGGGAAACTACCCTGATGTAATGGCAGCCTCACAAAACACACCAGGCAAGCTCTCTTAAAGACAGGGAACAGAAAGTCTCCCAGAACAAAGTAAAACACTTGAATGAGCTGGTTTATTGATTCCATTTAAAACACATAGTGAGAAGCAAGGAGACATGTGGAGTAGGCTAATACACTTAGAGAAAGATCTCAGTGGATGGAAGATCCCACTGTCTGCACCCTGTGCTAGCAATGTTCATTTGTTCTCTCTCTCTGCTGCATCAGCCTCCCCACCATGTCCTGTGTATGTATGTACAGAGTGGATATGTAAGCAAGGGAGAGAGGCATATGAAAGATGTCTACAGTCAGCAACACACACATTTGTCCCTTTGCTGAAACACAGGAATAAGCACTCCTGAAGGCAGCTGTAGCTCACCCTTCAGCCTGATGAGAAGCACTATGGCCTTCATATGCGCTTCTTGGGCAGACCACATATAAGGCCAGAATGGCCATCATCAATTGGGTTGATTTGAGGCCTCATGGATATTGACTGTGTCATTTACAATAGGTTCCTCTCAGTCATTCCATTCTCTCCTTTCTATGTTCAGCATTTACCTCTTCTTTGTGCTCTAACTTGTCTTGCAGGTGTCAACCTACTTATCCATACTTCCTATTTGTTTTTCTTGTCTTCTATGCAGAATAGGTTTTCCTCCAATAATACCCAGATCCATATTACATTGTGACACATGTAGATACCATCGTTCATGAGTAGTTATAGGAAAAAAGATAGGGGGCTGCACCTCTCAGGAGGAGGAGCATCCCTTGGAGCCTTTTAGGCACACTGGATCAGTGGGTACAGTGGTAGAGCAACATTCTAATTGTGGCAAATAATAACCATGATACATAAAGCATATTATAGTGCTTTCAAAGGTTATCTTGTTTAGTTCTCACAAAAGCCCTATGAAGAAGTCACTCTTATTCCCATTTTCCAGATGAGGAAACTGAGGCTCAGAGAAAGTAAATAATTGGTCAAGCCAGTGAATTAGTGAGAGGCAGAACTGAGAGTAAAGCTTTGTTGTTCTGGCTCCAGGTGATCTCTCTTTTTACATGTTGCAGTGGGGATGAAATGGTCTTCACCTTCTCAAGTTCTTTAAAAAGATTAATGGCCCTAGGCCTGCAAACAGTATCCAGAGATGGGTAGATGGGCACATGTGAAGTGAAAAGGGAAGAATTCTCACCCCTTCCCCAAGGCATGAGGGCAGCCTCACAGAATGCCAGCGCCTATATCCAAAGAAATTATCTGTCCATTTGCCAACTTTCCCTCATTCCTTAAAGTCCTCTTTATAAGCCAGAGGTGATTGGTCAGCTGAGATGAGTACAACTGGATTCAGCCCCGTCCTTTGCTTGGGTGGTTCAGGACTTCAATTTGGAATGTGGAAGTGGCTACCAGCTATTGGTCCGAGCCCAAATTGAGAGTGAAGATTTCCAGTGCAACAGCCTATTTCAGCCTTTCTGAGTTCTCAGCTGTAGACAGGCTTGCTGGATTACACGTGGAGGCTTCCATCCATTTTGGAAGTTGGCTTACTTCCGTCTCTTCTCTGTGCTTGTAACTAAAGTCAATGCTTCTCCAAGTGTGGTCTCTGGACCATATCAGCATTACCTAGAAACTTTTTGTTGTTGAGGTAAAATTCACATAACATACAATCAAAGTGAACAATCCACTCATGTTTAGTACATCCTCAGTGTTATGCAACCATCACCTCTATCTAGTTGCAAAATGTTTTCATTACTCCAAAAGGAAAGCCTATACACATTAAGTAGTCAGTCCCCATTTCCCCCTCACCTTGGCCTCTGGAAACCATGAATCTACTTTTCATCTCTACAGATTTGCCTGTTCTAGGTGTTTCATATAAATTGAGTCACACAATCTATGACTTTATGTATGTGGCTTCTTTCACTTAGCATAGTGTTTTGGAGGTTCATCCATGTTGTAGCATGTATTAATACTTCATCTTTTTTTAATGATTCTAGGAACTTTTTAGAAATGCATATTTCCTGCCTTACCCAGACCGAGTGAATAAGAAACTCTCAGAGGTGTGTGGCGGCAGCAATTTGTGTTTTTGTAAGTCTCTTGGTGATTCAGATGTATGCTAGAGTTTAGGAACCACTGACTTAGGGGATGCCAGTCTCTGATGTTTAACTCAGAAGGAAGTTGTTGGCTTCCTAAATCCAGTATACTATGATTCAGCTGAAGACCCATAGTTGATGTAGGCATTTTAGAAACAAAATATATTTTCATTTTTCTTGATGTAAGAGAGAGCTGTCAGGACCTGGCAAATTCATTTCTTGTCTTAAAATACATATATGTCAAAAAACTACAGGACATCCTTATGAAATAATTCCAAATGATTTTTAATCTCTCCATGTTAACTTTAACCTTTTCCATTTTGTTTCTATCCTATGTTGGGAATGGCTGATTTCTTCTCAAACATCTCCAGGTGTGCTTTCCATTACCAAGCTGTGCATTACAGGTGGCTGCAAACAGGACCATCCCAGTGGACTCCTTCCTTCTCTCCCTCCTCATGCTATAAATGGCATGCCTAGACCCAAGAGACCACTTATAAGGCTTGAAGTTGCCGTCAAACCTAGAGGAATTTTTATAGTTTGACACCCCAATTCCAAATTTTATCTCTGGCATTTCCTCCTCATGATGGCTTGTGTAGTAATTTCTATTTTAGGAAGAGAAGTTGTCTTGGATGAAATGAGAATTCAGATCAAATGATCTAGATTCAAGTGCTGACTTGCTTCATGTACTTGTTTATCCAACAAACACAGTATTTATGAGTGCCGTATAAACTGCATATCGGGTGAGAATACAGCAGTGAACAAGATAGACACTGTTCCCCTCCTTTTCAATTTGGGGACTTCAAAGTCTAGTAGGGGAGTAAAACCAGCAAAGAGGTGATTTTAGAACTGTGTGATGATGCTGTGATGGGGGAGTGCCTGTCAAATATGCTACAGAGGATATGGGAAAGGTACTTACTCCAGTGATGATGGTGGGTGTGGGGGGAGTGGGAGCCAAAGAAGGCTCCCAGGGAAAAGAGGTGACTACGTTTAGACATAGTATGGTGAATAGAGTTAATTAGGGAAATTTGGGCTTAGGTGGGACAGGAGAGGTTTTAATAGAAAGAGCATTCCAAGGAGAGAAAATGGTGTATACAGAGGGTGAGAGAAAGGACTCTTATGGAAAAGGAGCTAAGAGGATTCTGAAGCATTGGTTGTAATGTTGAGGGTGGGTCTGGTCAGATGTAGTGACAGCAAGAGTTGAGGCTCTGGAGCAAATTCAGGGCCCAGTGAGTCATTGCGGTCTTGTTGGAAATCACAGTGGAAATCCATGGAAAGATTTAAAGCTAAGATGTGATTTGATCTGCTGTGTATTTTAGTGGTCACTTGGGCTATATAAAGGAGTGAGTTAGAGGGAACTAGAGAGGAGGATGGAAGTTCAATGAAGAGGAGAGAGGAGGATGGAAGTTCAACGAAGAGGCCCTTGAAATCAGGACCTCTCATACAGGAATAATCAGATTGCAAATTTGACACATTGTAGAATGATTTGAGAATGTCTATTAAGTCAAAGATGTGTATTATTTGTGATTCAGAAATTCTATTCACAAGGAGCTCTGTACAAGATACCCATAACTACGTTCTTTGAAATTAAAAAAAATTGAAGCAATCTAAATGCCCATAAATGGGGGAATGGATAAAAAGGATACATAAAACATGGTATATTTATACAATGGGATGTTATACAGTAGTTAAGATGAATGAAGCAGGCCTAGATTTAGCAAATTGAAAAACCTCAAAAACATAATGTCAGGCAAACAAGTGTGGTTTACAGAATTATAGATACAATTTAACAGTATTTACCTAAAGCTTATAAGATAGCTGGGCGGGCTGGCTCACACCTGTAATTCCAGCACTTTGGGAGGCCAACGTAGGCGGCTCACCTGAGGTCAGGATTTCAAGACCAGCCTGGCCTACACGGGAAAACCCCGTCTCTACTAAAAATACAAAAAATAGCTGGGTGCAGTGACATGTGCCTGTAATCCCAGCTACTTGGGAAGATGAGGCAGGAGGATCGCTTGAACAAGGGAAGTGGAGGTTGCAGTGAGCCAAGATGGCACCGTTGCACTCCAGCCTGGGTGACAAGAGTGAAACTCTGTCTCCAAAAAAATAAATAAATAAAAATAAAGTTTATGAGATAGACTATTAGTTTGTGCACCATTAAGACAGAAAAAATGCTGAGAATTAAACTCTGACAAAATGTTTTCTTGTCCCTTACAATTCCACACTGATTTGACAGTTTTTTTAAACCATATATTACTCTTATACATGCATAAAAGAGGAAAATATAAGTAACATAATCAATTAAGGTATTCTATAAATTTTTCCACATTTAACATCTGACTTCTTAGAATTCTTTCCTGGTGTCTGTGTTTTTTGGCACAATAAAACTTCCATGCAAATTGAGTATTGGTGATACAGCATTTTTGAAAAGAATCTATAAAAGAACAAAGTCATTGGCATTGTACTCTCAAGCTATTTTTGCAGTTAGGTGCAGCTAACCTACTTTTTGTTCCTGCTCTGGAATCTTGCTAAAACATTTCTGATTTGCCACCCCTTCTTCCCCTACCCCCTCCTCATAGCCATTTGGTTCCTCAGGGTAAGAAGAGTACCCTGCCATTGTCTCCAGAATCTTTTCCCACATGTTGACACCAATTCTGCAAGTTTGTTTCTTGTCCCTGTGATGCCAGAGAATGTACGGCCATGATGGCTGTGATACAGCGGCCACCTGGCTGACTGCTTTTGGAAGATGTCACCAATGATGAGAGCATCCTGACTTCAGAGAGATGAAAATGTGAAAAAACAAATGTGCCTTAGAAACAATGAAATATGGTAGTTGTAACTGACGGATAAAAACATATGTGGAAAGAAGGCCAGGCACGGTGGCTCATGCCTGTAATCCTAGCACTTTGGGATGCCAAGGCAGGCAGATCACTTGAGGTTAGGAGATCGAGACCAGCCTAGCCAACAAGCTGAAACTTTGTCTCTACTAAAAATACAAAAATTAGCCGAGCATGGTGGTGCAAATCTGTAATCCCTGCTATTCAGGAGGCTGAGGCACAAAAATCACTTGAACCTGGGAGGTGGAGGCTGCAGTAAGCCGATATTTTGCCACTGTACTCCAGCCTGGGTGATAGAGCAAGACTCTGTCTTAAAACAAACAAAAAACAAACAAAAACAAACAAACAAACAAAAAACAACTCAACAACAACAAAACATGTGGAAAATGCGTAACTTTATGCATGGACATGATAGACACCAAATCCAAGATGGCTATTATCCTAGAGAAAGCAGTTAGTGAAATGGAGGCTATGTGATTGGTGACTGATGTTCAGGAAGCTTCAGTGAATTGCTAACATCCTATTTCTTAAGCGAGGTGGAAGATACATGTGTGAGTATTATTTTTCTATACTTGTTGTAGGACTGAAATATTTCAAAGCAAAAAAAGGAAATTGCTGCATGAGTGCAATTCTATTAATTGACTGTATGAGTCTGAGGAACATGTGTAAATTTAGCCTTCTACTCTACATTTTAAAGATAGTATACCTCTCCTTCCTGCCTCAGAGGAATTTTGAGTTGTTATGAGGCTCAAATAGCAAATGCTTGTGAGCAACTTTGTTCAACTGTTCAACTGTAAAGCATGACATAGAAAGTTTATGAAGATTGTCATCTCACAAGCTAACCAAACTTCTTACCAAGGGTGTGTTACCTTCAAATGGTGATATCTATTTCACTACCTCTTTGAACTGGGGCCAGCTTTGTGACTTGCTTTAATCAATAGAGTATGACAAAAGTGACACAGCAAGTTCCAGAACCTAGACATGGATGCTAATATACCTTTGATTGTAACACTTTTAAAATCCTGAGTCACCACCATGCTATTAAGAAGCCTAGTCTAGTCTATTGGAGCATGAGCAGTCACATGAAGAAGAACCATGGAGCCCAGCCACCAGCCAGAACCAAGGGCTAGACATGAGTGAGGTCATCTTGGGCCCTCCAGCCCCACTGACCCTCCAGCTAAATGTTGCAAATGAACAGAACTCCCGAGTCAACCCACAGAATCATGAGAAATAATAAATCGTCATTGCTGTTTTTAGACCACCATGTTTTAGGCTGGTTTGTGTTGCAGCAAAGTCTACCTGAAACTAGAAGCCTTTGGGAGTTATACTGATCCATGACTTACATTTTGGTATGATCTATTTTGCAGACCACATGACACTGCTAGCACTATATTGAATTTAAACAATAAGTATTAAGCACCTACTGTGTGTAGGTTACTGGCTAGGTGCTGTGAAGACTACAAAGAGGCACCATCAACAGCTTACTTATAGCACTCAGAGGACCTCTAATCTCATTAAGAAGACAATATGTAAACTATGTAAAGTTAAATAACAATAAACTGACCTGAAAAATACAGGCTATCCAGAGAAAAGATAAGATGTATGAAGTTCTTAGTATGTAGCTGGACCTATGGCCCAGTTCATTTAATTTTCACAATAACCCTACAAGGTAGGCACAATGAGTATTCCCATTTTACAAATACGAAAACTGAGGACACTGTGGGTAAGTTGTCCAGGGTCACACAGCCTGGGTCCCGGCAGCCTGACTATAGCCCATGTGCTTTAGCTCTAGACTAAATAAATGAAAGCCAGAGCCGAGAGTACGAGGAGACAGATGCTCTGCGGCTGGGAAATGGTCAAGAAGCCCCTAGGGTAGGTGAGACCTCAGCCAGCCTTGGAGGATGGGTAGGAGTTGGGATGAAATTAAGGTAGGGGGGTTCCAGGTGGGGGTCACAGCATGAGCACTGTGGAAAGAGTGGGGAATCACATGCAGCATTGGAGGACCCATGAGCAGGACTCCCTCTGGATCAGGGTCTGCCTCCCTCCAACCCAGAAGTGGCCCTGACTGTCCTTACTGGTTGCTTGCCTCCCAAGGAGACCCTCACTACCTGACAGAGGGGACGCCTGGGGAGGGGGCTGGGAGGAGCTTGGAAAATGGGAGAAGATGGCAATGTCACTGGTTGGGCTGTAAGACAGAGCCAGAAAATGGATGGCTCCACCAGAGATTCTCCCCATCAGCTGGGTGGGAGGGAGTAGTGATCTAGCAGGAGCTGACTTCCAGCTGCCCTGGGGAGCCCCTTGTCCCCATCTCCATTGGCCAGGACAGCACAGAGGCCAGCATAGTATTGAGGCTGAAGAGGGCAGAGGGCAAGTTGCTAGGCCTGAGGACAGCTTCATTTGCATGAGTGGCGGGGGTGGGGCCTGCAGAGTGGAGCTGCTCCTCTTGGCCCTGCGTGTGATGGGGCCCAGGTCACCTTTTCTTGTCGTCCTACACCACCAACAAACCTTGTCTATGGCTCTAGAGCAAGCTTGTCCAATCCACAGCCCACAGGCCACATGTGACCCAGGATGGCTTGAATATGGCCCAATACAAATTTGTAAACTTTCTTAAAACATGAGATTTTTTTGCGATTTTTTTTTTTTTTTTTTTTTTTTTAGCTCATCAGCTATCATTAGTGTTTGTGTATTTTACAGGTGGCTCAAGACAATTCTTCTTCTTCCGATGTGGCCCAGCGAAGCCAAAAGATTGGACAACCCTGCAATGAAATTGTGTGCTCAGATAGGCTTTTGAAATTGGCACCACTTAATAATCTCTGAATCATCATGAAATATGTTGGTATGAGGCCAGTTCTTCTTTATTGTATGTATTTTTGGCTAAACTATGTTACTCAACATTATAAATGCCCACTGCACCAGTGGGGTTGCTGGTTGTTTGCAGAGGTGATCGCTGTTTCTAAAAAAGACTCAAACTGCATTGTAGGAAAAGCAGGGAACCACGTGAGGCAACATCTGGCTTCATTACTCCTTCATTACAAACATTGCAGAGCTCATGTCCTATTGGGCTTCAGGAAAGGCTCCAAACGAAGGGGCATTTGAAGTGGCCTGGAAGAATGGAGATGTTACCAGGTGAGGCCAGAAAGAGCAGGCACACCAGGTGGTGGAGGTAAACTCAGCAAAAGCCTGGGACCCCCCACACACAGAGGATGATCAAGGATGAGGAAGAGGTCTAGGCAGGTTAAGCCTGGGAGTTGAGAAATAGAATAAGCTGGGACAGAGAAGATGGTTGGAGTAATGCTGTGAGGGAGGACCCTGACCAGGGACAGTTTGGAGCCACGGCATTTCATTCCAAAAGCAAAGCAGAGAAGTTCAAGATTACGTGAAAGCAGCAATTCCACCTGACCAGTTCTTTATTCAGCCTTGAGAATCTAGGGTAAGAACAGATGGATAGAAATCGTATCATGAGAACATCCTGTTTAAAAAGATCAGAAGACAGCCGGGTGCAGTGGCTCACACCTGTAATCCCAGCACTTTGGGAGGCTGAGGCAGGCAGATCACCTGAGGTCAGGAGTTCGAGACCAGCCTGACCAACATGGTGAAACCCTGTCTCTACTAAAAATACAAAAACTACTTGGGCGTGGTGGCACACGCCTGTAGTCCCAGCTACTCGGAAGTCTGAGGCAGGAAAGAATCATTTGAACCCTGGAGGTAGGGGCTGCAGTGAGCCGAGATCGCACCGTTGCACTCCAGCCTGGGCGACAAGAGTGAAACTCTGTCTCAAAAAAAAAAAAAAAAAAAAAAATCAGAAGGTTCTACCTAAACAAACCCTTGAAATGCAAAAGATATAAAGCCCATGCAGTGGTTGGCAAGATGGCCGAATGGGAATAGCTCTGGTCTACAGCTCCCAGCGAGCTCAACGCAGAAGGCAGCTGATTTCTGCATTCCCAACTGAGGTACCCGGCTCATCTCATTGGGACAGGTTAGACAGTGGGTGCAGCCCATGGAGGGCTAGTCAAAGCAGGGTGGGGCGTCGCCTCACCTGGGAAGTGCAAGGGGTTGGGGAACTCCCTCCCCTAGCCAATAGAAGCTGTGAGGGACTGTGCCATGAGGGACGGTGCATCCCGGCCCAGATACTATGCTTTTCCCACGGTCTTCACAACCCACAGACCAGGAGATTCCCTCGGGTGCCTAAATCACCAGGGCCTTAGATTTCAAACACAAAACTGGGCAGCCATTTTGGGCAGGCACCGAGCTAGCTGCAGGAGTTTTTTTTTTTTTTCATACCCCAGTGGCACCTGGAACACCAGAGAGACAGAACTGTTCACTCCCCTGGAGATGGGGCTGAAGCCAGGGAGCCAAGTGGTCTAGCTTAGTGGATCCCACTGCCATGGAGCCCAGCAAGCTAAGATCCAATGGCTTGAAATTCTTGCTGCCAGCACAGCAGTCTGAAGTTGACCTGGGATGCTCAAGCTTGGTGGTGGGAGGGGCATCCGCCATTACTGAGGCTTGAGTAGGTGGTTTCCCCCTCACAGTGTAAACAAAGCTGCCAGGAAGTTCAAACTGGGCAGAGCTGACTGCAGCTTGGCAAAGCCACTGTAGCCACACTGCCTCTCTAGATTCCTCCTCTATGGGTAGGGCATCTCTGAAAGAAAGGCAGTAGCCCCGTCAGGGGCTTGTAGATAAAACTCCCATCTCCCTGGGACAGAGCACCTGGGGGAAGGGGTGGCTGTGGGCGCAGCTTCAGCAGACTTAAAGGTTCCTGCCTGCTGGCTCTGAAGAGAACAGTGGATCTCCCAGCACAGTGCTCAAGCTCTGCTAAGGGACAGACTGCCTCCTCAAGTGGGTCCCAGACCCCTGTGACTCCTGGCTGGGAGACACCTCCCAGCAGGGATTGACAGACACCTCATACAGGAGAGCTCTGGCTGGCATCTGGCAGGTGCCCCTCTGGGACAAAGCATCCAGAGGAAGGAACAGGCAGCAATCTTTGCTGTTTTGCAGCCTCTGTTGGTGATACCAGGCAAACACGGTCTGGAGTGGATCCCCAGCAAACTCCAGCAGACCTGCAGCAGAGGGTCCTGACTGTTAGAAGGAAAACTAACAAACAGAAAGGAATAGCATGAACATCAACAAAAAGGACATCCACACAAAAACCCATCCAAAGGTCACCAACATCAAAGATCAAAGGTAGATAAATCCATGTGTTTTTTGGCTGCATAAACGTCTTCTTTTGAGAAGTGTCTGTTCATGTCCTTCGCCCACTTTTTGATGGGGTTGTTTGTTTTTTTCTTGTAAATTTGTTTGAGTTCATTGTAGATTCTGGATATTAGCCCTTGTCAGATGAGTAGGTTGCAAAAATTTTCTCCCATTTTGTAGGATGCCTGTTCAAATGCTCATCATCACTGGCCATCAGAGAAATGCAAATCAAAACCACAATGAGATACCATCTCACACCAGTTAGAATGGCAATCATTAAAAAGTCAGGAAACAACAGGTGCTGGAGAGGATGTGGAGAAATAGGAACACTTTTACACTGTTGGTGGGACTGTAAACTAGTTCAACCATTGTGGAAGTCAGTGTGGCGATTCCTCAGGGATCTAGAACTAGAAATACCATTTGACCCAGCCATCCCATTACTGGGTATATACCCAAAGGACTATAAATCATGCTGCTATAAAGACACATGCACACGTATGTTTATTGCGGCATTATTCACAATAGCAAAGACTTGGAACCAACCCAAATGTCCAACAATGATAGACTGGATTAAGAAAATGTGGCACATATACACCATGGAATACTATGCAGCCATAAAAAAGATGAGTTCATTGTCCTTTGTAGGGACATGGATGAAATTGGAAATCATCATTCTCAGTAAACTATTGCAAGAACAAAAAACCAAACACCGCATATTCTCACTCATAGGTGGGAATTGAACAATGAGATCACATGGACACAGGAAGGGGAATATCACACTCTGGGAACTGTGGTGGGGTTGGGGAGTGGGGAGGGATAGCATTGGGAGATATACCTAATGCTAGATGACAAGTTAGTGGGTGCAGCGCACCAGCATGGCACATGTATACATATGTAACTAACCTGCACAATGTGCACATGTACCCTAAAACTTAAAGGATAATAATAAAAAAAAAAAGGTAGATAAATCCACAAAGATGAGGAAAAACCAGTGCAAAAAGGCTGAAAATTCCAAAAACCAGAATGCCTCTTCTCCTCCAAAGGATCACAACTCCTCACCAGCAAGGGAACAAAACTGGACAGAGAATGAGTTTGATGAATTGACAGAAGTAGGCTTCAGAAGGTGGGTAATAACAAACTGCTCCAAACTAAAGGGGCATGTTCTAACCCAATGCAAGGAAGCTAAGAACCTTGAAAAAAAGCTTAGAGGAATTGCTAACTAGAATAACCAGTTTACAGAAGAACATAAATGATCTGACGGAGCTGAAAAACGGCACAAGAACTTTGTGAAGCACAATAGTCAAATCGATCAAGCAGAAGAAAGGACATCAGAGATGGAAGACCAACTTAATGAAATAAAGCGTGAAGACAAGATTAGAGAAAAAATAATGAAAAGGAACAAACAAAGCCTCTAAGAAATATGGGACTATGTGAAAAGACCAAAACTATGTTCGATTGGTGTACCTGAAAGTGACAGGGAGAATGGAACCAAGTTGGGAAACATTCTTCAGGATATTATCCAGGAGAATGTCCCCAACCTAGCAAGACAGGCCAACATTCAAATTCAGGAAATACAGAGAACACCACAAAGATACTCCTCGAGAAGAGCAACCCCAAGACACATAATTGTCAGATTCACCAAGGTCGAAATGAAGGAAAAAATGTTAAGGGCAGCCAGAGAGAAATGTCAGGTTACCCAGAAAGGGAAGCCTATCAGACTAACAGTGGACCTTTCTGCAGAAACCCTACAAGCCAGGAGAGAGTGGGGGCCAATATTCAACATTCTTAAAGAAAAGAGTTTTCAATCCAGAATTTTATATCCAGCCAAACTGAGCTTCATAAGTGAAGGAGAAATAAATTCCTTTACAGATAAGCAAATGCTGAGAGATTTTGTCACCACCAGGCCTGCCTTACCAGAGCTCCTGAAGGAAGCACTAAATATGGAAAGGAAAAACCGGTACCAGCCACTGCAAAAACATACTAAATTGTAAAGACCATCGACACTATGAAGAAACTGCATCAAACAATGGGCAAAAAACCCAGCTAGCATCATAATGACAGGATCAAATTCACACATAACAATATTAACCTTAAATGTAAATGAGCTAAATGCCCCAATTAGAAGACACAGACTGGCAAACTGGATAAAGAGTCAAGACCCATTGGGGTGCTGTATTCAGGAGACCCATCTCATGTGCAAAGACACACATAGGCTCAAAATAAAGGGATGGAGGAATATTTACCAAGGAAATGGAAAGCAAAAAAAGAGTGGGGTTGCAATCCTGGTCTCTGATAAAACAGACTTTAAACGAACAAAGATCAAAAGAGACAAAGAAGAGCATTATTTAATGGTAAAGGGATCAATGCAACAAAAAGAGCTAACTATCCTAAATATATATGCACCCAATACAGGAGGACCCAGATTCATAAAGCAAGTCCTTAGAGTCTTAAAAAGAGACTTAGACTCCCACACAATAATTGTGGGAGACTTTAACACCCCACTGTCAATATTAGACAAATCAAAAAGACAGAAAATTAACAAGGGTATTCAGGACTTGAACTCAGCTCTGGACCAAGCAGGACTAATAGACATCTACAGACATCTACAGAACTCTCCACCCCAAATCAACAGAATATACATTCTTCTCAGCACATCACGCTTATTCTAAAATTGACCACATAATTGGAAGTAAAATACTCCTCAACAAATGCAAAAGAATGGAAATCGTAACAGTCTCTCAGACCACCGTGCAATCAAATCAGAATTCAGGATTAAGAAACTCACTCAAAACTGCAAAACTACATGAAAGCTGAACAACCTGCTCCTGAATGACTACTGGGTAAATAGCGAAATGAAGGCAGAAATAAATAAGTTCTTTGAAACCAATAAGAACAAAGACACAACATACCAGAATCTCTGGGACACAGCTAAAGCAGTGTTTAGAGGGAAATTTATAGCACTAAGTGCCCACTGGAGAAAGCAGGAAAGATATAAAATTGACACCCTAATATCACAATTAAAAGAACTAGAGAAGCAAGAGCAAACAAATTCCAAAGCTAGCAAAAGGCAAGAAATAACTAAGATCAGAGCAGAACTGAAGGAGATAGAGACATGAAAAACCCTGCAAAAAATTAATGAATCCAGGAGCTGATTTTTTGCAAAGATTAACAAAATAGACTACTAGCCAGACTAATGAAGAAGAAAAGAGAGAAGAATCAAATAGACACAATAAAAAATGATAAAGGGGATATCACCACTGTTCCCACAGAAATACAAACTACCATCAGAGAATACTATAAACACCTCTGTGCAAATAAACTAGAAAATCTAGAAGAAATGGATAAATTCCTAGACACATACACCTTCGTAAGACTAAACCAGGAAGAAGTCAAATCCCTGAATAAATCAATAACAAGTTCTGAAATTGAGGCTGTAATTAATAGCCTACCAACCAATAAAACCCCAGGACCAGCTGGATTCACAGCCGAATTCTATCAGAGGTACAAAGAGGAAATGGTACCATTCCTTCTGAAACTATTCTAAACAATAGAAAAAGAGGGAATCCTCCATAACTCATTTTATGAGGCCAACGTCATCCTGATACCAAAACCTGGCAAAGACACAACATACAAAGAAAATTTCAGGCCAATTTCCCTGATGAACATCGATATGAAAATCTTCAATAAAATACTGGCAAACCGAATCCAGCAGCACATCAAAAAGCTTATCTACCATGATGAAGTCAGCTTCATCCCTGGGATACAAGGCTGGTTCCACATACTCAAATCAATAAGTGTAATCCATCACATAAACAGAACCAATGACAAAAACCACATGAATATCTCAATAGATGCAGAAAAGGCCTTCGATAAAATTCAACACCCCTTCATGTTAAAAACTCTCAATAAACTAGGTATTGATGGAATGTATCTCAAAATAATAAGAGCTATTTATGACAAACCCACAGCCAATATCATACTGAATGGGCAAAAGCTGGAAGCATTCCCTTTGAAAACTGGCACAAGAAAAGGTTGTCCTTTCTCACTCCTATTCAACATAGTATTGAAAGTTCTGGCCAAGGCAATCAGGCAAGAGAAAGAGATAAAGGTATTCAGATAGAAAGAGAGGAAGTCAAGTTGTCTCTGTTTGCAGATGACATGACTGTATATTTAGAAAAACTCATTGTCTCAGCCCAAAATCTCCTTAAGCTGATAAGCAACTTCAGCAAAGTCTCAGGATACAAAATCTATGTGCAAAAATTACAAGCATTCCTATACACCAATAATAGACAGAGAGCCAAATCACGAGTGAACTCCCATTCACAATTGCTACAAAGAGAATAAAATACCTAGGAATACAACTTACTAGGGATGTGAAGGACCTCTTCAAGGAGAACTACAAACCACTGCTCAGGCAAACAAGAGAGGACACAAACAGATGGAAAAACATTCCATGCTCATGGATAAGAAGCGTCAATATAGTGAAAATGGCCATACTGCCCAAAGTAATTTATAGATTCAATGCTAACCCCATCAAGCTACCATTGACTTTCTTCACAGAATTTGAAAAAACTACTTTAAATTTCAAATGGAACCAAAAAAGAGCCCGTATAGCCAAGACAATTCTAAGCAAAAAGAACAAAGCTGGAGGTATCATGCTGCCTGACTTCAAACTATACTACAAGGCTACAGTAACCAAAACAGCATGGTACTGGTACTAAAACAGAGATATAGACAAATGGAACAGAACAGAGGCCTCAGAAATAATGCCACACATCTACAACTATCTGATCTTTGACAGACCTGACAAAAATAAGCAATGGGGAAAGGATTCCATATTCAATACATGGTGTTGGGAAAACTGGCTACCCATATGCAGAAAACTGAAACTGGACCACTTCCTTACACCTCATACAAAAATTAACTCAAGATGGATTAAAGACTTAAATGTAAGACCTAAAACCATGAAAACCCTAGAAGAAAACCTAGGCAATACCATTCAGGACATAGGCATAAGCAAAGACTTCATGACTAAAACACCAAAAGCAATAGCAACAAAAGCCAAAATTGACAAATGGGATCTAATTAAACTAAAGAGCTTTTGCACAGAAAAAAAAAAAAATCTATCATCAGAGTGAACAGGCAACCTACAGAATGGAAGAAAATTTTTGTAATCTATCCATCTGACAAAGGGCTAATATCCAGAATCTACAAAGAATTTAAACAAATTTACAAGAAAACAAACAAACAACCCCATCAAAAAGTGGGCAAAGGATATGAACAGACACTTCTCAAAAGAAGACATTTATATGGCCAACAAATATATGAAAAAAAGCTCATCATCACTGGTCATTAGAGAAATGCAAGTCAAAACCACAATGAGATACCATCTCACACCAGTTATAATGGTGATCACTAAAAAGTCAGGAAACAACAGATGCTGGAGAGGATGTGGAGAAATAGGAATGCTTTTACACTGTTGGTGGGAGTGTAAATTAGTTCAACCATTGTGGAAGACAGTGAGGCTATTCTTCAAGGATCTAGAACTGGAAATACCATTTGACCCAGCAATCCCATTACTGGGTACATACCCAAAGGAGTATGAATCATTCTATTATAAAGACACATGCACACGTATGTTTATTGCAGCACTATTCACAATAACAAAGACTTGAAACCGACCCAAATGCCCATTCATGATAGACTGGATAAAGAAAATGTGGCACATATATACCATGGAATACTATGCAGCCATAAAAAAGGATGAGTTCATGTCCTTTGCAGGGACATGGATGAAGCTGGAAACCATCATTCTCAGGAAACTAACATAGGAACAGAAAACCAAACACTGCATGTTCTCACTCATAAATGGGAGCTGAACAATCAGAACACATGGCCACATCCTTCCCACAGGGAAGGGAACATCACACACTGGGGCCTGTCAGGCGGTGGGGGGCTAGGGGAGGGATAGCATTAGGAGAAATACCTAATGTAGATGACAGGTTGATGTGTCCAGAAAACCACCATGACATGTATATACCTATGTAACAAACCTGCACGTTCTGCACATGTATCCCAGAACTTAAAGTATTAAAAAAAAAGTTTTCTGACTATACACCCTAAGCTTTAGATAAATCTAAATTTCCTTAAAAGTTTGAAGGGCCTATGAATACAGAATAGTTTCTTACTAACGCAGCAGTGAATATACATTTATTATTTGGAAAATGGCAGAGAATCACAACTCTTATCTACCTCAACTGTTTTTAAACATTCATAGAAATTTAATCTGTTAATAATTGAGTTTGGGAAGGCTGGAGCACTTAGAAAAATGGACTATTTTAGTGTCACAGGTGAGACAAAGAACAGGCTGAGAAGCTCAAGAATCGCTGCATTCCTCTTACTGATTACAGAAAAACAAGAGATTCAGTGCTGCTAAAATTGGCTTCAGAATCATTTTCACGACAACCCATACATCATCCCAGAATTTCCTGAAAGAACATCTTTAGGTTATGATTGAAGTCAAGTATGATTCTTTCAAAGGTTTCCCTTTAAGAAATTTTATTAGTAAAAGTAAGGTTAAGAAACATATGTAAATATACAGTATATGTATAGTACATAGTATAGTATACATACATACATATAGTATATGTTTTGTTACTATATATACACTATATATATGTAGTAACAAAAGGAGTGTACTCTGATTCTCACCCATAATGTTTCTATAGATGTATCATTTTGGCTTAGATGAAAGCGAGCAATCAAAAAGATGAATCACTCTATCTCTTCCTTAAAAATAACTCTTTAAAGTGCTAATAAATGCTTATTTAATAAGTCTGTATATACATATATAAAATGGGAGAATAATATATTGAAGGAATTTGTGTTTATCTTATTAACGTGGAATGGTAAAAATTCTTTTAGTGTATGATAATAGTGTAAAAAAGTTCCAAGACTGGGTCTTTTTTAATACCAAAAAAAGATATAAAGTGCATGTGTTGGCAAACTTAAAAAAAAATTACACATGTAATACATGGTTGGGTAGATAAAATGTGAAAATACAGATAAACCAAATGGAGGGAAAAATGAGAAATATTTAATATTACTTATAATTGTACCATCCAGGAATAATCATTTTAGGATATATCTGTCAGACTTTTAAAAATGTATGTATACACACATATATTACACAAATGGGGTCATGCTGTTTTAGAACCTATTTTTTTAAACTTAGCAACATATTGCGACTGTCCATCTATGTCAATGTACTCCTCAGCATCATTTAAAGGAGTGGTCCCCAACATTTTTGGCACCAGGGACTGGTTTCATAGAAGACAATTTCTCCAGGGATGATGTGGGGGATGGTTTTGGAATGATTCAAGTGCATTACATTTATTGCACACTTTGTTTCTCTTATTATTACATTGTAAAATATAATGAAATAATTATACGACTCACCATAATTTAGAATTCGTGGGAGCCCTGAGCTTGTTTTCCTGCAACTAGACCGTGTCATCGGCGGTGGGGCGGGGGTGGGGGGGTGGGTGACGGGAGACAGTGACAGATCATCAGGCATTAGTTAGATTCTCATAAAGAGCACGCAACCGAGATCCCTTGCATGCGCAGTTCACAATGGGGTTTGCACTTCTATGAGAATCTAACATCACTACTGATATAACAGGAGGTGGAGCTCAGGTGGCAATGCCAGCAATGGGGAGCGGCTGTAAATACAGATGAAGCTTCGCTCGCTCGCCCACCACTCATCTCCTGTGTGTAGCTCTGTTCCTAAAAGGCCACGGACCCATACCGGTCTGCAGCCCGAGGGTTGGGGACCCCTGAAAAATGATCGCTTATTATTCCATGTTGAAGTACATCTTAAACCTTCTCCAATCCCCCACTACTGTCTATATAACAACCTGAAGTGTATCCATTCAAGGAATGTGTTCTTGGCCACAAAAACAGGGTGCTTGAAAAACAAATCCCAGCAGAATCATTCTTGTCCTTACGTTAATCACTACAGGGCTATTTTCAGAGCACTCCAGTGGAGCATACCGCAGTCTTCCAAAAGGGTCTTTAGGTGGTGCTATTGGATGGAACGGTTCCTTCGGAAGAGAGATGATTCATTTGCTTGGGGGTGGGGGGTGGGGGCACATCAACCCCGACTTGATTCCTCCTGTTATCTTTGGATATTCTGTATTAACTCCAATTCCCTCAAAAAGAAGTGGCAAGGATCGATCTTTAGCAGTTGTTCGTGACCTACATGCATTCTTGAAACAAGGCACACTTTAATAGGTTTAATGTTTCCTGCAAACTGTTGTGGATAGACTGAGCAGAACAAAATGCCTTTTCTGCTGGGTAAAGAGTACCTGGCACCCCCTCCCTGCCCCCCAATCCCCCCACCTCCCGCCAAAGTCACCTGCTTACGTCAGACCAGCCCTGATGCGATGGAAATGCTGAACTGAAGTGTGCTCCCATGGTTTGAAGAGCACATTTTTCACTGGCATCATGCACACAGGACAAAGCATGTCTCTTAGATGAAAGCATCTTTAAAATGACATAAACAAATACAAATTGGAATCTCAGAATGCAGTTTAAGGACCTCACTGCCCCCCTCTAGTGGTCATGTCGAGTTTCATCGGGTCTCTTGACCACAGACCGGGTCCTGTCCTAGGAATTCTGGCGCCCTCTTGTGGAGGGCAGGAGGAGGTCTTTGTAGACCGGCAAAGACCAGCGGGGCCTGCGTGAAAGATGCTAAAGACGAATTACCTCCTCTCCCTCAAAGATTCCCTAAAAGCAGAATCGAGTCAATTCTCATTCATTCTTTTAGGGCTGTATGTCTTTTAAAAATGCATTGCATTCTTTGCTGCCTGCTTGGAGTACAATGACCGACATTAACCATTTTCTCAGAGATTCAGATTTTTCCTTTTAAAAAATTGGCTCCGGCCCCATGAAAAACAGCTGTAAATGCTCAGAAGCTGCTGAGATCTGATCACAGTTCTACTTTTTTTTCCACTATGAAGCCTGCATGCGAACTCCCTGCAGCCTGCAATGCTTTCTGGGTTTTCATTTCTGTTTCCATTTTCACCTTTTCCCTCATTGTCTTGCTGCCAGTCTCTAACACCACTCCTGACCTCTTCCTTCCTTCTAACCTGCTGTGGGATCAGAAGTGAGGTAACAAAGCTTGCTATAATTCTAATTTATCAACAGAATAAACAGACCCCCGTCAATACTGGAAATGCTCTCCCCTTTGCAAAATACGAAATGTCTTTTCTAAATACACGCATGCCTTTTAGTGCCTATGTAATCCTTATCCAGTGAGTGGGAAAGAGTTAAAAGAATGAAAGTGTTAAAAAGAAATTTCTCTAGGACGGGCAGCTGATCCTGTGAGCGGGGAGCTTTGGAGGCAGCCCTGGTTTCTTTCTTTCTTTCTTTCTTTCTTTCTTTCTTTCTTTCTTTCTTTCTTTCTTTCTTTCTTTCTTTCTTTCTTCCTTCTTCCTTCCTTCTTTCTTTCTTTCTTTCTTTCTTTCTTTCTTTCTTTCTTTCTTTCTTTCTTTCTTTCTTTCTTTCCTTCTTTCTTTCTTTCCTTTCTTTCCTTTCTTTTCTTTTTTTTTGAGACGGAGTCTCACTCTTGTTGCCCAGGCTGGAGTGCGGTGGTGCGATCTTGGCTCACTACCACCTCCGCCTCCTGGGCTCAAACGATTCTCCTGCCTGTGCCTCCGGGGTAGCTGGGATTACAGGCGTGCACCACCACGCCCAGCTAATTTTTGTATTTTTAGTAGAGACAAGGTTTCCTATGTTGGCCAGGTTGGTCTCAAACTCCTGGCCTCATGTGATCCGCCCGCCTAGGCCTCCCAAAGTGCTGGGATTACAGGCGTGAGCCACCGTCCCCTGCCTGATTTCATCTTTGCCTCCTTGGCCTGGTTTCTGCTCCCTGGGCTGGAAGCGCTGTCCCCTGGTGGTGGGGAGGGCCGTGTGCTACATAGGACTGAGGTTTCAGAAAAAAAGTTCTGCAGGTGTGGATAAACAGAATGCTAAGCGGATATTGCCCAGGACAGCATAAGTGGAGGAGAATCTCAACCAGAGTCAAGGTTGTGTATGTCTGTAACCAAGGGTGCAAATGTCAAGGTGAGAAGTGGTAATGCGGCACCTGGAGATCGCGGCGGGTGATCCAGGACAGGGCAGTGGGAGTTAGATAGAATGGTCATGTTTTTTTTCCTAATAAGCTATTTATTTACTTTTGGCAAATAAAAATTGCATACCTTTACAGTATACAACATGATGTCTTAATGTATGTATATATTGTGGTATAATTAAATAAGTGGTTTAACATATTCATCACCCCCACATAGCTATTTTTTTGTGGTGAGAATATTTAAAATCTATTCTCTTAGCCATTTTCAAGTATGCAATGCATTGTTATTAATTATAGTCACCATGCTGTATAATAGATCTCCATAACCTATTCCTCCAGTCTAACTGAAACTTTGTACCCCTCTCAACTATTCTTGACCTCTGGCAACCACCATTCTACTCTACGCTTCTGTGAGTTTGACTTTTTGAGAGTCCATACACAAGGGAGATCAAGAGTGGTCCTATTTTAATGTGGTGCTGGCTTTGTTGCATGGAAATAGGCTGTTACTTGGGCAGAGACAGTGGGATGGGGGATATTTGTAACAGAAAAAGTTCTCAGATTGAGATGTTTTGTTCCTTAAGGAAATCATCTTCAGACAGGGCTCTCCTGTAGTGTTAAATGGAATCCTACAAAACACCAGTGTTCCATGAGTTGTCAGTAGGTGGTCTATAAAAATTATTTTCTATATTCAGGTAACTTTTGGCAATTACACACCATATGTGCTGAAAAGCTTGTTAACCAGCGCAGACCCATACTCTGCCCTTCTTCTCCCTGGACCCCCTGCCAGGTCACCTTGTTCTGGTTCCATCTCTTGATCAAAGGCTGTAACTTCAGTCAGGCTGACTTCTCTCTGGAGGGGTTTCTGGTACCCTGCTGGTGCTAGTGCTGGGGCGTTGCACTCCTCTTTGTGATTTCCCTATATCCTGCCCATACCTTTATAAACAATATTTTTACAAAACTATTCTCGAATTACCCAAAGTGAGTATGCCATCTCCTGGCTGACACACCATATGTTTCATTAGAGAAACGTGATGCCCAGTAGCATTTTAAAATACATTAATCATATTGGTTAATTTGTTCATAGTGGCCTCTTCTACTGGAACACAATCACAGTGCCTGGTGCATAGAAGGTGCTTGTCTTAGATGGGGTTTTCTTAGGAGCAGACACTTAACCAAAAATGTGGGTGCATATGATTTATTAAGGAAGTGCTTCCTGGAGAAACTGCTAAGGGAGTGGGGAGGCAGGGTGGAGTAGAGGAAGAAGCCAAGCAATTGAGCAATGCCAGGAGAAAGTCCCAGTCTCAGCCTGATCCCATGGGGCACACTGAGGCATAGCTGGTTTTTTTTGTTGTTGTTGTTTATTTGTTTTTTGACATGCAGTCTCGCTCTGTTGTCCAGGCTGGAGTGCAGTGGCCTGATCTCGGCTCACTGCAACCTCCACCTCCCGGGTTCAAGCAATTGTCCCACCTCAGCCTCCTGGGTAGCTGGGATTATAGGCACCCGCCATCATGTCCAACTAATTTTTGTATTTTTGTAGAGACGGGGTTTCACCGTGTTGGCCAGGCTGGTCTCGAACTCCTGACCTCATGTGATTTACCTGCCTTGACCTCCCAAAATGCTGGGAATACAGGCATGAGCCACTGTACCCGGCCTTAGCTGGCATTTTGAATGTCCCCTCCCACAACATCCGTCCATCATTGGTGGCAGAGACCAGGGACCCTAGGGTGGGTCATAAACTCCCAGGCACTTCAACTCTCTAAATGGACAAAGTAGCTTCAGTAGCCACAGTCAAATCTCTGAAAGAGGGCAAAGCTGCAAGTAGTTAGCTTCAGAGCCCACAGAAGCTGGGGTGTGGGCACAGAGAACCAAGGGGGAGTGGGATCTGGGAAGGTTTCAATGGTGTCTCCCAAAGCTCTCATCAAAAAGTGAATTCATGAATGAAGACCCCCAAAACTTCCTTTATATAGAAAAATCTGATTTTTTTTTTTTTTTTCCTGATACAGAGTCTTGCTCTGTCACCCAGGCTGGAGTGCAGTGGTGTGATCTCAGCTCACCACAACCTCCACCTCCTGGGCTCAAGTGATTCTCATGCCTCAGCCTCCTGAGTAGCTGGAATTTCAGGTGCATGCCACTATGCCCGGCTAATTTTTGTATTTTTTAGTACAGACAGGATTTTGCCATATTGGCCAGGCTAGTATCAAACTCCTGACCTCAAATAATCCGCCTGCCTTGGCCTCCTAAAGTGCTAGGATTACAGGCAGCTACCATGGCTGGCCCCAAAAATCTAATTTTAACACATAGGGCATTACTTTTTTGTTTTATATTATGTGTATTTACATCCCAATTGCCCAATGTTCTATTGACTACATTTTGGTAAAGAAACATTGCTCACCTAGAAAGCTAATTTTTCCTTATTTAGGCCGCTGGGTGTATCAGTCAGAATTCTCCAGAGAAACAAAACCAACGGGATATATATAAAGAGATATGGGCCGGGTGTGGTGGCTCATGCTTGTAATCCCAGCACTTTGGGAGGCCAAGGTGGGCAGATCACTTGAGACCAGGAGTTCAAAACCATCCTGAGCAACATGGAGAAACCCTATCTTTACAAAAAATTAGCCACAGATGGTGGTGCATGACTGTGGTCCCAGCTACTTGAGAGGCTGAGATGGGACAATCGCTTGAGCCTGGGAGGCAGAGGTTGCTGTGAGCTGAGATTGTGCCACTGCACTCCAGCCTGGGTGACAGAGTGGGATCCTGTCTCAAAAAATAAAAAATTACAAAATAAAGAGATGCAAGAAAATATTCGTTATGGAAAGTGGCTCATGTGATTATGAAAGCTGAGAAGTCCATGATATGCCATCTGCAAATGAGAGACCCAGGACAGCCAGCGGTATAATTCGGCCTGAGTCCAAAGACCTGAGAAGCTGAGGGGCTGCTCATAGAAGTCTCTGAGGCTGAAGGCTTAAGAACCTGGAGCTCTGATGTCCAAGGGCAGGAGATGAATGTCCCTGTCTCCAGGAAGCATTTCCTCAGTAAATCATACCTTCACATTTCAAGAGTGTGAATTTTCCCTTCTCTCACCTTTTTGTTCTGTTTGGGCCCTGGATAGATTAGATGGTATTGCCCACATTGATGAGGGTAGGTCTTCTCTACTCAGTTTATGATTCAAATGCTAATCTCTTCCAGAAACAACACCATGACAGACAAACCCAGAAATAATGTTTACCAGCTATCTGGGCATCCCTTAGCCTAGTCAAGTTGACACATAAAACTAACCATCACACTGGGGTTAGGGCAATAGACCCTCTCATGCCTGAGACAGCAGGACTGAGTCTGTTGCCAGAGTCAGAACTTCTAAAGAAATGGAATACCCAGTGCATTACAAGTGTAATATGAGAGAGAGAAAAATGTCATCAGTAAGGTCATGAACCTAGCATGCAAGTGGACGAGAGAACCCCAGGCCTCACTAATAAGGAGGTGACCAAAGAGGAACTAGGACCCTGGAGGTCCTCAGGCAGCTTGAGAAGGTGATCATGGAAGAGGCAGGAAGAAGAGATCAATGTTAGATATCTCTGTGAGGAGCAGGCACATCGGCAGCAGTAATAAAGAGTCTACAAAATAATTTTTATGTCAGTAAATCTCCTGCATGATGACGAAGAGAAGGCATGGACATATAAATGAAAATTCAAAAACTCAGAATAACGTGATAGCTCTGTCCCCAGTCACTCATGAACAGAGAGATACTCATCACCTACTGGCCCAGGGGAAGGAGTAAACATTAAAAACAGAATCACCTTCATTCAGAGTGTTTAATTCAAATATGTAGGACTATTTGGTAGAAATTTTGTAAGTTTGCCTACATGAAGTGATAATGTTCAAATAATCCTTTTTTTTTTTTGAGATAGAGTCTCACTCTGTCGCCCAGGCTAGAGTACAGTGGTGCAATCTCAGCTCACCGCAACCTCCACCTCCTGGATTCAAGCGATTCTCCTGCGTTAGCCTCCCTAGTAGCTGGGATTACAGGCACCCACCACCACGCTTCGCTATTTTTTTTTTTTGTATTTTTAGTAGAGATGGAGTTTCACCATGTTGGTCAGGCTGGTCTCAAACTCCTGACCTCAGGTAATCCACCTGCCTCGGCCTCCCAAATTGCTGGGATTACAGGTATGAGCCACCGTGCCCAGTCAATACTTTTCTTTCTTATGTCTCTGTTAAAGGACCTTCAACATAGATGGTAATGTAGTAGAAATATATGTGAATACAAGGGATGATCGCATATCACTCCATTTATCCAGTCTAGACAATCAACTATTGGCAAACATTATTACAGAAATTATACCCTAAAATAATATCCTGGTATACAGACATTGTTATGAAAATCTTGTGTGTTTTGAAGTCTTAAAAACAAACAAGGAAACAAAAAGTAGTACATTCTGATTCTCAACTATGGGCCCAGGGTTGAGAATGGAATAAAGGCACTCTGGAAGGCTGAGATGCTGCAGTGTGTGATGTTCCAGAAGGGAGCCCGGGCCATTTCCTTTCTGCCATATTTGAATCCAGAAGGTCTGTATGCTTCATGTGTCCTTGCAGTGGACAGGTGCACATTGAATTAAAAGGATTAAGACCAGAACTCATCTAACCCTTGTCACACTCTTTAAAGGAAGCATAAATAGAAGCCCTGACCACAAACTTGAGCTGGTTTCTATGGTTTGAAAATGTACAGTTAATCCAGACTATTATTATTTCTGAGCTTCAACCACTAGTAGTAATATGCTATCACCAAGGGAAGTTTGACCTTTTTATAGCCCAACCTATAAGTGTGAAATAAAAGGAACTGAAAATGAACTCAACCCATTAACCACTTATTAGGCCCTATGGTTTGCCTTGCTCTGCGTTTGGGGAGAGTGTTATGGGGTCAGGGGCAGGGGATTAAAAACATGTGATGGAATCTCTGGTCCTAAGAAAATGAGTGTAAACATCTGTGGTAAAAAGGATGGATTAGTAGCGAATTAGAGCCATTCTGTGTGCTAAAAGTTTGAGGAACTTTCTAGAAAGAAATTTTGTACATATTCCAAAATATTGAACTGAGTAGGAAAGCCGCAAGCATTTGAGTCAATTCTCACCTTCTGATTTCTAAATGTGGATGAAGTCACCGCCTCTGACCTTGGGGAATATTTCCTGTTGCCAACAAAGCCTGCTTGGTGAAGCCTGCAGCAACGAGCCCTTTAGAGGCCCTGTGCAGACTCACCTCATTGCACCAACCAAAGGATCAAAGGACCCAAAGAGAAACTTCCTTGGAGTGGGCTCAGAGCTTCGCTCCTCCCCGTCCATCATCCCCTAGCACCATGGTCTAATTAATGTCCTTACAACAGACCCATCCTGTGACAGCTCCTCCTCCCTGGGAGTAGCCTGTCCTGTAAAGTGGACTCCAACCCCTGTCTAGCCAAAGTCTTCTACAGAAAGAATATAGTTGCAGGTGGAAACTCGGTGGGGGAGGAGTCACGATTTTAGGTAGATTACCTGCAGGTTTCTGCTGACTCCCTTAACCACCCTCTACCACCACTCAATCAGTATTCTTCTTTATGAGAGAAAAACAATTGGCTGTGCATACATTGTTCTCCGCAGACCCAGGGCTGCATAATAAAATACCTACAAGAGTCATACAAGAAACAGAAATTGCAAAAGCCTGATGACTATCAGACCTCCTGTAAAGGCATTCAACATCAGGGTTTGTTTGCCTTTTTTAAATTGCATTTGTTTGTTTGTTTGCTTGCTTTAACAGTGTGCTGGTCAAACAAAATACATCTCCAGTCTAAATGCTAACCACAGGCCACCAGTGTGTAACCTCTGAGGTAGACCATCCTTTCTCTTCAGTGAACAGGAATAATGACAAAAAAGAAAGAAGCTGTTTTACCATCTTTGTTTATGCTGATGGTTCTCTCTCAAAGGAAACCAGACATTTTGTCCAACTGTGTGTGTAACAGCACAATTAGAAAAGAAACGTTTCAAAACACAAGGTTTCTTCCTGCTGCTAATGCCAAAAACAAGGATCCAAAGAATCTAAAAATAACATCGATTTTTGAAAATATGTTTATTTGGTACTTCTTGATGATAGTCTCAGCCCCAATGAGAACAGTTGAAAAAGAAAGTCCCAAATGCCTCCACTGGTTTGCTGCAGAGCCCGAAAGCTGTTGGCATTCGCAGTTATTATTTTTAAATTTCTAAAAGCAGTATTAATTAAATAATCAGATATTGAATGCCTATGAGTTACTAGCTATGGGCATTTTACCCAGGATGTCTCTTGCCTGCAGGAATAGAACACTGACTGGTTGACTTAGTAGCAAGGGGTTGCTTACTTGATTGACCAACTGGCAACCTCCATTGTCTAGCAAAGACAGAGGTCTACGGGAAATGGGAGGTGAGTTTCATTGTCTGACAGTCTTCCATTAGGAGCAGCTCCATCTCCACTGTCTTTTTTTGACGGCACCTTCTGTTGGCAGGTGTGAAATCTTCACTTCTGACACTCTTAAAAAATAGAAGATTTTCTCCTTTAAATGATCCCAGTACATATGCATGGCTCTTAAAGAAGAGGATCTCAGGCAGGGATGCCACCCGCACATCCCTCAATAGGCATCTCACATGACACCAAACATTTGCAACTTTTTAAATAACTATCTGATTTTTTTTTTTTTTTTTTTTTGAGACAGAGTCTTGCTTTGTCACCCAGGCTGGAGTGCAGTGGCATGATCTTGGCTCACTGCAACCTCTGCCTCCCAGGTTCAAGCAATTCTCCTGCCTCAGCCTCCCAAGTAGCTGGGATTACAGGCACCTGCCACCACACCTGGCTAATTTTTTAAAAAATATTTTTAGTACAGATGGGGTTTCACCATGTTGGCCAGGGTAGTTTTGAACTCCTTACTTCAAGTGATCTGCCTGCCTCGGCCTCCCAAAGCGCTAGGATTACAGGCACGAGCCACTGTGCCTGGCCCTATCTGATTTTTTTAAAGCTTAATTCAGAGTATGCATTTTGCCATTTTCCTTAGAAGACTGTTTATGGCTGTGTAGCTTCTCCAATACCTACTGTGAACTCTGACTTCTGAAACTCCAAAATCGCCTTATGAAAAATCCTGTCCTTCCTGGTAGTGTGGGGTCAGGAGGAGGTGGTAATGGTTAATGGTTACACAAAGTAGTTTGAGAGAATGAATAATACCTAGTATTTTATAGCACAACGGGTACAAAAAATAGTGTGAAAGAATGAATAATACCTAGTATTTTATAGTCAAAATAGTTTAATTGTACATTTTAAAATAACTGAGAGAGAATCATTGGATTGTTTGCAACACAGAGGATAAACGCTTGAGTGGATGAGTATCTCATTTTCCATGATGTGAGTATGCATTGCATGCCGGTGTCCAAGTATTTCATACCCCATAAACATATACACCTGCTATGAACCCATAAAAATTAAAAATCCTTTCATTCTTGATTCTACTACCAGAAAATTAATACTTAACCAAGTTACTTGTCTTCTGCGTTAATTTCCTCACTATCTAAAAACACTTGATCCTACTTTCCAAACTAAGTATTACATGTGTATAAACACATATACTTACAGACAAACTCACCCAGGGCAATTTGTGGAAGTCCAATTAGTGAGTAAATTGTAACTATAGACTCGAAACTCTTTGATCGAAAACCCAAGTCATTCAAATGACAGATTTGCCATTTTGAACCATGCAATCTTGGGAAATTATTTACCCCCCTGTGAAATTCTATGTATACAAATGGAGGTAAAACCAATCATCTTGCACAGTTGTTGTAAAGATTATACACATAAGATGATCCAGGGACATCAACTCAACACTGTTTCTGGTATATTTTGCTTTAACAATGTTGATTTCCTTTTCAACTCTTATTCATTTAATTTTTTAGAACTTAACATTTGCAAGGCCAGGCACGGTGGCTCATGCCTGTAATCCCAGCACCTTGGGAGGCTGAGGTGGGTGGATCATGTGAGGTCAGGAGTTTGAGACCAGCCTGGCCAACATGGTGAAACCTCATCTCTACTAAAAATGCCAAAAAACAAACAAACAAACAAACAAACAAAAAACCAAAACCAAAAAAAGAAATTAGCCAGGTGTAGTGGCCTGCACCTGTAATCCCAGCTACTCAGGAGGCTGAGGCAGGAGAATCGCTTGAACCTGGGAGGCAGAGGTTGCAGTGAGCTGAGATTGTGCCAATGTACTCCAGCCTGGGCAACAAGAGTGAAACTCCTTCTCAAAAAAAAAAAGAAAAAAAAAAGAACTTAGATTTGCAGCACTTGAGATATTAAATATAATGTGAAAAGATATAGAAGTTGAGTTGGTCAAGGGTATTTTCTAGTTCATTTTCCTTCAACCATGTTATTTTATAGACAAGGACAACGAACCCAAGGTTACAAACTAATTAGTAGCCAAACCCAAACTCGAGTTCAGGTTTCTGGACACCCAAGTTCAGGGCACTTGCCATCACATTGTCATAAAAGTCGTATTGTTAAATTTTCACTGTTCATTTATCAGAAATGTGATTTGATGTAGAGCATTCCTTCCAATGCTGGATTTGGCGTTTACAGTTGGGAGAGAGGAGAAAGGAGTTGACAAATATAAAAATAAATGCTAAAGAGAGAGAGCTACATGGGATAGAGAGTAGTACGAGACAGAAGTTAGAAGACTTATAAATAATGGCTAGGGCTGCTGGAAGAAAGAAACAGTGTAAAAATTACAAGGATATTATTAAAGACAGTTTTCAAAAGATTGATTTGCCTGTAGGGGGAGTAAACATCGCAGAATATATTAGGATGTGTCCTTGGTTCATTTGTTTTCCCATCTTTGTTGTCTGAGATGTTGTGAGACAGGGATCTTTGATGTTTTAGAATAAACATACTGTCACTATTCCACAGCTTATAAGCCCCAGGAAATGAATACTAAACCTCCTTCTCTCTTCCCCACACAATTCTAAATACAAGTTAGCTTCATTTCAAAAGATTTCAAGAGACTGCCCTCCTCCCAGTTGCTTCTCTTCTTCTTATATTTTTTAAAATTGACTTAAATAAATGAAGCATCTAGACTTTGAATATTTGTTTATTGTAATTTGACTTAATTGTCATGTTAACTAAGAAGAAATCTCCCCCAAGACACTACTTCATAGAGAGTTACCCAGACTTTAAAATCCCAGAGAAATATTGTTCAGTGTTCTTTTAGAAATGTATCCCCTTCCCTCTAGACACAGTTATGATCAGCCCATTTTATATGGCTGTCAACTGACTCAGGTTACAGAAAGAAATAATTATTGGTAACTATGTCCACTATTGTGGGACACAGGCTACACTTGAGAATACACACAGGCACACTTTGAAGCTGGGAGTCTTCACTTTGCATGTTATAAAACCCCAAAGCATTTATTTAAAGGGAGAAATTTGATTTTGTAATTGTAAAGACTAATGAAATTTTACGTGGTTGATGATTTTGTCAGTTACCTCAATGTTTGACAACCTTGTTAAGCAGCTTTCTAGAAAGGATATATTCAGGCTCTCACCCTCTGAAAATTATATTAAACAATTTTGGTGGACATGACTGTTTACATAATCAGTAAGCTTCTCTATAATGACTGTATTTGTATTTCTGTAAGTTTTTTGTGTGAATGTGAGAGCAAGCTTTAGACACTTGCAAAGGGATTAGGCTCACAGAAATGAATCCATTCCAGGCAATAATTTGGAAAGTCATATTTAAATCTTTAATTAGAACACTAAGTCCTAAAACTTAGCTTAGCCTATAGAGTCTCTTTATATGAATTAGTTCAGGCATGGTGAAAAATCTAAGAATGATTCTTTTATGTCATGCTCAACCCCCCAGAAAAACTAAGGTACACTTCCCAGCTTTTCCCAACTTCTCTCCTTTTATGAGAAAATGGCATTAATGTAAAATATTAAATATTAAAATAATAGTATTGTCCTATTGCTCAGAACAATCTTCTCCGAAGTATTCTTTAATAGGACAATGGTTCTCAAATAGGTGAGCTTCAGAATCGCCTGGAGGACTGTTAAAACACAGATTGCTGGATGCCACCCCCTAAAGTTTCTGATTCAGTGCATCTGAGGTGGGACTGAGTAATCTGCATTTCTAACAAGTACCAAGGCAATGCTGGTTCATAGGGAGCACACCTCAAGGATCACTAAAAATTCCGTATGTGTATATATGTATATATTCAGGATGTAATTCCCAAATACGCAAACACACACACACACACACACACACACACACATATGCATGCACACACAGACACACACACACCACAGAAAGAGAGAAAGAGAGAGAGAAAGCAAAGGCAGCAAAATGTTAATAATTGGTGGATTTGGGTAACAGGTATTTGGGAGCTCCTTACTATTGGTGTGAATTTTCTCTAAGTTTGAAATTATTTCAAAATACAGTTTAAAAAAATTATACCTTATGAAGCTAACACTTGGTGTCTAAACAAATAGAAAACCAGTTCGAATAAAGTCTTCTTGGGCATTTGTCTTGAGTTCAAGTCATGCTCACCACTTAACAGCTAACATGGTTTGGCTTTGCGTCCCCACCCAAGTCTCATGTCAAATTGTAATTCCCAGTGTTGGAGGAGGGGCCTGGAGGGAAGTGATTGAATCATGGGGGCGGACTTCCCCACTGCTGCTCTTGTGATAGAGTTCTCAGCATATCTGGTTGTTTGAAAGTGTGTAGCACTGGCCCCCCCACTTCTCTCTCTCTCTCTCTTCTGCTGGCCATGTGAAGATGTGCTTGCTTCCTCTTTACCTTCTGACATGATTGTAAGTTTCCTGAGGCTTCCGCAGAAGCAGAAGCCTGTACAGCCCGCAGAACCTATTAGCTGATTAAACCGCTTTTTTTTTTTTAAGTATCCAGTCTTAGGTATGTCTTTATAGCAGCATGAGAACGGACTAATACAACAGCCAACTGAATTTCTTCTTAACTCATCATCATCAATATAAGACTCCAGAGTGCGAGCACACATATGGATTTCTGAAGCAGGGGCTTGTGTAGTGATCAGAACGGGGCTTTTGGCTTCAGACAGGCCTGGAGGTGATTCCTGAATTTGTCATTTACCAGTTCTGGGAAATTGGGAGTCACTTAAACCAAGGCTGCTGCATTGTGCTCCAGAAGGTTCCATTTACATAGAAAACAAAGTAAATAATGTTCCCTGTAGTTGTACAAGGCCATGACCCTGATTTAAACTTTCTGAACCTCAGTTTTCATATCTGTAGAAAGGGGAGAATAATAACGCTTGGAATGGTTACAGAGATTAAATGACAGTGCTTGTAAAGAGCTTACTTAACACAGTTGGCTGGTCCATAGCAAGTGCTCAAGAAATGGTAGCAGTATTGAGGATGATGACAATGGTTCCTACTGGAAATTATGAATTCTTTTGAAGGAGAACTGGTCTGCATGGTCCTTTCCAGTTCCAGTTCCAATGCTGTGATCAGAGATGCTTCTATTTAACAAAGGCAACATGGACTTTTCACCTTTATTATTGTTGTTACTATTATTACTATTTTCTCCGGGGGACCTTGATGAAAAGTTATTACTAATAATACAATAATTCTCGTTATTTAACTTTTGTCAAAGAGACCCATTCATGATTTTTCCACTCTATAAATAAAAATCACATCTTCTTTGAAGTGGGCAACTTTCGTAGTACCATTTCTTGGGGACATCAAGATCCAGTACCTTACTGATATGCCTCAGAGGGTGTTTTCCCTCCAAGGACATATTGCACTGGAGATTTTTAGGATATAAACATTTATCAGTTATCTACCTGGGGAGCAAACAGGTTGTTGTTGGAAAAGTCATGCTAGGCAGAAAATCCAATTGGCTAGATAAAAATATAATCAGAGAAGCAAGAAGTTAAGAGACAGGAGAATGATGTTCCAAGGACTGGGAAGAAGTTCAGAATTCTGTCTCTTGAAGAAATTGTTCAGCACTGTGTCCCTGAGTTGCAGGTGTGCAGTAGCAATTTATTTCCAGCCTAAAGACCACTGAGAGAATAGCAGATTGGGAAGCCAGACCACCTGTCTAGTCCCAGCCACATCTCTGAGTATCTCTGAGGCCTTAGCAAATCACTGAATCTCTTCGTCTACAAAATGAGGGAGTTGGATTAGCTCAGAATCTTATCAAAGTATTGTTAAGCCACGAAGTCTGATACGGTTTGGCTCTGTGTCCCCACCCAAATCTCATCTTGAATTGTAGCTCCCATTAATTCCCACATGTTGTGGGAAGGACCCGGTGGGAGATAACTGAATCATGGGGACAGTTTCCTTCATACTGTTCTTGTGATAGTGAATAAGTCTCACAAGATCTGATGATTTTATAAAAGGTTTCCCCTTTCGCTTGGCTTTCATTCTCTCTCTTGCCTGCCACCATGTAAGACGTGACTTTTCTCCTCTTCGCCTTCCACCATGACTGTGAGGCCTCCCCAGCCACATGGAACTGTGAGTCCATTAAACCTCTTTTTCTTTATAAATTACCCAATCTCAGGTATGTCTTTATCAGCAACATGAGAAGAGACTAATACAGAGTCCTTTGTTAAAATAAATTTTATGAGAATATTCAAAAGAAAATCAAATACACACAAGGGTGCTCAGTGGAAGTTGGGCTGGTGACTCCAGACATTCACTCTACTAACTTCTTACCTCTGGCAGCTGCAGAGGGAAATTGGAGGAAACCCAGGGGCTCCATGGAGCACGGATTCAAAACCACTGAACTGAATGAAGTGCCTTCCAGCTCAAACACTTCATCTCTACCTTTGATGTATTTCCTCAAAGGAATTGTCATATATGGCACTAAGTTCCATAAAGTTTTATTCCTCAGAATCCTTTATAGAGCTCTTTTATCTTCTGACAGCTCTGCATGGAAGCCATTATTAAGCTAACTTTGTTCGTGGGCAAATTTTAAATCTATTTGCCCAAGGCATTTGACAGAGACACAATCAGGGCCAAACTGAAAAGCAGCAAGCTTTGCCTTTGGTACCCAGACAGAAATAAGAGACTACTTTTAACTTTTGTTTCCACTGTCAGTCCTGTAACTCATCATGCAGATTCCATTTGAGTTATCATGGTTTTTTTTTGTTTGTTTTTGGTTTTTGATGTTGTTTAATTCTAGCTTCCACATAACTGAGTTTTCAGAGCTAGAAACCATATATGGTGAACCAGCCCTCATAAATGTTACACAATTTTATGTATTAGCTACACAGAAGTTGCTGAAAAGCCTGAAGGGAAAGCAGATGGTTAAAAAAATACTCTTGTCTTTGTGAATTTGGGGAACTTTGCTATGAGAAATTACAGATTATTATTTTCCTTGTTATACCTTTAGTCAAACAGATGGCATGAGACAGCGAACAGGAATTCTACACAGTTTCCATGGCAATTGTTGGAGAGCCCTGGCCTATTTGTAATGATGTGTAGTGTAGTATCTAGGGCAAAGGTGAAATTGTGGGGTTTCATTCTGCAACACCTACTGATTTTAAGCCATTCAGATGACATTTGTTGGGTTCCCATTGCCTAAAAAGCAATGTCCTAGTTATTGGGGGTCGGGTGGGGAAGAAGATATCAAAGAAACTGAAGCATTGCCTTTTCTTTATAGACATTTGCTGTATTGAGTAAACTACATATGAATAACATAAGAACACTATACAAGATATAATGAAACCAGTAAATGTGTCATTAATATAGGATTTCTTTCTTTAAACAACTGCTGTCCAATTAAGCAGTGGCCAAACCACAATCCTTAAAAACTGGGTGAATTATCAGCTTTACTTGTGGACTATGTAAGAAGTATTATAGCCCTATGGCCAAGAGAACATGTTCTGAGCAGACTGTCTGTGTTTAAATCCCGGTTCCGCTATTTATTAGCAGGGTGACCCTGTATTAGTTGTTGAACTTTGCTGTTTCTTGGTTTCCTCATCTATAAAAATGGGACTGACAATGGTATTTAGTTCATAGAGTTATTAAAAGAATAACATAAGTTAACTGGGCATGGTGGCTCATGCCTGTAATCCCAGCACTTTGGGAGGCTGAGGTGGGCAGATCACCCGAGGTCAGGAGTTTGAGACCAACCTGACCAACATGGTGAAACCCCGTCTCTACTAAAAATATAAAATTAGCTGGGCACGGTGGTGCATGCCTGTCATCCCAGCTACTTGGGAGGCTGAGGCCGGAGAATCGCTTGAACTGGGAGGCAGAGGGTGCAGTGAGCCGAGATGGCGCCATTGCACTCCAGCCTGGGAAACAAGAGCAAGACTCTGTCTCAAAGAAAAAAAAAAGAATAACATGAGTTCATTCATGAAAAAAGCTTAGCTCAGGGTAGGTAATCAGTAGGTGTTGAGTATTAGCAAGAGGTAAAATCCCTCAATGTAAGTTCCTTCACTGATTTTCAAAAGGCAAGACGCATCTGAGCTGAAGTAAAGAAAGAGCAGAGTGGTTAAGATGATACTGTTATCTAGTTGACAAGCAACTTAATCTCTCTGAGCCTCAGTTTCCTCATCTGTAAAACAGAGACTACTATACTCACCTACTATAGTCACCTCATGGAGAGAAGATGGACCCCTCACCGAAGATTTGGCTTGGATGTTGGGACTAATGATCACACACACACACACACACACACACACACACACACACACAAGGTGTGAAAAGCTTTATATTTCACACAGTAAGGCTTTCGGGGGGAAGTAAAGTGAGCTTCCAAGAGGTCCAAGAATGGTTTAAGGGAGTGGGAAACGGAGGCTGGCCTTGGGGTTTTGTGGAGGTGGGAGAGTGGGGCTGGGCGAAGCTTCGCTCTTGCAGCTGGGTTTACATGGATGGGATGTCCCACCAGCACCACAGGAGGGCGCACCTGTGCTCTTTCATCAGCTTGCCCAGATGTGGGGCAGAAGTGGGAGGGTTTGGTGGAGTTTGAAAGCTTTCATTGGCTAAACATCAAAAATGCCGGTGATTCTTTATCACACCTCCATAGAGCTTTGCTGTGAGGATTAAATGAGATTACACAGACTCTGTCTTTAATTTAGTAGCTGGTAAACAGTAAATGCTCAATAAATGTTACCCTGTGAAATAAACTTTTTTTCTTAAAAAACTTCAACTTTTAAAATGTCTCCTAAAAAATACAAGAAGCAACACCTGCTTTTTCTTTGCTCTACTTGTTTATACTAGATTTGTTTTGAAACTTCAATATAATCTCTACATGTGAAGAAAAAATTACCAGCAGTCCCCCAGCGATGAAAAGGCTGTGTACTAAGCATTCCGTTTTAAATTGATTGTCACTTGGAACACTCTTTCCCATAGAAACAATGTTATAAATAGAGTTAAGTTCCCAGAGGGACCCACAAATTCTTCTTAAAGTGTAACATAGCTAAAATAGTCCTTGACAGAGCAGGAAACTGAACCCTAGATCACCACCTGGGCCTCTCAGAATCCCAGACTCCACTGGCTCAAGGTGACCCTGGGTGAGACTCGACCCCAGGATTTGTGAAAACCTTGACAAAGAGAAGCTGGCTGAGTAGGATCTGAATTGAGCACAGTGTGTTTGGTGGGACCCCACTGGCAGTGATGACTGCACTTCCCAGCAATCCCTAAATTGGACTCTAATGGGATCATCTTGTTGAGCCTCAGATCTGTCCCACAGCCCTGTGGGTGGAGTGGGGCTTGTCCTTAAGGGAAGGGAAGCTCTTATTCCCAGCCATCCTAGGAAGAGGTCAATCCAAAGGCAAGAAATGAACTGTGGTGGGCCTTAGCCTAGGGTGAGGGGACAACATGGTCCTTTTTCCTGGAGTTAGGGTCTGAGGCGTGGGGAGGCCTGGAGTGGGTGGTTGGGCAGAACTGACTCTGGTTACAGGGAAGATGCCAGGACCATGTCATGAGCCAGCTCAGGAACCCACCCTAAAATGGATGTGGGCCTATGTCAAGGAGGAAAGTTATTTTTTGGTGCTATCTCTCTAGTTTCTACCTCCACGTGCAATGGCAGAGCTTGGCTCTTCTGAGGTGTGGGGAATTATGGGAGGTGAGGTTGGGTGGAAGAGATGTCAGCAGCACTGTGAAAGAGGGGATCTGAGGATGGAAGATGGTGAGCTTCAGAAGGGAAGAGCAGCAGTGTTAGCCCAGCTGAGGAGGCAAAGGACAGCAAGGGCACACCTGCAGAAGCAGAAAAACATCAGCACCTCACACAGCACTTACGATGTACCAGAGACTTTTCCAGGCATTTTATAAGCATATTCAAACCTGTTAACCACCCTATGACACATTATTAGTACCCCCTTTTACAGATGGGGAAAATGAGGCATGGAGAAGTTAAATAACCTGCTCAATATCAGACAGCCAGTAAGTGACGGAGCCAGTAATTAAGCATTGGCAACTTGCCTCCCGAGGCTGGGGTCTTAACCAAATAATTTATTCTCTTCCATACACAATCATTCACCAGGGACAGCCCCAGAAATATTAATACATGGAAAGGCATTGAATAATACACAAATGAAGTTAGTGAATTAGGGCTTTTTAACACAGCAAGTTCTATGTGTATAAAGTATATGAGGCAAACAATAAAACCCCTTGTCAAATCTGAAAATTTCTAAATAACTTACTTTATGTTTAGGAGTACTGTTGTCTTACAGGCACTTCTGGCTGGAATATACATCTTTATATATCTAATGTTTCCATGTATCTATCTTTTTAAAAACACACTCAAGGGTCTACATGCATGTCTAACTGGTAAGGATTTTCTTTTTTAATAATCATCATCTGGCTGGAATTTTTAACTAAACCCATGTCAGTTGAGTGATATTATGTTTTTGTGAAAGCATTGTCGAGAGGATGTCTAGAATAGTTCATTATTAATGTTCCTCTGACAACATGCCACAAAGGATTTTAGAGAAAGACTTTTGATGCTCATTCTCTTAAAACCATTTTCTTTACCTACTATTCATATAAACACCCATCAAAAGCCTCATATTATTTCATTAACTGCAATCTTGTTACTCAATCTTTCAGTAACCAGTAATATAAGTCATGAGGCGACTTGCCTACTTGTTAGAACCAATTTTTTTTTTTTTTTGAGACGGAGTCTCGCTCTGTTGCCCAGGCTAGAGTGCAGTGGCGTGATCTCGGCTCACTGCAAGCTCCGCCCCCCGGGTTCAAGCGATTCGCCTGTCTCGGCCTCTCAAGTAGCTGGGACTACAGGTGCCTGCTACCACGCCCGGCTAATTATTGTATTTTTAGTAGAGATGGGGTTTTACCATATTGGCCAGAACTCCTGGTCTCGAACTCCTGACCTTGTCATCTGCCTGCCTCAGCCTCCCAAAGTGCTGGGATTACAGGTGTGAGCCATGGTGCCTGGCCAGAACCAAACTGAAATGTAATATCCCAGGTCGTAAGTTCAGACTTTACTTCCTCCTGTCGTTTCTGCACCCAGAGGTGATGGTCTGAAGAAGAAAGTCCTTTGGAAAAGTGAAAGTTAGCATAAGCATAGAACTTACTTCCACATCAACTGATTGGGTGGTCTATGTATGATAACGATGACAATGCCTGGCACCTGGTAAGCAATTATTTATTACGATTATTAAATCATCAAATGGCTATTATTATTATTCCTTTTGGGGTCAGTGCTCTCTACTTCGTGGCTGTAGAGATTTTTGTTTGTTTCGTTTACTGCAGAATTGCGAGTGCCTCTTAGAGTAGTACCTGTCACATAATAGGGACTGAATAAATATTTGTTGAATATTAGTTAACATAGCTTTACACCAACCTAATCTACTTATGCATGGGGCAATTTGTGGACAGCAGGGCTATCCTTACCTCATTTCCTTTCTTTGATCCCATTTAAGTTCAGGTCTGCCCAAGTCCTGACCTCTGACTATATCCAGTTTTCATCTGTGCTACTTCCTTTTGGACTTTCAAATTAATCCTGATTTCCTTGGTTTGACCATGGTACCCTATAACAAGTGACACTCTGTTCTTTTCCTGCCTGGTTACTTAAGGGAGGAAATCCTGCCCTACCTCTCACCTTGAGAACAAACTCTACCTCCAGCCTCACTGATTTTTTTCAAATATTTATCAACTACGTAGCAGGCAATCTGCTAGGCTCTGGGGACACAATGAAGAAGAAGAAAGGCAGGTTCCCTAGCCTTTGTGGGATTGGGCTGTAATTTGTTTTCTTAATATATTAATACCCAGAGGTGGGAAGGAACAAAGCCAGGTTCATCCAATGAACAGGTTGCAGAGCCATGAAGAGAGAGAATACGGCCACACTGATTAGGCACCCAGCCTGGCTTCCTGACAAATAGCCTCACCGAAGCAAGTGACCCCCTTACCACTACCCTCTCTCCTCTCTCTCTCCTCGCTTGTGTTCCAGCTGCACCCCTTTCCCATTCTGAATTGTCCAGGTTATGTGTCATGGACCATGATAGAATGACTCATCTTTTCAGAGGGCACCCATCTGCATCAGATTCCACATCTTGGGTTGCTATGTCTTGAGTTGCTAAAATAAGAATCAGAATGTTTCTTATTCTTTGCTCTCTGTGAGTCAAGCCTTGGCCACCAGAAAAGCCCTGGTTGCCCTAAAGAACTTGGAGTCAGCCGGTCACAGTGGCTCACACCTGTAATCCCAGCACTTTGGGAGGCCGAGGCAGGTGGATTACCGGAGGCCAAGAGTTCAAGACCAGCCTGGCCAACATGGTGAAACCCCGTCTCTACTAAAAATACAAAAAACATTAGCCAGGCATGGTGGCACATGCCTGTAATCCCAGCTACTCAGGAGGCTGAGGCATGAGAATTGCTTGAACCCAGGAGGCGGCAGTTGCAGTGAGCCAAGATTGCGCCACTGCACTCCAGCCTGGGTGACAGAGTGAGACTCTGTTTCAAAAAAAAAAGGAGAACTTGGAGTCAGTAGGGCAAAATTGTCCTTCTTTGACCTAGAAGGCTATTGTGTTTATGTTCCTCAGGATGCAAAGGGAAGATGAAAAAAGGAGCTAATGATCATTCTACATTTACTTGTGTCTACGGGCACCTTATGAAAATTACTTTTAGACAGATGCTATGTCTTTCCCCTAAACTAGTGGTTCTACAACATTACAGAATGCCCTGGAAGGCTTGCTAACATACAGATGGCTGGGACCAACTCCCAGACCATTTTTTTGGGTTTTTTTTTTTTTTTTTTTTTTTTTTTTTTTTTTTAGATGGAGTCTTGGTCTCTCGCCCAGGCTGGAGTGCAGTGGTGCAATCTAGGCTCACTGCAACCTCTGCCTTCCGGGTTCAAGCGATTCTTGTGCCTCAGCCTCCCAAGTAGCTGGGACTACAGGTGCATGCCACCATGCCCAGCTAATTTTTTGCATTTTTAGTAGAGATGGGGTTTTGCCATGTTGGCCAGGCTGGTCTTGAACTCCCGACCTCAGGTGGTGTGCCCGCTTCGGCCTCCCAACGTGCTGGGATTACAGGCATGAGCCCACTGTGCCTGGCCCAACTCGCAGTTTGTGATTCAGTGGCTCTAGATTCAGTGGAACCTGAGAATTTGCCTTTTAAACAAATTCCCAGCTGATGCTGCTGCTGCCGGACAGGAGACTACATAATCCTCAACAATCCCACTGTTTCCATTGTTCCCTAAATAAACAATCCAGACCTAGCAGGCTTGTATACTTTCTCTTCCATGCCCTTTTGGTACCTTTGTACCTTAAATATCAGGGAGAATGCTGATTTGCTTCGTATACCAGGGACTTAGTAATGCTTTGTCCACCAAATATCTCACACCTGAGACCCCAGGGAAGTTGCGTTTCAGTCTCTGATGACCAACACCGCATACCAAGTTTCTCCTTCCAAAATTGGGTTGGAATGTTGGGTTGTTTAAAGTTTATTCTTATGAAAACCCCATGATAACACAAAAATAAGCTCCACAAACTCTTTTAAAGCTTTTCTTTGACACATTGATTCCACATTGCATTTCCAGAAATTTGTGTGTTTTAGAAGATACCATCAAAGTTTTATCTCATCATAATTATAATCCCTGTGAGTAAAATGCATGATCTAAAAGTCCCAGGACTTTTAAAATTTAAGCTTTGTATCTAGTAAATGAATTATTGAAGCAATCTCTGCAATTTGCGTACTGTTCTCAATTTCCTGTAGACACGTGGGGAGGAGGTGGCAGGGAAGCTTGTTAGAAATAGAGTACTTCAAAGATTTTAAGTTTCTTATAGTAACAAACACAATTGATTACTAAAAAAGAAAGACTGCATGTTAATGACTATACATCACAGTAAAATTTCCCCTTAAACTCTGCAGTTTTACAGAGCAGTATGAAGCTAGGCATAGCCTCTACCAATGTATCTACATTTAGAAGTCTGATGCCCTGGTTGTCTTTGCTTTTACCAGCTGGTCTTTCCCAGAGGCACACAAGAACTGAATTCATGCATTTGCATAAGAACAACACCAGTTAGCACTCATGTAGTGCTGACTGTGTCCTAGGTACTGCTTTATGCCTTCGGGATAGGTCAAGATGGGTAATCCTCACAACCACCTTGTGAGGTAGGTACCATTCTTATCCTGGGGAAACTGAGGCACAGAGATGTTCAGAAACGTTATGCAAGGTCATACTTTCACATTATTTGCCCAGTCAAGTACCACTTTGGCTATTAGGTACTTATTTATTATTTTAGAACTTGACTCCGTTTTTGTTTGTTTGGTTTGTTTTTTGTTTTTGACGGGGTCTCACTCTGTCTTCCAGGCTGGAAGGTAGTGGTGCAATCGTAGCTCACTGCAGCCTTGACCTCCCGGGCTCAGGTGATTCTCCCACTTCCGCCTCCCAAGTAGCTGTGATGGCAGCTGTGCGCCGCCACACCCGGCTAATTTTTGTATTTTTTTGTGGAGATGGGGTTTTGCCATGTTGCCCAGGCTGGTCTCGAACTCTTGAGCTCAAGTGATCCAGCCACCTTGGCTTCCCAAAGTGCTGGGATTACAGGCATTAGCCACTGCGCCCAGCTGACTTGGTTTTTTTAACTTAAGTTTATTTTAAAATGGAATGTCATGTCTCTACTGTAAAAGGAAAATCAGTATCACTGGTCATAAATAGGAGGTAACTATGAAATGGATACAACTAATGAAAAACAATGATATAAATTCTAGCTCGAGGCTGGGCATGGTGGCTCAAGCTGGTAATCTCAACACTTTGGGAGGCTGAGGCAGGAGGATTGCTTGAGCTGAGGAGTTTGAGATCAGCCTGGGTAACCTAGTGAGACCCCATCTCAACAAAAAATTAAAAAGTAGACAGATGTGGTAGCACATGCCTATAGTCCCAGCTACCCAGGAGGCTGAGGCAGGAGGATCACTTGAGCCCAGGAGGTTGAGTCTGAGGTGAGCTGTGATCCTGCCACTGTCCTGCAGCCTGGGCTGCAGAAAGAGAACCTGTCTCAAAAAAAAAAAAAAAAAAAAATTATAGCTTGGCTCTCTTTTTGTTAAGAGGAAGGGAGGAAGGGAGGCAGTGGAGAAGGGCTAGTGTTGTAGGGGTGTTAAAAATATCAAATCCAAAATATAAATACAAAACAAAGAAACAAAATAAAATGAAAATATATATTAATACCAGAGTAAGACTTTCTCCTTAACATAATCATAATGAATGAGAGGTTTCCGAATCTGTTTTTGTCCTTTCTTTGTTCTGTGTCATCTAACTGCCCTGAACCTCACCTCTGTTTTCTATCTGAAAATGCAAACAACTTCAGAGGTTCAGATATAACATATAGCTGTAGCCTGGCACATAGTAAGTGCTCAGTAAGTCATTATGATTAACGGTCGCTTTGTGGGGGCAGACAAAAATGTATGCTGGGTATCTTAGCTCTGTGTTTTATATCTGGGCTCTCACTTGTACTTATTTTGTTCTAGAAGACCAACAGAGGAGAGGTGGGTGGGAGTGACAATACACATTCAGCAGTGACAACAGTGACAAGGCAAAGATGCTTTTAGGGCTGTTGATGTAAGAAATCTGTTCATCTTCTGGGAGACATTAGACACCTATAATCCATATTTCCATGATCCTGGCCCCAGGATCTTAATTTACAAAATTATTATTGGCTTCAGCGCTATCTATTAATTTGCTAAAATGTTTGTAGCCTTTCTTAAAAAAATAGAAGAACATGACTTTCTTGCCAAGCTCTGATTACAGCCATACTCCAAGAAAAAAATCCATACAAAGAGAAAATAATTGTAGTTGGGGCTTTGGTTTATCTCAAGGGAATTTTTACTCCATGAGACAGCGCTTGCTGAGCTGTGTGCTGTGGAAAGTGACCTGGCCTCTGCAGCCCAGCCTCTCCAAAGTGGAAGGGAAGGAGGGCGGAAACAATGCGGGAGGCTGAGCGATAGGTCAAAAACCAAGCCCTGAGTGGTGCAACACAATGCCAAACCCCCAAACTTCCCTCAGCAAGGGGGCTGGGTGGGGTGCCTGTGGCTTGCTCAAGAAGACAGGAGGAAGAGTCAGTTAGTTCTGGCAGGAAAAAACATCATGAAGTTATGTTAGCTGTGATGAAAGTTTTGAGCATGAATTCCTGTGTTCATACTGATTCCTGGAACCCTTCTCAAAAAATGATTTGGATCCTTTTGAGGGAAGCAGTTTTTTTTTTCGCCCCCCTCCCCCGCCGCAAGGGTAACAAACAAGGGCCTGGTTGGAAAGGTTGATGAGTAAGACAGCAGCTGGGTGGGGACCTAGTGAACTCAAGGGCGTGTGACCCTTTCTCAAAAGGCAGCTCATGTGCAGCTCCTGCCAGTTATTACCATGCAGGCACGTGGATGCAGAATTGCAGACAGGCTGGTGGTGAAGCGACTGTCTACCCTCCTACCTGCTGCTCCATAACGCTGGGGCTTTCGTGTTAGATTCTGCCAACAGGGGGCACCAGAGAGAGATCGGGTGGCAGGATTGTGGGAGAAGGGACTTACAGCTTCGTATGTGGTTGCCAGACCCACCAGCATGACCCCGGTACTTACTTTCTCCCTGGAAGCAACAGCTGGTTTCTGTTTCCTGCTTTCCTTCACACTTTCAGAACCAGCCTTATTGTGCCACTTTGAAAGTACCAGCCACTGCCAGGGGGCTCCCCCTCCTCAAAGGCCTGAGTCTGAGCTCCACATTTTCACTGAGAACTTCCCCCCCACGGAAGGCAACTACCTTGTCCAAGAATAAATTCCTTCCCAAGGGTGAGCCAGTGGCCAATGGGTGGCTGATGCAGGGAAGGAAAGGCTGGGCCCCTAGCTTCAATTTGGTACACCTCTGGAGGACCGTCTAGCTCCAGAACTCTCTGCAGGATTGGTTAAGGCCTCTGGGTGGCAGCCCCTTTGTAGATCAGCTTCTCCCCTTACCCAGTTCTGCCTTCTTCACTTCCTTACTGGTGCAGCTCCCTAAAGCACCCCCAGTCAACTCTGCATGCAATTCTCTATCTCAGAGGCTGTTTCCAAGGAACCCAATCTAAGCCAAGGCTGCTTTGTTTGATGTACAAAGCATTGCTCTTATACATGAAATAAGTAAAGAAATACAAATGCTGTCAAGTTCACCAAAACATGTTCAACCGGAAAGAGGGAGGAAAGGAATGAGGGTCAAAGAGTAAAAGCAAAGTGAAGAGCAAGGGAGAATGACTGGGAGGGTCTACAAGGTATATTAAATGGAGGTGAAGCAAACAGTACCTAGAAGCAGAGTGGTCATTAAGAGCACAGTGACTTCCTCGGAGCTTTCCTATGAACCTCAACAAGTGTCATTCCCCCAAAGCCAAGAAGACGCAGCAACTCATCTCAGCCTTTTCTGGCACCCAAAGGCCTAAATGAAGACAGCAGGGGAAATACTGCCAGGGACTTTATTTGAATGCAGCTTGAACTTGCTCCACCAGCAGAGGCCCTCCATGGCCTCATAGGGGATGAGTGTCTTTTCCATCTGCGTCTGGTCTCTGGCATGGGACAATAGCAACATGGCCTATGCTCCCTTCCTGCTGAGTAGCACTAGGTGACAAGGGATAGAGATGCTTCCAGAGTCTCAGCTCATGGCAGGGAGGCCACACTTCATCTCTTTCTGACACCTACCCAGCCTAGCTAGGAAAGAGGACCAGCTACAGCAGGAAGGAGTCTGTACTTCCATTGTCTACCGCACTGGTTGGTGTAGAAGAGAAGATGAATGCAGGTTGAGGTTTAGCCTTTGTCATTTCTATAGGATGCAGTACATGAACCTCCATCACGTGTCCCAAGGTAACTCTTTCGGGAAAGTGAAATTGCTTTTTTATTAAAGTATAACGTGTCCCTTTCCCTGGTACCTGCCTCCGCAGCTCACCCATGCTTGTGTGCTCAGCAGGCCAGTCAGCACAAGCCAGAATCACATCAAAAGGGTAGCAGTTGGGAGGCAGGGGTCAACCACACTGTAATATTTAACTATGTTACTTAAAAGCAACTGGAGAAAATGCATTTTAACTTTCAACTTCAAAGAGAGGCCAAGGCCAAGGCCAAGGGGATTATTGTAGTATCTTGCCCTGGGGACATATTGAGGAATAATATTTGAAGGATATGAAAAATACGTGAGGCCTCTATTATCAGAAACCAGCAGCCTTGTTATCTCCTGCCTGTTTATAGACTTGGCATTGGCCTAAGAGTGGAAGAGACACACAAATAACACAAAGAAGTGTGAGAATGGATCACACTATTCTAGGTGTCACTAAGTCACATCTATAAATGTGTATTCTGATGAACAGCGATACAGTGAAGTCAGATTGAGGGTGAACCACTTTAGAGATTGGATTTGCCAGGACATTACTCTCAGATGAGTGGTAAAATCAGACCCCTAGTGAACACATGCTTCTGCTCGACACGTGAACTTCAGCTGGAGTTCACAGTCATTTGGACTGCTAAATAGGTCTAGAATGTTTCAAATGGCAACAGTCCATTTTTAGACAATCAGGTATCCTTTTAAAGATATAAAATTGCATTGGTCACCATAATTATTTAAGAAGTATCTTTGACACAGCTTCCTTCATCTGTCTATTCAATAAATAATGACTATGCCATCATTGCTGAGTACCAGATCCTGGGCTTGGAGCTGTGAGTACCCAGGTGAAGAGGGGAGACAGAGTGCTTGCCTCGACGGGGCTTGTAGTTTCATATGGAATCAAGACCGTAGAACAAATAAATACTTACAGTTGTTTTGTGTGTTATTCTGGGAGGACTTCATCTTATTCAGGAGCCAAGGAAGACCTCCCTAAGGAGGTAACAGCCTTCTGAGACTTCAGTGAATAAGGGGGAGTTGGATACATGAAGAGATGAGGGGAGAAGAGACTTCCTAGAAAGAGAAGCACCTCCAAAGTCACAGCCATGAGAGAGTGTGGCACGTAAGAAAAGCTGTGAGCAGCCCCAAACAGGAAGCAGTGAGGGCTAGGCAAGGGAGACAGTCAGGGATCTTTACAAAGGGCCTTCCATGACAGGTTTTTTAAAATGTATTTTTTGAGACAGGAGCTGGCTCCATCGCCCGGGATGGAGTGCAGTGGCGCGATCTCACCTCACTGTAACCTCTGCCCCCTGGGCTCAAGTGATCCTTCCACCTCAGCCTCCCAAGAAGCTGAAACTAGGTGCGCCACCATGCCTGGCTAATTTTTGAATTTTGGGGTTTCGCCAATTACCCAGGCTGGCCTTGAGCTCCTGGACCCAAGCGATCCTCCCATCTAGGCCTCCCAAAGTGCTGGGATTACAGGCGTGAGCCACCACGTCCAGTTCCATGACAGGTTATTGATTTGCAATTTCCCCTTATATTTAAATAGGGAAGTGACATGGCTAATAGGTCCTCTGTCTGCAGAGGGAAGAAAGAATTGGAAAGAAGGAAGAGATGACATGGGGAGGCAAGTTAAGGAAGCGAATGTCCTTGTCCAGAAGTGGGATGACAGTGGTTTAGATTAGGATGGTAGCGTGTAGTGGAGAGGGGTAAAAGGTATCTCAAAATTACCTTTTGGAAAGGTGAATGGGAGTGAAATAAACAGCATGTGGAGACAGAGAATGTTGGATATGAAGGAGAGGGAAGGGCCAAGAATGACTCCCAGGGTTCCAGTCTCATTAGTTTGGGTAGATGGTAGTGTCCTTTCCTAATGCAAGAAACACAGGAGAAGGAGGTTTGGAGTGGGCAGTGGCATGAGGATGGGGGCAGGCTTGAAGGGGATGATGGTGAGTCTGGCTTTGATTCTGAATTGCTCTGAGCTTTCTGAGTGGACATGTTGAGTAGATAGTTGAAGACATGAGCTTGGAACTGACAGATAGATATAGGAGACATACAGATAGAGATAGAAGTAGAGGCAGAGATAGAGATTTGAGAGTCATACAAATAAATGAGGTCACAGGTACCTGTGGCTCCCTAGCTTTTTTGAAGGGGATCTACGATGTAAAATGTGTTTTGTATTAAACGTGCACACTCCATAAATCAAGGTTAGCCTGAACAATTCTTAATCTGGCCATATGTGATGTTCAATCATATGCTATTCTTTCTCCTAATGCCGCTGACAACCTTCCGCATTGATTTAATGACCCATCAATGAGTGGCTATGCATAGTTTGAAACGTCTAATTTAGGGAATGCAGAATGAGAAGAAAAAAGGGGCCAAAGTAGACCCCTGAGGAAGTCCATTGTGTAGGGTCAACTAGAGAAGGCGGTGCCTGAAAGAAGATAGTGAGTCTCCAATGGAGAGGTGAGCAGAAAGAACCCAGGGACCAGCAAGGTCTCTCCTTACATTTTGTAAGATGAATACAACAGCTCTGAGGATAGCCAGGTAACTTCCAAACAGAGGAAGCAGTAAGTCTCTACCTGGGGCTCCAGTAGACCAAGGAAACTCTTTCTAAAAGCTCCCACCAACCTTCCCTTTTGTTTCGTTCACCAAGATTGGTCACACAACTAGGTCCAAGACAGTAACTGGCAAAAAGAGTGGAATGACCACACTTGGCTCAGGCTGATTAAAGTCCTCACTCTGTGGGGCTGGGAAGGGGTGATGCTGCCTGAGCATAGGGCAGGGTGAACACCTGAACCTTAAGGCTCTCATAACAGGAAGGAGTTAGCTTCCTTGGGAAGGGGAAGCTGTTGCCTGTACTCCTTGCTACTCAAAGTGTGGTCTAGGGAGCATCAGCATCACGTGGAAGCTTGTCAGAGTTGCAGAATTTCCAGTTCTACCCCCTTCCTGCTGAATCAGAGTCTGCACTTTCTTGAGATTCCCCAAATGATCCATGTGGCCATGTGTGAGAAGCCCTGGCCTAGATGGCAAGGGGGCCCATGGTGTCTGCTATGTTGACTCAGGTCACCCTGCTGTTTGTCCATTCCTTCTCCCACTTGTACTTCCATCACAAATCCCACAGCACCACACATGCTTTGCAAGGTTTTGCTCCATTAACAAGTCCTCTTTCATTTTCCACAGAAGGAGGCAGAACAGAGTCTTAGTGTAAAGGCAGCAACCTTCCAGCTGTGACTAGCCCAAGCCATCAGCATTGTTCCTTTCAATTACCCTGTTCCTGGGAGGCATGAAATTCTAGCTAAGGGCTGACAGGGTCACTTGGCTGCTGAAAAGTTCTGTATTTAACAACTCTAGGTGGGGTTTGGGGTTTTGTTGGCTTGTTTTTAATTTTTTTTTTTTATTTTTTAGTATAGCTGCTTTTACTTAGTGCACAAGATTGCATGCTCTAGATTAGAACTTCTATACACAGGGACTGTGAGGCAACCCTCACCCTGAGGCCCCAGAAAATATTAAGTATTAGAATAAGCTCGCATGCAGCAAGTTCTCTCCAGTGTTTGAGGCTCTGAGGCTTAAAGAGACAAACAGAGAGCCTAGGAAATTTTCAGAGAAGAACAAATTTGCTTAAAGAATGGGAGGACCAAACCTAAGAGGGAATGTTAAAATCATTCACATACCTGAGGCTCAAGAAAGGAAGAAAGAGAAGTAATTAAACATGTAGAATTAGATAACATTTTACTGAGGCATCACCCAACCAGTTCTCTTCAGTAATATATGCTCTTTCTTTATTTAAAAAAATCAGTTGTGCATACTCAGAATTTGATAAATTATGAAAGGATTAATATATAATGCCTTCCTTGACTTTCTTCCTACCCATACATTCATTCATATTTATTGATTACCTGTTATGTACCAGATACTCTGTTCTGACAATCTTGTTATTTTACTCTACTTAACATGAGAATATATTCTTCTAAAAAAACATAAATGTGTCAAGATGGAAACATTAATCAATTTGAGACAAGAACATTTCTGATTTAGCTCTAATAAAATGTAGCAATTTCAATATAAAGGGCACTGTTTCCTTGTGTGGCATTCAGACTTTTATACTCTGTCCCCAGATGACTTTTCAGTCTCTCGTTTCATTCCTAGTCTCATTTACCTGCTGGTCCTGTCCCATCAGTCTACTCATCTTTGCCTTGAACTCACCAGACCCTTTCATGCAGTTCCCTTAGTTTAAGTACTTTTCTCCCTAAAATACCTTTTGATGCTTTAAAACCCTTTAAACTTTAGGAATGCATCTGTAGTATTCTCTGCAAAGGATTCTGGAGTCTCACCATTTTAAATTAATCATTCTTTCCTCTGTCTTCCTTGAACATGGTGCTTTTACTACAGTTGCACTCTTACCTGCTTTGCATTGTGGTTGCTTGTTTGCATGGCTCACGGTAAGTTTTCAAAGGACAAAGAGCATAACTCATTCTTTGTGTTCCCTCCAGCACTTAGTTACATTCCTGGTGAGGTAGAATTAATGGTGCCCACCAAATATTTCTAGCTATTTGAATCTTCTGGGCCTACAGTAGATTTACACTTCTTGGTCCCCTGTGGTTGGTTGGGGACATGTGACCAGTTATTGCTAATGAGTTATAACAAAGCGATGTGTGAAACCTGTGGGCCAAAATTTTAATTGTCAATGCAAGACCCTTCAGTGTCATCTGTTCTCTTGGCTATTGTGACTATTTGTGTTTAGGAAAATAGCTACTCCCTCAGCTGCATCCTAAAGTGAAGAAAAGGTCAACTTAGAGCAAAGATTTAGCTGACCTATGATGGACTCTGTGAGAGAACAAGGAATACATTTTTGTCATTTAAAACCATGGAGATATGAGGTTGTTTGCTACAAAGCAAATCCTAGCCCATCCTGATTCATACACTTGTAAATGACAGGTGTTTGATAAATACTGTGAATCTAAAATATTTTGCAAATCTATTAGAAGTAGCAATTAATAATTTTATCATCAATTGTAAATGTATTACGTAAAATTGCAAATGTTAAAATCAGCTGTGCAGAGAGACATTGTGATGTAAGGTGAAGAGTGTAGGACATAGAGCCAGTAGGGATGGGTTTGTAAAGTGGCTCTAAATGACCTCGAGGAGGTCACTGATACTCTTAGGACTCAGCATCCTTCAGTCTTAAAGGGAACTTACCTACACTGCAATATTGTTGTGATAATTAAAGATAGCAAAAGTAAAATTGCCTGGTACATGTTGGTACTTGGTACATAATTATTATGATTGTTTTAGGTGTATTTTTCATATTGGACCATGTGAAAAGTGAAAAACACGAGAAACTGTACATAGTTCAGTTTAAACCAAGATATACCCTGCTATTCTTTCCTATAGATCAGCAGCAATTTTCTCCCTCCTTCCTTCTTCTACCCATTTTTCAAAAACTAAAAAATGTGGGCCCCTATTGATTTTTAAAAAGATAATGAACATTATATATGTATATGAAGGTACAATAATTTATGTCTAAGTCTCATTCAGAGAAAAAAATATTGGTCATGAATTATTCAGCTTCTTCTTGGGCTAGGCATTAGTGACTCACATTAAATAAACAGATGCATTGAAAAAAAAAAAAAGAAAGAGAAAAAAATAAGACCCAGGATTTATTTTTAAGCTTTTGTGGGCTAGAAAATGGGAATCATCTGTTTTTGAGACACTCAACTATATTTGTAAAATTAAAAAAAAATGTGAGCTTGATGATAAATCTATGTGAGGATAATGTTTTGCCTTTTTATTTGGATTTCCAACACTTGTTCAAGTGCAGTGAACTAGTCATCCCAAAACACTTAAACAAAGGTTTCTAACCGTCTAATGCCACAATCCCATAAGAGTTTATAGTTACTGTTATGGATGTTCACGACTTGATTATACTCCTGGCTATGAGAAGTCGTTACTTCAGTCCCTCAACATAAGCAGGGCATGACTCATCTTTCTGAGGCAGTAAATAGCAACTTGGGTAGATCAGCACCATCTTTATACTTCTTAGAATACCTTTAACTTAGAAACACATCCCCTCAGAAATACTTTATACACATTGTGACATGTGCTGAAAGAAACATTGTGTTCCAAAGATAGGTTCTTGTCTCTAGGGCTCTAATAAGGGGGAGGAAAATCTCAACAACCATATTTTCCAATTCAACTAAGGATTCTGCTTCTGTAATAGCAGCAAACAAGGAAAGTGGGAATAAAATCAAAAGACAGGAATGAGCAGATTTAATCCTCCCCTATTGCCAAGTCAAACTTACTCCCTTTTTTTCCCATCCATCCCCTCTCTAAGTCTCTGCCTTGGTCCTCACCTATTTAACTGAAAAAAAAAAAAAAAATCAGATTGAATCATGAAGACTTATGGAACTACTACATGCCAGGAATTTCAATTCGTCTTAAGGATCTACAGTGCTGACATTTTCTCTCTTCTCAAGGACCTTATTATTTAGTGTGGAAGAAATAAAAGAATATCAGTAATTATACTTCAGTATGATAAACAGCGAAGACTCATTCAAAATATAATCACTGAAAATACTGTTTTCAAAAAACACATGTTGTTATACTAAAAAAGCAAAATACAAAATTATGTATACAACGTGATCCTAATTTTGTAAACAATACCCACTCATATCCTTATACACTCAGAAAAAAATGGGGGATCGAATTGGCAGACTGAGCACATCAGTCTACTCCCCCCGCCCCGACTTCAAATTCCACTGAAATACCAAACAAGAAAAGTTACAGTCGAAGATCAGAAATTCTGAAGATTTCCTGGAATACAGACCAAAGAATTGATTGACAAAGAAATCAAAGCAGAAAATGACCAGAAGGAGATTACTGCAAAGGTCAGGGCTGTTTTGTGCACTAATGTTCTAGAGAAATTTCAAGCTCAGAGTTAACTCGTACAGTGCAGGGAGGGGCCTTGTCAGTAATTATCTGATCAATAAATTAAAAGATTGCATTATGGGCCAGGCGTGGTTGCTCATTCCTGTAATCCCAGCACTTTAGGAGGCTGAGGTGGGAGGATCACTTGAGCTCAGAAGTTTAAGGCCAGCCTGGGCAACATGGCGAAACCCTGTCTCTACTATAAACACACACACACATACACACATACACACACGCACACACACACACACAATTAAAAAATTAGCTAGGTATGGTGGTATGCGCCTGTGGTCCCAGCTACTTGGGAGGCTGAGGCAGAAGGATTGCTTGAACCCAGGGAAGTTGAGGGTGCAGTAAGCTGTGACCATGCCACTGCACTCCAGCCTGAGTGACAGAGCAAGACCTTGTCTCAAGAAAAATAAAAAATAAAATTGAAAGATTACATTATGAATTGCCTGGCCTGTTATGATCTTCCTATCACTCTCACGTGCTGCATTTTTGGCAAGAGTGGTGTTTGCTTTCTGGTTAAAGCCTCGGTAACTGCTTTAAACAGTGAACCTGGGGAGTTTCCTATCAGAAGGGCTGACTCTGGACAGAGAAGCAGAGCAGGGTTGAGTAATTCTACATATACAACAAGGCGTGGCAGGAGGAGCGGTGGGAAGAAAAGGAAACCATTAGCTGCTTCTGATGTGAGAAGTTCCCAGACCACTTATGCTGGGGAGAGAAACCCCCTCACATCAACATCATCTACCTGAACACCTGCCAGCTTCTACCCCAAAACTCTAGAGGATTATGGCTCCCATAATCAGAACCTTCATTCACTGGGATGACTGTCACAGCCATAAAATAGAAAAAGAATCGGATTTCTGGATTATTGAAAATACAATCACTGCTACTTTAAAAATCGGGCTGAATATCCAAATGGATGCAAATGAGTATTAAATTAGTGAGCTGCAATATTGAGTCTGACTCTTCCAGGACACAGTGCAAAGAGATAAATAGAGTTCCAGAAGCTCCTATGTCTACCTAAAGGGTTTGTAAGGAAGGGGACTCTGCTGCCCAGGCTGGAGTGCAGTGGCATGATAATGGCTCATTGCAGACTTGACCTCCCTCAGCATGCCCATCCCCAGCGTACCCACCCTGAGTACCTGGGACTAAGGCACGCCACCATGCCTGGCTGATTTTTGTATTTTTTTGTAGAGATGGGGTTTTGCCATGTTGCCCAGGCTGGTCTCGATCTCTTGGACTCAAGTGATCTGCCTGCTTTGGCCTCCCACAATGCTAGGATTACAATACCCCATATTCTTACCATCCATAAGACTACTGAATGCATATTAGGATTTATTTGTAGATTTTGTTTTTGTATTGTTTTACACTAGAGTCTTTCCCACTGAGTGAAAATACCGCAATTTAAATTTACTTAGAATACTTTTTTTATGGCAAGCAATCAAACTGATAAGAAGTTAGGTTCATTTGTTACCTTTTTTAAAGAAAAATTTTAAGGATTACTTTGCTTTGATTTAATTTGGTTTTTAATTATGTAAAATATGCTTATAGTTCCAATTTTGTAACTATTTTAAAGACACATTCAGATAAATCTGTCTTCCAACTGTATCCTTCCTACCCTGTTCCCTCCCTCCTAAAGGTAACCATTATAAAAATTAATTTTCTTTGATAATCTCATTGTTTCTTTTTGAAAATATTGACATATATTCATACATATTTGTATCCCCTCTTTTTTATACTATAAACTTTGTTATTTGATTTGTTATCTTATCAGTATACCCTAGTAATATAGAGATGTTACTCATTCCTTTTTATAACTGAATAGCATTCTGACACGTGAATGTACCTTAGTTTATTCAACTGGGCCCTTATTCATGGCCATTTGAGTGTTTCCAGTCTTATATAATTACAAACAATGCTGCTGCAATAAGTAAATCTGCACATTTAAAATTTTGTATTTTTGCCAATGTATCTTTGGAATATATTTCCAGAAGTGTGATTTCTGGGTCAGAAAGAAAAATGCAAATGTAAGTTTGCTAGCTGTTGTATTCCCACCTGCAATATATGAGTATCTTTGCCCTGCAGCCTTGCCAACAGAGTGTGTTGTCAAACTGAGATTTTTGCTGATCTGATAGGCAAGAAATTGTATTTTAGTACTTTCCTTATTATAAGTGGGGTTGAACATATTTTAATTGTTTAAGGGCTATTTCCTATTTCTTTTAAAAACACTTATATGCTTATATATTTTGCTCATTTTTATATTATGTGAAATTACTTATTATTTGGAAATGACTGACAATGAGAGCATGGCATATAAAAATGTGTGTGATTTGGGTCAAAGTGACACAAATGGGTGGCACTAATTATATTTATTTGAAAACAAGATTGGAGATAAATTAAGCATACTGCAAAAAGGATGACAAAACAGTCATTAAAAGTAGACTAAAGAAATTGTTAAAGATTAAAGCAAAAACTGGTGAATCATAAAACTAATAGAATCGTTTAAAAAGGCCTGATTTACTGAAGACACTATCCCAAAATGACAAAAAATTCAAAGTAGACTAGAGGAATTATTGATGATAACTTCAGAAACTTATGAAATATAAATTTATAAACAAAATAAAATCTTTCTTTAAAAAAAGCCTGAATGATTATAAAACCAAATGCTGACTCTTAGATCAATACATGAACAAGTAGTTTTGAAAAATCTAATGAAATAGCTATGGTTAGTCTCATCAAAAAAACAAAAAGGAATAAAGACACAAATAGCAATGTTAAGAATTGGAAAGGTGACATACCTAGAAAATCAGATAAGACTTTAAAATTATAATTGAATACTGCATATAATATTATAACCATATATTATATTATAAGTGAACGTTATGTGTGTGTGTGTGTGTGAAGAGAATTTGTAGGCATGTAAGTGGAATGTTTTTTAGGAAATTGTAAATTATAAAAAATGACTTCAGGAGAAGAGATAACCTTAAAACCTTTAGGAGAATTTGAAAAACTAATTGAAGTTTACCATAAAGAAATGATGCCAAGGATATCCCCCCTTCTGCCCAGGAGTTAGAAAGCCTGAAAGAGTATTGCTCTCATCTAACAACCAGAAAATGCCTGACAACCTACAAAATCATAATATTTCTTGACTCCATCAGGGAGCTGAGGTTACAGGGCAAGTGAATAGCTTCAATCTAAGGAAAGACAGGAGCCTCCAATGGAAGCCGGGACACAAGCCCTGGCTCTCCTATGACAGGGCCCAGGTATAAGAGACACAAATGTCATACAAGATCGTAAGAATAATTCAGCTGAAGTTTTTAACTAATTGTTAGATGCCAAATGTGGGCTAATGTGGGAGTACAGAAACACTAGGAGCTGTAGACACGATGGGGGTTTGCACCCACTTCTGGGCTCTTCTCCAGTGGATCTCCACCCAGCTGCTGCAGGAAATTGTCAAGCCCCAGCTGGACTCTGTTGAGCTGCTAGAGTCGGGAGGTGGCAAACCCTCCTTCCCCCAGGGCACAGGCGAAACCCATGTGGCTGGAAAAAGTGAAAAGAAAAAGCCCTCTGTAAGGGAGGATCAGGGAACTATCCTGAGGTCAGATTGTTAGAGGAAACTAATGCTGGAGAAAGAGTAGGTTCACTGAGAAAGCCCCAGTCTCCAACACCAGGATCTTAAGGCCTGCATAAGACTAAGGTGGATCAAGACAACAGAGAAACCCCCTCCCCCTACCACCCAGCTAGCAAGCATCAGGTAATAAGCATAGTCTGCTGCTGAAAAAATAGGCAAGAGTATGAAGACCCACCCCACTCAGGTGCGAGTACTCAGTGAAGGTCTAAAATTGAGGATAGAGGAGGAACATTGAAAAAAACCCTTCAGCAAGCCATCCCTCACCCCAAGCACCAGTTAATACCAGAGGAATTTGAAGCCAGTAGTGCACTGAAGGGAACCATAATAACAACAAAACCCAAACTCAGCCCAAATCTTGACTAGATTTGCTCAACTCCCTACACCGAGAGGTGAGCAATGGCAGAGTTGTGCCCATGTTCAGGCATGGCATATCTACTGTTTATCTCAGTCTCTACTATCCTACACACAGTACCTAGCAGTCAATAAAAAATTACAAGGAAAAAAAAGTAAGAGAAAAAAAGGTCTTGGACCCAGTGGTTTTATGAGGGAGTTCTACTAAATCTTTGAGCAACACATATTTTGCTATCACTTAAGTTATTCAAGAGTATTAAAACTAGGAAGTGGAGAAAAGGGAAACAGAATATTACAGAGAATTTCATAAAGTGGGCACAGAAACTGCTTCCTATTTACAAGTCCCTGCCCATCATGCCAGGTGGTGTCAATGCAGGCAGTCAGATTCTGCCCTGGCTTGAGGCTTCTGCTCTGATCCAAAGTGGCCATGGAAGTGTGGTCTTTTCAGTTTTCCAAGGATCCCCAAAGAAATTAAATTTGTTCTGGCTTATTTGTGGATTAAATTGACCTCCCTCTAGAACAAAATTTATCTTTCTGTTTGGCCAATAGACAGGACCAAATTTCCTCACCACAACTTTATTTACAGAAACAGGCTGCTGCCCCATGAGCCATATTCTGCCAATTAGATTTTTTAAAACATTGCTGGAAAATATGATTTTTCTTGATTACTAAGTTCCACCCTCCCCACCCCCTATAACCCCCAACAAATTTTGCACTTTAGGCAACTGCCCCATAGTTCCACCTAGTCCTGGTCTCCACAGAGTCCCCTGGCCCAGAGACCCACTAGGTTCCACCCAGGGTGAGTGGGGCCTCACGTGCTGCTCTCACATCAGCTTACCTTACTGTGCCATGCACTTTGTGAGAAGCTGTTCTTTGCCAACCAAAAAAAAGCCTTCATATAAATCTTCTCCTGAGTGGGGGAAGAGGAGGGAGGGTGGACAGTTTCAAAAGCAAAGAAAACAAGAATGGAAAAGAGGAGGAAGTGGCCAGTGCTCAGTGAACCCTCAAGTGTGAAAGGCTAATCCAGAAATCACTCAGTAATCACCACCGTGAAATCAGGCAGGGCTGACATCTCTTGCTACGCCTATGCGCCCCTTCCCTGCCTCCCACAAAGCCTCACTTCCTAAACCAAAGTGACCTTCTGAAATCTGGCCAGTCTGCCTCAGCTCTTGGCCCCATGTCCCTCCTATGCAACAGCTTCTACACACCATTAGTTTCCTTCCAAAGTCCCCACTGACTTCTCATTCACAGCAATGCTCTTCCTGTTTTCGAAACAAGGGTATTGGCCCATGTGCCTGGTAAACAGAAACTAGAGTGCATAGGGCTGTGAGAAGTTCTAAGGCATTTGTGTATTGCACCGGAGACTGAAAGAAGGGTGAGGTTTTGGGGGCTCTGATGTGCAAGGTAAGGCACTCAGTGTTCAGAACAATCCTCATGGATCTGTCATGCTCAAAGGAACAGTGTTGAAAGAGTGATTATGGTTTAAGATAATTTGGCTGTCAACCAAATAACATGTTGTTGCTTACTGCTATGTCAGACACTTCTGCTGATTGGTGAATTTTTTTTTTAATTTATTTTTATTTTTTTATTTTTCGAGATGGAGTCTCTCTTAGTCGCCCAGGCTAGAGTGCAGTAGTGCGATCTTGGCTCACTGCAAGCTCCGCCTCCCGGGTTCAAGCCATTCTCCTGCCTCAGCCTGCTGAGTAGCTGGGACTACAGGTGCCCACCACCACGCCCGGCTAATGTTTTTTGTATTTTTAGTAGAGATGGGGTTTCACCATGTTAGCCAGGGTGGTCTCTATCTCCTGACCTCGTGATCTGCCCATCTCGGCCTCCCAAAGTGCTGGGATTACAGGCATGAGCCACCGCACCCGGCCTGATGGGTGAATTTTTAAGAGGAAGAATAATAAGCAAATAGACTAGTTTAAAAGCAAGGTATCATTTCCTTGGTGGATCTCTTGAGAAGGAGATGGAAACAGTGATGGGGGACTTTGGCTTGGCCTCCACTGAGTCCCAGAACTTTTCTCTCTAGAGGTGTGAACCATACCCCTCCAGCGTATCCATTTTCCCATCAGTTTCATACTGTCTGTGAACTTTGGTGAATCATCAGTCTCTCTCTTCTGCAGTGTTGCCACCTTTAAATGGCCCCTTACTCTCATAATCAGTGCTGAGTAGTGGCAAGGGGGAGAAAATGGAAAAGTTGGCATGGGAGAGAAGGCAGATCCAGAAGATAGGATACAGCTCAGGTAAAGGGCCAAAGGTCTCCTGAAATGACTCTTCAAGGCAACTTCTTAGTGTTTGACTGCCTCTTTCTTACATTCTTTTTATTTTGCCCCAGCCCTGAGAATGTGGCCTGATTTTCTCTTCTGTTATTACAACTGCTCTTCTGCTTGAGTTTCTTCTACACCTTCAAGATGGCTGAAGAACAAGACGCTTTCTCTCCATGTCTATGCTGTTTCACTGTGAGTAAAGCAAGTGTACATCTGCTTTCATTTCTTTTTTTCAAAAATGTTATTACTACTAGTGAGTGTGGGGAAAGAGGGCATACTGCAACATAAATAGGAGGGAAACTGCAAGTAATAAAAATTGTTTAAAATTACAAGTAATTGGTTTTAGTGATTCTTGGTCATTTTTGAGGCACAGAAGGGGAATAATGCTTATATAGCAGTGATCCATGTGGTTTAGAACTGAAGCAGAAAGAAGACATTCATGCAACCAACAATCATATGAAAAAAGCTCAACATCACTGATGATTAGAGAAATGCAAATCAAAACCACAATGAGATACGATCTAACACCAGTCAGAATGGCTATTGTTAAAAGTCAAAAATAACAGATACTGGCAAGGTTGTGGAGAAAAAGGAATGCTTATACACTGTTGGTGGGAGTGTAAATTAGTTCAGCCATTGCGGAAGACAATATGGTGATTCCTCAAAGACCTGAAGACAGAAACGCCATTCAGTCCAGCAATCCCATTACTGGATATATACCCAAGGGACTATAAATCATTCTATCATAAAGACACATGCACACATATGTTCTTTGCAGTACTATTCACAATAGCAAAGACATGGAATCAACCTAAATGCCCATCAATAATAGGCTGGATAAAGAAAATGTGGTACATATACACCATGGAATACTATGGAGCCATAAGAAAGAACAAGATCATGTCCTTTGCACGGATATGGGTGGAGCTGGAGGCCATTATCATCAAACTAACACAGGAACAGAAAACATATTTACTGCATGTTCCCATTTATAGTGGGAGCTAAATGATCAAAACACATGGACACAAAGAAGGGACCAACAGACACTGGGTCCTATTGGAGGGTAGAGGGTGGGAGGAGGGAGAGGATCAGGAAAAATAATCAATGGGTACTAGGCTAAATACCTGGGTGATGAAATAATCTGTACAACAAACCCCCACGACACAAGTTTACCTATATAACGAACCTGCACATGTACCTCTGAACTTAAAAGTTTAAAGAGTGGGCACATACCCCTGATATAGATATAGCTTAATATATAATCTCCATATATATATGACTACACTCATAGCACATATTACAAAGCACATAAAAAGTAAAGATCAAATATTTTCAGAAAAAAAGAAAGTATGCACAACAATGACAACCTTCATAACTTCATAATAACACATGATAACTTAGCATCTTTTGCTTACAGTATTATGCTGATTTTGTGTTATTACTGTAAAGTACACTGGTGGCTTATATTTGCAGACTAGAACTGTCTCAAGATGCTATGATGCTCAATTGTGTTAACCAGTTTATAATCAATTAACCTAAGCTTGATGATGGCAACTGAATTTCCAGGTATACAAATAAATTTGAGGGTGAAGCATAGTTCCTAAAAACGATGCTGATCTCTGTTTTTATCTGCGGCATTGTATGTTATTTGACAATGCGAGGGAACACCCTATCTTTTCAACCTAATTTTTCTTATAATTAAAATTACCATTTTAAGCATTGGTAATTTCTTACCAGCGAGTAAAGTTTTAATTATTCATAATAAAATTTTATGATGGGCAAAAAGAGGAACTGAAGCAGAGTCACAGTTTAAAAAATTATAATTATTTAGTAATGTATATTTAATAATAAACATAAACATACAAAATAACCTCAACTTCACCAGTATTTCTCTCTCTTTTGCCTTTTAAATTTGTTTGTTTTTATTTGTACAGATTTAGGAGGTATTTCAGGTACAGTTTTATTACACAGATAGACTGTGTGGTGTTCATTAGTATTTCTTAGTCATTTTGAAGGAGAAATATGGTTCCCTGTGATACTTCATATTTCCATATTGATTTTTTTTCCTTTTCTCGTCTCCTTCCCACAGATGCTGCAAATATTCCCAGCCTTTTCCCCTTGATGCCCAAAATAAATTCCTCAAATACCCTGAGCCCAGGAACTATTCTTAATTTCACATAAATTTTATGTAAAGGGACTGAGTCCTTCCATCCCCCTGCCACTTCCTGGATTTTGCTCTTCCATACCTAATTTCTCACCAAAAACATACCACCACCACCATCACAACAACAACACTGCTGTGGAATGACAGGAGCCTCCTCAAAGGGCACTGGAGGGGAAGGAACTGTCTGACAAACTATAAGGCAATGGTTCTAGTGTACTTTATTGGCATGGAGGAGGAAAAAGTATAGAGAAACTTATTTACTCATGTGTTGATGTGATCACAAGAATGAGGCCTGACCTGTCATAATCCCCAGTCTAATTTCTGCCTCCATTTTTGTCTAAAACAGAGAAGCCCAACTGTCTGATGGGCAGTTCCGATTGAGAGTACTCTTCCTCCATCACCTGATTCTTAACATTATCCTGGGGCTTTACCATCTACCTGTTCCTGGGACCCAACTCCTAGTGCAGACCTTTCAGCTGGGGGTCCTGGGTCTTCCACAGATTTTTGGAATTGTAACAGCAATGATAATAACAATATTGGTGATGGTGATTATAGATAACCTTCACAGGGCACTCTCTGTGCCAGGTACTATGATAAATACTTAACATTGATTGTCTCTTCTGATTTTCAAAGTTCTAAGAGAATTTTTTTAGTTATCTACTGCTATCTAAAAAATGGCCACAAAACTTAGCATATTTTTAAAATATACTTTTTTTAAACTTTTGACCTCTTTTATTTGTTAAAATAGTGACATCCATAAACATGAAATGATTTGATCATAATGCATTCATTGATTATGGCTCTTGCCATCTTGTGGCATCCAGGACCCTGGCTGAAACGTTTTATCTCACAGTTTCTGTGGGTCAGGAATCCGAGTATGACTTACCTGGGTCCTCTACTTCAGGGTCACTGAGTCAAGGTGATGCTTGGGAGCAGAGTCATCTCAAGGCTCAGTGGGATGAGGATTTGATTGCAAGCTCACGTGGTCATTGACAGGATGCAGTTCCTCATGGGCTGACGGACTAAGGGCCTCAGTTCTTCAGTGACTGTTGGCCAGAACCTGCCCTCAATTCCTTGCCTCATGGGCCTCTCCAATATGGCAGCTTCCTTCTTCAAAGGGCGTAAGCCAAGAGGACAATAGAGAGAGTCTGCTAGAAAGATGAAAACCACAATCTTGTGTAGCCTCCACGGAAGTAACTTCCGATCACCGTTACCATATTCTATTGATTAGAATGAAGTCACTAGGTCCAGCCTACACTCAGGGGAGAGGATTACTTACACAAGGACATGAATATCAGGAGGTGGGATCCTTAGGGATCATCTTAGAAATATTCCATCTCACAGTTTGGGGAAGGAGGGAATAAGAGCTGTTTTAAGATTACAAAGACAATATCAAGACTAGAAGATCAAGGTAGTTCAAGGTCGAAATTGAAGCTAAGAAAGGTAAAGGCTAAGGGTTGGAATGGAGAAGTGCCTTATATAGTTTTTGATCCATAGTGTGTACCTCTCTAATATCCGTGTCTCCCAGCCCTAACATGAAGGTAGAGCTAAGGAGATGGTGAGTGTGAGACTAAAGGTTATATGAGGGATTATTAGGGCACGCCACAAAAAACTGCTGCTCTCATTGGGAAAGTAAATGGAAAATAATGGTAATGGAGTAGTGGAGTGGAACAGCAGCAAAGAGGAACTGAAGATAAGCTATCCTGAGTAAAAGCAACCCAGGGTTCCTATGGGAAGGAGACTTTTGGCAGAGACATGCCACATTATCAAATAAAAAAGGGCAGAGCCAGGGCATAAAGCACGTCTGAAATAAGCTATCCACAATCAAAGACAGTCAAGCTAAAGAAAACAAATTCCAGCCAGGAAACAGAAGGCTGGTTCTGGAAAGATTTTTTGAGGCAATGCTACATAGAGCAGAGGTGTGGAGGAGAGGACAGGGAACATTTTTAGCAGCATCCTCTAAAACGAATTCTATTTCATATGTACTTTATGAAAGGGGGAAAGATTGCAGGAATTACAGGCCCAAAATCCCCCCAAATTCCCGAGGCTCTGTCTATTATAGTCCTTTTCTCCAGCACTCTCCTTTCCCTCCCACTCAGGCTCTTTCGATCTTGTCAACAGAGCAGGAACCACGAAGTTCACACTCTGAACTTCTGTCTTGGAATTATGCCAGTATCATAGTGTGGGGGCAATAAGTGGGGATTCATTGAGGGAGGCAAGACAAACATGTTAACAGCCTTGAAGAAATGCCTTTTTAGTACAGAAAAAGGGAGAAGGAATCAGGAAGGGATTTCTTACCAAACCTCAAAGAAGATCGTTCTTTAAAGAGTGCTAACTTCTCCAGCTTTTAGTGGGGAATTGCCCTCCATGGGGATTAAGAGACCAGCGCCTTTTAATCAAAGGAGGGCTGTACGTTCAAATAACTGGGAACAGCTGAGTGTCCCACCCAACTCTGAAGAACAAAACAGCTACACGAAGCCACTCCTGCCTGCAGTATACAATGCTATGTTTTTTGGCTAATTCTCCAAGGATATTACACTTACTTTCAATGGTTAATGAATAGCTTCTAAGTGCCTGTTTCATTTAGTTGTCCAAAGGCCAGTGGGTCCCAGAGCATATAAAGCTGCAAGCTGGCTAATGAGCTCATTCTCTTGGAGCAAGCAGGGAAGCAGAGGAGCAGCAGGGTCAGGGTGCTGGGTTCCTAAGGTGCAAGGATGCAGAACAGAACTGGCCTCATTCTCTGTGCTCTTGCCCTCCTGATGGGTTTCCTGATGGTCTGCCTGGGGGCCTTCTTCATTTCCTGGGGCTCCATATTCGACTGTCAGGGGAGCCTGATTGCGGCCTATTTGCTTCTGCCTCTGGGGTTTGTGATCCTTCTGAGTGGAATTTTCTGGAGCAACTATCGCCAGGTGACTGAAAGCAAAGGAGTGTTGAGGCACATGCTCCGACAACACCTTGCTCATGGGGCCCTGCCCGTGGCCACAGTAGACAGGTACGTGCTGACAGGCAGAGGGACCAAGAAGGGCTGAGATGGGCTGAGTTGTGTAAGATCTGAGTAATTTCTGATCCTACTATGGAGCGACTTACATGTCCCATGGGCTGTCTGTCTAGAACCAAAGCTTTATTGTCAGGGAATTACTCTGGGGTTGTTATTAGGAAGAGTGGCGCCATCTTTGGGGAAAACCATGACGCAGGGGCAACTCATCTCAGAGAAACCCTACCACCACCCCCAGTGAAAACCCACCTAAGCCAATTTAGAAACCCAGGCTCTTTTGTTATATCATGGCAGCTGTCATTAATTAGTGGCAGGTGATGGTTAGTTACTTCCCATAACCTGGCTATGAGGTTCTAAGGAAAGCAAGTCCCAGACCAAATTCTGCCACACAACAAATGAAGAAGCAGGCATAAAATGAGTCCTGGAATCTCTGTGAGCTCAGAAAAGTCCCAGTTTACTGTCCTTTTAGGTGTTGTGATCTCACCTTGCATAAAACATTCCTTCAGGGGAAGGTGATAATATTCTAGAGGCAAGATTCATTCTTTCTCGCCATCTCATACATTAGGATAGTTATCATCAAAAAACAAAACCAAACAGCTAGTGTTGGTGAGGATGTCAATAAATTGGAACGCTGTGCATTGCTGGTGGGAATGTTAAAATGGTGCAACCACTGTGGAAAACAGTGTGGAGACTCCTCTATACATTAAATATTGAATTACTGTTTGATCTGGCAATTCTACATTCTGAGTTTATACACAAAGGAACTGAAAGCAGGGATTCAAATGGATGTTTGTACACCAATGCTTGTAGCAACATTTATTCATAATAGCCCAAATGTCCATCAACAGGTGAGTAGATAAACAAAATGTGGTATATACATGCAATGGAATATTAGCCTTAAAAAGGAAGGAAATCCTGGCACATGCCACCACTTGGATGAAGTTGAAAACATTATGCTAAGTGAAACAAGTCAGTTACAAAGGGCAAATATTGTATAATTCCACTTACATGAGTACTTAGCGTAGTCAAATTCACAGACACAGAAAGTAGAACAGTGGTCCCAGGGGCTGGTGGAAGGAGAGACTGGGGACCTATTGTTTAATGAGTAGAGAGTTTTAAGGTGATGGTTGTAGAGCAATATGAGTGTATTTAGTGCCACTGAGCTATACACTTAAAAACAGTAAATTTTATGTCATATATATTTTACCACAAGAAAAAAAAGATTCAGTTAATCTTATAGTCAGTATCAGGCAACAAGAAACCTCCTAATTCTTGGCTAGCCACAGGACCATTTAGGGATAACACCCTAGGCATCATTCTCAAGATACAGGCTACAAGACTATAATTATTTTGCCCTCTTCGTGCAAGAGTAGAAAGTATCTAAAATATTTTAGCTACTCCATGTATCTTGAATATAAGTAATCTTACCCATGAGCATCCACTTTTGGCATCCTTTATGCTAATTAATAAGATAATAATTATGAAAACCAAAACTTATTTCCAATGTTATACTAACCAGCAGAGTTTCTGGGTTTGATTAAAAATTAAGAGAAATGAAGTGATTGTAGAAGATGCCTCTAGAGTGATGATTTCTTTTTGTATAAATGTTAGAGGACTACCTCTAGAGTGTGAATTTCTGATAAATGTAACTGATTGCCTTTAGGATATAGCTTAAATTGACTAACACTGCATAATATTACAGTATACTGAAATGTTTGAAAGTAAATTATGGACATCGTAACACCCCCATTTTACTGCCTCTTCTCGCTGCATGTAATAAGATGCTTATCCCACGCAGAATGGCTGGCAAGTCAGCCTGGGAAGTCACATTTCTCCAAAGCATTTGCACTCAAAATGGATACCCAGGTTGAGATATCAAAGCAAATGGGTCTCCGATGATGGAATTCAGGGGACTGGGAATATGGATGGCAGTTGAAGGAGGGTGGGGTTGGGAGAGGTAGCTGGGATTTGGGGCAGGCAGCAGTCATCCTGGAACCTTTCACATCACTCCAGGGAACATCTCACCTTTCTGTGTAAAATGCCTTTACACATGTGCCCCGTGACTCAGCCTTGGCTATTCTGAGCGAAGGCTGAGATTTATGCCTTATAGTAGACAGCTTCTTCAGCTACTGGCTTTGGGCCTGGTAACATTTGGAATGGAGTTGTGGCTACAAATGGCAGTCCCTGTTCTGTTGTGGTTACACACCATAAACACTCCCTGTAGGCACTGGAAGGATCACTCTATAAATACACAACTCAGCCAAGCTCACCGGTCTCTCTTCCTCCCCTCTCCCCTTCCCCCAAATTCATTCATGATGGAGAAGCCAGGAGGATTTAGCAATTAGAAATGCCAGGCAAGATGACCAATGAGTACATCAGCCCCCGAATGAATGGCTGCTTTAGCCTACTGGCATAGAAAGGGCTACAACTGAAATCTGTGTAAAGTTGTCAGTTGATATCATTTGAGAAATGAATATGTTTGTATATTTTCTTTGAAACTAGCTACTGAGTCTCGAAAGGGTGTTAGGATAGAGACATGGCATCTGGTATAGTTCAGGGATCAGCACAGAGTTGGTTTTCATTCATTATTTTGTTGGCTGTGATGATCAGAGAAAGTGAGTGCAATTGAGGGGATGATGCCATGCGAGAAAGGGAGCAAGGATGTGGATGGACTAAGTACTCGGTAGAGAGAAGTTCCCTATCCAAAGCCCCCACCTCCTCTAATGTTGACAAGGATCTCACACTGAATGGCCCTGTTTTCATGAGTGAATGAGCAATAGAGAAGGAATAGCTTGGCATAACCCACTGGGAAAAAAATGTGACTAGAGGCAGGCATCCTGTGGCTGATAAAAAGGTTCTTTTGGAAGAGCAGCACATTTTTAAAAAACTGGTGATGCCAGGAAGAAGTACATCTGTTTCAAAAATCCATGTTTCTTAACAGTTTAGCTTCGCACAATTTGAGCTGAGAGAGGCAGCCGTCTGCCTCTTTGGCATTAATGCCTAAATAACGCACGCATGTTTATGCTGTTTTGTCCCCTAGGCCAGACTTTTACCCTCCAGCTTATGAAGAGAGCCTTGAGGTGGAAAAGCAGAGCTGTCCTGCAGAGAGAGAGGCCTCTGGCATTCCTCCACCTCTATATACAGAGACGGGCCTGGAATTCCAGGATGGAAATGACTCCCACCCAGAGGCCCCACCATCTTATAGAGAGTCCATAGCCGGCCTGGTGGTGACAGCAATCTCAGAGGACGCCCAGAGGCGAGGCCAAGAGTGCTGAGGCAGAGAAAGCTCTCCAGCACTCATGATGCCACCACTGTGGGGAGCAGCTACTGATAATAAAGGCAAACGAGGGACTGTGGGAGGAAAAGCCACACCAGGGACCCCACAAGAGAGCTTGGGGAGGGGATGACAGCCCTGAATTCCAGACATAACTGGCCATGCCAGGGCAGGGCAGGCCAGGGGCCCTGGAAGGGTGTGGCCAACACCAAGCAGACATTTCAGAGCATTCACACTAATCTTAACCCCGGCTGGCCTTGGGTCCCCAAAGGTGTCACTCTGAGAGCTCTGCTTACAGAGATTCTTTCTGCTGTCACTCAATTTCCCTCCCATCACCTCAACTCCAGCCAGGGAGGAATAGATGCTGGTTGTCAGGACAGCCACATGCCTTCCTGTTCTATATCACCTAGTAATCTCAAAGCGAAGGTTTGTTGTTTAATTTATTGATTGTTCAGCCTTTTGTTTTGTTAGCTTGTTTCCTAGTTACCTCCAGCTGACCATACTACCAGAGTGAGGCAGTACTTCACATCCTGGGAGATATGCCCTCGGAACCCATGAATGTTATTTTGTATTATTTTATTTTCATGATATGTATTTTTTCTATGTAAAAGGAAAATGACTGTAATATTTGCCTTCAAGATGGTTCAAACACAAAATATTAAATGAGCTGTTTCTTAAAAGAGGTCCTTAAACAAATAGACATGATAAGAATGCTTATAGACCCAAATGGAATAGACAGAATACTTAATTCATAATACATGGAATTCCGGGGTGTAGGGTGGAATTTGTACTGGCCACAGATGGTATTAATATACCACTTGATATAAATCTTATAAAGGTTAAAAATATTTGTATGTAATTCAAAGAATCCCCATATAAATCTCTAGAATTTGAAAGATAAGAAACTCTAATGATGTACGTTCATCATTAACAGGAAATTTCTTGTGTCTCAAGATACAGATCTTGACTTTTAGACTTAGGACATTCATTTTTAAATCCGATGGTTTCTCCTCAACTTTATTATATTTTATTGTTTTTTTAAATACAAGAGGACAAGTCTGGTTGCAGGGTGGTAGACAGAGATGCAGCCTGATGCTTTTGAACTTGGGCCAAGAATCTTCATCTCTCCGGGCCTCAGTTTTCTCCTCTATTAAGTGAGGCATTCATGCTGGCTTCACAGTTGTGGAATGCCTGTTATATGGCAGGCTCTGTGCCATGAGCTTTCCATGCGTGTTAGCCCTCATTCCATCTTTAAGAGACAGGCATTATGATTATTCCCATTTTACATATGCATAAAACTGACATTGTGAGAAGTTAAGAAACTTTTCCAATAACACAATGACTTCTAGGAGGGTGAAGAACGGTTCCTAGAGGAACATGGGAGGACTGACTGACTTCACACTTTTGAGCTAGGTAGCCCTGTCTAACTTCTCTCCTTCTAGGAGACAGTTTGGATTTCTCTCTCCCTTCAGAAAATGGGCTGTAACAGAAAATGGAGCCCCAGGGTTGCTGCAATATCTTAAAGCCCTTGGAGAAGTGGCAGAGATTGCTTTAGGGTTAATCGGCTTCTTTTAAAATACGTAAAATGTCCTCCAGGTTTTCTGCCTAGAAACTGGTCCCTTGCCTCATAGCAGAGTTTCCCCCTGATCATTATATTGATGATGAAGAATGATTCCCAATGGAGATAGCCCTTGGTGAATGGGCACAGGAAGGGCTTTAGACAGTTGGTGAGAAGGATGTACATCTTTCAAAGAGGAAGAGGGTGGTCCAGATGGGATGGAGCCTCCTCTGTGGCCTCATCTTCTCCATCATTGCTGAATGCATAGATTAAGTATATCCTGAAAAATGCATAAGAAGCTTCATAAAAGGAAATCCTTGTCCATGAAGCATGAATTTGGGAATCTGTTATTTGAATCCTTGGCATTGAGGGCATAAAGATATGAAGGTCACTCATGGTTGTCCAATAGGGAAGTGATCATTTATTAGTAATGTAATTTATTATTCCTCTTGTCATCTCTTTCTATCTCTCTACTAAGACAGTTATCCTGAAATTCTCCCTGGTGGTCTGAGCACATTTACTGACTTGAACAAGGACCATCATTGGTCTTTTGTCCAGAATTTGCATTTGTAATAGATAGTTTTTCCAACTACTGGTAGTCAAGTGAAACAAATGTTGATTTTGGTTTACATAAGAAATAGTTTTAATCTCTTTACCGCAATAAATTTTGTACTTAAATTTCTCTTTTGCCATTTTTTTTTTGCATCAGAAAAAAAAATCAATAAAAGACCATAAGTCAAAGTATTATTCTCTGGTTAAACTAACACAGTGTCAGAATGAGTTGATCTTTCTGCAAACCCAAACATTATTGAACTCTAACTGCTGATTTGGAAAATAACTTGGGTGTGTCTTTTTGAAAATAAAATACCAGTAGTTATTTGTTCATTTTTTTAACATTTCATGTAAGGCAGAAATAATATCTTGGCAATGTGAATCAGAGCAGTTTCCAGCGACTGCATATGTACTCTGAATCATGTGTCGAGAACAAGGGTAGGACACAAAGCAAATTCTACATTCGAGAGACCCAGCAATTAAAATCCACTGGACAAATCAGACAAAAATATCCGATTGTGGTTCATAATAATAATATAGTAGTCATCCCCTAGAGGATTCACTCAAGATAAATAGATACTGCCTCTGCTCTTCCTTCTGAAGCTTATAAAATTTACGGTCAAGGATTGGAAACAGCAATTCCATGAATGACAGGGAGAGCACATGCAGCATAAGAAAGTGAAAAGAGAAAAATCCCCACTACAAAGAGTCTTTGCTCATTCTCTTCTCTCACCTGTGGATGGTAGGTTCATATGTCAATGGGGAAGGGAAGTTCTCAGGGTTGAAGGCCCTCCAGTATTGTAATCTCATAATGTCCCTTTGAGCAGAAAGTTTGAGTAGGCCTTACCACCACTCCAGAAGGTGAGGATAAGGTCAGTTATCCTCAATTATAGATTAAGTTATACTGTGTCTTTTGCATATCTGAGATGTACTGTGTTCATTTTCGACCCTCCATGCAAAATCTTACCAGTGCTTTTACTGACACTCCTGTCTATCATTTAAGATTCTATTTAAATATACTGTCTTTGGTGAGGCATTGCTCTAGCTCACCTACATTGTAGGGCACATATTAGGTGCAGATAGGCATGGAAAGATGATAAAGACATGGACTTATAATCTATATCTTCTCCAAATTCTACAAGGTTCCATGACAACCTAGGCTGACTCACATACCAAGTGGGCTGTCAGCTGCATGAGCTATTTCTTCTAGTAAGGACTCCAGCTGGTTGGAGTGGAACAGGCATTCTGCTAAGCTCTGCTGCTTCGGATAATCTCTTGCTGTTTGTAACTGTCAAAGGGCCAAAGGCTGATTTACTGGCAGTTACGTTATTTCCAAAGGCACACCGTTTCTCAGACCCTTCTACACTCAGGGATGGGAAGCTCCTTAAGACATGTGTCTGGGATTTCAGTGTCCACATGTTTTGAGAGTATCCAGTGCATGATCCAGCAATGGAATGGAGTCACACAGTTATGTCATTACCAGCTCCTGCAGGTGCTTTTCAAATTCCCTACACCCATCTGAACGTCAAAGTAAATCCCATGCCTTACACTGATCCATGAGACCGTGCATCAAGCTTCGACTTCCTGTGCAGAAAGCCTGCATGCCACGTGCAAGCCCTTCCACCTATAACGTCATGCAACACGATTTGTCCCGCAAATACTGCGGATGTATGCTGCACTTAGATCAGTAAAAGTTGACAAACGATCTCATTTTAATAATGACTGCCTATCCATTTTCAAGGACATTGAATAAACTCAAGATTCCTGGGTGACACAAAACAAATTTTTGTTCTGGGGGACTGGCTGACACCTGGAAGGATATTTAGCGTGTTTGGTTTCCTACTACTGCCACTAAATGCCTCTCTGGCAAATACACACACATTTCCAAATACCCGCCCTGGTTGAAAACCAGCATGTGATGTATAGTGTTGCTTGCCATTTTTCTGCAGACACGTGCTGTAATGAGTGAACCCCTCTGTAACAGCAGATCACCAGAGTTGCCCTGGAAGTTGCCACACTCTATCCATAGTTTCCTCTGATTGACTCTTGCAGTTCCCATGAAATTTGGGGCCTTTAAAGTCATTTCCTGTTTTTTTTTTTTTTTTTTTTTTTTGAGACGGAGTCTCACATTGTCACCTTGGCTGGAGTGCAATGGCATGATCTCGGCTCACTGCCGTCTCCCGAGTTCACGCAATTCTCCTGCCTCAGCCTCCTGAGTAGCTGGGATTACAGGCACACACCACCACACTCAGTTAATTTTTTGTATTTTTAGTAGAGACAGAGTTTCACTATGTTGGCCAGACTGGTCTCAAACTCCTGACCTCGTGATCCGCCTGCCTCGGCCTCCCAAAGTGATGGGATTACAGGCACGAGCCACTGCGCCCGGTCAAGTCATTTACTCTCAAAGATCAGTGGCTACAGTGGCTACAGCTCTTTTTTTTTTTTTTTTTTTTTTTTAATAGAGTCTTGCTGTTGCCCATGCTGGAGTGCACACTGCTCCATTTTGGCTCACGGCAACCTCCACCTCCTAAGTTCAAGCTATTTGCCTGCCTCAGCCTCCTGGGTAGCTGGGATTACAAGCATGCACCACCACGTCTGGCTAATTTTTGTATTTTTGGTAGAGACAATGTTTCACTATGTTGGCCAGGCTGGTCTCAAACTCCTGACCTCAAGTGATCCACCCACCTGGGCCTTCCAAATTGCTGGGATAACAGGTGTAAGCCACTACGCCCAGCCTAGAGCTTCATCTTTAAGAACATAAAGAACATCATATGGGGAACAGTGACTTCCTGCCTCTCTCCTCTCCCGAGAATTAGGCAAGAGGATGTACACATATAGTTCGGCAAGAGAAGTTTGGATTTCAAGTAAGGCAGAAATAATATCTTGGCAATGTGAATCAGAGCAGGTTCCAGAGAATGACTGTGTCCTAGACCCACCAAAAGACCTTCCCTTGACAACATAGCTGAAAAAACTCTGTCAAAATAGGCAGCTATGTAGCTGCTTCTTCCGGTGGCTGGGCCCAAGGCTTTGCTCTGCCTGACATTCACAACCCTGTGCCTGCTTCAACCCCATGCATCCAAGCCAACTCCTCAGGAGACCCCAAGCAAGTCTCCTCTCCAGCCATCCTAACCCTCATCTCCTAGTCTGTCTTCTGACTTCACTCATCCTTGATGAAATTCTGTAAATGCTTACAAATCCCAAGCAACTCTACTCTTGTGGAAACCACTCTCGTGCCACCGTCTCTGAGTCTATTGCCCCTCTCTGTGTAGTCCCACAGCACATTATTTGTGTCTCTCATAACATTTTTGTCTAACTGATTATTTGTGTATGTTTGTCATAGCCTCCTACTCCCAAATTATAAACTTATAAGATCAGGAATAATGTTTTATCCATTTCTTTGCCCCATCTAAAACAGAACTCTGCCTAGAGGAGTTGCTCAACCAATGTCCACAGAATGAATGAATGAACACATAGATGGATGAATGGATGGACTGATGGCTAAATATATATTTGGGCTACTGTCCACGCATGACTCCATATCAAAATAAAGAAATATAATTTTTATGTAAGGACTAATTTACATATGAACTTACAAGTTAGAGATCATTAAAAGTTCAGCAACTTGAGAAAATAAATATTTTCTTACCTAGAGCTGATACACCTAAGAATACATCTGAGCGTCCCAACCAAGACATCCGTGATTAATGAACACATGGATGGCTAGCATAGATGTCCACTCTTGAGACAAGAACCTGAGAACCAAAGCTATGACATGAATTTGATTCCACTGGTGATCAATCTTGAAATGGTTTTGTTTTAGAATCTCAGCTCAAAGCCACCTTCCTATTATTTTGAAATGAAGACAGTTACAGTGGAGGTCTAGATGCCATTTCAGTTTCTGCTGACTCCCAAAGGCAGTTTTGAGTAACTTACCTTTTCTGTTCCATTTAATACATGTCTCTTGCCATAATAGTGAAAAACAGCCCTTGCAGGTTTTCTGAAAGGCAGATTTATCAGGATAGGTGACCAGTACTGGAGTTTCTCAACTGGTGAGACAAACAAATAAGTAAAAACCCACAATCCTTGGATAAGGTTGAAATTAGGAATTTCTTTTTTATTGGCCACTAAATGTCCTAGCAAGTTTCTGACAGAAGCACAGACAGAAAATGGAAACAAATACCTTACTGGGAATGTTTCCTTGCTTGCACTAACCTTGACTACAGCAATAACGCATTGCTTAACAGTCAAAGTGCACCAGGTCATTTCCGCAAATGGCAGGGTGAGTGACTGTGCCGTTCCCAAGGAAGCAAAACAGACACAAACAGGTCCCACGCGCTGGGTGTCCTGGCTGAGTACAGAGGAGGCTGCTAGACCGGCAGTACCCTTTTCCCAAGTGAGGAAAGCCAGCTGTGACACTCTGCTTGCCGGCAGGGGTCCCCACCCTCCCCTCCACCATCTGGCCCATAGCTGTACCACCAATTACATTTTCTTCCAGCTTCCACTTCATTTCCTACTTTTACAGCATTTCATCCTCTCCTTTTGCAGCCTTTACAAATAAGATCAGAAATGTGTCCAAACAAGTGCATTAAGATAGGCCCCTATTGGCCAAGTCAAAGAGCTCTCACACATGGTGGTCTTTTTGCCTTCTCAAGAGGAACTTGTATAAACCCATGTACCAACATACTTGATGTAATCAAGGAAGGATCCCCTCCAAATTTTAAGCATTTAATTGCAGAGTCTTGTCAAGAAACTTCTTCCCAACTTTACAACTGAATGGCTGAATTTGAAAGAAGGTATCCAGCTTAATAGCTAAAATAATACTATTTACAAAATAAGAGAGGAAAACACCTATTGATATATTTTGTTGGAAGTGCACCATTGTGATTTGTACAAAGCTTTAGAAGATGTGAGAGAAGGTGGTACAGGGATGTTGGGGATGGGATGGGGGAGGCAGGGCCATCGGGTGGGTGGCAGGAGTGAGGTGGGCTGTTGGGAGTTCTATAATAAAACCTTCCCCCATTGTAGACCTGACCTAGGATGAAAAGATAAACCCTCCTCCATGCTGGGAGTGTCTCCTTCTGCCTGCCCAGGGGCACCTGGGACTTAGGGTCAGTTTCATTCTGGCACTGTTCTCTCTTGTGATTTTAGAACATTTTCTCACTTGGCACAAGTGATGCACAAATGTTGTGATTAACAGCTGCCTAGCCCAGTTGTTGTCAAAAGGGGAGGTTCCTTTGTGTGATAAAATGTAGATACCAAATTATAGTGCAGCTTTAACAGACAACTAAAGGCCCTGCTGCATTTGGAGGAATAGGACAAAACCAAAACCAAATGGATTTTTTTTCTTTTCCCACCCACCCTCTATCCCCCAAAAGCAAAATATCTTTTGTTTTTCCAAAGTCATAAGAGGCACAAACAGGTAGCAAGAAGGCATCAGTGAAGCATCTCCCGCTGAGCACTCTCTTTGGCCCTGGTGAGTGATCTTTCCTCTATTCAGGTGATGACAGTGGGTCCCCTCCGGCCAGTTCTCTCATGAATCTGGGATATTTTCAGTGCGATGGCTATGAGAGGGCTCAGCACTGCCTGCAAAAGGAAAAGGAAAGTCTGTGAACAACTCAAGTCAGTTACATTTTGGGGCATTCTGATGGATTTCTACCATAAGCATCTGGACTCAGATTCCAATTCACTGTTTACAGGCAGTCTTCATGAGCAGGACATTTGCTTCCTCCTCCACCAATGGTAGTTGGAATGGGCAGGGCAGGAGAGTAGGGGGAGAAGGTGATCTCCAAAGTCTTAACCAGCTTCAAAAGAAATTTATCTATAATAGGAAAATGTACAACCCAACTACCAAACATGAGAGCACTGTATGAAGACAGCATTGTGAATTAAGGGAGTTCAGAAAAACTCCAGTCTTCTGCTGCTACACCCTCATCCTCACCACACACACACACACACACACACACACACACACACACACACACACACGAGAATAAAAGCTCATTCTTCATCCTAGGGCCATGGATTTAAAGAACCCACAATCCTGATGTTTCTGAAATGACAGACCAATTCATTGGCCAACGTTGCAGAAATGACTGATCATGCCTTCCCATTACGTAACACTGGGCTTATGAGGCACCTCAGTGGGTTTTCTGGAGGAGGTGGGCATGCTTTAGAAGCCTAAGGAATAGGTTCTTGGGAAGTTGAAGGACATGAGAAGGAGGAAGACTCATTTCTTTCTTATTGTTTCATGGGATTGAGGCATTGTTTTCCGAGGTGTGGAGCATGCAACACTCACAATGATTTTCAGTGGTGCATGGATATGGTATTGCTAATAAAACAGTGAGAAAATCAGTCTATTTTCCGTTCTTCAATCCTTCTGATTTCATCAAGGAGAAACTCTGTTTGCTGCCAATCTTTAACAATTTAACCAAGATAGTGCATGCCTCAGGAGTTACCCAGCTAGAATGTAATGTCACTGAATGTTTTTATTGAATTCATGTTCATGATGTGCTTATATTTATCAAGTGGTATTGTTTTTTCCATGTAGAGTACTTTTATAATAAATAAGTAGATTGAGGTAAAAACAAAGTGAGTCAATTTAAAGACAAATATTGGCCACGCGTGGTGGCTCATGCCTGTAATCCCAATATTTTGGAAGGCTGAGGCAGAGGATCACTTGAGCCAGGAGTTTAATACCAGCCTGAACAACATAGACCGCATCTCTACAAAAAATAAGAATTAGCTGAGTGCAGTGGTGTGTGCCTATAGTCCTAGCTACTCGGTAGGCTGAGATGGGAGGATGGCTTGAGCCCAGAAGTTCAAGGTTACAGTGAACTATGATTGCATAACTGCATTCCAACCTGGGTGACAAAGTGAGACCCTGCCTGTCTCTAAAAAGAAAAAATAAAAATAAAATAAAAAATAAAGACACCTATTAATATAGAGATACTGATAGAAAAGAAGTTTGGGTAATATTAGGATAATGGAAGAAACAAAAATTCTGTAATTCAGGAAAAGAAGGCTTGCATTTTGGGAGGGGGAGAGGAATTCAGTTCCTTGTGGGCCCTAACCTATTCCCATGCATAAAGGGAGTGCACACATTCCAATCCACACAACAGGAACACAAGGAAATGCACAAGGTACAAGACATCACAAGCAATCCATTGTGTCCTGAGTGGCATGTAGATACAGAAGAATCCTGAGAGATGTGAGCCAGTCTTGTTGGGAGGGACCTAAATGCTAGAGTGAGGTGTAAGGTTTTAATTCATTAGGCAAGGGGAGGCATTGAAGTGTTTTGGGCTGAAAGGTGACATCACAGCTGTGCTTTGGAAATATTGATCTGGCAGCAATTTATGGTTACATGTATTAAATTATCTTACTCTATGAAGATGGCTAGATGGACAAGCTCACATAGACTCCTGGAAGCTGGAAGAAAAATGAAAATCTAGAACACAAGAAAGTGGCACTTTCCTCCGGTTCCGTGTTGATCATCTTGATTCGTAAAAACAGAAGGGATTCTTTTCCTCTTAATAACCCTGTTGGTGCCCAGAAACATTTTACACTGGCACATTTTGCCAGGACATATCCCATGTGATGCCAAGATAGAGGGATCTCTATTCTTTAGGAGCAAAGTGCCCATTTTGTACAGAAATTCAATTATTAGTTTTTGCTCCTCTTCCTGTCTTCTCTTCCCTCTTTCCTGCTCCCCCTTTTTGGTTATGTAATTCTTCATTAACACCTATCAAAGAAGTTAAACTCAGACAGAAAAAGAGAGTGAAGTTAAACTCAATCACTTTAGCTGAGGTTTTAGAGGGTGAATAAAGATAAACATATACTATCCTATTATTTTAAGAAAATGCAATGAAAATGAATTTGAACCTTACGGAACTAAAGGATTAAAACATATTCAGTTTTACATCATTGTAAATTTCAAGATTTTTTGACTCCACATCTTTAAGTGGTGGTACCTATTGGCAAAAGGGCGGGGAAGCAAGTTTTAACAAATACTGTAAACACCAGAGAAGTTCTCTTTTCTGATCTCCACTTAACTCTACAAACTAACGCGTGCTTTCCACTTCTTCAGTAAAACATCCTGACTCACGTCCGTAGCTCACTAGATGTCCGTGACCAAAAGATCACTTTCTAATATGCTCACCTACTTCTCCCTTCAGCAGTTGAGTTCTGTGTTTATCAGGAGTCAGTTAAGTTTGTTCCCAATATGTTAATGCCTATTGTACTAATTATTGAGACTATGCAATTTAATTATATGTAAACCAATGAAACGTGAATGCAAATAAGAAGACTTTTTTTCTATGAAAATTAAGTTGAGTGTTTTGGAAAGAACAGATAATGGTGATTAGCTAATCCTGTCAAATTAGATGTGGGTGAGATACTACAAAATATTAGGGAGAAATTTTAAAATTATAGAAGAATTATTTTTTCAGGTTGCTTCACAATTGTCCTTAAGTTCCCGCTGTAATATAAAGGAATCAAAGACAGATATTATAGATGATGAATTATGAGTGGGAATCTTTTGAAGAAAGAGGATCACAATGGCAAACAGTATGCTCATATTAAAGAACAGGTCTTGGGCCAAAATCAAAATACTGGCAAATGCATGTACATTTATATGTTTTATGATACAAATGTAATAGGATATCTATGTGTATAGTGGACCTACTTAACTCTGTTTCTGGATTCATCAACCAAGCACTTGTCCCTTCTTCTGTTCATGTCAGAGAAGAGGGCTTCCGTGGTGCTTATGCAAGCTGAAGGGAAGAAAATGCCACATGAGGAAACTCCTAAATATGAGGACTCCCATCCTGAGCCAAGAGCCTGGGCTAATCCGGCACAGATGCCATGGAGTCATCTGCCTTCCGGGAAATATGAGTGTTTGGGAAGAAGACCACCTCACTGATGTTCAGTCTTTTCAGCCATTTTCCAGGAACCACAGAACTTCTTTAGATTTTGTATGACCCCAGGAAGGCCTGGGAAGAAGTCCCTAAAAATACCCAAGATTGAATTTTTTGCCAGCTTTCTGGAAAGGAAACTTCAAGTTAAGCTCCTTTTTTTTCTTTCTTTCTTTTTTTTTTTTGAGAAGGAGTCTCACTCTGTCGCCCAGGCTGGAGTGCAGTGGCGCGATCTTGGCTCACTGCAAGCTCCGCCTCCCGGGTTCACGCCATTCTCCTGTCTCAGCCTCCTGAGTAGCTGGGACTACAGGTGCCTGCCACCATGCTCGGATAATTTTTTGTATTTTTAGTAGAGATGAGGTTTCACAGTGTTAGCCAGGACGGTCTTGATCTCCTGACCTCGTGATTTGCCCGCCTCGGCCTCCCAAAGTGCTGGGATAATAGGCGTGAGCCACCACGCCCGGCAAGCTCCCATTTTTAAGGCTAATAAACTAATATATTTTTTCTTCCCTGAGTGTATAAATTAAACAGTCATGTATCACTTAATGATGGGGATACATTCTGAGAAATGCATCGTTAGGCAATTTCATCCTTGTGCAAACATTATAGAGTGTACTTACACAAACCTAGATGGTATATATCTTTTTATTTATATATTGTTTTTCATATGGGAAACCAAATGTCCCAGCACCATCACTAAATATCAATCATTTCCCCTAGTTGATTCGCAACATCAATATCAAGTGCCATGTAGCAGGTTTCTATACATGCTCCATTCCAATCCTATGGGGCCACCATGGAATATGTGGTCTGTTGTTGACAGAGATATCACTACGCCGTGCATGACAGTATATATGTGCTAGAATGAGTGGCCACATGATGAGGGCAGAAACTTTGTCTTATTCAGGGCTAAGGAAAGTATCTACTGCTTAGGAGATACTCAATACATCTTTGTGGAGTAAATGAATGATATATTTGATGAAAAGATGATAAGGCAAATAGAGACTCCTGTGGGCATTCCTGGAGGACATTGTGTGCATGTGGGAGGGTCAACAGTGCCGGGTTTTTACTCATGTTTTTCTTTAGAAATCACTCCTCTGATACACGTAAACCCCAAACTCTTCTCTCATGTCATCGACCATGCCTCATGGTGGGTGGGAGTTAATTTTCCTGGGGCAATTGGAGAGGCAGTTGGAATGAGGAGCAAAAAGAGGGGTTATGAACTGTGGATGTGAGTTTTCTAACATGGAGCTGGAAGCACAGAATTTCAAAAGCAGAGAGGAATGTGGATTGGTGTCATTTGATTTCTTCATGGCACAGATGAAGACACTAAAGCCCAGTGCGACACAGGATTGACCCACGGTCACACATCTGTTTGGTGGCTGAGCTGGGATAAGAACATACAGTGGGCTCCTCTACTGCATTTTCCATCATACAGTTCTGCATATAAGATCTGAGAGTGACAAGGATAAAGAGAGAAAGACAAAATGCACTGAATGGGGAGGAGCAGGGAAATCATGGGATTGCAACCCTATTGGACCAGATGAGTCCCACATCAGATGAGGAGTTGGGTAGGACTGACCAGTCTTCCTCCCTGACCAAAACCAGGCAGACAGTGGGAGAAGAGGTGTTCTCAGTTATGTGGGTTATGTGAATGTCCTGGAAACTCCAAAATAACCCTTTGTGAATAAAGGAAATAAATTAATGGAGACTTTAATCAATTATGTTAGAGTATAGCATTGTTTTTTCTAATTCCAGTGTTTTTTAGAGTGCCTAACATATTTCTTCTACAGTCAACAGTAGGAAGCAGTGAACGCTTATCTTGCTCCAAACCAAGCAGGCCTTGCATCCTTTCAAGATGGCATCTTCTGCCACCTTGCAGGGTTTTCTGGATGTTTGCTGTCCATTAATGTAGACAGGCTACAGGGGGTATTGGATCCTCTCTCTATTTAAAGTTTTGACACTATGTTTATCATGAATTTTTTGGACATTGATTTTGATTTTTTAAAAATTGCACTACGATATTTATCTTGATTACTGAGTATTTTGGCATCCACACCCACTTAAATTTTGCACCCAGTTAACCTCACATTAATCCTAGCCCACATAAATCCTAGATTAGGTTTTAACTTGTCCATACTCCCTGGAAAGACAGAGTTTCTCTTTTTACTTTCTCTCCCATCTTCTCTTTTGCTTTATGTCATTGTTATAATCCACTTTCATGTAAATTAGATCCATTAAAAAAAAAACAACCCTAACAAACTGAACTTCTTACTCTGGGACAAGCAATAGACAGGAAGGATGTAAATGATCTGAATGTCACAAGACTCAAAGTAAATAGTTAACTGATTTTTCGGAGGAAAACAATACCCTAACCAGAATCATAATCACTTATCAAGCAAGATTTGTCAGAATCTGTGGAGGGAACCTAGTGCTGGGCTGGTCTCTATGAGGAATGTGCATTTGTACAGTCGGGGAAGGATTGGAGCCATGGGTGGAGAGTGAATAGGTGTGGATGACGATAATTACCATAGTTCATCTTTCGGGGCAGGCAATACAAACCAGAAATGCAGGTAGGTCATCCAACAACAGAAAACACTGACATTCTGGCATCCATAAAATAGAGATTTATAACAAATGCTACTTTCTCCTGATCCCTAGGATCAACTAACAACACTCCCACTTTGTTTAAAACCTGCTAAACCTGAATGCCAGGCTTTCTCTCCAGATTTCATGCAAACATTCATTTTTAGTCAATATGCTTTTGCATAGTCTAAGGGAGTGGTTCTTGAACTTGAACATGCACCAGTATCCCCTGGTGGGTCTGTTAAAGTGGAGACTGCAGCACCCCTCATCCTGAGTGTCTGATTCAAGGGGTCTGGGTTGGGGCCCAAGAACTGACATTTCCAACAGCTTCCCAGGATGCTGTTGGTCCAGGAGCCACACTCTGAGGACCACTGCTCTAAGGTACTCTAATTATTGTGCCTGTCAAATGCTTTGCTCCAGCCCAAACCCAGGCTGCATTGTTTGCATCACATGATCCCACTCCCTGGCTGCAGCTGATTGGACCAGAAGTGGCTGTCTGACCTACAGGCAGCCAATAGAGAGGCTGGCTAGCAACCTACAATAGAGCCTGGGGCAAAAACTTCACCTAGCCTAGCAGATTATTTGCCTCGGGGATTTGAACTGTAAGTAATGAAAGAACGGACAGTTAGTAGTGGGAACTAAATCACGAGGTTATAATTAATTAACCATGAGGGCATAAGACTCCATGGTAATCCTGGATTATGAGAAAGCAGAGACTCTGAGAAAGGTGACAAAAAATTATAAGAAAGCAGGGTGAAACCAGGAGAAGAATTAAAGAGAGCAGAAGGAAATAATAAAGGAGTTGGTAGAGAGAAAACAATGGCATGACTCCCAATTATCTCTAAAGATCCATTACCTCCCAATAGGAAGGCCTGAGGTGGTAACCATACTCCAGGTCTAGTCTCTGAGATTTGGACATGTGACAGACCCTACTCTTGACTTTCTTGAGCTAACTTTGGTCTCTTTGCGTATTAAAATCAAAAATTTTAAGCAAATTAAAATAAAATCACAATTAATAAGATAAACACTCAAAATGTGTTTCTCTTAGATTGTTTGGAGGTACCATCATGGTCCAGTATTCTACCACCAACAAACCCAAAATATGAAATGTAACATCTTGCAAACCAAAATTAACTTCCTCGCTACGCCAGTCCATGGTTCCACCTTCTCTTTCCTGCTAGGAGCAGGTCCCTCTGAACTCTCAATCTGCTCAGCTGGAAGTACTTGTTGGTGGGTCCTTCTCCCTTTCCTGTACATCCAAGCAGTTGCCAAACCCTCTGATTCTATTTCTCCCCATCTACTTCCTCATTCTCATCCCCATTGTTTCCTTAACACACTGCCCCACCATCCGGAGCTTGCGTGAGTCTGCTATCTGTTCTCAGTTTCATCAGAGAGAGCTTCTTTTTACAAGAGACTTGTTCATGTGAGCCCCTGATATAAAAGGCTCAGATGGCTCACTGCAACTTTTGCCTCTTGGGTTCAAGCAATTCTACTGCCCCAGCCTCCTGAGTAGCTGGGATTACAGGTGCACACCACCACACCCACCTAATTTTTGTATTTTTAGTAAAGACAGGATTTCTCCATGTGGGCCAGGCCGGCCTTGAACTCCAGACCTCAGGTGATCCACCTGTCTTGGCCTCCCAAAGTGCTGGGATTACAGGTGTGAGCCACTGTGCCAGGCCCGATATTCTTATTCAAATGTGAGCTCTAATTGGCTCCATGCCCTGTGTGGATGGAGAAGGGGAGAGAGCAAGAGCACTGGCCGCTGTCTGTAGGAGCAGCTGAGAGGCTTTAGGCACAATCTCTGAGCCCTTTCACTGTGCTGCTGAATACTACAAACCTACCTGCAAGAGTTGTCAGTTTAAATTGTTAGGACTGTTTCCCTGGCCATGGTTTCCCTGTTCCTCTCTTCTTTCTTTCTATCCACCTCTCCCCTCACCTTCTGCCACCAAAACATTGTAAAAGGATGGGGAATTACTAATTGGTTCAGATCCCCATCCCTCCCAAATGTCCCTCACATGTCTTCACATTTCTCTTCATTGGGTATATCCACACTAGGCTTCCAGGTTTCTTTCACATGGAATACACTTGCTAGGTCAAAGGGAAATTAGGATCTCCTCTGCCTTTACCAAATGGTTAGCAGAAATAAAACTTCAAGATTGAAACCGAGGTTAAAAAAACAAAAGGACCTTTGCCTCTCCAGTTTGTTACTCAAAGGACTCTCTCCATTCTCCATTTTCCTCCTTTTCCTCCCTTTCTTCTCCAAAAGACTTCGGAAGCCACGATCAGTGTTCTCAGTCCTCACTGCCATTTTATATACTTTGTGCCTTGGATTCTAAGTTTTGATTCTTTAGTAATTTTGTAATAGCTGGCACTGAGTACCCAAAATGTGCCAAGTGCTATTCCAAATTCATGTATTGAATTAATCTCTAAACAGTCTATGAGGTAGGTGGTATTATTCTCATTTTACAGATGAGGAAACTGAGGCTTGGACTCATTACATAACTTGTGCAGTCACATGGCAATCAAGTGGCAAAGCTGAGCTCTGAACCTACTCAGTACTGTGATTTTTAACCTCAAAGCTAGGCTGTATCTCACTATCTAGACTGCCCTTATACTGAGGGAAAAGTTTTCATTTTCTGAAAGTTTATAAATATATTTGTCTTAATGCCAAAAGTTTCCCTGTTTCTAGGCACACTATTTGAAAATTACCTTTTTAAGGATTATTAAATATAACAATCACAGGGAAATGCAAACAATTTAACATACTCTAATTATATGTAAAACTGATGCTTGTCCTTCTGAAGACAAAGCCTATTTGAGTTCTAAATGAACCCATCAAGTCGTTCTCCCTTGTTAGCATACTGTCAGCACATATAGCCTACGTCCAGGTTTTTTCTTTAGCAATACCGTTTTATGATATTAAAGGACTTCCCTTTGATTCCTATTCACAGAATTTTTATCATGAAGAGATGATACATTTTATCAAAAGCTTTTTTTGTGTCAATTTTGTTTTCATTTTCGAATTCAGTTGCCCTTATAATACTCTGTATTCTTTCATTCCTCAGCATATAGGTAATTTTTATACGTGTCCCCTGTGGCATGAAAAGAATTTACACGTTGAGTTGATGTTGCGTGGTGTAATATCTATATGTGCCTATTAAGTCAGGTGTGTTAACTAAGTTGTTTAAATATTCTATGTTCTTTACTAATTGTATACTTATTCTAATAATTACTGAGAGGGGTGCTAAAATACTCAAGGGCAACTGTGGATTTATTTTCTTCTTACATTTTCATCTCTCTCTCCCTCTTTTTTTTTTCTTTATAAATTTAAAACTACTGTGTCTTCCTGGGGGATTTAACTCTTTTATCAGTTTGAAGAGTCTCTCTTTATCTTTAGCAATGCTTTTGACCTTAAAGTCTATTTTATCTGAAATAATAGAGCTAGTTTTAGGTTATCATTTGTATATCTTTTTCCGTCTTTTAACTTTCAAATTTTCTGTATTTTTATGTATAAAAGATGTATTTTTTATAACGAGCTTATAGTTGTCTTTTTTTTTTTTTTGAGACAGGGTCTCACTCTGTCACTCAAGCTGGAGCGCAGTGGTATGATCATGGCTGACTGCATCATCAATTTCCCAGGCTTGAGCAATCCTCTCACCTCAGCCTCCCAATTAGCTAGGACTACAAGTGCACACCATCACACCTGGCTAATTTTATTTATTTATTTATTTATTTATTTATTTATTTATTTATTGTAAAGACAAGGTCTCCTTATGTTGCCCAGGCTGGTCTCAAACTCCCAGGCTTAAGCAATCCTACCACCTTGGCCTCTGAAAGTGCTGGGATTACAGGTATGAATCACCATTACATTGTCTTTTTCCTACAGCAGTTAGTTCACTTATATTTAAAGTAATAACCAGTAAATTCAAGTTTAAATCCACCACCTTATGTGCTTTTTACTTGACCTAGCTGTTTTTCTTTTTTTTTTTAATTTTTTTTTATTATACTTTAAGTTTTAGGGTACATGTGCACATTGTGCAGGTTAGTTACATATGTATACATGGATGAAATTGACCTAGCTGTTTTTCTTTCTCAATTTTTTAAAGTTCCTATGTTTTCCTCTCTTAAGAAGTTATGTAATTTCCTTCTATTTTTTTTAATCGTTACCTAGAAACTACAACATGAATCCTTGACCTATCAAAGTCTAGTATTTATCTATACCTTTATTTTCTTCCAATATATTCAAGGATCTTACCTTAACTACAATTATGCTCATGGTGTTTAGTTACTGTGGTTGTATAATTTAATTCTCCATATTAATTAATATACATATTTCAGCAATTATTAATATTTTATACAGCCAATGTTCATTTATACCAACTCCTATTTTTAACATTTCTTTTATTCCTTGCTGCATTTTATTCCAAATATCTATCTGGGATAATTTTCCTTCTTCCTGAAGAATATCCTTGAGAATTTCTTTTTGTGTAGATACTCTCTCAGCTTTTGTTTATCTGAAGATGTGTTTATTTCGCTTTCATTTTAGAAGGAAAGTTTCACTAGATTAAGAGTTCTAAGCCATCAGTCTCCTTATTTTTAGTGTTGATAAAGAAAAATTAGTTGTCAATCAAACTATTCTTTGCCTTTGATTTTCTGCAATTTTAGCCTGATGTGTCTAGATGTGAATTTATTTTTATATATCCTGCTTGGCTTTCTAGAATCAGTGGGCTGACCTCCTTCATTGGTTCTGGGAAATCTTCACCTATCATTTTTTCCAGTGTTGCCTATACCCAAGTTTCTGTCTCCTCTTTTGAGACTCCAACTAAATTATGTTAGCACTTCTCACTGTATCCTTTGTGTCTCTTACCCTCTATTCTGTATTTTTCCGAATATGATCTTTCATCTTCCAAAGGCAGCAATCTTATATTCTTTGTTCTGCAAATCATAAGGACTAAACTGAAAAATCAGATGCATAGTTTCTTCTGAAATATTTTAAGTTCACTGATATTCTTCAGCTGCTGTTAAATCCATTTATGTTCTTAATTTTGGTTATCTTTCTCAGCTCTTTAATTTCAACATCTTGGTGTATTTTTATAGTTTTCAGTTATTTGCTGATGTTTTTACATTCAGTGCTTTATTTCCATGAACATAGTGAAAATAACTATTTTACAGTGTGTATTGAATAAATTCCAGTATCTATAGATCTTTTTCTGTGGTATGTTGTTTCTGTTGATTCTGGTATGTGTTGCTTTGTGTATCCAAGTGCTTTATAATCTTTTATTGTTTGGTGCCCATTTTGTTTGAAAAATTGCTTATAGAAATAACTGGAGACCTAGAATATTGTTAGTTTCCTTCATTTCCTTTCATGAGACTCCTCAGGGAGCCAGAAGATCAGAGCCATGGATTTATAATCCTCTGGAGTACAGTCTGTATACCACCTTTGGAATGGTCTTCTTCAAGTTTACACCCTAGAGCAGGGATTGTTAAGCCAGGATCTCTGCCTTTGATGTGTACTTAACTAACCATATTTCTTTTGGCCACACGAAAATGCCACACAGGTCTGCCTCTTTGCTGCCTCTTTGGTTAGTCTCCTGGTTAGCAGAGGCAGACTGTAATAGACCAGATCCTCCTCCACCTGGACCTGATGCCGGTCACCTTTACCCTGTGCCAGTCATCAAAAGCACCTCTTCTTTAGTACCTCTCCTAGATGGACAAATTCCCTAGGACAGAAAGAGCTTTGGCTCATTTTCCTGAGTGCCAACCCTTTTCCTGTTCTTGTTACTGTTTTATTAGGTCATTGGTCAACCATGCTTTTAATAAGATGCTTTAATATATTTCTTTCAGCTCTTTACAGAGGGAAGGTTAGTTTGAATCACCTAGTCCACCACTACTAAAAGTTAGAAGTCCTTCATATGGGATTTGTGTTGTTTTGTAATCATTTTCCTGCCAATATTTAAAAATCAAATTTCATTTGAAAGTCCAGATATCTTGCTCCTTTTAAAATCAGAAAACCTGGCAACCTTGAGCTCACATATTAACAATGCAATAATTAAAGACAGCTGAGCATCACCAGAGTGCCCACCATGCTCTATTGTCTTAAATTGGCCCCAATCTAGGACTTACTGCCTGTGTTGGTGGGTGACTGAATTTGCTACCACTGAACAAGCAATAGTACACTAGAGGCAGTGAAATAATTTTAATATTAATAAGTATAAATTTTACCTGGATAGTTACATATCCAGGAATCTGGGGCATTCTAATTTAAATTTTCTCTTTTTCTGAAATAGAGATTTTTGTATTATGAGGGCCTTGAAGACTACTGCGGAGGGCTGGCAGATTTGCGTAAGAGCCCAGCAACCATTTGGGGAGTAAAGGTACTGCAGTCCTCCCCGTCCCCTATTATGCCTATGCCCTGAGATGCAAACTCTCAGCATGGACTCAACTGCTCATGACTACAACACAGAACTAGGCTAGGCGCAGTGGCTCAGGCCTGTAATCCCAGCATTTTGGTAGGCCGAGGCGGGCAGATCACCTGAAGTCGGGAATTTGAGGCCAGTCTGACCAATATGGAGAAACCCCGTCTCTATTTAAAAAAAAAAAAAAAGACAAAAAATTAGCCGGGCGTGGTGGTGCATGCCTGTAGTCCCGGCTTCTCAGGAAGCTGAGGCAGGAGAATTGTTTGAACCCAGGAGGCGGAGGTTGCAGTGAGCCGAGACCGCGCCATTGCACTCCAGCCTGGGCAACAAGAGCGAAACTCTGTCTCAAAACAAAAAACAAAAAACAAAACAAAACAAAAAAACAGAACTATATAAACATGAAATCCAGGAACTGTCTCCACTCAACCCAGCCCTCCTAGGAGCACACTAGAGCTGGCAAAGCAGCTGTGTGGTGGACGTCACAAAGCAAAGAGGCTGAGACCCCAGGCCCACTTTGGCAAGGAGAACTCCTGGCTGAGTGGAGTCCTGAGAGTGTGTGCTCTTCCCCCTCCCATGTTGAGGGACTGCCAAGGCCCAGGCAGGGACCTCAGTGGCCAGATGGTGGAGGCCCACCCCACTACCTCCTCTCAGGCCCACCCATGGTGAGGTTCACCCCAGGTGGTGATGCTGCTTCTCCGGGAGAAGAGTTCACAGTCTCTCTGTACTTCGCCTAACTGCCACCCCACAGCCTACTTGAGGTAACCAGTTACAAGCAGCACAGTGGCATTCTCCAGCTTCCAGAGGGTACAGCCTTCTAAGAAAGGGCTAGCCCTTGGGAAAGGATCTGAGGACATAAAAGGGAATAGGAGGACTGAAAGAGAGACCACACCTTCTACTAGTCTGGAATTGTGGGGCTTGAGGACTGCCTCTAGAACATTCCTAGAGGATGGATTGAGGTGTGTTAACTATGCCAGATTGAAGATGGGAATGCTGGTCTACTCCAATTTACTTTTTATAGGTGGGTGAGCACCCCCATATTTTTTGATGGCACATAATAAGGACCTTAGTTAAGGTCTTGGGCTCTGAGGCCCAAATCTAGGTTCAAATACCAGGGACACTGTTTAGAAACAGTAGATTGTTCAAATTCTCAGGGCCAAAGTTTTCTTATTTGTAAAACATGGATGGATAGCATGACTACCTATAGCATTGGATTGTGGTGAGAATGAGATATAACACACACAAAACACATAGCATTCTGCCTAGCCCCCATACGGGGCAAGCACTTGATACTATTGTTATTATTATTATTACCATTATCATCATCATTGAAGACAGAAGCCTGACTTGCTATTAATAGAAAAGTAGGCTACAGGTGAGTGGACCAGCATACCAGTCCCAATAAGCTGACCTTTGGTAGATAGTCAACAACCCTTCTAGCTTAAGTTTATTTGCCCATAAAATAAAGTTCATGTTATCTTTTTGATAAAAGATAAAATAAAAAGAGATTAAGAATGTTGGGGTGTTCCCAGCTCTTGGAGTGAGAAAGCCACTCAAATCAGAGGCAACATCTCTCTGTGTCAGCAAGAGGGTCAGTGACACACCCAGTGGGGGAAAGCTTGCCTGCATTTCTGTTTGTGTGCAACAGGCCCTATATATCCAGCCAGAGAGAGTACAATCAGATTGCAGTTGCGTAAGGTGATGTTGACAACAGAAGGAACAGACATCATAGCTTTTGGAACACATTCCTTAAGGGTGTATCAGATTCTAAAGAAGTTAGCAAGGACTTCCACATTGAGCAAAGCTGAGTGGCAGAGTTGAGTAGCAGAAGCAAACTAGAAGAGAACTTCTGCCGTGAGGGCCACCTGAGTCTTACGGAGGAGGCAGTAGTGGGACAGTCATTAACACCAGGCACTAAAAACATGGAAATGAGCCCTGTAAACGAGGAGAGACTCTTCCCCACAATAGAAAGACTATTAGTGAAATTAATGGATGGTTAATGCACACTTTATGAATGCAGTTTGGACAAAGGAACATGTTCTTTTATGGCCTTTGCCTTTAGACTCAGCTGCCATTTAACCTAACATATTTAAAGTGTTTTAAATAATTGACCTTTTCCTAGTAATTGAAGTGTGCTAGACTGTCTACCCACAATTTTAGCAAGGCTTTGTGCCTTGGCAAAATCAAATTAGAACTTTCTTTACCTCATCCACTGTTATTTTGAATCTCTCAGCTCAACTAGTATAATTGTGTGAAGAAAACTGTCTAACACTGCTGAGTTGATATTGAGAAAGGGTTTCTATGGAGATGCAACTTGAAACTGATTTTCTTGTTTCTTTTTTTGTTAATTGACCTGAGAAGCAGGAACAAGTCTTCAAGGATCTTGGCACATTTGTCTGGGTTATTTTCTGCATGCTTTATGATTTTCCTAAATGAGGAAGAAATAGAGGCCAGGCACCCCTATAAATGCATCCTATTTAGTTTGGCATTAGAGGGTTTGTCTGGTGTGGAGACAATGTCAGTCCTGCTAAGCAGAGGTGGAAATAAGGATCCCAAAGGTCATCCATCACAGGACTTCTTGCCCTTTTTTCCCTCCAGTTTTGTTGTTGTTGTTGTTTGTTTGCTTGTTTTTTTGAGATGGAGTCTCACTCTGTCACACAAGCTGGAGTGCAGTGGTGCAATCTTGGTTCACCACAACCTCCACCGCCTCCCAGGTTCAAGCGATTCTCCTGCCTCAGCCTCCTGAGTAGCTGGGATTACAGGCACCTGCCACCATGCCCAGCCAATTTTTATATTTTTAGTAGAGAAGGGGTTTCACCATGTTGGCCAGGCTGGTCTCGAACTCCTGACCTCAGGTGATTCACCCGTCTCAGCCTCCCAAAGTGCTGGGATTGGAGGTTTAAGCCAGTACAGCCAGCATCAGTTTTCTTTTTTTAGAGATAGGGCCTCCTTAAGTTGCCCATGCTGGTCTTCAACTCCTAAGCACAAGGGATCCTCCCCACCTCAGCCTCCTGAGTAGATGGCACTTTATAGGCTAATGCCACCACGCCCAGCATTAGGACTTCTCAAACTTTAATGTGCACATGAATCACCTGAGGAGCTTGTTAAAATACAGAATCTGAGTCAGTAGATCTGGGTTGGGGCCCGAGATTCTGCATTTCTAAGTAGCAACCAGGTGATGTTGATGCTGCTAGTCCAAGAACTACCTTTAGTGTAGCAAAAGTATAAAGCGCTGTTAAAAACAGTGTAAAAGTACTTTCTTTTAAGCTTTTTATCAAATCTTATCCATTAAAAGGAAAGTGAATTCATAATGACTGCAAATTCTGAAAAACATGGGCTGATATGAGTCAGAGCCAGCGGCTTGATTCAACAATATAGAAACACTTACATGGTCAAAGACAGTCTAAAATGTATAACTGGGAAATCTCAGTATATCATCAAAGTATCTTAGCTTTTGTTAAACACCACACTGACTGTCCTGACTGTAATTCCCAAGAATATAATTAAAAGCAAAGAAAGAAAGAATAAAAACAACAGAATTGCTACTTCCTAGGGAAATGGGGTGAGGTTCCTTGGAGACTGGGTTTGAGGATCACTGTTAATGTGACTGAAATGCACTAGAACCTTGTTATCAGCTCCCGGAAGCCCCATTCACAGGGACATGCAATGTCACAGCACTCCCTGGCTTGGGGTCACTACTGAATGTCACGTGTTTGCTTCCCTTTCTTTGTAAGAATTCACCAGGGCTCATATTCATACTTTTCTTTTTTCATCCCATTTATTTCTTAACGTTTTTCCCTTTTCTTCTGACATAGTGCTGCTCTTCTGAAAATCATGTGTAAGCAATTGCTTTAAAAAGAAAAATGAAGAACCCTTCTGACAAGAAACAAAAGACCTGAAAAAGGAATTTGATTTCATGAATACAAACATAATCATTTCCCTTTCATGTTTGGTTGCAATCAAAAGCTATGGAGTTCAACCTCAGAAGCCTCATGCTGGAGATTTCCAGAGAGATTTGATATTTTTTTCCCTAAAACTTCACAATTCATCTATGTATACAAATATACACAAATACAAATGTAATTTTGAAATTTATAGTGTGTATGGTTTACCCAAACTCATGTTGATACATGCTGTACTGAATGTAATCAGAAATTGTAAATAACGTGTCATATTCAGAAACCTATAAGGCAAGGATCAACAAATTATAGGCCTTAGGCCAAACCCTGGCCACCACCTGGTTTTGGTGCAGCCATAAAAATGGTTTTTATGTTTAATGGTTGGGAAAAAAATAAGATTTTGTGACATGTTAAAATTATCTTAAGTCAATTACAGTGCCTATAGTTTTATTGGAATATAGCTTCACTAATTCATTTATGTATTACCTGTGGCGGCTTTTGTGCAACAGTGGCAGTTGAGAAGTTGTAACACAGACCATACGACTAATATTATGGGTTGAATTTGTCTTCCATAAGTGCATACGTTGAGGTCCTAATTGCCAATACCTCAGAATGTGACATTATTTTAAGACGGGGCCTTTACAGAGGTACTCATGTTAAAATGAGATCATTAGGGTGAGGTCTAATCCAATATGACTGGTGTCCTTATTAAAAGGGGAAATTTGGACCCAGAGACACACAAGAAGGAAGATGATAATGAAGAGATACAGGGAAAAGACAGCCATCTATGAGCCAAAAAGAGAGGCATGGAACAGATCAACAGATCCTTCCCTCACAGCCCTCAGAGGGAACCAGCTCTGTCAACACACTCATCTCAGACTTCTAACCTCCAGAATAAGAAACAAGTTCTTGCTTTGTAAGCCACCCAGTTTGTGGTACTTTGTTATATCAGCCCTAGCAAACTAATACAGCTAGCAAAGCCTAAACTATTTACTCTCTGGGCCTATTCAGAAAAAACTTGACTCCTGCTCCAAGGGACCAGTTTTTCTGTTTAATCCCTTGAAGCCAGAGAGCACATGCCTCCTGGCTAGTCAAAGAAACTTCAGGCATCCTTTCTTCAATGAACCTGCCTTTCATCACACACCCACTCCAGTGTTCAAGCCCTTTCTCTCTGGTAAAAGAGCTTGGAACAACCAACAGATTGCACATTATTTGGATGAAATGAAATCATTGAACAACCCCTACTCACTACCTCTTACTCCAAGCCAGGAGGGCAGTGAATTTGTTCCATGAATGGAGAGACAAGTAGAGAAACTCCACTTCATCCTTGAACCTTCTGACAAAGCATGGTACATCTAAAATGCCATGTCATGAGAGCCCTGGGAGCTCTCAGAGAAGACCTAGGTTTTTAGAAGCTGTCAGTTCTCTTGGGACATTTCTCATAGATCCAGTTTGGTCTCTGAGATGTTAATGGGAGGGAAAAGGACAAGTCAATTGCATTATAAAACAAATTGCTAAGTAATCTGGGAATCTTTTATCCTCATGTGATAAGAAAATGAGTCAATACCATTATTAATAAAAATAATGGTGGTGAAACCCCTTCTCTACTAAAAATACAAAAATTAGCCAGGCATGGTGACGCATGCCTGTAGTCCCAGCTGCTCAGGAAGCTGAGGCAGGAGAATTGCTTGAACCTGGGAGGTGGAGGTTGCAGTGAGCTGAGATTGCACCACTGCACTCCAGCCTGGTGACAGAGTGAGACTCCATCTAAAAAAAAAAAAAAAAAAAAAAAAAGGCAAAAACAATAACATTAGTGACAATCAACATTTATTGAACATTTATTCACATGTCAGGTATAAACCAAAAATATAATTCTAAGCCCCAAACTGACTGAATGGACATCTCCTCCCTGCCCCTAATCATTGGCCAAAAGGATCCCGAAAACTAGTTCAGGCCATAACAGGAAAAGGGCGTAGCATATGCCTCAATATATCCTCCTCTCTGGAGCTTAGCTGTTGACATTTAGAGATTCTAGGACTGACAGAACAGACTCTTTGTAGCAGTAAGATACCAAATTCCAACCTGACCCTGATATAGCATCAGATGACAGATAACAGGCACTGAAGGAAATCAAAGCATCTTACCCCAAAATATATTTCTTTGACGTAATTTGGAATGGCTCTACAAAGCCATCTTTTGTGGGGGAAATCGGCCTTCTGTAGAGAATCCCCTTCCCTTGCTAGATCTTCTCTGGAGAGTCTGACACCTTTTGAGGTCTAATAAGAGACATTTACCTTCTATTCTCTCTGAAGCCTGCTACTTAGAGGCTTCATCCACATAACAAGAACCTCAGCTTCCACAACTTTCTTTATCTTAACTCAAGCATTTGTTTATACTGACTTTACCTCTTCAGACAAAGCTTAGATTTTTCAACCAATTGCCAATCAGAAAATCTTTGAATCCACCTATGACCTGGAAGCCTCCCCTTCTTTGACATGTCCTGTTTTTCTGGGCCAGGCCAATATATACTTTACATGTGTTGCTTGTGTCTTTGCCTGTAACTTTTATCTTCCTAAAATGTATAAAACCAAGTGTAACCCAACCACCTTGGGCACATGTTCTCAGGACCTCCTGAGGCTGTGTCACAGGCCATGACCTTTAACCTGGCAAAGTAAACCTCTAAAACGATTGAGACTCATCTTGGTCATTTTCTTTGATTTACACAGGCATTGTACAAAACTCTTTACATATATGAATTATCTGATTTAATCATTACAACAATATAAAATAAGAAGTATATCTATCTCAATTTGACTGATATTAAGTTGCCCAAGATCACAAAACTGGAAAATGGCAGAACTAGGACTCAAAACAAAAATAACTGATTTCGGCCAGGCACGGTGGCTCAAGCCTGTAATCCCAGCACTTTGGGAGGCTGAGGTGGGCGGATCACGAGGTCAGGAGATCGAGACCATCCTGACTAACATGGTGAAAGCCCATCTCTACTAAAAATACAAAAATTTAGCCGGGCGTGGTGGCGGGTGCGTGTAGTCCCAGCTACTTGGGAGGCTGAGGCAGGAGAAGGGCGTGAACCCAGGAGGCGGAGCTTGCAGTGAGCTGAGATTGCGCCACTGCACTCCAGCCTGAGTGACAGAGCGAGGCTCTGTCTCAAAAAAAAAAAAAAAAAAAAAAATGCTGATTTCAAAGCCCAACCTTTGTATCAGAGGCCATCCAGCTTTGATGGTATGTGAAAAAAACAAAATCTTGTTGGGGTGCTCCCTAACAATTTTACCCACCTGAGAAAGTGACAGTGGTTTTATCTTTTCCTCTGGCTGTTAAGCTGGTGTTTTTATTCTAATGCTTTGACATCTTGGGGCCTGGCTGACTCTGGAAGGTTTTGTTCTTCCCAGGGTTAGCTAATTCTTAGAGACAGCAAACAACACACCCTGGAGCTTGCCTTTCAGATGCAAACCAAACACTTCCTTTCTCAGACCCTCACAGGGCTCTCACACTTGGGCCACTATTTCTCTGCCCTAACCACCCCAAGGCTAGGTACCAGCAAATTAGGGACAGTCCCTGTGCCCCAGAGCCTGCTGAAATTATTCAAACAAGCTAATCCTAAACCTTCTCATCATGCTTTACCTTACCTTTCCCAGAGAATCTCCAAAAAGGCTTCACCCACATTTTCCCTTTGCTCATGCTGCCTCCTGTCCGACGCTGGCGCTTCCCTGCGTGGCCCTGTGTGGCGTGTTGGGTCCCCTCCTCTTGGGAACTGTGAGTAACAAACTATCTCTTCAATGGCCGTCATCTCATCATCTGTTGGCCTCCCCATACCTGAATAATAATGAAGTCTACATTTCAAGCCACTCTGTCAGCCTCATCTACCTTCCATCTCATATCATGATGGTATAGTACACAGGCCCAACCTGCCAAAGTATGTCCCAAGTGATGATTTGTACCAACAAAAATGCTCAAAAGTAAAACCAAAAACACAAACACGATACCAGAATTGTATAAACCTTTAACAGCTTTCCCTCCTGCCCAAGGCCTAAGCATTCTGGCTTTGAGATGCTCCTCCCTGGAGTTTGTCAGGCCTGCCAGCGTTCCTGGGAGTCAAAAACAAGGGATGGGAAACTCCCTCACCTGCATCTTGAACAGGAGTTCTCGTTCTGGGATTAGGGCATCAAACTTAAATTCAGCCAAGAGTAGACGGGAGAGCAAAAACAGCCACATTCTCCCCTTAACAGCTCAGATCCTGTATTCCCCATGTGAATGAAGCATGACCGTGTTGGGAAGCCCAGGAAAAGCTGCTTCCAGATGCTGGCTAATTGCACACACTAGTCCAGAGCTTCCTTCTGAAGGCCACAGGCAACCTCCAGGTTCACTGTCAGTCCCCATTTGTTAAGATACACTCTTGTTTATTATATAAGCAAAGCAAATTATTTACTGTACACCAAGGAAGGACACCACTTCAAAGAAAACCTGAATCACCACCAGTTCATGAGACCTGGGTAGCTTTCTCCTGAAAGGCACGGAAATGTGGTTGTGCTGTGCATCTGGGCTAGAACAAAAAGGCTGCTGGGAAAGGCAGATTGTGCTGGACACAGCTTGTCAAACCCATCCATCTGGCAAGAGAAGTGATGACCAGTGACCTCTGGACTTGTGTGACCGCTGCAAATTCATTCATGCTCCTTTTTCAGGCTGAGTAAACAAGATCCAGCAAGACTTGGTGATTTGTGGATATAAACATCACTGGGTTAACCAATAGCTGGTTAAGCATGTGCTTTAGACATGGTAAAACTGGCACCAAAACAAAAGATATTTTGGTAAGAAGTTGATATTTAATATTTTAGAAATTAGAATAGCATTATAAGGAAAAAAATCAAAACATTTTTAGGTTTCCTTATATTTATTTTTAAAGCTAATTTTGTTTTTTATTTTAAACAACATATAGGAAAGTAGAAAGGAGAAATATAATTTTTTTTAGGGTCCAGGCTTTCTAAACTGTAATCCAAGCTTGACCTAAAGCCAGGATCAAGGCATGCCTTTTGGCTCTTCAGTGGTCTGTTCTTAAGACCACTGGTTCTCGGGATAAGCTGGCAATGCCGGTATTCTTGCAAGATTTGGAATTAAGGGCCTCTTTTGTATATATTGCCACAAAGAGAGATTTGAGATGGGCTCTGTCTGTGGGATTAACATGAGTGGTTCACGGTGGCAGTCCATAGTTTCCCACAAGTCCTAGACCATGTGGAGTGTGGATACACAGGGCTTCACATACTCAGTACCTTGAAAGGAGATCTGATCACAATGTTTGGCCAAGAAAAAGGCTTATTGTCATCAAAACTGTAAAAAGCCCTGGTCTATGATAGACACTAGGCCCTGAGGGAATCTCCCAGATTCCCAACCAAGGGAGTTTTTCACATGCCATCAGATGACCAACCCTCCCAAGGAGTGTTCTCAGCTCCAGGGAAAACAATATGTAGTAACGGCAGAGTATGAGTCCAGATTTCAATATCTAAGGAAGAAAAAGAAGGACTGTTTGCCCTGGCGTTTTGTCTGCCTTTCCAGAAAGTACTCATCTAAGCAGAAATAGAAAAAAACCTATACATCTTTGCATCTTTCCAAGTTTAATTCCGCCCCAAGAGCCAGTTATGAAAACACAGCCATACTAAATTCCTTTCAACACCACTAGAGGGAAATCTAACCCACCTGACCAGAACTTGTTTCTTGTTTCTTAAAAAAAAAAAAAAAATTATAATTACAGAACTAAAATTTTAAGGCTGACACATACTTTGAGACATTATCCTGCTCAATACTTTCTACTCTTGCCCCTGTTTTAAAATTATTTGAATATATGTAGGCAAAGAGACTTAGAAAAGCACAAACTAGCCATCCTAATTGGGCAGGAGTCTTGACAGTTGAGAAATTGTTCTAACAGTCAACGTGAATCCCTTCCAGTTCAGCTTGAGTTTATTTCCTCAAATTACATATTCATTAGTTATGGAGAACAGCTGGTCATCTTTCCCGCCTCACATTATTCCTTAAATTCCTGAAGACCTCCAAGTCACGCCTCTCGTCTAAGTGGAATGAGCCAGCTCCTTAACTTGGTCATAGAGTTTAGAGCCCAACTCTTCACCAAGTGTTTCTCTTCTCAACTCTCTCTTCAACACTTTGCCCTCCCCCATAGTTCCAAAGTGCAGCAATACCGACCAAATTCTGAGGAGAAAAATAAAATGAGGTATTTCCTCATGTTTTCCCTCATATATATGGCTATTAATATATCCTTGCTCAGGTTTTCTTTTTAAATAACAACATCTTTTATTTATTTTTAAAATTGAATTTGTTTTCATTTTTAACTACATATGGGAAAGTAAGGAGAGGAAATATAATTTTTTTCAGGGTTTGGGGGGCTATAAACTGTAATCCAAACTTGACCCAAAACCAGGACCGAGGCACAACTTTTAGCTCTTTAAATCATATATACCTAGTATGATCCCCAAATCTTGCTCTCATACACACATGCATGTACACACATATACATATACAAAAATCTTTGTCTTGTCATGAAAGTGAATGGCTAAGTGAATGTGGATTTGCATCACTTCTGAACTCCATTCTGTTTCTCTTTCACATCATATGTATTATATCCATTTCTACTTTATTCTCCAAGTTTTTGACTACTCACTCTAGATCCCTTATGAACTAGAAAAGATATCCAATATGTATTTAGAACATTATTATTTTCATAATGTTTCTGAATCCTATTCATTGCTAATTCAAAATTAGTACAGAAAACTGGTTGTTTTTAAGACGCTATTCACTTTTACAACTGTTGTTAAAGGAAAAACCTTAAACAAATTAAACTTAAGAGTTTAACTGAGCAAAGGACGATTCTTGAATCAGGCAGCCTTCAGAACCAGATAGGTTCAGAGCAACTTGGAGCTGCCACGACGTCAGATAACATTTATGAACAGAAAAAGAAAAGTGAAGTACAGAAAGCAGAAGTGAGGTCCAGAGATAGCTGGATTGGTTACAGCTCAGTTTTTGCCTTATTTGAACATATTTTGAAAAAGTGGCTGCCTGTAATTGGCTGAAACTCAGCCACTGTGATTGGCTGAGACTCAGCTACTTGTCACAAGAGTAGGTTACAGTCTGTTTACACATCCAGTTAGGTCATAGTTCACTATGTATGGAAAAACCTTTAGGCCAAACTTAAATTATGTAAGGAGGCAGCTTTAGGCTAAACTTCTTTTAACAGTGTGGAATAACAAATACATGTGGTGTTTGTCCTCAATTTCTGGCACAGAGCTCCTAAAACCTTTGGAACTTCCTGAATGATAGGAGTCTTTGTTATTATTTCAGCCACAGCAGACTTTATGCTAGTGGGTGACTCTTGGTGGGCCCCAACATAGTTTCAGGTGGAGGGCTGGCTGCCAGAGGAACCAAACAGGTGGTTAGAGGGTTTGAATGTTCAGCCCCACCCCGTGACCTATAGGGAGGGGAGCAGGGCTGGAGACCAAATCCAACCGCCAAGGGCCAATGATTTAATCAACCATAATTACCTAGTGAAAACTCCATAAGAACACTTCAGCAACAGGGTTTGAAGAGCTTCCAGGCTGGTGAACACATCAAGGTGCTGGAGGCTGTCTTACCCAGAGAGGGCATGGAAGCTCCACACTCCTTCTCCACACCTGGCCCTAAGCATTTCTTCCATTTGGCTGGTTCTGGGTTCTAGCCTTTATAATAAACCAGTAATGCTAAGCGAAGCACTTTTCTGAGGTCAGTGAGTCATTCTAGTGAATTATTAAATCTGAAGGGGGATTGTAGAAAACCCTAAATTTGTAGTTGGCAAGGCAAAAATGTGGGTAGCCTGTGCACCCCATTTGCAGCTGGCATTCCTAGTAGGAGCAATCTTGTGAGACTGAGCCCTTAACTTGTGGGGTCTGGGCTAAATCCAGATAATGTCAGAACTGACTTGAATAGAATTGTTGCACCCAGTTGGTGTCAGGGAATCACAGAATTGATTGATCTGAGGAAAAAACCTCTCAATAACACTGTACTGAGGCTCCAGAGGTAGCCTTGGACTCAAGCACAAATAAAAAGAAATTCTCTTCTGGGCCTTCAACGTTAACATGGACAATGTGGATTTTGTTATAAGAAAGACTTAGTTTAAACCTCCAATCCAGAAATTACCTACTCCATGAATCTGAATTGCTTCCTGACTCAGTCTCCTTTCCTGCAAAAGCAAAGCAGGATAATTCTGCCATGAGGCCACTGGAACGATGAATAAGATAAAGGATGTATTTAGAATGGAGCCTGCATGTTGTAGGGACCTTAAAAATGGCATTTATTTTATTCAAGACCTCAGTCATAGGAGGAAACCTGATGATAGCACCAACATTCATCCTGAGTACAGAATATTTCAGCTTCCTGTGTGATATAATTGGGCTGAGAGATTCCAAAGTAATTAATGGTCAATATTGCAATAATTTGGCAAAACTGCGTTGGGCATTTACCATGTACCAGGTGCACTGGGGATACAGGGAAATAATCTGACAAAGTCCCAGCCTCCTGGTGCTTCCATTCTACTGGGTGGAGACAGATAATAAAATAAAATAAATATATATATATATGATGAGGATAAATGCCATGGAGAAAGCAAAGCAGGGTAGGGAAGTAAGAAGTACCTGCATGTGAGGGCTATTTTATATTAGGTGGCCAGGGACACCCTTACTGAGAAGTAAGGAGACAAGCTATGCAGATGTCAGAAGGAAAAGCATTTCAGGCAGAGGGAACAGCCATCGTAACTAACACGAGGCAGAGCATTCTCGTCATGTTCACCAAACAGCGGTTGGAGTGGAGAAAGAAGCAGGAAAAGAGATAGGAAATGAGGTCAGAGGGAGAAGGGGGCCATTTCCAGTATGTCATTCAAGATCATGGTAAGGGTTTGGGCTCTTCTCTAAATGAGGTGGAGGGGAGGATTCTATCAGAGCTATGAGGTGGTCTAACATGTTTTAGGAACTGCCATTTACTGAGATGGAGAAGAATGAAAGAAACAGCATGCTGGAGTTTGTTTTGGAGGAGTGCACAGGAGGCTGGCGGGAAATCAGTGTTGCACATGTCAAGTTGGTGATGTCTATAAGACATTCAGGTGGAATCCAATAAGCAACAGAAATAGAAGTCTAGAAGACAGAGATCGATGTGTGGAATGGTATTAAAAACAGGTGCTGCTCATTCTACAGTTTTAAAGAATTCAAGGTCCTGCTGCTAGCACTTCACAGTTCACCTAGCTCTTTGCTATTCAATGGGTGGCTCCTGGACCAGCAGCACAGTATTGCCTGGGAGCTTGTTAGAAATGCAAAATCTCTGGCCCTCCTCATACCTGAGTCAGAATCCACATTTTAACACATTCCCAAGGTGATTGGCCGGTAATTAGTTTGAGATGCACTTGTCTAATTAATATCATCTGGGAAATTTTTTAAAAACTACAGGTCCCACCTCAAAACAATTAAAGTAGAATCTCTAGGACTGGGGCCAAAGCATGGGTACTTTCACCAAGCTGCCTGAGTGGTTCTGATGTGCAGCCTGCCTGGGTTGAGAACCTCTGAGCTGACTCTTCTCATTTCTGTATGTTCCCTCTTTCCTTCCAGGTTTCATTGCTAGTTTTCTTAGAAAGCCATCTCCAAAGAGATGCGGTTCTAAGAGAGGATGCAGGCTGGTAGCTAGAGTAATCATGTCTCCTGGTTTATTGGGGACAATCTAAACATAATTACAATTATTATCTTTCGCTCACAAAAGTACAGATCCCCAACTTTGGCTGGATCGACTTAATGATTTTTCAACCTTATGATGGTGTGAAAGAGATACACATTCAGTAGAAACCATACTGTGAGTCCCCATACACCGATTTTTTCACTTTCAGTACAGTATTCATTTCATGAGATATTCAACACTTTATTATAAAATGGGGTTGTGTTAGATGATCTTCCCCAACCATAGGTTAATGTAAGTGTTCTGAGTTTGTTCAAGGTAGGCTAAGCTAAGCTGTGATGTTCTGCAGTCTAGGTGTATTCAATGCATTTTCAACTTATGATGGGTTTATTGGGGTGTAACCCTGTTGTAAATCTAGGAGCATCTGTATTCTGGTTTAGATGACAAATCATATGTTCTTCCTATGTAAAACAAAATGGCTCTATACTTTATTTCTGGATTACAAAGTCTTATTAAGAACAGGTAGAACAAAATGACAGATGACCTTTGGTTTGACAGGTGAATAAATATGAGGGACCTGGTTCTTAGGTATTAGTTGTTAAAGCCTTCTAGGTACAGTTTATCAAAAATACATACTTAAAGCCGGATGTGGTGGTTCACACCTGTAATCTCAGCACTTTGGGAGGCCGAGGCGGGTGGATCACTTGAGGTCAGGAGTTTGAGACCAGCCTGGCCAACATGGTAAAACCCTGTCCTTACTAAAAATACAAAATCAGCCAGGGATGGTGGCGGTCACCTGTAATCCCCGCTACTCGGGGGGCTGAGGCAGGAGAATCCCTTGAATCCAAGAGGTGGAGGTTACAGTGAGCTGAGATCATGCCACTGCACTTCAACCTGGGCCACAGAGTGAGACTTCCTCTCAAAAAACAAACAAACAAACAAACAAACAAATACTTAAATTCCTCAATTTTCAGGAAGACTGGGGGAAAATCAGGCCCCTCCCAAGGACTGGGGTGAGATCGGGTGTGACTGTATTCTGCCTTGAAAGTACTAAAGCCAAGGGTTGATTAGCCACGGGCTGATTATCAGTCTGTGATTTTCCTAGCCCTTAACAAAACTTCTCCTTCCTTTTCCTTTTGGATCTTCTATTGTTCCTTAACTACTCCACCCACAGGCTGAAAGGGACAAGGGAAGAAGGTCAACGAGAAGCTAATAATAGCAGCCCTGCTAATAAATTGGATGGGAAAGAAAACGGAAACAATTGTACTGTTTCTGGTTACCTGTGATTTTAAACCCTTTTGGCTCATTCCTTTTTCCAAATGATTACCAGCTGGTTTGAGGGCTCATTGAAGGCCTACTGATTGCTGGTAAAATTAAAATAAACTTGTATTTTAAAAAACTAGGTAGTCTTCCAGCAACAAGCCTTTGGAAGCTTTCCTTCCTGATTTACCAAGGACACAGAGTGGGATCAGGGCAAGAACCTGCCCATCTCATCAGGGCCCTCCCCGGCCCATCCTCTCCTTACCACCAATTCGTAGGCACATATGGATATAATTTTTAAAAAATATTTTTGATGTAGATAAGAAATTGATATTAACTTAAATAGCATAATCACTGTTCTACAAAAGGATGCAAATGGAAAATCTACATGTGAGTATGGTCTAAATGCATATAGATTATATCACAAGTTTTCCTAATTGCATCACTAGGATTGTTATGAGTATGTCTGCAAGGCAATCAGTGTAAATGCTTAAAACATGCTCTGTTCACATGTGTTCAAAATGTCTGGAAAAGAAACTATCCATGGCCAAAGTAAAATAGCCAGATATTAATAAGCCAGTTGAAGGGAACTCTCTGTTCTCTTGCAAAATAATTTAAGTGTAGATGGCTATTGGGTTAGAGTGGGTAAAACATCAAAAACTACCTGTTGAATTGGAACAAGATCAGCAATGGAATCTCTGCAGATTAGAGAAGGTGGAAGGGGTTCTTTTGGTAGCTGAGAAAGCAACACAAGCAGGTCTTTCCAGTCAGGCCCTGATCAGGAATAACACTAGCAGCTTCAGGAGTACATCTTACTTTTATCTCTGTTCAACAGTTAATCAAAGGCTTTTTAGAAGGCAGAAGCAGGTGGTCCTGGAAAGCAACCCTGTAAGGAGCCCTCAAAATGCTCCCACTTAAAGGCTTAGGTAGAGTTCAGCAGTAATTAAGACAGGTTGGCCTGCTGAGAGAATCTTCTTGCTTTCCCCTAGGTGGTTAGATTTCTTTTAAAATCTTACTCTATGTTATATCCTGACTCAAATGTATTATGCAATAGGGCTTAAGTTGGTGAGTCAATGATGTATGGTATTTTAACAAGGAGTTCTATTTTAATGTAAAACTTTTAGCTAGATCATGTGCTACATACTCGGGGGCCCATCGAGCCAGGTCTAGGAAAACTCTTGCTTCTGAGGAGAAGGGAGGGGAAATCAGAAATTCCAACAGCAACGTCAGTGAAGGGATTCGCCAACCCTTCAAAGTGGCAAATTCTTTCCACCAACAGGATGAGAAATGTGCAGTCATGGGGACCAAAACCAGCATGACTTATGTTTCCTTTACTCACATGACCTTCTAAGAGTAGGCTGATGGAGACTTTCAGCTTCAAAGGAAGCCTTGGGAAAAGAAAAAAAAAAAGCACTGCTTTTGTGGACTGCCTCAGGGAGAGACTCTTGTGTGTATAGGATTGTTGTGACACTTGTCTAATGGCCTGGTCTCAGTCCAGTGCGGAGGGTAAATAAAAATAAGCAAATATCACAGCCACTTGCCCTGTGCAAATAGGGAAAAGAATGTTGAGGAAAAAATAGCCCGGAGTCAGAGTGAGTCAGAGTTGGTGAGGCCAGGAATATCATTCCTCACGTACGTAGCTCTGGACTTTTAGGCCCCTGCTTTAATCTCCCTCCCCAACATGAGATGTAGAATAGTGTTTTATTTGGAAAGACAGGGTAAGCCCCAAATTCTTGCATGATTTGGTACTATCTTGGGAGAAATGTACGCACTAACCAATTATTTTGGCAGAGTGTGTCCCATCCCCTGCATGGAAAGGCTATGATCCTGAGAGGAAGAGCCAAGGGCTTCATGCTGGCCACCTGCTTTGCCCACTCATGCTCTTGGTAACCCTGAGAATAGCTCTCAGCCTCCTCCAGCCTCTCCTGTCCCATCTAGGATGATTTTACTCCAGACAGATCTTCTGGCTGTAGGGTCAGGTGTAAGGATCTGTAGCACCCATTATTGCCAAGTTCTTTGAGACTCTCCAAAGAAACAGACCATGAAAAAAACAAAACAAAACAAAACAAAACAAAAAAACCCCTAAACTACTGACAAAGAAAGAAAAGCCTGCCAGGTATCTTACTCCATCAGGGCAAATTATAGCTAGAAATTCTGAGCACCTCTAAAATGAGTAGCAGTGAGTATTTCTCTGTTTCTCTACTTTTCCACAAAGGAAGTATGGCAGGTAGAACCAATGTTTTCATCTGAAAAAATCATCTTATCAAGGACCTTGCTTCAAAACCCAGATTGAAGACACCAAGAAGACAGGAGCAGCCAGCTGTATAGCTTGAAGTACCCAACATTAAAGTGAGTCATTTCTGGTATTAATTAATGTTGGCTGGAGCTTTAATGAATGTGGGAGTGGAGAGGCTTATGGTTGTGTTATTTATGATTTTTCTGAGTTCTTAATTAGCCTTATTGTTGAAAACATGAGGAGACTTTGCCAAACAGTCTGGCTTAGCCTTGTCAATGTGCTTCCTTAACTTAAAAGGCCACCTATATCCTCTCCTCTCAGAGTGGACAATGTAGCAATCTCAGAGACAAAGCCCATCTGTATTGGCACCTCAAGGTCATGGTCCAAATGTCTGGAGATTCAAAAGTTACATAAGCGTAGTCAAGGCTCTGAGAGTTTCACCAGTTTGACTCTAACGCTAAATTTCCTTGTCTATAAAAGGTGCTTTTTCTTTACCCCAATTAACAAACCACTCAACAGTCAAGAGAGGACAGTTGTTTGGGAAATGCTGGTCTAAACGGATTACAAATAGATGCGAGAGAGCAATTTTTCTGTTTCAAACACTGTAATGAACGAATTAAACTTGCTTGGAGTTGCCCTGAGCTTGTCCTCCAGCTGAAATTATCATGTACCTTTCCAGGAGGTAAAATAGCCCCACTAAAGGCCCATGGAGCTCTCTAAATTTGCCAGGAGCTGCGAGACACACTGCTGGGAGCACAGCTGTTTCTGTACCTGTGGCTCCTGGTCATGGCCGCTGGGATCCCTCTCGTAGCTCTCTGCGTACAGTCTGAGGGTGGCCCGCACACCACTGGAGGAACTGAGCCGGAAGATGAGCCGTGATGCATCCGAGAAAATGATCCTTAGGCCCTGAGACCAAGAACATCCAGAATGGAGCAGTGAGCAAATGAATACACAAGTAATAATCATTAATACCTGCCACAGAAATCAGCATGTTTTTATACCTCAACACAATCAGAATCAAGACCATTTATATTGGCTCTGGATACAGGGCATGTAATGAATGTGATGAACCTACTTAGAGTTACCCATTTGTCTCTTTATTCTATTTCCGTTGCTTTGTGGTTAATGTGGGGAAAGAGGAGCAAAGCTGTGAACAGATACTCAAGTTCTCTTGGGCTGGTGATATGGGAATCAGAAAGAAGTGGAAGTCACAGGGATGAAATGATATTCAATAAATATTCCTAGGGCCAAAGTTTGTCCCTTGTAAATCTGTGGATTAAGTGAAAGCAGGCAATTTGTCTATTACAGTAAGACGGATTGCCCACATTAAGGTTACCCCAGCATGAGGTTAGGCTGCAGGTTCCTCTGCTGGCAAGGGAATGCTCCAGTGAAGTGCCCAGGGCTGGAGCCTCAGCTAGGCTCTGGGGGTAGCCAAGTACACTGCCATCCTCTTGGCTCTGTCTTTTCTTCTGTCAATCGAGAAAAATGACAAGTCTCAATTATTTTAGGAGGTTTATTTGCCAAAGTTAAGGATGCACACCTAGGAGACAGGTCTATGCCTTTCTCCAAAGATGATTTTGAAGGCTCCAAATTTAAAGGGGAAAGGGCAGGATATTGAGAAGTACACAATTTTCATGTAAGAGGTGGGTAGGGAAAAACAGTCATTCATGCCTTTGTCTGGCTCAGTGAATCTGCATTTTTTTTTAACATAAGATGACACAGACAAATGAGGCAGAGGAAAATTGCAGGGAATCTGCATTTTATATAAGATAACAGACAAAACTGGGCCAGGGGAACAATCAGATATGCATTTGTGTCTGGTGGGCCAGGGGTGACTGCATCTATAAACTATCAATTTATATTGCCATGGTGAAATTTTAATAGAAACACCTTTAGTGTAAAGATCTAGCAGCTCACTGGGAATTCCCTTGTGGGCAAAATATGGGGGAGGCATGTAGCTTTTCATCTTGTAGCCATCTTATTTAGGAACCAAAAGGGGGAGGCATGTTTGCGTGACCCAGTTCCCAGCTTGAATTTTCCCTGTGGCTTAATGAGTTTGGGGGTCCCAAGATTGAATTTCCTTTCACACTTCTTACCTGACTTCTTTTTTGGCCTGACCACCAGAGTGGGGTGGGGCCAGAGCTGTGGCCACATCTACTAGTGCTGCCTAGGATTAATTCCTCATTGGCTCAGCACATCTCCATTCGCTATGTATCTCTTCTCAGTAGAGGCAGGGATATTGTAAAATTATGACCATAAGATGATACTGTGACTTCTGTTGAAGGAAATGTGTTCTCCTAAGACAACTGATAAGGTAACTCTTGTAAATAAGCATATTGGCAGGGGCCAGGGGAAGGAAGAGGAGGCAACAAAATAATATATCTGGTGATTTGTTATTTTGGAAAACTTCTATGTCTCAGGAGACATTGATATCAGGCATTCTCCCAAAGCAATTTATCCTTGAAATTTCTCTGGCCTCAAGTCCTGTTTAAGAATAAGCCATTAGTAAAAATATATATACCTGCTGCATATGTGACTGCAATTATTTACCCCCACCCCCATCTGGTGATATCTGCTGGGAGACACTATGGTTCCATCTGAGTGTCTTTATGCTTTTTTCAAGTTGTGTAGGCTTTTTTGTTTCAATCCCCAAATAAATAGCTTTAGTTTCTTTTGGAGTGGTTCAATGTCTGCCACAATTTGTGTAACCAAAGGGAGCTATCTCCCCTACTGGCAACCAATCACTCTGTAATACTGGCTTTGCAGACAGGATGATATTATCCAGGATTTATTCACTGGGCAAACATTTTAGTGTGGCCCTTATGGATTAGGCACTGTGCTAAATCCTGGGTATATGAATATAAAGACACAATAGTTGTCCTCCTTAAGCCTGGAGTAATTTTTTACAACGAACAGAAACTGTCTTCTTAACCACCTTATGCTGCTGGAGAAGTGAATAGTTACAAAATTCCAAATGGAGCAAGTGAAGCAATTACTGACTGTCTACAAATCACTGTATTTCAAGTTACGTTCAAACCTACAATAAATCCCCAAAAGTCTCACAATTATATTGATATTCACAGCCTTGTTTTTACAAACTCTTTTGAAGCTGTTACCTATGTTTAAGCCTACATTCCCGTTGTCACTACACGTGGGGCGCGTGAGCACGTGACTCTGCTCAGAACTATGGCTTACCCATAAATTGGTTAAAGCAATATCTAAGGATGAGGTCCTAACCCACCTGTTGCAGATTCCAAGTCACTTGGGATTACCTCTTCTGATGAGCCCCCAGACTCAACCCTTTGAAGTACCTCCCATTAAACAATTAACATTCTCAGATTCATTTTTGGCCAGTGAGGGGAAATTTAAGAATTCAGGTCATAACAAACTATAAACATGTGTTATCTGCTCATAACTAAGCCTTTTAAAAATGAAATAATGTTATTGTTTTCCCCTGAGGTTAATTATAATGTCTTTGACTATACTACATGCTACATGCCTAGAAGATTGTTAGAACCTATGTCTGGTAGCCTGGAATAGATTTCTCACTTGGAAAGATGACAAAGATGTGAATAGCATGCATCAGCCTACTGGAAATGGTCCAGCATCTTCCCTCTTTCCTAGGAAACTAACCATGAGATCTTAACTGAGAATCCATGTTGCTTTTCAAGACCATTCCAGGTGAGGAACATCATTAATTCTCCTTCTCCACATGGAATGTAAGGGTTTCTTTAGAGCCAGCCTAGTTCTGTGCTGCAACAATCCCAGCACCATGTCTGCTGAGGCCCCCTTTTATGTGTGAATAGCTGTATTGGATTGCTTTGGGATCTGCATGTTCTTTCAACGAACTTAATGAATTTGCAACCCAGACACGAGCCATGTTCTTTCCATCATGTGTCATCACCCAATAGCATTTAAACTATGAAGCCAAAGTTACCACTGACCAAGACTTGCAAAGTTTCCAATTGTTCCTGAATTTCAATGAAAGAATACCAATAATCGCATTTATTTTTTAGGTTATACTAGGGGTTGGCACTATGTAGCCTGTAGGTAAGAAGTTGACCTGCCACCTACTTTTATGAAACAAGTTGTACTGGGGCACAGTCGTGTCCATTCATTTATATCTTGTCTATGGCTGCTTTTGTGCTGCAGTGGCAGAGATGAATAGTTGTGGCAGAGACCATCTAGCCCCCAAGGTATAAAATATTTACTACCTAGCCCTTTACAGAAAATGTTTGCTGACCCCTGGTATAAGGCATTACATTATTCACAACATAGAATACTTGCCTTTTATCCCTACAGCATAAGATAGAAAATATAACCATTTGAATTATCAAAATCTCAGTAGAGAGAAATTATGTTTATGTAGATTGTTATAAGGATATAAAATCCCTCCATTCCCTGGTGTTCCAGCTTCTAGTCATAGGTTCACCTGAACCTGTATTTGGCTCAAATCAACTTACCTCTCACCACCTACTCCTAACATAAATGAATTTATTAAATTGCACTTTAGTTTTATGTTCTCACTTTTACTGCAGGATGCTACAAGCTATGTCTTATAAAATCCACTTTTGTAGTCACTAGTAGAAATATTGTTAGAGGCTGTATGAAGCTCTGCCTGAGACATTCCTTCAAGAGCCAAGTATTAGGAAAGCCTTTCCTTCCCTAAGGAACTTGTATTCTTTTTCTTTCTGACAATAAGAACTTTGTAACTAACCACATTTCCCTTTTCGATATGGCTGCCAGGATACTTAATGCCAAATTTGAGGTTCAGCCCAAGTGGATCCTCATGACTTGCATGACTATAAATTTTTCTTCTTCTGTTCTTGACTCTACTCTTACTTATATATTCCCTAGTCTTGATTTATGTTTCTTATTTATATTCTAACAACTTCATTATGTGTGTTTTTGCCGCCACAAGTCTTGAAGAAACAAGGCTCAGTGAAAATGAATAAAACAAGTTTCCACCGCAGTGTTAACCTTAAAATTTTGGACTTGCTGAGTTATGACTTTGGGTTCTTCATTAGCTAACAAGCTCTGGGAGGACAGAGCCTTATATACCTCATTCATCATCATTTTATCCACATAGCCTAGGACAATGCCTGGCACACTGTAGACCTTCCATAAACACTTGTTGAATGAATGTCACTGCACGTTCGACAACTAAAGTGAGCACCACTGCAGTCCCCCTGAGGCAGTCTCAGAGAGCCTGCCTTCGCATTTAGCAAGGATCCACAGGCTACATGAAAACACATGCACGTTCTTCATGGTGAACTAGAGCTGATGTATCTACCTTGAAGAGTGGTTGCAAAAGATAAACTAAGAAAGTGCCTGGCATAGCATCATCATGGCAGGGCTTGACTGTTTATTCCTCCACCATTTCTCAAGATGTCTTAAGACAAGGGCCAGTTTTGGCTAAAAACAATGGAGTTGAACCATGGTAGGTTCTTGTCCCCAGATGTATGACCTTAGGCAAACCATTAGCTCATTAATTGCAAAATGCTACATATTGAAATCAGTGGGAGGTCTTTAAAAAATGGTGGTGCCTGGCTTTCACCCCAAACATTGTGATTTAATTCTTTTGGGGTGTTACTTGGGAATTAGGATTTTAAAAGCTTTCTGGGTGATTCTAATGTGCAGTAACTAATTGCAATAACCTCTTTTTTCTGGGTCACTTGCCTCATCTATCAAGTGACTGGACTGTGCTACATGTCCCTTATAAGGAAGGTCCCTTTAGGATTTAAGGTTTCATACATAGGCTCTCACTGGGCTGGGACTGTAGGAGGGCTGTTAACACAGTGAGGCTAATAAAACAACTTCATGCCACTGAATCCTGAAAGCTTCCCCCTGGGGCCTTGTCAGCAGCAGAACCACCTCTTGAACCATCTGACATTATTATTTTTTTTTTTTAGCACAGTCTTCGTAGGAATTCCTGGAGCAACTGTGAAAGAATTCATGATATCTCACTAGCCACAGCAGCTAGAGTAGCCGGAATATCCAGGATGACACATAGCCACACACTCAAAAAAGGGAAAAATATGCTCTCCTTTATTAGAAGACAATGTTAATTATGTGGTGGGGAGGAGTGTGGGTATCAAAAGAGCACTTCAGTTCCAGCTTAGTGTTTTCCTTACTTTTCAGTGCCTGTGGTTGTGAGCTTTAATGATGACAGTCGAGTTCTGCTCACCTTAGCTTTGTCCCAGTGAAGAATGATTGATAAAGGATTTCATAACCCTTGTCCATATGCAGCTATCTCCACACAAAAATCCTTCAGTGTGCTTCCAGTTATCACTGTAGCATCTCTTTTTCTCCCTGGATTTGCCCCCTCTTTGATTTGCTGTTTATGAAGAGTCAGTTTGGAAATGATACAAGAATAGCAACTGGATAAACTCAGGCTAGAATGCTGGCTTGGCCACTTTTTTAGCTGGTGGTCTTGAGTCACTTAAGCTCTCTAAGCCTTAGTTTCCTAAAAAGCAGTTGAAAAATAATACAGCCTAGCTTATTGGGTTGTTGTGAGTGTCAGATCTTAACATCCTGAAAGAAGGATCTTAGAGTCATTCTTGCCAATCTCTCTTTTTATTGAAAAGAAAGAAGTTAAAACACTTGCTCAAGGTAACGTATTTAGTAAATGGAGGAGCTTCATTTACTTCCATTTAGGTCTTCTGACTCTAGGCTTACAATCTGAGGTTGAACCATATGCAACTACTGATATTCACACATTGCTTCTCATGCGAAATATCTGAACAATATCTTATGTTTTGTATTTTTCCCAAAGCTGACACAGAGCCTTATGTAGAGTAGGTATCTGATAAATGTTTGATAAATAAATGTTAGGGTTTTTACTATTTTTTTAATTTTAAAAATAAACCCTTGTGTAAATCAATACAGGGAAATCTGTAAGTTGCTAAATACACACAGAGCTGCCAGATATTAGTTTGGAGACTGTAGGACATGTTGTAGCCAGGCAGGGAAGGGTGAACTGTACATTACCAACAGTTATTTGGCAGCATTGGACCTAGTCAAATACTGACTTGGGATGAATTCCAGGGGAAAACAGCATATGGCCCTGCAATCTGGTACAGTGTCGCATATATAGTCAGTTGGCCACAGCAGGCATGTGAACCTGGAGACAGGACAGCCTTGGAAGAGAGAGACTCTGCGAGCCTAACTCAGATCTTATCTCCCACAGGAAATCACAACGATTTATCTGGAAAGCGTCAAGGTGAAGATACTGCTTCGTAACATCTGAACCATATTTTGTAGAAGTGGGCATGCAGCCTAGAAAGCAGGAGATTTGGATTGAACAGACGTATCTTTCCACACACACTAAAAAAACCCACCTAGAATTACCCATTTTTCTTTGTTTAATAATTCATAGAGTTAGCTGTGAGCATGAGTCCAAAAGTGGTTGAGCAAGGCAGCAGTTACTCCATATGGTGCTTTTGTGTGAGTTAAAAACAGGTGCCCCCCTCTACCCCCAGCATGGATAAATTGCAGAAAACCATCCTTCCTTCGGCTGGCTTGGACTTCAGCTTCTCCTTCCCCATTAGGCTGGGTACCATTGTGCAGTGTGCTGACTGCACAGCCATACTCAGCTGCCCTGCTCTTGGGAGCAGTTCTCACCCAGCCTCTTTTAAAAACCAACCAGCCTTCTTGGGGGCTAACAATTGCAAAGAACTATCTGGGGAAATCAAGGTCAAGTGACTCCTTACACGCTCTTTTAAAGCACTCACCTAGAAAAGCCATGCTAGGTGATGAGAGGGCTGCTGGAGGGCGAAGACTTGAAAGCTATTCCTCATCCAAATTCCAACTCTCAAAACTGGAACAATGGAACAAAATCATGCACCTTCTATTTCCCCATTTCTTTGGCCAATGACTGCTGATCCCTGTTCACACAATATCCACCCCAGTTCTGGGATATTTTGGATTCAGGCACACTTTACCCAGACAACGGCATAGCTTCCTCCCTTAGTTCCTGTGATCATTTGCAGCTTTTCTCTTTTATATTTATATTTCCTGGTGAAGCTCATCCACCCGACAACACAGAGACATTAGTATTCCAATAGAAAGTAACTGTGTTGTCATTCGATAATGCTTACACGCTTGCTACACATTTTAGGACAATTTTACTACTGACACTTTAGACAATAGTTCTAAAGCAATCAACTTATGCCAGGAGAAGGTAATTCTTTATAACAATACTCCAGTTAACCAGAAACAGGGAGATGAGAACTTCCCGACTAACCAGAAACAGGGTCTCCCTCATTCTATTTTCTTTCTCGCTTTTTTAAAAATTTGAGATGAGGTCTCGCTGTGTTGCCCAGGGTGATCTTGGACTCCTGGACTCAAGCAATCCTCCTGTCTCAGCCTCCCAAGTAGCTGGGACTACAGGCATAAGCCATTGCACCCAGCTTCCCATTTTATTTTCAAATCAGCTGACAGGTCATTATAAAGTACTGAATATGCGTTTGGCCTTCAGAGGACAAATAGGAAAATCACAGGAAAAGTGGCTAGTAGAAATTATTTTTTTAAACCTATGGTTTTCAAAATGTCCTAGCACAAGCCATAGTGCAATACAGAGCCCGACTGTCTTTATTTTCCCCAACTACAGTGTTGTAGAGTGAGCACTGAAGTTGAGAATCCTAATCACAGTTATCGTAGCATCCCATTGAGAATGCCTATAGGAAACCTTAGCTCTTTATCTGGAGAGCTAAACAACCATATAACAACCACATTGGACTGAAGAAAAGCAAAGAGTCTGATAAAATGGTTTCACCTGGGCTGCCTTCTACCCATTCTTCAGAGTACAACTTAGATATCACCTCTCTATGGAGAACTTTCTAGAGCCCTAGTCTAGTTTCCCCCGCTATGCACACCAAATAAGTTCTTCCTCTGTAATACCGTTCAACAAACTCTACAGTAATTAAAGTTTAATATCAATTTATCTTCCCTGCTAGATTTTAAGCAGCAGACAGGAATCTCAACTGTCCTGAATACTGTTGTATCCTCGGTGCTAATGAGCTGACTGGCGTCTAGTAGGTGTTTGGTAAATACTCACTGAATAGATGAAGTTGTAAATGAATCAGCCTCTAACAACCTTCACCATATTAGACTAAGTTAGGAAAGGAATATATGTTTATTGCAGAGATTCTTTTCAACATCACAATTTTCAAAGAAAAAGGTTTTTTTAAACCCACATCGAATCACAATAAACTAAATGTGATAATAGCCCATTCACTTAAACAGTTCTGTGACTCAGTGTAGAAGTGCTATTTGTGGGTATGCTAATTTTCAGATTTAACTAAATTCTATAGGTGGGTTAATCAGTGTGACTAAAATGATTTCTGAGGCTCTACTTCCAGATGCGCAAACCACACTCCAGCAAATGGCACTCCAGCAAAAGGGACAAGGATAAATTGTTACAATTATAGTCTCTCAATTAGTTCATTGATTAGAATGTGATCAAAGTTGAAGTTGAGGTCAGGCGCAGTGGCTCACGCCTGTAGTCCCAGCACTTTGGGAGCCCGAGGCAAGCAGATCACCTGAGGTCAGGAGTTTGAGACTAGCCTGACCAACATGGTGAAACCCTGTCTTTACTAAAAATACAAAAATTAGCCGGGTATGGTGGCGCATGCCTGTAATCCCAGCTACTCGGGGGGCTGAGGCAGGAGAATCTCTTGAACCCAGGAGGTGGAGGTTGCAGTGTTGCAGTGAGCCAAGATCATGCCACTGCACTCCAGCCTGGTGACAGAGCGAGACTCCGTCTCAAAAAACAAAAAACAAAACAACAACAAAAAACAAAAACAAAAAGTTGAAGCTGAAATTTGACTAGCTAACTCTGAAGAGAGAAGAACTCAATCTTAAAGCTTCAGATTCTCCAGTTGATATGATTCAGTTGCTTTTATACAGTGCTGGGGACAACACCTTAGTGAGCTGCTTCATATTTGCTGACCAGGGGTTTGTTGCATCGAGGTACATATTAAAACACCACATGCTGGAAATAAAATGTGACTTTGAGATTGCCAATTTACTATTTCTAAACACTGAAATTAAAAAGAGCAGACACCTTCTTGCAAATTAAAATAACAACGCTAAAAGAAAACTGACTTCAAAATCAGTCTTCAAAGTGTGCTTTTTCTCTGAACTAAATTCAAACGGTTCTTTTTTTCCAGGTTAAGGACAACATCAAAATGTTTCCACATAGCCTGCTTAACTTGAAGAGGTATTAATCAGCTCAGAGTTAGCCTGACATAATCAAATTGGATTTGGTTTTCCACATCACCTAACTGGTATGCATTTATTTACATCAGCTTTTTAACCATCAGCTGAACTGTGACTTGCAAATGACTTCAGCACTGGAAGAGTTTCATGATTTTTGAGCTTGTTAGAAATATAGGAGTTGGTTTGGGAGGCCGAGGTGGGCGGATCACTTGAGGTCAGGAGTTTGAGATCAGACTGGCCAACATGGTAAAACCCTGTCTCTACTAAGGGTATAAAAAAATTAGCTGGGCGTGGTGGTGCACGCCTGTAGCCCCAGCTACTCAGGAGGCTGAGGCACAAGAATCGCTTGAACCCGGGAGCAGAGGTCACAGTGAGCCAAGATCACACCACTGCACTCCAGCCTGGGCGACAGAGCCAGACTCTGTCTAAAAAAAAAAAAAAAGAAAAGAAAAAGAAAAAAGAAAACAACAACAACAACAACAACAACATAGGATTAGGATGAGTCATAAAAAGAGACTCAGTTGCTTAAATTTTGCTCCTGAAGTGTCAAGGTTTCTCATTTCAAATCCAGTTTTCAAAATATAGGTCATGGTTCTGGATTGATACCCACCATAGTGGAAATATGCTGTCTCTCAATGTGGAGCCATTTCTGTCACACTGTCCTTCACTCACAATACCAGGATTGGAGTATTCCTTCTATCAGAGCTGGGGGAGTCTCACAACTGTGGCACTGAGTGGAGATTCCAGGACTTAGGCCACATGTTAGAGATGGAGAAAAGATCATAGTAAGAGACAATCTTGATAATATTCTTTAGGGTATCGATGGTGAAGGGAAGAAAGAGCTCACCTAGCATGATGGATGGAAACCCTCGATGTTTGCACAATGAAGTCGCCCCTGAAGAAAGAGTGGCTCACCCTGCAACCCACATGAATCACACAACTCCTCTCTGTCCTATCTCTTTAGAAGGTATAAACTGGGAACTCCTTTAACTACTTAGCCATTTGATCAAAGTGCTCCCCTATTCTCATTGTAGCTATAGGCTTATTTTTTTCCACTTATATTTGAAGAAAATAGCATCAGTCAGTCCTTCATGTGACTAGATTTCACTTGAAAATAGTGACATATCCTCATGAAGATAGAAGGAAGAACTGCAGTTGTTGAACCATGCCTCATGAAAATGCTTTCTAAATCAAACAGAGTCTCTCTTGGGCCCTGTATAGTGGAAAGCACACATCAATTTTTCTCTTGGCATCCGAGGTCACACATGCATCAGACACTTGGAGGCAGCCATAGTAAATCCCATGAAACCAAACATGCCACATTGAGGCCAGGGAGGTCCCTGGGAAATCATGTCAGGGGTTGAGAACTTCAGGGTTTCCTTCTTGCTCCTTGAATGGTCCCATAAAGCCAGGCAGGATAGCCTTCACTGAACGTTTCCACAGCAGCAGGGTTGGCAGTAGTGGGGTGGTTATCACCAGAACAGGATTTTAATTTCATTTTGGATGGAGAAGCATTTCTACTTTATCTCTGGAGATGTATGTGAAACAGGATTTTTTTCCATGGTTTATTTCCTGACTCTGACCTCAGGTCAAGGACATAAAGGAGACCAAGCTGCCTTAAAAAACCTTTCGCTTTCTAAAGCAGAGTGTGTGTGCTGGGGGATGGGAGAGGGGGAGAAATATGAGTTTGAATCAATTCCCAGATGACTTAGAAACTGAAGGGGCCTTCTCAAATCTTTATGTGACACTGCAAAATTGTGTGTTTTTTTTCTGCTTTTCTTATCATATCTGGTTCATTCAATGCTACAGTCTTTCCCAAGGATGCTTTTTTTAAAACATAAATAATTTTATTTAACCAATTGTTATCATTTGTTATGTGCCAGGATTTTATAAGTGTCATCTCACTTAATTCTCCCAAACGCTTATATGAGACAGCCACAATTATTATTCCTATTTCACAGATTTTAAAAATGCAGGTGTAGGGGGGTTGAATAGCTTGCCTAAGATAACCCAGCAAGGAGGTGGCAGAGTTGAGGCTCAAACCCAAAACTTTCTGACTTCAAGCCTGCACACCCAACCATTGCTCACACGATTTACAATGGCACCAAGGTTGCCTTGGGTGCTCTGGAGCAGAAAGCTGCTCTTGAAGAGAATTTCTGTATAAAACGGGAACAGCACAAATTTTAACAATTCATTGTTGAAAATTATTTCTGCTATCTACTTTTTTTTTAAGTAAGTAGAATTTAACCCAAACAAGAGACAACTGGGAATCTCCCACTACCTTGGGATCATCAATCTGAGCCTCAAATTTTACTGCAAAGTACTTTTAAAATAGAATAAATAGAAGAGTTGGGTGAGGGTTTTCTAACCCTAGGGCACACTGATTATTACTTTTAAAAATATACACCTGATTTGTGTGTGTGTGTGTGTGTGTGTGTGTGTGTGTGTATGTGCGTGTGACACAGAGAGAGAGAGAGAGAGAATAGTTGTATCCTTTTCTTGAACTGATATTCAATCAAATTAAGGATTCTGGTCAAGGGGAGGGAACTGATATTTCTTGAGCATCAATTAGGTACTTGCCGCTGTACCTGAGGCTTCACATGACTTTCTCTTCAAACTTTCCCCATGATGCATGTGTGATAATTATCACTAGCTCCTCCCCTCAAGATGAGGTTCAAAGAAGTTAAATAATATGCCTAAAATCACAAATCTAGGCAGTGACAAGGCCAGCTTTCAATCCTGTGTCTATCTGACTCCAACACAAGAGAATACTGAAGAGAACCACAACAACCTGCCTCCTGTAGGAAGCAGACACTTGGCAGTATTATGTCTCCTCTGAGCTTTGCTAACAGAGAGATATAGTTCTGTTTCTCCTTATAGAAATCAAATCTCCTTCTATCTTAATTTAAAAATAATCCATAATATAGTAGGTTGTTTTAAAATAACAGTATTTTTAAATCACAAAGACATAATAACAAGGGTTAGCAAAGGTGTGGAGAAACTGGAACCCTCATATACTGTTGGCAGGAATGTCAAGTGGTGCAATTGCTTACGAAGACCATATGGCAGTTCCTTTAAGGGTTAAACATAGAGATACCATTTGACCCAGCAATTCCGCTCCTAAGTATGTACCCAGGAGAATTGAAAACCTATCTCTGCACAAAAACTTGTAGATGGATGTCCACAGCAGCATTATAGTCAAAAAGTGGAAATACCTCACACATCCAACAGCAAATGGATGGATAAACAAACTGTGGTACATCCACGTGATAGAATATTACTTGGTAATAAAAGGAATAAGTACTGATATATGGTACAAAGTGGATGAACCCTGAAAATATTACAATAAGTGAAAGAAGCTAGTCATAAAGGACCTTGTATTATATGATTCCATTTATACAAAATGTCCCAAATAGGCGAATCCATAGAGACAGAAAGATCAGGGGTTGCCAGGGGCTGTGGGTTGGAGGGATGTTGGGAGGAAGATGACAGCTAAAGAGCACAACATTTCTTTTCTGGGGTGATGAAAGTGTTCTGAATTGGTTGTGGTGATAACTGCACAATTCTGTAAATATACTAGAAACTGTTGAAGTGTGCCCTTTAAATGAGAGAACCATCTGGTATATGAATTATATATCAATAAAGATACTATATATTTATATTTTAAAACTGTACCATGAAAAAAAACAAATTATGCATTTGGTAGGCTCTCAATAAATATCCACTGAATGAATGCACCAAGGTACTTAATGGTTATTTTAGAATACTAGTTTATTTAAATTCAAATATGTCTTTCAGATGTCTATAGTTTGAAAAGTATGCTTATTTTGCACTATGTTACCTAAAGTGTACCCCAGACTCAACTATCCCTGGGGCTGAATGCTGATGCATGTTGACATCCTGAGAGGGTCTCAACAACACTGCTATGCAGGGATTCCACCTCTACCCAACAGGACCAACGGCAGCAAAGGAACCATCTGTAACTTGCCAACAATGGGGATGCTGCTAAGTATTAAGTAACTGGTCTCTCATCACCCCCCTTGAGCTAAACCCAGACCTGCAAAGAAGCTCTAGTGTGTCTCAGGACCACCAGCCAATGAAGATATCACCTGGGTCCTGGAATCTGGGAAAAGGAACAAAAAACTTCCTTCTTTCTTTACCAGAAAAATTCCCAAGAGCAGATCCTGGCAGCATGTATCCATTTATAGCTACAATTGAGCTCAGACAGAAGAGTGTAGAAGAGGTTGGGGGAAATCAATACTGTATTAGTCCATTTTCATACTGCTATGAAGAATTACCAAAGACTGGGTAATTTATAGCGGAAAAGAGGTTTAATGGACTCACAATAATGGTGGAAGGCGAGGGAGGAGCAAACACATGTCTTACATGGCAGCAGGCAAGAAAGCATGTGCAGGGGAAGTGCCCTTTATAAAAACATCAGATCTCATGAGACTTATTCACTACCACAAGACTGCACAGGAAAAACCCACCCCCATGATTCAATTACCTCCCACCTGGTCCCTCCCATGACACGTGGGGATTATGGGAGCTACAGTTCAAGATGAGATTTGGGTGGGGACACAGCCAAACCCTATCAAACACATTCCAGTGTAAAAATGAAAACCAACAGTCAGAGTTATGGAGGGGGAGGGGAAATGAAATAAATAGATGAACTTGAGATACAGTTGCAGAACTGGCCTGATGTGAACAGTTAAAGAAAATCTAAGGAAAAGGTATCCAAGCACTGAGTACACTGAGGAAGATATAAGGTAGAGGAATACTGCATTAACAGCAAAACAAATAAGCTCAACAGACAAGCTTCTTGCAAGTAGATAAAATCCATAACTGAGTGCGGATTAGACCATTCCCTTGAAGGAATGGTTTCCGAGCCTTCCTTGTCGGTGAGCAAAAATATCCCAAGGATACTTTAAAAGGCACATTATTTTATATCTCTTGAATTCTACATCAAAATGAGACTTGAATCTAAGAAAAGTTTGTAAAATGGAAGTGGGAATGTGGTCCAAAACTGGAAAAGACCTATCCAGGGCACGGGGGCTCAAAGATGCCAGCTGAGCTCCTGACTTTACAATTCCAAGGACTGACTCACTGAGGCCCCAAGGACAGGGATCTTTAGTTCTTGGTAACTTTTCTGAATCTGTCACCAATAATGGCCACCACATATGAGCACCTGCAGGCTACAAACATTTCATAAGGAAATGTTGGGTCTGTATTTATTTGACATATTGGTCTATCCATTACCAAGTGGGACAAATACTGGACATAGAGTACCCATGTTCTTTTGTTTTTTTTTTTGTTTTTTGTTTGTTTTGTTTTGTGTGTGTGTGTGTGTGTGTGTGTGTGTGTGTGTGTTTGAGACATGGTCTCACTTTGTCTCCCACGCTGAAGTGCAATGGTGTGATCATGAGTCACTGCAGACTTGACCTCTTGGGCTCAAGCGATCCTCCCACCTTAGCCTCCTAAGTGGCTGGGACTACAATTGTGTGCCACCATGCCCAGCTATTTTTTTTTTTTTTTTTTGGTAGAGATGGGGGTCTCACTTTGTTGCCCACGCTGGTTTTGAACTCCTGAGCTCAAAAGTGACCCTCCCACCTTGGCCTCCCAAAATGCTGGGATAACAAGTATGAGCCACTGTGCCTGGCCACAGAAAGCCCATGTTCTAATCTACCCTGTGCACTAACTTGTTAGGTGTCCTTCATCAAGGGCTTTCCTCTTTCCTGGCTGCACAGTTCTCATCTATAAAATGAGGTCACCTTAGATCATCCCTAAGGACCTCTCCAGTTCTAGGACATTTTGGCCACTGGTTCTGCCTGATAACCCGTTGTAGTGATTTCCTAGCAAGTACCTGTTTCTTGGTCACAGTGCCATCCACAGGGTCCACGTATTCAAAACTATCCGTCTTCGCCACGCTGTAGACATGGCTCCCCACAGCAAACTGCTGGCCAATGAAGGATTTGTCTGTGACCAGGGCCTCCAGGTCCCTCATGATATAATATGTCGTCTTGGGATCCAACCCCTCATAGTCAAACCTGGTGAGGACACAGGAGGAACAGAAACCTAATCAGAGAACCAGCAACTGGGTGGCCCACTTACAGTTATTTAATCATTGGTTCTGTTTCCAGGGAAGGACAGCACAGAAATGCACCTTCAACTCATCTCCCCTCTTTCATCTGACCCTTACAGTCCATTCCCCATACAGCGGCCAGAGTAATCTTGTAAAAATCAAATCATGCCACTTTCTTTCTATTAAATCCCTCTATAAATTCCCATCACATTGAGAACAAAACTCAACACTTTAACCTTGGTCTATCAGGCACTGTGGGATCTGCCCTGGCCCACCTCTTTGACTCAACTTTGTTCTGTCTTTTTATCATTGTTCACTGGCTCCAGCCACACTGGTCTCTTCTCCAGTGTGCATTGACATTGCACCCTTTCCTGCCTCTGGGCCCTTGCGCTAGCTGTGTGTTCCCTCTACCTTGTACATTCTTCTGCCAGCTCTTCAAATACCAGGCTCGTTCTTTCCTTCCATTTTCAAACCCACTGTCACCATTAGAATGTGACCTTCTCTGACCATCTATCTAAGGCAGCTTCCCCACTCGTCTTCTTCTCTCATCACCCTTCATATTTTCTTTTGGTAGTTATCCCAAACTGTATGTATCTTGTTTGTATATTTGTTTACCTATTCATTGCCTGTCTTTGGCCACCAGAACGTGAGCTCCAGGAACTGTCTTGCTCTCTGCTATTTCTAGTACATAGTAAGTTCTATGTAAGTAGAATGGAATGAAAAATGGGAGAAAGGAAAGGAAGGAAGGAAAGAGAGAAAAATCAAGGAAGGTAAAAAGAAAGGGAGAAGGGGAACTGAGCACAATATAGAACTCTTGGAAACTTGGAAGAAATATCACAATTGTTCCATTCAAAAAAGTCCTCCTAGCCAAGCGTATTAAATGTAACAATGGGGCTGGAAGTCGATTAGAAAAAATAAAATAAAAGACTAAAAATAATACCAATTGCATTTGTCATTGTGGGGTTTAAAATATGATGATGTATACCAAGAGTTGGCACAGTGCCAGGCACTTGTGCTTAAAAACAGCTAACAACTTTTATTTGCCATCACCACCATAAATAAACTATATTTTACAATGTCAGATGGTCTTGGCTGAGACCTAATGGCACACCTAGGACTGTCTGTTTAAGAAGGAAGCCATAGGAGGGGCAGCTGCACCCAAGTCACTTGGAGGATCTTACATTTGGGCTTCCTGTAGCATAGAGAAAGGATGTGAGTTCTCAGAGTGAACTGGAAGAAGGAAGCTCTGAATAGTTGTTACTACTTTTTTCCACTCAAGATCTTTAAGACATCCAGTAAACATCAGCATATTAGCCAAGATGCAAAATATGGAATAATACCATGTCTAGCAATGGGTCCCCTGCATCTACATCCCTTTCTTTTATTCTCTTCCTCCTACACAAGGTGTTTTTTTCTCAGCCTCAGAGGGAAAAAAAAGGAACTCCCTCAGAACATTCTTTTTCAGCAGGGCATATATTCTGAGACTGCAGTCACTTTAAAGGTAGACATTTGGAGAAGGTAAAGACCCAACCAAGGAGAAAGGGGCAGGAAGACAGGAGAAGAGAGTCTAGCAGGAGACAGAGAGGCATTGAAAGAGATTCAGGAGTTGAAAAAAATCCACTAATATGATAGATCACGTTCAGTCTAGGGTTGAGAATCATCAGATCTGTTTGCCCAAACGTTCACCTTCATATACAAGCAGGATCTAGCACTGCCTTCCACCCCCAAATCCCCGTCTGATCACCACCAATAACAACACACTTTTCAAGGAAGAAATCTTTAAATGGAAGATTCCTTCTGGGGTCTACTCATACAAGAAAAATAATCTGGAAGATTTTCTCAGATATTCAGGCTCAGTATTAGTTAAAGTGAAATTGTTTTATTATTTTCAGCCTGCCAAGAAAATTGTCAAGCTAGGAATAATTACATTTCACAAGCACCTTCTAATTTGCCATTTGCTGGGGGTTGAAGGAAATGTTTACCTTTCATTCTATGTATTTTCTCCTCCCTTTTTCTTTATCTCTGTGATCTTTTTGGAAAGAAATCTGAAACATAACTCAATGTCCTAGAAGAAATTAAATCTGTATTGCATATTATTTTCAAATATGGTATTTGTTATGAAGAAGTAATTATCATGTAAGCTCTTGGCCACAAAAAATAAACTACATTATAAATACAGTTACCATAACACCAATTATTCAAGACACCAGCAGAAACCTAGATAATCATTCCACAAATTATGAGGAACACATCTCTGACTCAAAGCGATCTCACTAGGCCAGAGGTTGTCAATCATAATATATTTTGTCAGGTTGGACGTTTTGGAACAGCTTCATGCAATAGAAGAATGTCATGTGCCAATTAACTCTTGGTATGCCAGGAAAAGAAAACACACATGAATCAGGGGGTTTTGGTACTTGTTAGAAATAATGAGTAAACCAAGTTTCTACCTGTCCTGAGAATTCATTTTTTATGATACACTGAATAATTCGAGTTGTTTTGCAAGCTATCACATCCCCAGCTTTCTTGACTAAATGGGAACTAAGAATATGATGTTGTTGTTGTTTACATCTCCCAGAAGGTTGTAATCTCTTTGATTTTAACGAGTACAGTCATGGGCTTCCTTATTCTCTGATACATATCTAAGTAAAAGTCTTCTTAACAGAAGAAATAATCACCTTATGAGGAAAGTCTAAAGCTCTCTTTCTGTCCCTTAAGCTCTTGAAACACAACCAAACATTCAAAGTAGTTAACTATTCATAAACAAAGCAAAATGAGTCACAATCTTTCTGCTTTTAATACAGAGTCTCTGAGACTACCCAAGGATTCCCTTGCCCCACCTCCAAGTTCTTTACAGTTAACATCGTTTCCTACTCCCTCCTCCTAACCCATGGCTTCGTTCTTGTTATGTACACATATCTAGCATACCTAGGTTCACACTCCTAGCAAGTAACCACACTTCCAGAATACTCTTACTTTCATTTACTTAAACAACGGGAAAGTGATATAGACCCCCAACCCTAAGCTCCTACCCACTGATCTTTCCTTTTCTTCCTTCCAAAATAATGGTTTCCTTTTCTGTACTTCTTTTTCCCTGTTTTTTTGTTTTGTTTTGTTTTGTTTTTTTTTTTGAGATGGAGTCTCACTCTGTTGCCCAGGCTGTAGTGCAGTGGCACGATCTCCACTCACTGCAACTTCTGCCTCCCAGGTTCAAGCGATTCTCCTGCCTCAGCCTCCCTAGTAGCTACAGGTGTGCACCACCAAACCCAGCTAATTTTTGTATTTTTAGTAGAGACAGAGTTTCACCATGTTGGTCAGCCTGGTCTCAAACTCCTGACCTCAGGTGATCCGCCTGCCTCGGCCTCCCAAAGTGCTGGTATTACAGGCGTGAGCCACCACACCTGGCCTGTACCTCTTTTCATGAGGACAAAACTTTAACAATATCTGGGGCTCTTGAACCATGAGGTTCCTTCAAGGGGTGCCAGCTCAGGCATCTTGGACACTGAATCTGATTATTGGTGAGGAGGTAAGAAAGAGGTAGAGAGAGGATTATGAAAGCATACCAACCTGTCACAGCTTCTGTGTCTGCCTTTTTTACTTGATAAATATGAATGGAAAACCAACAAGAAATGCCTCTGGTTTGACTGCACGGCTCTCACAGCCATGATAGTTACCAAATAACTTTTCAAAGCTCTGCAGTTCAGAGTTCCTCTTGAGAGGGCCACCTACCTTATAGGCATTGATGAAAAGATTAAAGAGTGATGTCATCAGGGGAAAGGAAATTGGTGCCTTCCAGCTTGGTAGCCTTTGACACCACCCCCAACTATCTATAAGGGGTGATTCAGCTCCAGCCTCTGTGTTCCTCAGATCTTCTGGGAAGATGCCTCCTTTTTTTTTTTTTTTTTTTGAGACGGAGTCTCGCTCTGTCGCCCAGGCTGGAGTGCAGTGGCGGGATCTCGGCTCCGCCTTCCGGGTTCACGCCATTCTCCTGCCTCAGCCTCCCAAGTAGCTGGGACTACAGGCGCCCGCCACTACGCCCAGCTAATTTTTTGTATTTTTAGTAGAGACGGGGTTTCACCGTTTTAGCCGGGATGGTCTCGATCTCCTGACCTCGTGATCCGCCCACCTCGGCCTCCCAAAGTGCTGGGATTACAGGCGTGAGCCACCGCGCCCGGCCTGATGCCTCCTTTTTAAGGTTCTAGCCCATCAGTTTTAGAAACCTGTTCTAGGAGTAGTTCTTCAGGGTCCATACAGAGACCCTTCCCCTTCTCCTCACCTGCAATAGTAGTGGCGGCCAAATTTGGCCCAGTGATCTCGGACAATTTCCTCCACACTCTGCTTCCGGGCAGCAATAATGGAGAGCCAGACCAAGACAGCCCACAGGCCATCCTTCTCTCGGAGGTGGTCAGAGCCTAAAGGTGAAAGAAAAATTCTGCTGAGCATTCATTTGTGGGAGCAAAGCAAAAGCTAAATGAATTAAGAAGACCAGTTAGTGATTGAATGTTATGTAGAAATGATTGGATCATTTACCCATTATATTAAATATATGTCTCCTAATACATTTGCATTTCTGAAAAATATCCAACTGAAATTCAAATAAAATAGTAAAAAAAATAAAACTTGGAAATTTCTGAAGGGATCAGAGAGCCAAGTTGACATCTCATTAGCCCAATGAGATTATTCATTTATTCAGTAAATATTTAGTGACCCCTACAATATATCAGGCATTGTTCTACGTCTTGGGGTAAAGCAGTGAACAAGATAGTTCTTTACTCATAAAGTTTGAATCCAAGTAGATGGAGTTAGGTGGAGACAGGCAAAGAAAAGTAGATAAGAGAACAAGATGCATCAAATAAGGACAAGTGCTTTGAAGAAAATAAAGAGGTGATGATGTCACAGAGCATAACAGCACCAAAAGCTGCTTGACCTAAGGTTGGCTGGTGGTTCCCCGACCCAACAGATATGTCCACCTGGAACCTGTGAATGTGACCTTATTTTGGGAAATGCTCTTTGCAGATACAATTAAGTTAGGAATCTTGAGGTGAGATTATCTCAAGCACCTAAATCCAATGATAAACATTCTTATAAGAAGAGGAGAAGACACAGAAGAGGAGAAATACAGAGGGGCAAGCTATGTGCAGACAGAGGCAGAGATTACAGTTGTGCCGCCACAAGTCATGGAACATGTGGAGCCACCAGAAACTGAAAGAGGCAAGGGGAATCCTCCTCTACAGCCTTCCAAGGAAGGGTGGTCCTGCCTACACCTTGGTTTTAGACTTCTGGCCTCCAGAACTATAAGAGAATACATTTCTACTGCTTTAAGCCACCCAGTTGGTGGTGATTTGTTATGACAGCCCTAGGAGATTAATACAGATAGTTAGGGTCTGCCCCCACTGAGGCAATGGCATCTGAGCTAACCCCTGAGAAGAAGTCAGACATGCCAAGATCTGGGGATGACGTATTCCAAGCTAGGGCACAGAAAAAGCAAAGTTCCTGAGGCAGGAATGAATAGAGAAGGTATATCCTACAGCTATTCATATAGAAAGAGTTGGAGGCAGTTCTTATTGCATCAGGCACACAAATGAAGACTGCAGTCTAAATGACCAGCTTCCTGTGCAATGAGAACCCAGAAGAGTGTGTCACAGGCCCATTTGGGTATCTGTCTGTTAGCCAGTTATAAGCTCTCTCTGAAGTGAATAAAGCCCTGTATGTAAAGAAATGTGTTGTAGTACGAGACATGTGGTATCCTGGGGAAGGCTTTAGAATTAGGGCTTAAGCCAAACTGCTACTTCACAGATGTGTGGAAAGTTATTACAAAGTCATTAATTCCCCTGAGCCTCAGCTTCTCATTTGTAAAATGGGGACCCCATCACCCATTTTGCGGCATTGTTGTTGTATCAACTTAATCAAGTTAAGAGGACAAGCTCTAGAGTTAGATTTCTCATGTTCTAATCCTGGCTCAGCCATTTACCTTTGTTTGCGGTACTCATCTGTAATCTATGGACAATAACAGCCCCTACCCCATGGGGTTACTGTCAGGATTAAGCAACTAAATATGCCCAGATGTTCAGAACAGTGGCTGGGATATCACATATCTTTGCTGTTGATCTTGTTGTTGGTAATTTTAATAAAGCTGTGTGAATTACTGCAAGGTGCTGATTCCTCAATACCTGCTTTCAGAAATTGTTCTTGGTTATTCATGTAATTTTATCCTCTCACTCTAGCAATAGTAATGTCTTAAGAAACAGGACTGGGTCCACAGAGTGGACCTTCTTGCAGCAGGGCAATGAGAATGGACAACAGTATTCTTGGGTTTCAGAACTACAAAACATACATGGAAAACCAACAAGGGAGACGCAACGCCACAGAGCTGTTTAACCCCTGAAAATGGGATCAAACAATACTTAAGTCAAACATCTTTGACAACTTCTAACTAAAGCTACAGACCATTTACCGTACTTGTGACATTTATGGTGTTAAATGTTAAACTTTTTTTCTCAATAAGGAAAACATGCAAACCTGAGGGGGGCTGTGAAGGTACTAAAATCAATAAGAAAAAGGGTCAGGTTTTTAGTTCTTCCTACACACTGATCAACGGTCTGCTAATGGCACTGTTGGATGTCCAGTTGTGGTTGCCTCTGGGTTAACAGGACCCTGGGCATTAATCATCACACCATGAAGTGTCTTTAGTCTTATCCAGTGAATTCTTTACACTGCTACAAAAATGGAAGAAGTTTGGAAGACTGAGTTAGCTCCATGGCCAACTGCCAAAAAACAAGTTTAGGAAACCCTGCCCAGTGGGATCACTTCAAAACCTTTTGTCCTTTTACAGCTGAAAAAAAAAATCACTTTTATTTACTGGCTAGAGAAAAATACCCTTTTGTTCTAAAACATGGGCTTTGCATACCTTCGAACTCCAGCTGGATTACATTACCTAGAGATAGAACCATTAGATGCTGTTAAATCTGTGAGATAAGATGTCATAATTTAGTGCTAGAGGGACATAAAGTTCTTTTAGGTGGATAAACAAAAAAACCCACCTCAACATTTGTAGCCAATTGCATAGTAAATTGTGAGTTGGCTTGGACATCCTTGCCTACAAGTTAAACATTTGCCAAGATTAATAAGGGGCTGATGATGAAGTAAAATTAACAATGCCCTTTATAGTTCTTTGAGTTTGGGACAGAGACATTAATGATGCTTCAATTACACAGATGTTTCCACTGGATGATTATAGTGTACTTTGGAGTGGATTTGGGGGCTATAACTCTCCTTTTAAAAAGGCTTTCAGGCAAGTGAACGCTATGCTGTATCAGTGACAGGCAGATTAAACAAGAAATTCCAGAAAGCACAAAGGTATCAAATGGTTTTCTAAAACCCCACTATAAACAGAGTAAAAATGGGAGTAGAAATGTTCACACTATATATATGACAGGGATAATAGGCTGGATATTTTTTTAATGTTTTCATAGGTCAATAAGAAAAAGAGAAACCTCAATGGACAATGGAATGAAAAGGCACAAGCATGCAATTGTCAGAGGAAAATAATAATAGTCAACATTGGAACAAATGTTCACCCTCACTGTGGTCAAAGAAAAGTGTGTAAAATGGGATACCATCTGGGGCCTGTCAGGTTAGCAAAGGTTTGACGGGGGAAGAGTTAACTTGGCAATAATGATCAACAGTCTTTAAAAATATCATGCAGCTTTCGACCCAGCTATTTTATTTCTTAACCTTAAGTCATAGGACATTCAATGAAGTAGATAAGAGAATAAAGAAAAATTGGAAAAATATTGTTTTGATTTTTCTGAGACAGGGTCTTGCTCTGTCACCCAGGCTGGAGTACAGGGGTTCAATCATGGCTCACTGCAGCCGCGACCTCCCAGGCTCAAGTGATCCTCCCACTTCAGCCTCTCGAGTAGCTGGGACTCAAGGTGCACACCACCATGCCTGGCTAATTTATTTATTTACTTTTTTAGAGATGGGGTCTCACTGTGTTGCCCAGGCTTAATTGTTGAACAATAGGATCATTGCACAAAATTCATTCAAAACCTTGTGGGTAGACAAAATAAATCAAACAAGAATCTTTAGTAACACAGAAAACCATGTTTATTCAATTCTTTTCATTTTATTTTATTTTTATAGTTTCAGGAGGTACAAGTCCAGTTTTATTACATGGATATATTGCCTAGTGGCTTTTAGTGTACTCATCACTTAAATAGAAAACATTGTATCCAATAGGTAATTGTGCATTCAATTTTAATAAATGAAAAATCAGTTTACTAAAAAAGAATATTCAGTATATTTTTATAAAAAATATAGATATGTATATATGTGTGTACACAAGTAAACAGAAGAATATACACCAAACTCTTAACATGGTTATTATCTCTGAAGTGGTAGAACTGCAGATGCTTTTCCTCTCTTTCCTTTTAAATATTTTCGCAATAACAACGTATTATTTCATAAGAAAAAAATAAATTTTTAAAGTTGTTAGCCAGGCACGGTGGCTCACACCTGTAATCACAGCACTTTGGGAGGCCAAGGTGGGGGAATCACCTGAGGTCAGGAGTTTGAGACCAGCCTGGCCAACATGGTGAAACCTCGTCTCTACTAAAAATACAAAAAAAAAAAAAAAAAAAAAATTAGCCAGGCATGATGGCAGACACATCCATGTAATCCCTGCTACTTGGGAAGCTGAGGCAAGAGAATCATTTGAACCCAGAAGGTAGAGGTTGCAGTGAGCTGAGATCACACCACTGCACTCCAGCCTGGGCAAGAAGAGTGAAACTCCGTCTCAAAAAAAACAATAAATAAAAATAAAGTAAACAAAGTTGTCAATGGTGCATAGAAATTCACATTTAAAACATGCCTTTTCTAGAGTCATATAGTTGGGCTCATCTAGTATGTATTTTTTTATTGTCTTCTTTTGCTTAATAATATGCATTTATGGTTCCTTCATGTCTTTTTATGGCTTGAGAGTGAGTGTCTTTTTAGCATTGAATAACACCAGCACAATTTTTGAAGCTTGCTGCCTGGCTCAGGACATTGCAGGGAGAATATACCCATATTTCCAAAGCTGTAAGTACCACTCACCTTGCCTTTCTCATCCAACCTAGCCCAGCCCAAAGCCCACGCAATCTTACTCTGAGCAGCCCTGAGAAGCAGCCATCTCCATCCACATACCAGAAGGAGGGCGCTCAGCTCTTCTCTGCCATGACTCCAGCAAAAACTGGTACAAAAAAGAAGGCCTTTTTTTTTTTCTAGAGAAATATCACTGTTCCCCCTCCACTCAAATTAAACTTTGAATTTTCTCAATCTTCAAAACCATGCTACTTGAGCTAGGCAGGACACTAATAAGTATATTGCCCTCACAAAAGAAAAGGGAAAAATAAAGAGAATGCTCAATCATCTTAAAGATGTTTTCTTCACATGGAAACACCAGTATGGACACATCAGCTCAATAAAGCATCCCATGCATTACTAACAGATCAAGCCATTACAGCTGAAACTCAGATAAGGAAATTCTAAATTTGTCAATTAGGAAAACTATAAGTCAATTTGCACCTGTTGCCAACTCCAAGTTGTAACATATGTTGGCAATTTTCAACCCTGCACTGCACATTAGAATCACCCAAGGAGATTTTAAAAAAATACAAATGCTCAGGTCTCACCCTGAGCCAATAAAATAAAAACTTTTAATGATGGGGCCCAGGCATTGGTATTTCTTTTTTAAAAACTCCTTGGGTGATTTTCACAGGCAGCCGGGCTTGAAAGTCACTTGCTTCAGCAGAAAGGCACCGTATGCAGTCTCATGTTTGGGGCAGAATGCCTGGGGGTAGTGAGTGAGGCCTCTTCCTCTTTTTGCTTGAATGTGGTGCTAAGGGAAAGCAGCCATGGGTCTCTCATTTAATTCACGGCCCTGGCCTTGCTCACATGGGGGGGTTCTCACTGGAGTCAGCTTCAGTATCAAGATTTCTCCTTGCCATTTTCATCTGGAAAACTGAGGACTTTGCCAGCTTTGGAGTGACCAACTTATCCTGGTTTGCATGGGATTTTCCCACTTTTAGCACATAAAGTCCCACATCTCATGAAACTTCTTAGTCCTGGACAAACCAGGATTGTTGGTCATACAATAAGAGAGGCCACTCACTCAAAGAGGTTCCTGATTATTTTTGAAGCACAATCACAAGGAGGATAAATTCCATTCTAAGAAGAAAGCAGCAAGGCACCAGGCACTGCGCTAGGGGATTTTATGCATCTATTATTTAATTTCCACAATTTGATAGCCCCCTTTTACAAATAAGAGATTGAGCTTAGGTCATCTGTATGAGGCCACACAGCTACTAAGTGGTAAAAAGAAGGTTCCAAGCTGGGCAATTTGGCTCCAAAGCCTATGGACTTAACTGCCACTGGATTATCCCAGCAATGCTGTGGCCCTCAGGAGTTGCAAGAAAGCGGGTAAAGCATCCTATGTGGTGAGAGCTGGGGCAGGCTTTCTAAAGGACAAGCTGCAAATTTTCCCTTTATTTCTCCAGTTTACCTTTTTTCATTTAGAAATGGTTTTCATTAATTTGCAGCCTTCTCATCCTTTTTTCAGCTACTCAAGATAAAGATTTGTCTTTGAAAAATAGTGGAGTTATGAGGTTAAAGTGGGGTCACTCTTTTTGGGTGGATCTGAGATTTGAGAACATGCTACAGAATTGTGATGGAGATCGATCGATCGATCGGTAGACTGATAGATAGATTGATTTTCATTTCTCAAACCACTTATGTTCAGATCTTTAACATCAGGTGAAAAAGCAAGGCTCACTGAAAAAAAAGTCACCTTTCTATGCTTAAAAAAATATTCTTAAATGTACCTAATGTTCATCAATTAGAGAACAAAGCTCTCCTGCATGTAAGTCAGAGCCAGGTGCAAGCGCAGAAGAGTCAGACAGCAGCAAAGGACACATCCTGTGCTGTGGGCAATGTGGCTCCCAGTGAATAATTCTGTGTCACAACACATTTAATAAGTAAAATAGTAATAAATAGTGTTTCACACAAGGCTGATATCCTGACCATAGCAACACCCTATAAACTCCCTGAGGGAAGGGCCTGTGTCTGAAATTACTCGCACTCTACCCTGGGCTGGCTCATAGAAGGTGTGCAGTAAATGTTCACTGAATGAATAAATGAATGCCTCTTTAGTATGTAGTGCATATAATTCATCAGGTTTGCTCCTCACTAAGGGTAGCTAGTTAGAAGCAACCTGAAATATCATGATGGAAGAAACCTACAGATCATCCCCTCAGACGAAGTTGTCTCGCAATGAGGAAATTGAGTCACAGAGAAGCTAAGCTATTTGTCTAAGAGAGGGGGAGTCAAGATGGAAGCTGGGTCCCTCAACTTCTCATGCCATGCTGTTTACATGAGACCATTCTCCCAAGTCCCCTGGCATTCCTTCTACCTTCATCCAAAAGAATAACCAGGAGGGGGTTGGGGAGGGTGGGAAATGACTCATCAGCATGAACTGAAAACATCAGCAGCAGACACTGTGAAGCCAGCAAGGTTGGGTTTGAATTGTGGCTCAGCCAGTGTGACTTTGGCCAGCGGCTTGACATTCCTCCCTAAACCTCAACGACTTCATCAACAAAATGGGGTCATTAGGGTCTCTATACCATCATTGTGAAGAAGACTCTAAAATAAAGTACAGGAGGCACTAGGAATTGTGTCTATCACTTAGGAGGCATCAAGCCATCCATCCCAGAGCAGGGAGCACATTAACCATATCATGGCCAGCCAGCTGACATGCTTCCCTCACAGAGCATACCAGCATGCTCCTAACTCATACATCCCAACTCATTTTTTTTTTTTTTTGTCACCAAGGCAGATAGGAACAATAGGACTCTAAGAATTGTCCTTTTTTTTTGAGATGGAGTCTCACCCTGTCACCCAGGCTGGAGTGCAGTAGCACGATCTTGGCTCATCACAACCTCCATCTCCTGGGTTCAAGTGATTCTCCTGCCTCAACCTCCCGAGTAGCTGGGATTACAGGCACCCGCCACCACATCCGGCTAATTTTTGTATTGTTAATAGAGACAAGGTTTCACCATGTTGGCCAGGCTGGTCTTGAACTCCTGACCTCAGGAGTTCACCCGCCTTGGCTTCCCAAAGTGCTGGGATTACAGGCATGAGCCACTGCACCGAGTCTCTCTTTTTTTTTTTTTTTTTAAGAGACAGGGTCTTTTTGTGTTGACCAGGCTGGCCTTGAACTCCTGGCCTCAGGCAATCCTCCTGCCTCAGCTTCCCACATAGGCACAAACCACCATAACCTGTTTAAGAATTGTTTCTTGACAGGTCATACACTGAATCAAAAATCTCTCCAGTGGCTTTTAAGGTTGAAGACCTGTCACTTCTACAGTCACTGTACTGTGTTCTCAGTGGGGCCACCTAGCAACCAGTAGTCTCCTAGAATGCAGATTGGGAAGCCTCGAAGCACAACTTTAGGGATTGTATTTTAAATCCCAAGGGACAGTTCTCCTTGTTAAAAGTCCCTTACTAGACACTGGGAAAAGAACCCCTTAGTCTGTTTGGAAGTCTTCAGTCTCTGACTAAGAGCCATGATGTCTCAGGACTCCCAGTCAGTCCCAGGATACTCTGGTCAGTACAGATGTGGTTTCAGAAGCCCCATTCCTTTGTTTTTGCTCCACCCTTAGGTGTCACACAACACTCCCTCTTACCACTTTTCATTAGCTTGGAGGATTAATAGAAGGATCAATGGAACTGGGACCATTGAGATTCCAAGAAAAGGATCTTAGTGATGGAGACATTCTTCCAATGCTAAGTGAGAGTTCTGTTTCCCGGCACAGGGGTTGATCATTCACAGAGGACCCAGAAGGGAGTTTCAATTTTCTGGCTTTATAAGAAGGCTCACGGGGGTGTCAATCATAGCACCTCTGTGCTCTGGCCCAGCCTAGATTGAAATGCACACATGCACTCAGCCTGTTTCAAATAGCCCCACAGAGAAACTGCTCATCTAGCACTGATAATGCTGTCATCATGGCCTCCACACCGCACATCTGCAACCCAGCCAAATTTATACACACTGGCCACAAATAAGAAAAAGAAGTGCAGTAGGACCTCAGTAATCTGAAATGCATGGATATATGGCCTCTTTCTCTCTCCTAGAGACTAGAATCGGCAGATGCGAAAAGAGACAAATGTAGAGGGAATAACCATCCAGATAGGGAATGGACTAAAGTTTTCCTATATTTTACCTTTTGAGGAATATAAAATAGTAAATGTAATAATTGTATAAATAAGAGACAGTTAAACTTACTCAGTATTTGTGCAACAGCACTATTGTGAACCCAATCTTCAGTTAGGATATACATCATTCATATGTGAAATATAAATGAAGAAAGAGGCATGGCCCTAAACATGTTACAAACTCTACAACTCTCAGGGGAAATAAAGTGCTCATTCACAAAGTAACTGGAGAATGATAACATAAACCATAAGACAACAGAGCACAAAATGACTATGCTAAAGTCAGTAAGAATTTGGTGCATACAAAAGATCACTAAAGCTGGAACCTAGCCCACTGTTGAACATGGCTATTTCTGTTATTGTCAACAACTACAGGCATAAGAAATAAACAAGTTAACATAATAAATTATAAATAATTTAAAATCTGTTTATTAACACTAGTTCCAGGAAGGGAGATCTCCCTAGAAGCATGTTGTTAGCTATTAGTTTGTGCTAATAATTATGATGATTGAAAATATTTAAAGATTATATTTTATATAATTCTAATTTTGTTATCATTCATAACATCTCTCCCCATCCCTTTCCAAATGGTCTGTATTTGTGTGATTTTGTTTTATAAATCTTCCCAAATCTTGGGATACCCAAATACCCAGATCTTCAGAAATACATCCATTTAAGGATGACAAAAAGATAACTACTAATAATACAAGGAAGAGATAACAAAACGAAAATTCTTTGTACTTTCCTTCCACCCACCTATCTTCCTTTCATCTTTCCAACCTTCCTTCCCTTCTCCCATTCATCCTTTTATCTTTCCACCCATCCTACAAGCATTTACTTAGGGCCTACCATTCATCAAAGAAATAGAGCTGAGAAAGATAGACATGGGCCCTGTCTTCAGGGCATTTACAATATTGGCATGGAATCCATGCATGGAAGCATCCAGCAAACCTCAAAAGACTGGAAAGATACTCAAGAGTCCTTGTGACACAGAATACACACACACTCAGGGCCCCTTCTTGTGCTAGAAATTGGGCACATATGAAAACAGTCAACTTCAAGAGCACCAGGCTGTACTTCAGAGTTCACAGTGGAAAAATTTGGTGTGACAAGTATGGACAACTCATGCTAATGCCAGCAGCTCTGGATTCAATTCCAAATTTCTAGAAAAAGATGAATACATACAAAAGGTACATACTAAGTGCTCATTTTTTTTTTAAAAAACACTATTATTTCTGTGAAAGACTCAACAGAGTACTTTCTTGGAAATAATAAACATTGTTACATCGCTTGATTTTAGTTGGCAAATTTGTATGACTATTGACATTAGTTTTTAAAGAACACATAGTAAAAAGTAATAGTGGCCGGCATGGCGGTTCATGCCTGCCATCCCAGCACTTTCGGAGGCCAAGGTGGGCGGATCACTTGAGGCCAGGAGTTTTAGACCAGCCTGGCCAATATGGTGAAATCCTGTCTCTCCTAAAAATACAAATATTAGTCAGGGAGTGATGGCACACGCCTGTGGTCCTGCTACTTGGGAGGCTGAGGCATGAGAATCACCTGAACCCAGGAAGCAGAGGTTGCAGTGAGCTGAGATAGTGCCACTACACTCCAGCCTGGGTGACAGAGCAAGAGTCCATCTCCAAAGCAATTAAGAAATTACTTTTAGAGTTCCACTTGTGTACTTCTCTTTAGGATATGAAAATCAGTAAGAGAAAGCTATTCCCATCCTAGCAATGGTAAAAGGCAATTTTAAAGCTCTATAGGAAATATGACCCAGTTTCTTCAATGAATAAATAATAAGGGCAAAATGTAAAGAAGAGAAACGTAGATTAAAAGAGACTTAAGAGACATATCAGCCAATTACAGTGTAAGATCTTTTAGAACCAATTAGAACAAACTGTTAACGGGGAGGGGGAAAATGAGGATAGAGGAAATTATTAGAAAATTCTGAAGGGTGTGGTGTTGAGCATTTTGTATTCTACACACCATCCAACACAATGCCTGGTACTCTGTCAGCACTGAGTAAATGTTTATTGAATTGAAATAGGCAAATACTTATTACTAAAAGCGTAACATGGCTTACACATGGAATATTTACCCCTTTAATTGGAAACTAAAAGTCTATAATATATTGTAAACACTTAATAAATGCTTATAAAGACAGAGAAAAGGGATAACCTGTACTTACCAGTTTTCATTCCAGTTGCTAGATTTATTTGACTAACTAGTGGCAGAATTATTGTATACAATATATAAGACTCTAAGTAACTAGGAATGGGAACAATAGTCTATATAAGCATGATGTTCTCAGTTATAAGTGGGAGCGAAATGATGAGAATTTATGAACACAAAGAAGGAAACAACAGACACCGGGTCTTCTTGAGGAGTAGGGTGGGAGGAAGGAGAGGAGCAGAAACGACAATTATTGGGTACTGGGCTTAATTCCTGGGTGATGAAATAATCTGTACCACAAACCCCTGTGACATGAGTTTGCTCATGTAACAAACATTCACATGTGCACCTGAGCCAAGAAAGAAAGGAAGGAAGGAAGGAAGGGAGGGTGGGTTGTAGGTTTTAGGGGAAAAACACAAAAAATATTTTATTCATAGATTATGTGATTATATATTTTAAAATCCCAAGAGAATATAGAGTTTTTGGAAAAAAAATCCACTACAATTAATATGATAATTAAATTAATAATTACTATAATTGCAACTAAGGAAGTTGCAAACCAGAGAAAAAGCATATTAATCAATAGCTTCTCTTCATATAAACATTAAGCAAATTAGAAAGGAAAATTAGGACAGCAGCATCAAAATCAAAGCAATTTTAAAGCTCTATAGGAAATATGACCCAGTTTCTTCAATGAATAAATAATAAGGGCAAAATGTAAAGAAGAGAAACGTAGATTAAAAGAGACTTAAGAGACATATCAGCCAATTACAGTGTAAGATCTTTTAGATCCAATTAGAACAAACTGTTAATGGGGAGGGGGAAAATGAGGATAGAGGAAATTATTAAGAAATTACTTTTAGAGTTCCACTTGTGTACTTCTCTTTAGGATATGCAAATCAGTAAGAGAAAGCTATTCCCATCCTAGCAATGGTAAAAGGCCAGGAAATCTCAAACATGGTAAGTTTTCTTGAACTCAGAGATCTGAGATGACCACACAGTCAAGTGAATTCCAAAGAGCCACTCCAAGGAGAGACAGATCCTGAAAATTCTCTCAGCTTTGGCAAAGCATAGGAGAAAGAGGAGGCTGCCATAAAAACCAGATAATAAGAAATCATGTAAGAGTTTAAAAAATTCTTAAAGGCCTAGTATAGGCCTTTACATTACTTTAAAATCACCTGGGGTTCCAGATACAAGGGGCACATTTTTAAGTTCTTTTCCACAGATTTCCACTGGGTCCTCACAAAAAATTAGGAACAAAGAAGGAAACTTGGTGGTACAGGTATGCAAGCGACGATCAGCTGTCACTGGGAGACAAGGATGAAGCCCTTCTGCTCCCCCAAACCCTTCTCTTACATGAAACAAATGCTTTATGTTCCTAGGTGTACACGCTAAAAACCTTCTCATCCCCAGGTCCAGAAAGAGATCTATTGTCTCTGAGAGACGGGCAAAAGTAAAAACTCTTCTGCCTCTGGGGAGAGGGTAGGAAAACTTGTGCTCAGAATCCTGCACCAATACTAGTCAGAGGTCTCTGCTACCAGGGAAAGTTTAAGACCCTGGAGATAGAACTGTATTTTGTGTTACAGACTTGCAGTCACTACTGAAAACTGAGGGAGAAACAGGAACACTTAAAAACCTCTCCAGTACCCTTCCCCAGTTCCAGTACCCAGTAAAAATATGCCACTGCTGGGGGAATTTGAGGCCTGTGGTACACTGAAGGTTAAAACAGAAACAGTAAAACCCAAACCCAGATCACCGCTTGACTAGGTTAACTTAACCTTCCACACTAATTGCCCCAAAAAAGGGTTGTACCCATTTCTAGGCATAAATACAATTGACCTGAATATCTACTGTTCTTATCCACATATTATTCAGCATTCAATAAAAATTTATGAGATCTACAAAAAACAGGAAAACCCAAACCATTGTCAAGAGATAAAGCAATCAGCTGAACCAAAGTCAGAGATGAACCAGAGATTGGAACTATCAGACAGGGTGTTTAAAACAACCATGTCTAATATGTTAAATGATCTAATGAAAAAGATAAACAATTACATAAACAGATGGGGAATTTCAGAGAACTAAAAACTATTTTAAAAGAGTCAAAGAGAAATGCTAAAAAAAAAAAAAAAACACACAGTATCGGAGAAGAAGAATTCCTTCAACAGGCTCATCAGCAGATTGGACACAGCTAAGGAAAGAATCAGTGAACTTAAAGATGTTCCAATAGAGACGATCTAAACTGAAACACAAGAAGAAAAAAGGGGAGAAATAAATCAGAAAAATGAATGTAAGAGCTCATTTGTCATCACAAATTATCTAACACATGTGTAATTGGAGCCTCAGAAGGACAAGAGACAAAGAATGGGGAAGGAGAAATATTTGAAAAAATAATAGCTGAGCATTTCCTAAAATTAATGAACAACAACAAACAACAGAGCCAAGAATTCAAGAGAATCCCACATAGGGTTAAATACATACATGCATACACCCCTAGACACATTATTAATATGATTAGACTTTTGACAATCAAAGATTAAAAAATATTGAAGTCAGCCAAAGGCAGGAGACTGGGGGGTACTTTACACAGAGTACTTTACATAGAGGAATAAACATAAAAATTAAATCCGACTTCTTGGACATGATGCAAGCCAGAAAACAACTGGATGAAGTATTTAAAGTATGTAAAAAAAGAAAACGTTTTTAACATTTTAGGTGTGATAATGGTACTGTGGTTATGTGGTTTTTCTGAACAAGAGCCCTTATATTTAAAGATTCATCTTGAAATGCTTACGGATAAAACAATGAGCTACAGAGGATTGCTTCACAATAATCAGGGAGGAGTGTTCCCCTGCGGATGAGGGTAGAGATAAAGGAAGATTGATCACAAGTTTATGGTGGTTGAAATGGGAGTGACAGTAACATGGGGATTCAATGCGATATTCTCTCTACTCTTATACACTTTAAAGATTTCCATAATAGAAATTTTTAAAGAAAGAGAAATTTCTAAAAAGAAGAAACAAAATGGACAAAAGAGGTAAGCATATCACAGCACATACTCTACTAGGTTTCTCTGATTTTTTGCCTCTACTTAACTGTTCCTCTGTAATTCACAGAAAGTTCACAGATCTCCAAACTGAGATCACAAAAGGCTGCAGCCGCCCTCCCCAGTAATATCAACCCAACAAAGCCTACCAGTGCCAAAGCTCTCTTCCCCACACAGATTGCAACGTCCTGAGTCCATCAGATTTGAGAAGAATCTCCATCCAGCTGGGGTCTCATATACAGGGACCTTCATTGATTTGGCCACTCTGAAAAATGAAATTTGAGAAAAGTCAATTCATATATTTCATTTTCTGTTTTTTTTTCTCAGCACAGTAGGAAGTCTTTAGGATCTACTAAATCCATAGCTAGATTTCAGAACAACCTGGGTAGTGTTGACAGATTTCAGGATATCAAGCCATAAGTTAGAAAATAATAAACAACCCATTTCAATGGTTCTCAATTTTGCTTTCTCCACCATATAGAAAATAATAAGTTAATATACAGAATATTTTTTACATTTGTTTCACTTCTATACATTTTTCTTTATCTTTTTGGAAAGAGTCCATGTGGGGATATCAGAATCTAAATTAAGAGGGTATTTGGGCATAAACACTTGGGAATATTGTTTAACAGTATCTACTAAAGATGAACTGTGATGCACTGCTCAGATTTACCCCCACCCACTCACCTACTACCCCTTAGACACACGTGTGCACACACACACACACTTTAGACATTTTAGGATAAAAATATGCATTCTACCAGCTACTAGGAAGGCTGATTGCTGACAGCTCGCAGATGTGGCCCCTGTTCTCTGCCAAAGAGAAATGTGTCACCCCAAATCATGTTCCCATGCCTGGGTTAATCCACATGCAATGACTGGTATAAAGGGATATATAAAGGCCTGGCCTCCTTGCCCAAATTTTGCACAACTCTAGAGGGCCATTTCAGCTCCAGAGCTCCCCACAAGTTGGCTGAGGCCTTTGTTGTGACTGCATTTCAATCCAACTTCTCTGTGTTCAATCCTCCTTCCTCACTCCCCTATAAGTTTTGATCTTGAATGCAACTTTGATCTTAAAGGCAGAAAGGAATAAACTTCCTGAAAGCAAATATCTCTTAGAGCTGCTTCCTGGGGAACCTAGTGTGCAATGTTGCTCAACAGGGTGTATATATAAGATTTTACAAGTATGATCATAGAATCACAATTTGTAATAACTGAAACAATCCAAATGTCCATCAAAGTAGAATGGACAAATAATTTGTGATATACAATGTAATACCATAAATCCTATTGTGCAAACTATTGCCGCATGCAACAATTTGAATGAATCTCATAAATATAACCCAGACAGGATCTGGCTTATGATGGTTTGACTTACAATTTTTCCCCTTTATGATTGGTTTATCCAGATACAATCCCATCGTAAGTTGAGGAGCTCCTATGACTTATGGTGGGGTTGTGGTTTCTACTGAATGGCTATTACTTTTGCACCATCATAAAGTCAAAATTCTTAAGTTGAACCGTCATATGTCAGAGACTGTCTGCTGTATTGCCAGCATTAAATGCATTTTTGACTTAACAATATTTTTGACTTAAGATGGGTTTATCAGGATGCAATGCCATCTTAAGTCAAAGAGCATCTGTATTAAGTAAAAGAAATCAGTAACAAAGGTGTATATACTGTATTGTTCCACTTAGATAAAATTAAAAAACAGCGAAAACTTATCAATGCTGTCAAGTTTCAGGCTCAGAGAAGTCAAGTTTTTGTTCAAAGTTTCACAGAGGTAAGGGGCAGTGCTAGAATTGGGACCCAGATCTGCTTAATTTCTCCTCATGTTCCATTCCATTACACCATCCTGTCTCTTCAAATGTCTTAGTGCTTCATGAAGGATGTAGATCTCAAAGCAGGCTAGGGAATGAGCTGGTACCACAGACATTGGCCTGAAGAGTTTCATCTTCCCCAGAGCTAGCAACTGAAAGAGAAAAACACCAAATGCCTACGAACAGCAAGATTTAGTTATTTGAAGGCTGTGAGTGCAGGGGATGACCGTAGAGTGGGATCAATGAGGGTCTTGAGAAAGAAGAGGAAGAAAGACAAACACAGGATAAAATACGCCGCATAGTAATGATTCCTTTAGGTTGGCTTTGTGGTCAAATAAGGAAAAAAAAAAAAAACATCTAGAAACTCTTGCCATGGGAAGGTGAACACCTCCCTTTTCACAAACCCCAAATACAATGAATGTGCTCAGGACTGAAAAACTGTGGGCTGCCTCTTCCAGTTTGCATTGAAAAGCACTTTTCAGGTGGTCAGCTGTTACTTCAAATATTCCGTCTTCTCTCTTTTTCAATGGTTTAAGAAAGATATAGAATCATGCTTACATTCTGGTAGGAACAATGAAAGAAACCACCCACAAACTATACAGCAAAGGTAAATTTTCATTTACCTTTATAATAACATTATTTTCATGGTCAGAAGGCTATGGAAGGTCAGAATAACATGAATTTCATCATCAGAAACTCAAGGAAGAGAGAATAAGTCACACAGAAGCCTTCTGGGGCAGCACATAGTCAAGCCTGGGTCAAAGTTAATTCAACAAAGATGAATGCATATGGATAACAAATAAAATGCGCAACATGGGGCAGAGGTGAGGGTGAGAGGGAGGGTACGGGGTGTGGGGATGTATGTTCTCTGACCAAAACATTCTTGTAGGTTCAAAGCCAAGTTGGCAGGTCTGAAGGGAGGGAAAAGGATTTCCCCAGCTCCCACCCTTTCCAATTAATCAGTCAGGAGGTCATCAAGCTGAAAGCTGCGGCTGGATTTTAAAGGACCGGATACTTTTATAACTATGAGCCACAGTTGCAGCTATCCAAGCCAAAATAACAATATGGGTAATCAAATTCCAGGATCCTGGGTATGAGTTAATTGTGTCCTAGGGTCAAAAAGGAATTTCCCTCTCTCCTCCCTCTCCTGAACTTGGGATTCATCCCAAACACAGCATTCAGCAGATACCATGCATTAGATGGGTTTTTGGCAGAAAGCCCCTGGAATCTCTGAAATTCTCTAGTACAAAAGCTGAAAACGAAGCTGCCCATGCTGAGGGGCTGAACCCTTCTCCCTAACTGCTTGCCATTGTGTCGGGGAGATAAACATGAGAACTCACTTCCTAGGAAAGGCCAGAGTGTGAAGGGAAAAAAAGAAAGGTAACCTGGGCCACATTTTTTCCTGCGAGTGAGAAGGAGCCTGAAAACTATGCTGGATATAACTCTTTAGTCAGAATTTTAAAACCTCCTAAAATGTGACGTAGGTTGGAAATTGCATCAACCTAGCTTTCCAACAGTTTCTCCCACACTACTCCCTATGTATTCTATGCTGCTAACAAGATGAATGATTTCCTATTTTCCAAATATGCCCTTAAATTTTGTTGTTGTATACTGCCCAGTCCTTCTTTATGCTATTCATTTTTCCTGGATTAATCCTCCTTTCCCACGTCTGTCAGAATACTTCAAGTTGCCTGAAGACCTACCTTAAATGCTTTTCCAGCATAAAGCCTGTTATTCCATTTTGTGCTCTTATAATGGGATAGCTGATACTAGATAATTTATAAAAAATAGAAATTTATTTCCCACAGTTCTAGAGGTTAGGAAGTCTGAGATCAAGGCACCAGCATCTGGTGTGGTGAAGGCCTTCTTGCTGCACATGGCAAAGGCAGCAGGAAAAGCTAGCCAAATGCTGTGTAAAGGCTTTTTTTATAAGGGTCTTAATGCCATTAATGAGGAAGGAGCCCTCCTGGCCTGAACACCTCTTAAAGGCCCTATCTCTGAATACTATCACATTGGCAACACCTGAATTTTGGAGGGACTGAAGTTCCAACATGAATATTGAAAGTGACAAAAACATCCAGACCATAACAAAACCTGTGGCAACGACTGCTACGTGGTCAACAATCCATCTCATCTTTTCAGACACACAGGTGGACTGTAGTTCTCAACCTCCCTTGAAATTAGCTGTGGCCATGTGACTGAGTTCTAGCCAATGAAACTCAAGTTCTAGCCAATGGAACTCCTCTTTCAGATCTGGTTATAAGATCTTTCCATTTTCCATGTTCTTTCTCCTTCTGCCAGCTTGATGTGGACAAGCCCAGCAATCTTAAAAGCCATGTGTTGAAGGCGGCTGACCCACGAGAGGGGAGGACCTGGATCTCTGAATCACCATTTGGAACAGAGTCAACTATGAATCAGGAACACCTGTTTTTAACTTTAGGGGATTGAAAACACCTTTTTATGTGTTTGAGTGGTTATACATCTTGGGGATATTTTTATAGTAGCAGCGACACTATCTTAATGAGTATAGTCCTTTCCTCATCACTGAAATCAATCCAACGTGACCCTTCCTGCTGCGGAGCTTCCGTGGTATGGGTCTTTATGTTCACATTGTTCTTGAATATGCTGTGTGCTTACTGAACACTTTCCCTCCACACACAAACACTATCACCACCACCAATGTGCTAGAACTTCCATGAGCGCAGGAATTGCATCTTGTATGTCTTCATGGCTCCTTCAATGTCTAGAATAAAACAGTGCCTCTCCAGACTTGCCCTCAATAAATGCTATATGATTTCAGTTGACTAATAAATATTATTTAAGGAGTTGTTAAAAGGGCTGTTAAATAGCAGGGGACTAAGTAAATCTATTTTATGGTCTTTGACTCTTGTAGCTTTCTTTAAAATATAAAGTCATTTCTGCATGCTTTATCTAAATTAGTCACTTTGAGAAAAAAGAATTTCTCCAGGTATGAATTAGTGAGGCTATCAGGATGTGGCAAAGGCATATCTTAGAAAGACAGTTCTTACAGAATGAGGGGCAGTGACTAAATGATCCTCAAAGGTTTGAGGAGCAAAAGGATACATTATTTTTATCTGACCAGTCTGATGGTCACCCTACCCTTATGTGATCAAACAGGATAGTAGATACAAAAGTACCTTAAAAGTGCCCTGAAAGCTCACTAAGCACAGGGGTGCTGACATATCCACCTTTGCACCTCCAGTGTCCTGGCCAGTGCTTGCTCATAGTAGGTATTCAAATATTTATTAACCCAAAGCACTATATCATTATGTATGATAAGAGTCTACCAGAATATCATATATTGATGGCTCTGTTTACCTTGCAAGAGAGTAGCCAAAAAAACACAGACTGATCATATCAAGTGTGTGAGGCATATCCAGCTGCTCTTGGAATCCTACTTCAAGAAAGTTGTGATAGATTTAAAGAGCACAAGATCCAGGTCTCTCTTCCATTCCTCTATCTTCAAATGTCCACTTTCTTAAGAGCCAAGAAGGGCCCATGGTACTATTTTCTACACACTGAACTCTCAGACCCCTTTTAAGACCCTCAAATACACAGATTAGAAAAAGATATTTGCATCGTATATATCTAACAAAGGACTTACATGCAGTTTATATTTTAAAAACTCTTATAAATTAGTTTTTTTTAAAGGCAGATAACCTTAAAAAAATAGGCAAAAGTTTTGAACAGGCACTTTACAAAAGACCATATTCAAATAACAATTAGCATATGAAAAGATCACTAGAGATCAGGGAAATGCAACATCACTAGAGATCAGGGAAATGCAAATTAAAACCACAGTGAAATATTACTATGTATCCACAAGACTAGCTGGAAAGAGTGGTACGGCCAAGTGCTGGTAAAGATGTGGAGCCCTAATGTACTGTTGAAGGGATGCAAATTAGTACCAACTGTGGTGTATTTATTTAATGTGGTGTATTCACACAAAGGAGTACCATAGAACAACAAAAATGAACTGCCTGCCATTAGATGAAACAACAAGAATGAATGTCATACTCATAACATTGAGTAAAATAAGCCAGACCCAGAGGAATATACACTCTATGATTTCATTTATGTACCATTCAAAAATAGACAAAACTCATCATTGATGGGAAAAGTCAGAATAGTGGTTACGTCTCAGGAGGAGAGAGAATAAATGATCAGAATGGGGAACAAGGAAGCTTCAGGTGCTATTCTGTTTCTTGATCCAGATGGTAGTTACACGGGTGTGTTCATTTGGTGAAAAATTCCTTGAAGTAAACATTTATGAGTTGTGCCTTTTCTGTATGTCCATTATACTTCAATTAAAAGTATATTTAAAAGAAAAAGCTCTCTGCAGTGTTTATGACTAAGTGCATGTTTGAATTAGTGATGTTTACACAATCCCAAGAAACAAACTACTGAAGATGGAGTTTAATAGCATCCTGGATATGCTGGTTAATGTCTAACAGACATTAAACACAACAGCCCTCAAGTTAGCTCTTCAATATTTTCACATTGATGAGTTCACTCCCAGATCCCTTCTTTGATGTCTAGCACTGCTGGCTGGGGCTGCTGTATGGTAAAAGGCTTATATGAGTTTGCACTTTAAAAGCCTTTTCAAGAAAGCCTACCTGGTTCATATATGAATGAGGCAGAGTTCAGCTAAACCTGGTTTTCTAATAGCAATCTTAAAATCTACTCTTAAACCCATTTTTTGGATGGAACAACTCACACTTTCAGGTATTAATAAAATGAACATAAAACATGAGGCTATCAAAATAAGATAACTACAAAAGTTTTTCAACCATATATATAAATTTTAGCACAGTGCTATTCAATCCTGGGGCCTCCATTATTTCAGCCTGGTCTAAACTTCAAAATCCACATATTAAATAACCCCTGCCTTGCCTGTCTTATCAGAGAGGTTGTGAGGTTCAAATGGGATAGTATATAATTTTGCAAAATGGCCTACAGAGTTGCGATATTATCACTGCTCTTAGTACTGGACATTTCACTTAAACCAAAGGGAACTAAATATATCATTTAAAGAATATTTAAAAGAAAAAGCAAAAGATAACTGCATGTCTCATAGTATCTCTAAACTTCTAGAGTTTGACCAATTATAAAACAAATAAAGGTGGACCCCAACCCCATGGGCCTTTGCCGCTTTACCTAGAAGCTTCTCCACTTTCATTTTAGGTAGGTGTCATGGGGAAAAGAAGAGGACTCTTCCCAGTTAGATCTTAAATTTTGTTAGGCAACATAGGCAGGCAGATTTCTGAAAATCCTAACTTTAATTGAAAGAAGAAAAACTTGGCTTTAGGAAATTGACCAAAGATCCAAGAAAAAAAAAATGTAAAATTGAAACTACCACAGGTTCACTCTCTTCAACTGTTAAATAATCTGGACCCCTACATCTGGGGAATTAACAACTGTCTGTGTTTACAGCCTTGATGCTTGAGCACTTTAATGTAAGCTGTTCCTGGCTCTGGTTATTTTCAAAGAAAATACATTGCCGAGGGTCTAGGGCTGGGGAATTTTAAGTCTCAAGTGCTCCAGCTAAGTTGAGAGATAGTCAAGAGCTAATTGTCAGCTATCCTTCAGGCTTCCATGAGATTGTTCCCAGACTAGCAAGACATGAATCATCTTCTTATCTGTTTGTTTTGTTTTGCTTTGCTTTGTATTTTCCAAGTTATACAGACCTCTTACTGAAGCTTAAAAAAAAATGACTTATATAATACTCTTGGAAGATTTAAAATCAGTTCATTCACTCCTATAAACTAAAAGTGATAATTACTGACATGACAGCTCCAACCCAGGAGATAAAGCATTTCTGTAAAACAAAGCTTTTTATGTCTCTTAAACTATTTTTGTTTGTTCTCTTTTCTATATCCAATTAGCATGTTTTCTTAGATAGTATTATAGAAATCTTATTGAATCTATGTCATAAGACATGAGGGAAAGGACACATCTAGGCACTGGACATTAAATGAATATACAGCAACTATAAATGGATACTCACTCTAAAAGAAGAAGAAAGAACAGAGAAGACTAGTATTTGTATAATGCTGCTTCACTACTCTATGAGTAACAGAGTAATTCTGTGAGGCATGGGTATCCACTGAAATACAATGGCATTATCAGTGTTCCCAAAGCAAATACCTGTTCCTTGCTATGGTATTTCATATTGGATTCTGTTTCAGCAAGGCCACAGGGACCTCACTGTCTGTCCCATGTTCTATGAGGGGGGAATAAAGAATGGGCAGAATATTCTATAAGTTGGGTCTAAATATAAGAAAAAGATTGATAAACGTAATCACATTAAAAATTATAAAATTTCTATTTGTCAAAGACACTAAAAAAAAGAAGTAAGCCATAGATTGAGAGAAGATAGTTGCAATGCATAAAATCAAAGGATTAATGGCTAATCTAAATGAAGAAGTCCTACAAACTGATAAGAAAAACTCAGATGACCTAAGCAAGTCACAGAAGAAGAAGACTGATTGGCCAATATGAAAATATATAGTAAATCAGGGAAATGAAAATTAAAATAACAGCCAGGTATCATGTCACATGCATCACATTAGCCAAATAAGAAAAAAAGAGGCTGGGCACAGTGGCTCACGCCTGTAATCACAGCACTTTGGGAGGCCGAGGAGGGTAGATCACCTGAGTTCAGGAGTTCAAAACCAGCCTGGCCAAGATGGCAAAACCCCATTTCTACTAAAAATACAAAAAATTAGCCAGGCATGGTGGTGGGCTCCTGTAATCCTAGCTACTTGGGAGGTTGAGGCAGGAGAATCACTTGAACCCGGGAAGTGGAGGCTGCAGTGAGCCGAGATTGCACCATTGTACTCCAGCCTGGGTGACAGAGTAATATTCTGTTTCAAGGAAAAAAAAAAAAAAAAAAAAGGACAGGGCACAGTGCTCTTGCATGTAATCCCAGCACTTTGGGAGGCCAAGGCGGGCGGCTCATGACGTCAGGAGATCGAGACCATCCTGGCTGATGGGGTGAAACCCCATCTCTACTAAAAATACAAAAAAAAAAAAAAATTAGCCAGGCGTGGTGGCAGGCACCTGTAGTCCCAGCTACTCGGGAGGCTGAAGCAGGAGAATGGTGTGAACCTGGGAGGCGGAGATTGCAGTGAGCCAAGATCTCGCCACTGCACTTCAGCCTGGGTGACACAGCGAGACTCTGTCCCTCCTGCCACCCCCCCACCCCCAAAAAAAAAGAAAAAAAAAGAAAAAATCTAATACCAAATGTTGGTGAAGTATCATGGGAAAACAGAAAAGAAAAAAAAAGACAGCAAGATTATAAGTTGGTACACTCACTTTACACTCAGAGTTGTTTGAGAATTCCTAGTAGACTTGATCATGCCCTATAATCCAGCAAACCCCTCTCTGGTATCTTTCCTAGAGAAACTTGAACACACGCGCACAAGAAGATGAGGTTCAAGGATGTTTATTACCACACTATATGTGAAAGAGAAATAGAGCTAAATCAGAAGCAACCTATTATCCATCAGAAAGGCACTAGACAAGCTGTAGTTTATTTCTACAGCGACAAACAGCCATAGTCCAAGGCCACCAAATTATAGAATGCAAAAGAGCCACAAAAAAGAAATTGTATGTTCTTTTGTCTTGCAATATTATCTCAGACCCCTGCTATTCCAATTACTGTTTCTTCATCAATAGTCCATATTGAAAACCTAGTGGGATATCGTTCCAGCTCTTTAATAACAGGTTTCAGATATTTGCAACACTGAAGAATTAATGAGACTAAATGAAGAGACACACCACCACCTGGCTCAGAGAAGCAGCCAGAACCCACCAATGCCACCAGGGCTGTGGAGGAACTTGGAAGATCTACCCTCCCCGATAACTATGCCTCTGATGGCAGAAGGCAAGTCTGTGCATGCTCCTGAAGCCAACTGTAATTAATTAGCCTGGACATTTCCCAAGATTCTTAGTGCCTTTTATTTACATGAATAGAACTCAAAACCTTTCCTGTTTTTTTTTTTTTTTAACTAAGAGATGATGCTTATACTTTGTGTACTATGAACATTTCCCCTTCCTTTTCTCCTGCTAACCTGTCCACCAATATCACAGAAAAGAATTCATCAGTCCTGGGTATGGTTCTTATTTTTGGCTCTCTTTAGGGAGTTCCTGTTTTTTGGACAATAGATTAATATCTCTCAGGGCCAAAACTCTACCGATTCCAGGCGGAGATGCCCTGAGCAGGGCAACATGCAAAACTTTGCATTCCCTTTGGGAATGTGAGTGTCAGCTGTCCATGGTGGGTTCAGAATACCATGGATTGAACACCACATTCCACCTGTTTCATTTCATCGTGTAACTCTGATCTGTGACCCAATGGATGACGCAGGTTGCTGTTTCCTATGAAGCCAAATCAGGTCACAGGCAGCTCTCTCTGCATGGTTCCGAGAAGACGAGCATATATCAAGGGATGCACAGGCAGCCACCCTGCCTGAAAGGAACCATCTTCAAGACTGCATTTACCTTCCCAGGGTTTCCTTCGGTCACCCAGGTTTGAGTTTAATTTTATCAGGAAGCATAAGGAAAGGTCATGCCATACTAATTCTGCTCTAATGTCTTTTAAAGAAACACTTCAGTTTAATGACACATAGTTACGAGGAAAGGGAATATTGGAAAGGTCAATGTTCTTTTGTGGGACGTGAGAGTTTTACAGCAAAAGCTAAGGCTGAGTGAGCAGGAAAGGCAGGCAAACATGCGCTGCCTGTGGAATCCAGTTTAATGTCTTAGCACGGAGGAGAGTAGGGACTCTCAGTCCCCACGCAGCTCCACCCCTTCTTGCAGTGCAACCTTGGCCAAGTTACTTAACCTCCATAAGCCTGGATCTTTTACCTACAAAATGGAATGATAATATGTCTCCTTACTCAGTGGGGACTAAATGCGATGAGGCCTGGGAGCCCTGGATCCCCAGAGCACTCCGTGGGCATCGGCAAGAGTGATCGGCCTCATGAACTCTCCTACTGCGGCATCATCCTGCCATAACAAACTATTTTTGAGATGGAGCCCCCTTCAAGCACCAGGCCACTTCAGTTCTTTGCACACATCGTTCACTTAGGTAGGGATACTCCTTGTATCAATGAGGTCCCCAACAGAATTGATGGCACACTCAAAACTGAGTAGTTTGAGAGTTTAATACAGGAACTGTTTACACAGGTGTGGCTAGTGGAGAGGGCAAGTAACATCAGGGCTACCAGCGTCCCATCCCTAGATTCATTACTGAAATCCAGGGACAGATCTGTGTGGATAGGGCTGCTTGGCAGGAACCTTGACCTTCAGAAGAGTCATGTTTCCAGCCTATGGAAATCCTATAGGGAGAGAAAGAAATCCCTGCTTGCATTCTCCTCCTTCTGTCTAGTAACTGCAGTGCTCCCAATTGCCCAAGCCCAACTAAAATCTGGAGGGAAGGGTGGGGATCTCTTGATAGTCCCTATAGGTCAGTCTACAGGACGGGGAGCAGAGAGAAAGAGATGGAGTGGAGGTCTTGAAGGAAAATGAAAGACACCAGTACACTCTTCATCCACCCCCTCCTGGACTTAGGCCGCTTCCTTACTTTCCAGGTTTATCTGGCCAGTCCTCTCTTTGTACTGCCACTGCAAACCCCAGGAGTTAGACACTCAGCACAGGATATTGCCTTAGATGCTGGGACACCTAACTCCTTCTCTAATCCGTTAGTCTCTTGAAGGTAAGTGCTTAAAGACACTTGCTCATTTCATGCAAACTTCATGGGGCCCATCAGAACATGGACTCCTCCTACATTAATATAAAGGTGCTTCCAGAACTTGGTCTTAAAATACCAGTGGAAGCAAATACATGGGATGATTGAAAGTTTGAGATAAGGAGGGAGATTACAGCATGTTCACCCCTGTAATCCCAACACTTTGGGAGGCCAAGGAGGGGGGATAGCTTGAGCCCAGGAGTTTGAGACCACCCTAGGCAAAACTCCTGGCTCAAAAAAAGAAAAAATACTAAAATTAGCCAGCTGTGGTGGTGTGCACCTGTAGTCTCATCTACTTGGGAGGCTGAGATGGGAGGATTGCTTGAGCCCAGGAGTTCAAGGCTGCAGTTAGCTATAATTATGCCACTGTACTCCAGCCTGGGCAGCAGCAAGACCCTGTCTCAAAAAACAAAACCAAACCAGAAAGTTTAAGATAAAATTAAGCGATGGTGGATGAATTTCCAAAGGAATTACATACAAAGGGTTGGCTGAAAAGGTTAATAACCTTATATGTTAATTTACCAAGTCCAGTGCTATAAATTTATTATGAAAAGGTAAGAGACTATGGTAAAAGTGGACTCTCTACTTTGGCAGGATATTTCAAAACCAAATGCTCATTTCATTGTAAAACTTCACAAAGAGGGTAGAGTATACATTTCTCACATTTACACAGAGCACCTTGTGGAGTTGGTGGTTTCATTCAGCACACATGGGAAAATGCTGGCTAAGATTTACCAACCAATATTTTCTTCATAGGACTATGATAGTGGTGGGGTCCAAGGGAATTTACTCCTACTGAACACTTTTGAAGAGCAAGGGAGAAGAAGGACTATGTTAAATGCTTTTAACTCACATCAAGGATTCCCAGCAAGATGTCTTGTCCAAAGAGCCTTGAGAAAGGAGATGTTGGAAGGTGATGCCTTGGAAGCAGAGATACCCCTCCTCCAGGTCCTAGTTTGCACTAAGCTCTGAACTCAGCAGGGAAGGGCAGCCCTGCCTTAGCATCCACTCTGGGACTAGCCTAGTGGGGACAGCTGAAGGCATGGCTAGTGAATGTGGCTGACAGTACGTCTGTTTGGTATCTGAGTGACATGTTCTCTGTTCCCCTGAGCAGTCTTGTTCTGGGGTTCAGATCCAGAGGATGTGGTAGGGGAAGAGGAAGGAGATGGGAACAGCAGCTGTTTGCATTCAGGATCACCCGTGCAGTGCTACCTGCACTGAGACCGATCCTCTCTCAGAGGTTCTAGTCGTCTATGGGAGACAGAGACCAAAATAGGTTGGTGAGAACAGGAAGTTCCTGAGATCAACTGGAGAAGCAGAGACTCCCCAGGGAGATGAGAAGGCCACTTAACTGACCCTCCCCCCTTCTCTGGAGACTGAGGCAAGGGCCATGTTGGTCTGCGTGGTTCCATTCCGTGTAGGGGCTCTTGGTGCTTAGGAGAAACTTCCTACTAAGAGAAGGGCAGGGAGCTTTTACTTCAGGGACTAACTGCCAGAAAACAAGCAAGCCTGCTGGTGGTAGAAGGGCAAAGGGCTGGTAGGAATGGAAGACTCCAGGGCTTCTGAGCTTGGAACTGCTTCAGGGGCACAGTCTTGTGGTGGGGCAGGGGGTTGGTGAGCAGTCCCTTTAGGTCAAAATCCCACAGCCTACAGTGGAGGGAGATAAAGGTGAATGGAGCAGGAGGAATACCTCTCTCTCTGTCAGGCCAGGGCTGAAGCCCAAGCTGTGCCTTTTGTGCTAAAGGTATCCCTTCTTCAAGATCCAGTAATTTATGGCTATTAAAAAGTATTGTAGCACACTGAGTTTCTCAGAACAGAACACTTTAATGCCATCTGCTGAAGCGCTGTCATAATAAATATTCAAGTGTAGGGTGTTTGCAATGGGAATAATGCCCCCTTGGTATGTGGTGCCCTTACACAGTGCACATCCTATGCAACTGGATGCAGCAGCTCACCATTGGCCTCACCTGAATTCAGGCAGAGTAGAATCTACTGTCCTCAAGTTCCCTAAGGACAATTCTGGTGTAGCAGGAAGTAGACTACACCCTTCAGAGACAGTCACACAATGGAGAGAGGCCCTGAAAGCCTTTCACCATCTTTGAGCTGTTAAAGACCCAACTTTGAATGGCATATTTTATTTTTTCCAATTGTGTGCCCTGTGCAAAAGCATTCGGTGGTGGTAAACTCTCTGAATGTGTGTTTATGAGGCCCCATCCCATATCATACCAAAAATATTAAAATATGTCCACATCTCACATAAAAATCTACTTTTGCTCCAAAAGAACTTGAAAGAATTTTTATAATTTTGCTTTTGAAATGACGAGGCTACAAGTCACTCATTTAATTAACTATTGGCAATGATATTGCTCACGCACACTCTGGAAACCTTTCAAAAGAAGAAAATATATCCTACAAATTATTCTAAAGTGTTATAGTGATTTCTTGAATATTAAATTTAAGAATAAAGTGACAACATGTGGTATTTTATACATATTCAATTACGCAGTTAATCGTGTTGGCATTGCGGATGTCTTCATTTTGGAGCTTATAATTGTTTTCAGGTCTTTAAGTGGGTTCATGAATATCAACAGTCCTAGGCAAGGGGTTGAAAGTGCCAATGAGGGATAAAATGCATGTGTGTATGTGTGTGTATGCTTGTATGTGTTTGTGTATGGATGTTCAAGTGGGTAGGTGGCTGTGTATTTTGGGGACACAGAAGGATAGTTTAACTCAGCAGGACCTTAGGTTATTTCTCGCACAATAAGGTTTCAGGAAGAATCCTCCACCATTCCTACAATATTCTGCATATCTTGTTTTTGCTTTCATAAGGTTCTACAAATTTATTTCCGAACATTCCATCCCAGAATTCTCTCAGTCAGCTCACATTTTCTCTGTCAATTTCCAATGCAGTTAATTATGCAGATTTCGAATATGAGATACAGACACATGCAATCCCAGCACACTAACCCAGCACTAAGCTATTGACTGAGTTTCTCTGAAAATCTTGAAACAATGTTCCAAGAGTCAGAAAAGAGAAATGATCCTTCACTTATAACATATTTTCTAGCTGGATGAAATATGACAGTGGATTTTTCCCCCCTCATGAAACCAAATGTGCATATCCAATCCAAATAAAAGTGGCAAATTTACTTCATATGATGTAAACTTTTATTAAACTTACAGTATGATTACACATATGGAATTCCCAGATAGTGGCCTTAAAGGCCTAACCTAGCAAACAAGCTTGGACAGTGTTTCCCCCTCTTTTTGGCAAGCTGTAAAACATTCTGAGTTGGGGGAGCTGGAGGTACTTGATCATTCACCTTCGGAAGAGGTTAAAGTTTTTTACACTTTCTTGATAATAAGAACCACCTGGGGTGCTAATTAAAAATGTGAATTCCTGGGCCTCTTTGCTAGAATATTCTGGGTTACAGGTCTTGGTTAGAGCCCAGGTGTCAGTACTTAAAAGCAGTGGTTTTTTTGTTTGTTTTGTTTTTGTTTTTGTTTTTATTTTTTATTTCTAGAGATTCTTGTTTTTAGGCAAGTTTAAAATAGTTAAGACAAACTGTACACAAATGACAATGATCAATTAACATATGCAATTGTATATCTCTATTCACAATTTTAATAGCTGAATTTTGATTCATGTATCATACAGTGTTTAAGAGGTCCTCAAAAGGGGTTCACACTTGAACTGACATTGAACATTGGTGCTGGTATGAGAGTCTACCATGTGAGCATGCTGACTATACTGGTCAAACCCCAGCAGGCTGAGGTCCAACTCTTGCCTCCCCTGGACATCTCTCTTAAATGTAAGCAAAGCAATTGTCCTCCCCACCCTACCCCCATAGCTGTAAGCATCTCACTGGATTTAAAATCTGACAGACTGGGGTTTGAAGTTGCACTCTTACACTATTAATTCTGCGACACTTGTAAGCCAGTCATTTATCCTCTCTTATCCTCAGTTCCTGCATCTAAGATTAAAGAGGCTGTGCAGTAGAGTGAAACAAGCTCTGGCTCCTTGGGTAGACAAACCTGGGTTCAAATCCTGATGCCCACCTTTCACTAGCTTTGGGGACTTGGGTAAGTCACTGCTTTTCTACAAGCCTTCACGTGCTCATAGGCAGAGATGGGGGCAGTTGCGACACATGATAAACACTCCATAAATGCAGCTATCACTTAACAGGCAGAAATCCTTACCTTGGGTAGGGGAAGGTGCCTGTGTGAGTTGAAAGCTCTCTGACCATGGGGTCCCCATCAGAGGGCACCCATAGCTGAAGTTCACCTTGAGGAAAAGAATCTCTCCTCTCTTGAGGAAATACTCCTCAATTTTACTTTCCAGGGACTCCAAAGGCTTGCAATTCCCAGACAAGCCATTCTTTTTGCCCTCCAGGGCTTGGTGATGCTGCTTCCCTCACTTCGGCTAGCTGAGTCTTAATTGTCCTTTCAGTCTCAGCTTCTGGGAAGCAAAGCTAGAGCCCCAGGGCTATAGACTAAAGGTCTGTGTCCACTCCAAATTCATATGTTAAATCTTAACCCCCAACGTGATATTATTAGGAGGTAGGCTTTGGGAGGTGATTAGTTCATGAAGGTGAAGCCCTCATAAATGGGATTAGTGCCCTTACATTAGAGACTCCAGAGAGCTCCCTCGACCCTTCTGCCACATGAGGATACAGCAAAAAGACAGCCATCTATGAACCAGGAAGCAGGCCCTTGCAACACACTGAATCTGCTGGGTCCTTGATCTTGGACTTCCCAGCCTCCAGAACTGTGAGAAATGCATTTCTGTTGTTTATAAGCCACTCAGTCTATGGTAATTTACTATAGTAGCCCAAGTGGGTGAAGAAGTCTAGAATGAGAGGCCCCTCCTGGGGTTCCCCAGAGAGACACAATCAGCCCACAATCTGCTGTCCCATAGCACCTAGAGCATTTCTGCCACAACACCTTTCACACTATGCTGTCCCCTGCATGCATCTCCAGCAGCTTCAGGAGGACAAGGGCTGTGTCTTTCTCTGAATATCAACTCAGTTCAGGGTCTGGCAATGAACAGGGCTTGAGGGGTGCCTATTGATTGAACAATGATCTCTGGACTATATTCCAATGGGCGTAAGAAGGATTATCAAAAACTCAGGAGTGAAGAGATTCTAATATACAGAGCCCCAGCTGCTTTGAAAATCACTGCAGGTAGCAAGTGGTGCTCCTGCTGCAAGTGGACTTTGGCTGCACACAGAAAAAGAGTTTGAGAACCCCTGAGCTAACTGAGAAGAGAAGAGAGGTCCTGGTTAATGCAGGTTTGTTAATGAAATTAGCATGACTCTTGGGTGCTGGGTGGAAGCCTCTAAGTGGGAACAGGCTGTGCATGAAGGTGCAGGGGTCTCAAGAGAGGCTACACGCAGCCTTCCCTAAGTGTCTCCCCAAACAACCCCTCCCTGGGTGACTCGGCTACCTGGGTGCCCTGGGAAGAGCGTTGCTACTGCTAGACCTGTCCCAGAACAGAGGGTTCATACCTTTGGAGGACACATACTGTCACATTTCTGTGATTTTTAGCCTCTCCTGCAGACTTTTGTTTACTGGGAAATATACTTCAAAAAGGTGGATTTCAAAGAAGGAAGTGAGTCTAGGATTAGAAGCTACTGGAGAAGACAACCTATTTGCCTACAAGTAGAAGCCCCTCCTCCCCTCAAAGCCCCTTTTCCTCTTCCCTCTTCCCCATCTTGTAAAATAAACCATAGTTTATTTCAGTGAAATTTCTATAGGTTTGCAACAAACCCTTTCTTTTTCTTTGCTCCAATTTAATTTGTTTCTGCCCCTGGCAACCCAAATGCCTGTATTTAAACAACCAGTATCCTCAGACTACTAACTGGAAAACTGAATTACCAAGAGATTAAATAGTTTGTCCAAAGCTATGAACTGGTAAGTGGCCGGGCAGGGAGTCAGGCCCTGTCCTGTCCAATTCCAGAACCCATTCTCTGTACACTGAATCATGCCAAGATGTTCTTAGGGACCTCTATGGGTATTTCTGGATATGTTTTGCCTATAAAAAATTGTTTATAAAAAGCGTGCTGGATTGAAATAGTGGAACTGTAGGAAATACTTGCTGCAAACACCAAAACTATAGCCTTCTTCTAGTAGTAATAATAATAATAATAACAGCTAACATTTCAGCATTTACTATGTGTTAGGCATTGTGCTAAACACTATAAAAGGATGTTATCACCTTTATCCTCCCCATTCTTAATAGAGGATATTGAGACTCAGAGAGGTTATATGACTTGTCCAAGGCCTCAGAGCTAGTACAAAAAAGCCCTGTGGTTCAAAGCCAGCTCTCTCTCTCTCTCTCTCCAAACTCGAGCCTCACTGTACAGAAGTGAATGGTACAGCGCAGGAAGGATAAACTGAAACCTTAAGGAGGCAGTGGTTGCTTCTCTGCAGCCATCATTATAATTCACAACAGGGAGGCAAGTACAAGTAATGTCAGGATGTGCAACTTGTGAAATTTTCACTAAAAGTCAGAAGGCCAGTGGTGAGATGGGATTTTAGTGAAAACTAAGAGGTCGGCTGCATTTGGCAGTGAGCATGATCCTCAGACATGTCCCTCCCTCCGGCTTGGCACCAGCAACCCCTTATGATTTATGCTTCAGAGTCACACAGAGCTTGCAGGCACCAACTCTGCAGTAGCAAAGAAAATGGATGGTCTGCCTTGGGATGTTTTCCCTGCACGCACCACGTTCCCTTAAAAGGCCTCCAGAGTGTATACAGTTCTGACAGGAGGGCAGAGCTAAGGAACGGCTGGGCCACTCTTCCCCCTTATAAGGTCAAGTATTACAATGGCATCCTCCCTTCTAATTTATGAAGCAAAAGAGTGGAGGAATGCCGATCAGGAGATGGGAGGATGTTTTACCAGAGAGACGATATAAAGCTCATCTTGCTGGCAAATGACTTATAAGACCAAGTGGAACAGAACACACACTTGATGAGTTGAGTTTCTTTTTAACTCTAGAGAATAAACACTTTTATTCCTCTCTCGAATGTCAACATTTCATGAAGCCAAAGTATATGCAGAGCTTCTCCACCCCAGTATTAGAGAAAGTGAAAAATAAAGCAAGAATAAAAACCTGTAGACTTCATCCTTCATAAATTTATCTCCCTCCTTTCCTAGCCTTCGTTTCCCCATTAAACACATATACACACAGAGACACGCACAGCACGTACACAACCAATCAGGCTTCTGAACAGAGACAACAATTTCATTTTAAACAGAACACAGAAAGAAATAGGGGATCAGTCCTCTACAAAGAGTTCTTCTCCCTAATGGGCCTTGCCCATGTTGTTAGAGGCTATAGACCAAGTTTCCCTATTCACTCTCTATCCTAAGGTTGGACGCAACGAAGACAAGAGGGTGTATGAAATGAGAATGTATGGGAAAGTGTGTTGCACATTGTAAACCATATAATATGCATAGTTATTTCAAACATTGTGGTAATGTCCTCCTTGAATTATTACTTTTTAAATTACTATTTATTGGTTTTAATACACAACTGGTTTCCTTGGATGTAACTGAGTATAAGTTGTGACATTATTTAAATTACTTTCACCCTTGTTATAATTCACTTTCATTTGGTCAGGCCTCTGGATATATTTGGAAGGACATACTGGGCCAAATGACCAATCTCTTCTATCTTGCCTCAAAAAGCCAAGGAACTCTTGGCATCCATGCTACATTTTAATGGAGCATCATACAAGGTAGTGGACAGGGAAAGACTCAGGCATTTTATACACATAAAAAATATTCCTTCACCATTTGTAAACCACATGTCTGTAAGGAACACCTTGATGCGAAACTGATTACTTTTAAAAGGCACTTGGAGATCCCCAGATACATGGTAGAGCACAAATAACTACACGTAAGAAAACAATGGACAACACTCCCTTCAGTGTAACTCCCCAAATGAGAGGTGTTTAGTGTAAATGTTTAGCCTGAAGGTTAAACTTCTTACAACCAGAAATTTACTAAAGCAGGCACTGCTGAGCCCAAATACATAGAATTTGAAAAGGTTCTATTTAAGGTCTTCATACGATCAGAACAATAAGGAAAACTCACAAGGTACTCACAGCAGACTCTCTACCCTTTGGGTTTATTGAATGGCTACACTTGAGTCAGAGTGAGTGAGCAAGTGTAAGGAGAGAATGCAAGATCTCCACGTTGTGTCCCAATATGCAGGCGGTGGAGCCCCTGGCTACCCTGGTGTCTGCTGTATTCCAAGCATCCTCACACTATCTAGGGAGCCTAGGAGGGAGCTTTCAAAGGGTATGTCCAGTTGTTCAACTTTAAACATTTTCTAAGTGCTTGCAGCTCCAATGGATGGGGTTTCCTTCTAGGGACTGGGAATCAAACAGATGGTGTGCAGGTCTTTAGCTTTGATCACCTGCATTGGAATTACCTGACAACGTTGTTTAAAAATGCAGACTCTTGGGTTCTGTTCAGAAAGAATGGATCAGAATCTCTGGGGATGGGGCCCTGAAATCTGCATTTTACAAGGGATTTTTTTTTCCACCTATCTAATCCTGATAAGATTCTTACGCACTCTAACATTTGAAGACCACTGCTATAAGCATTAAAAAAAAAATCCTATTGAGTTTAACACAGTTTTATACTCAGCTAAGAAATTAAGTTATGGCCCTAGACCCAAAGTATATATTTCTTAAGATTTGTAACAAAAAGGGATATTAGGGGACAGCTAGTTCAGCCTCTTCAGTCTTTAGATGAAGAAAGCAAAGCTCCAGGCAGAGTAACTGACTTGCCCTGGGGTCGTAATGCCAGCTGAAGGCCAATCCCTGTGGGAGTTCTGGTCCAGGTCTAGTTCCAAAACTATTGCTCTTTCTGCCATAATACCCACCACCTTTTCCACTCCTTCCTGTACCCCTTCTTTGCTTATCTGTACACCCTCCAGGGGTGTTTAGTTTAAAATGTAGAATAACCCACCATGGTGATCTGAAAGCTGTTGTTTCTGCCTTTCAAATACCCAACCCCTGCTGAAGACAAGAGACCACTGGTTTACTTTTGTAGAACTTTTCCCCTCCCCAGTGTATGTCACTCAAGGTGATCTCCTCTTGCCTGGCCAAAGAGTGGGCATGCGACTCAACTCATACTAAGAAAATGCTGAATCTTGAGTGAAGTGAGAATGGGGGAAATGTATGTCATTTCTTCCTTGATCTGGAAGATAATTCTCTGGAGAGATTGCCCATACATAATTCCTACCACCTAGGTTCCTATTATTTTTGAGACCAGCTTTTTCATTGATTCTGGGTTACTCCTTATCCTTCCATTGCATTCCTTTTAAGTAATCTAAAATTGGTCTTGCTTCTAGCACCCCAATAATTCTACTTGACCCATTTCCTTATATCATAACCATATGCACTAGCATTTGACTGAATCCTATGGAAAGAGAAGTTAGGGTCAAATATCTCCCTTTTGGAAGCAGAGAGGATGTGAGACTTGCAGTTGGATGGGTGGGGATGAGGCAGTACTGGAAATCCCAGTCTCCCTCAATGCCCACCACTCTACTTATTCCAAATAGCTCAATATTTCTGTCTTTGATCCCAAAACACCCCATCCTTGAACTAAAAGGCTATCTGTGCAACTGAAAATAGAAAGTCATGAACTCACAACTGCAAAGTGATCCAAAAAAAAAAAAAAAAGAAAGAAAGAAAGAGAGAGACTCTTCTAAGTAGCACATGCAATCTCCTCAAGATCCAGTGCCAAAAAGCAAATGGGCTCCACCATATCTGCACAAGTAGACAGATTGCCCTCCTTGTCAGTCTGGGTTTTACCTTTAACATTGTCTCCCTCAGACAGGACCCTGATCCCTGATGTACACTACATCTGCATGCAATTTCCACATAATAGGAGCAGGGCTCCATTACTTTAAAGTCTTAAATGCGATTAAGAGGTCTTTCTGCCAAAACCCATATTGCTCTTTTGTTACAAAGCTATACAAATATTTATGTTTTCTGTTTGACTTGGCAGAACAAAGGACTCTCAGACTCTCTACTGCTCTTGCTTTGAAATGACCGTCTATCTTCTGCTGCAAGTTACTTGCCCTTTACTGTGATTCTCCAAAATAAGTTCTAACTTTTTGGAGGAGAGTTGATAAAGAGGTCTAGCATTGGTAGTTGCTCCAGAGAAGTGGTACGCAAGCTGCACAGCACATTAGGATTAAGAGGGAAGCTTTGAAATATATTTTAAGGTTTTAAATTAACCTACAGTGAAATTGACTTTTTGCTGTGTTCTGTTTTATAAATTTTGACATGTGTAGATCTATGGAACTAGCACAACAATCAGGAAACATAACATTTCCATCAACCACAGAAACTCCCTCATGAAGTCACACACCTCCCTCCACCCCTAGCCCCTGGCAGCTACTGCTTTGTTTTTGTCTCCATAATTTTGTCTTTTTGAGCATAATACAAATGGGATGATACAGTATGTGACATTTTGAGTTGGGCTCCTTTCATTCAGCAAAATCATTTGACATGCATCCAAGTTGTGTGTATCAGTACTTCTGTTTAATTGCTGAGTAGTATTCCATTGTATAGAAATATCACAGTTTATTATTCACCTGTTGAAGGACTTTGAGTTGTTTCCATTTTGGGGGCTATTATGAATAGAGCTGCTATAAATATTTGTGTACAGTTTTAATTCTGTAGCTATAGAATAAGAGTGGGAGTACAGGGTCATATGGTAAGCATCTGTTTAGTTTTATAAGCAATTGACAAACTGCTTTCCAGAGTGGCCCATTTGGCATTTCCATCAGTACTATATGACAGCTCTAGATGATATGCATCCTCATCAACACTAAGGTATTAGCAGTAATTTTTATTTTAGCAATTCTAATTGTTATGTAGCAGTATCTCATCACAGTTTTATTTGCATCTTCTAATGGTTAATGATGTTGAACACATTTTCGTGTTCTTATTTGACATCCATATATCCTCTCTGGTGAAGTATCTGTTAAAACATTTTATATAATTTTAATTGGGTTAACTGTTTTAACTCTTTAAATATGTTGAAAAGATTATACCTTCTCATATGAATTGCTTTAGCACCATTGTCAAAAATCAGTCAGCCACATTTATTTAGGTGTATTTCTGGACTCTCTATTCTGCTTCATTATCTCTGCCTTTGCTAATAACACATTGCTTTCTGTTAATTAGAAAGTGTGATTACTCCCAGCACTTTGGGAGGCCAGGGTGGACAGATCACCTGAGGTCAGGAGTTCAAGACCAGCCTGGCCAACATGGTGAAACCCCATCTCTATTAAAAATACAAAAATTAGCTGGGCATGGTGGTGGCTCCTGCTGAGGCAGGAGGATCACTTGAACCTGGGAGGTGGAGGTTGCAGTGATCCAACACGGTGCCATTGCACTCCAGCCCCAGCAACAAGAGCAAAACTCTGTCTCAAAAAAAAAGAAAAAAATAAAGTGTGATTCCTGTAGCTTTCTTGTTTTTGAAAATTGTTCTGCCTCTTCTAGTTCCTTTGCCTTTCAATATAAATTTAGAACCAGTTTGTTTATATCTATCAATATCCTGTGGAAATTTTTATTGGAATTGTATTAATCTATAAATCAATTTATAAATAAATGACATCTTTACTATGTTGATCATGAACATTGTATGTCTCTCCTTCTAGGTATTCTTAGACTTTTTTTCATTAATGTTTTGTAGTTTTCAGCATATCGATCATGTATGCATTTTAATAAATTTACAGCTAAGTATTTAATTTTTGAGCAATCTAAATAGTATTGCTTTTTTCAATTCAGTTTCCAATTGAACACTGATAGTATATAAAAATAAAATTGACTTCTGAGTATTGATTTTGTATCCTCTGACCTTTGTGTGTGTATTACTTTGGATTTTCTATGTAGACAATTACGTTATTTATGAATAGAATCCATATTTTTTTTCCTTTTCACCCTATATGCCTTTTAATTCCTTTTCTTGCCTTATTGCATTGGCTGGGTCTGCTAGTGCAATATTGAATAACAGTGGTGAAAGTGGATATCCTTGTCTTGTTCCTGATCTTAGGGGAAAGGTGTTCAGTCTTTTACTATTAAATATGATTTTAGCTGTAGGGTTATTGTAGATGCTCTTTATTTGTTTGAAGAAGTTACCTTTTATTCCTAGTTTGAATGGATGTTGAAATTTTGTCAAATGATCTTGTGCCTCAATTGATGTAATCATGTGGTCTTTCTCCTTAAACTGCTAATAAAGTAGATTGTATTGATTGATTTTTAAATATTAAAACAGCCTCACTTTCCCAGTAAATCCCACTGACTTTTCTTTTTATATACTGCTAGATATATTGTGTTAATATTTTGTTAATGATTTTTACATCTATATTTATGGAATATCAGTTTATATTTTTCTTTTTTAAAAATTCTATCTTTGTCTAGTTTTAGTGTCAGGTAATGCTAGCCTCATAAAATGTGTTGGGGATTTTCCATCTTCTTCCTTTTTCTGGAAGATATTATTTAGAATTTTTTTAATGTTTGCAATAATTCACCAATATATTTATTTGCACTAGGATTTTTTGGAAGGTTTTAAACTATGAAGTCAATTTCTTTAATAGTCATGGAAATATTCAAATTACTTCATGTTGGGTGAGTGTTGATAATTTGTATTTTTCAAGGAATTGGCCCATTTCATCTAAGTTGTTGAATTTATTCATGAAGAGTTGTCTGTAGTGTCCTCTTAGTATTATTTTAAAGTCTAAAGGGTCTACAGTAGTATTCTTACTCCTGATGTTTATAATTTGTGTCTTCTCTCTTTTCATCTTTGTTGGTCTTGCTAAAGGTTTATCAATTTTATTTACTTTTCCAAAGAACCAGCTTTTGTTTCTATTGGTGTTTTAAATTGTTTTCCTGTTTTCATTATCATTGATTTCTACTTTTATCTTTATCCATTCCTTCCTTGGGTTTATTTATTCTCTTTTCTCTACATTATTAAAGTAGAAGCATAGTTTATTGATGTGAAACCTTTCTCTTATAAATATAAGCTCTTAATGCTTATATTAAAGAATTTCCCTCCTAAGCAATGTTTTACCTGCATCCTACAAATTTTGATGTATTTTCATTTTAATTTAATTTAAAATATCTTTAATTTAGTTCAAAGAATCATTTGACAAAATTTCAACATCCATTCAAACTAGGAATAAAAGGTAACTTCTTCAGCCAAATAAAGGACATCTACAATAACCCTTGAAACTTTTTCTTTGATGGATTATTTAGAAGCATATTGTTTACCTTCCAAGCATTTAGAGATGTCCTTGCTATCTCTCTGTTATTAAATTTTAGTCTAATTCTATTATGGTCAGGGAACATACTTTGCATGGTTTCCGTTCTTTTACATTTAGTTAGTTTGTTTGTTTTAATGACCCAGGATGTGGTCTACCTGGGTGAATGCTCCATGCACTTGAAAAAAGTGTATATTCTGCTGTTGGTTGGAGGGTTCTATAAATGTAAATTAAATCTAGCTGATAGATGGTGTTCAGTACTTCCTTCTCTTACTGATTTTCCATCAGATCTATCTGTTTCTGTCTGTTCTGTCAGTTTCTCACAGAAGACTGTTGATGTCTTCAACTATAATTATGGATTTGTCTATTTCTCTTTTCCATTCTGTCCATTTTTGCTTATGTACTTTAAAATTATCCTAATAGGAGCATATACATTTAGGACCGTTGGATCTTTTTGGTAAACTGACCCAACATGATTTCAGTTTTCAAAGACTTTGCAGTGCAGTTTAGTTCTCAAGTTTTGTATATACTGTTGAGGGTCAGATCTATTCATGCCCAGATCAGAGGTGAGCCCAGGAGTTTCTACAAAACTTTAAAAGTCATTTTCCCTAACTTCACCCTCTTTCTTGATATCCCTGATAATTTTCAGCTTCCCTGGGACTCTTTTTGGTTCTCTGACCAGAAATAAAGTTGGGGCTTTATTTACTCTGTTCTGCCATACACGTTCCATGTCTAATATTTATATATATATATGTGTGTGTGTATATATATATATATGTGTGCATGTGTATTATATATACACATGTGTATATATGTATATATATGTTCATGTCTAATATTTTATATAAAATATTAGAATGAGCTGGGGTAGACTCTGAGCTGTTGTGGGTAATCTGTAGCTGTTTGATCATCTTCTGAGAAACAGCTGTCATATATATATATGTTATATATATACACTCATATATATGGGCAGACATGGAGAGTATATGGCAGAACAGAGTGAATATATATATATTTTACATATATAATATATATTTATATATTATATTATATATATTTATATATATAAGCAGACTTATAAAGATATATATATATTTATATATTGAAACAGCATCTTGCCCTGTTGCCCAGGCTAGAGTGCAGTGGCATGAACACAGTTCACTGCAGCCTTGTCCCTCCTGTGTTCAAGAAATCCTCCCAACACAGCCTCCCAAGTAGCTGGGATCACAGGTGTTTGCCACCATGCCTGGCTAATTTTTTCAGTTTTCTTGCAGAGACAGGGTCTCACTTTGTTGCCTAGGCTGGCCTTGAACTCCTGGGCTCAAGTAATCCTCCCACATCAGCCTCCCAAAGTGTTGGGACTTCAGGCATGAGCCACCATGCTCAGTCTACCCACGTTTTGAAAGAAATGGGGTTAATGAGTAGGAAAACAGAAGAAAAAAGAGGCAACAGTGTTTCTCCCTAGTCTGTTGGGACCACCACTTCTCCAAGTGGCAATGAAGGCTTTCCTCCCTCCAAGTTTTAGGCTCTTTTTGGCCATCTTGGATTGTTTGGGAGCTATGGCACAGAGAGTAAAGAAGAGAAAGGGAAAAAAACAAAATGAAAAATGAGGAATCTCTCCCTCCTCCCCCAACATACACACAGAGACTCTCTCTGACTGTTAAGTTCCTCGAAACAGAACTAGAGGACTTTCCTGTCTGCATTCATGCCTGCTTCCAGGTTGCAGGCTATGTTGGGTTCAAGTGGAAGAATACTGGACAGACAAAAGAGAAACTCATCATCAGTTCACTGGTGTCTTAAATTCTGGTCTTCTCCAATCTATCTACTATTATTTACTTTTTCAGAGTCCTCAAATAGCTTGTTTCGTACATCTTGTCTAGACTTTATAGCCACATACAATGGGGAAGACCGTGGATGAAGTGTGCTTACTCCATCTTACTCAAAATCAGAACTAAATGGGAAGCTTTTTCAACATTCAGATTCCCTGACTCCACTGTAGACCTAATGAATCTGAAAGGGGAGCTGGGAAGTGGGAGATAAAAGGTAGATTTTTGGAAAGCTCCACAGGAAATGTTGATACACATCTGAGGTTGACAGTCATGTCTCAAAATATGTTCAAACAGCTACAGATTACCTTCAACCGCTCAGATTCTATCTTTTTTTTTTTTTTTTTTTTTTTTTTTGACAGAGTCTCCCTCTGTCGCCCAGGCTGGAGTGCAGTGGTGCGATCTCGGCTCACTGCAACCTCTGCCTCCTGGGTTCAAGCGATTGTCCTGCCTCAGCCTCCCGAGTAGCTGGGACTACAGGTGTGTGCCACCACGCTCAGCTAATTTTTTGTGTTTTTAGTAGAGACAGGGTTTCGCCATGTTGCCCAAGTTGGTTCTGAACTCCCGAGCTCAGGCGATCCACCCACCTCAGCCTCCCACAGTGCTGGGATTACAGGCATGAGCCACCTCGCCTGGCCAGGAACTCTGGGTTCCTAATCAGAGAGTAAATGTCTCCATGAGCCAAGCACGTGATGTGTGGTAAAGCAGCCAGCTGGATATGTGACAACAGAGAATTATGGGGACAATGATGAACTAGACAGCCTGTGTGGCTGTTAGAAACAGCCTCCACTCAGCTTCAGACAAATATTGCTATAGGGAAATGTAGGCCCAGTACTGCCAGAACTGCAATTTTTCAATAATACCACAACAACTTGGATTTTTATATGAAATATCCCCATTTTTAAAGGTTAGCAACATAATTCAAAAATAAAACTGCAGAGAATGTTTACTACTTTTAGTCTAGAGAGATACTGGCAGCATTTCTACAAAGTATTGTGGGTGTGTATATACAGTATATGCATGTGTGGGTAAAATGTGTGAGAGTGTGTGTGTGTGTGTGTGTGTGAGTGTGTGTGTCCCTTTGAAAAATTGATTCCTATCCTTGAGATGCCTAGAGATCCCCTATCTGTAGAAAAACCATTTGTTGTTTAGCAGCTTTGTAATACAGTATCGTGTAAAGCACAACACCAATCTGAAAGAGATATTCACCAACTTGTAGACTGTTGCCTAAGCATTGGGCTCCCTGAGGCTTTACTGTAAATTCCTTCCTCTTTAAGGCACACCATTTCACGAAAGTTGCCAAGCTTCCTTTTCTCCACTAACAATATCCTCTATCAGAGTCTCTTCCTTCAATAAGTACCCAGATGTAATAAAACAAGAGGAGAAAATTAATAAAAGAGAGAAAAATCTCAAAAATGATCATTAATCTATGTTGCCAAGAATTTTTAATTTGCATGTCACTGACAGGTATGTGTCATGATCTCATTTGATTTTAATTTCAAAGTGATGTGAACTGATGGAGATAATGAAGCCAAATGTATGCTACAAACACATTTTCATATACAAACCAGTTCTTAATTATTATCAATAATGGAAACTCAGGAGTTAGCTATGCATAAATACAAAGGCATTTTTAAATTTTAGTGAAGAAATTCATTAATACACTTATTTCCAAGCTGGTTCACTTAGCTGATGGGAGAATATTGCTATCACAATTAAAGTTAAACTCCTGAATGAGTCAGGAAATACATCTGGGTGGATGGTAGAGGGTAAAAAGCTTGGACCTTGGAGTCAGATAAATCTGGTTCTGAATTCCACAACCTTCACTTTACTAAAACATGACCTTGAGCTCTGGTTTCATCTTCTGTAAAATGTAGTTAATATCGAATTTTAAAAATCAGCTTTCCTGGTTGCAAGGAAAAAAGCCTCAACTCAAGTAACCTTGAATAACAGGGCAGGATTTTGTGAGATGAAGTGGTTGGTACAAATACACTTGGCAGTGAGGACACAGAAATTTCAATCATGAGGCCAAGCCTTCAAAGACATACAGGAAATGCTAAACAACCAGGTCTCAGAAAGAGAAAAAGCCTCATGTTGTTCAGAACTAAGGAGTGTATACAGTTTGTCATTGGCTTGTCATCACCTTGACCCAGATACTCCTTCTCTCTGGCTGCTCGTCTTCATTCTATAAGTACATTTTTTATCTTCCGGGTCCTGCTTTCTCATCATTCTGGTTGTGTATAACTTCCACGATCATCTTGACCTACCAGCTTCCCTCCGCCAATGACCTGTAAACTACTCCCACTAAGTCTTACCTACTTCTTATATATTCAAATTACTAGGTTCAGGATTATTAAAAACAAGACATGATAGGCTTGGTAATTCCCTGTTTGGGTAGAGCTTTTTGCTGTACCTCAAAGGACACTGACCAGTTTGTAATAGGCTACATTTGTGCTGGTTGCCCACCTTTGGGCTAATCTGTTATGGCTCAAGGGTGAAGTCTTGCTGTGGGAGCTAAGTTATGTGGTGTGAAATAGGCAGGTGGGTCTCCGGGTTAGTTCCCTTAGTAAGTGTGAGGATGTTGGTGCTGGGGCTGACATTTCTGGCACAGTAACTCCTTCAGGCCATATCTAATATAGGCATCCAGCACCATGCCAGATGTCTGGTAGGTGCAATGCATGTTAGTTTACCGAAAAGTTCACCAAGTTACTAACAAATCACCTACTTTGTAAGGTAGAATGCCAGGTACTGTGGCAGTAAGAGTGACAAGGCAGATGTGGTCCCTGTTCTTATGGAGTTTCTACTGTAGTAAATGAGACATCCAAAAATATATATAAGCAACTCAGCAAGCCCACTTTTAGATACAGGATACAGAGAAAAGAAAACACATGTTCACATAAAAACTTGTACACAAATTCTTAAAGCAGCATTATTCATAATAGACAAAAAATATAAACAACCCAAATGTCCATCAATGGACAAATGGATAAACAAAACACACTATAACCATATGGTGAAATATTATTAAGCCATAAAAAGGGATAAAGTTCTGATACATGCTACAACACTGATGAACATTAAAAACATGAGGCTAAGTTAAAGAAACCAGATACAAAAGACCTCATAGTATATGATTTTATTCATATGAAAGTCTGGAAAAGGGAAATCTACAGAGACAGGAAGTAGATTTGTGGTTGCTTAGGGATGGAGAGGTGATGGATGTATGATGGGGTGATAGCTAAAGGGTACAGGATTTCTTTTTTACCCGATGAAAATTGCCAACCATTATGATGATGGTTGCATGTATCTGTGAATAAACTAAAAACTATTAAATTGTATATTTTAAATGTGCAAACTGTATGGTGTGTGAATTATATCTCAATAAAGCTGTTAAAATTCTAAAAACTAAACACATGCAGAAAATTAATAAAATTAAATGTGCATGGGCTATAAAGGAAACAAGAGACTGAGATAAAGAATAAAAGGGAGGGGCTCTCCTTAGGTAGTGTGCTCAAGGGAGGCCTCTCTAAGTGGGTGGCACAGAACCCAAGAACTGGAGGAAGAATAGGAACCAGCTGTGAGAACAGCACTCCTAGTAGAGGAAACAGCTTGAGCAAAGGCCTGGAGGCAGGCAGGACTTATCAGGAGAATGGCCATCACTTTCTCTCCCACTTAGGATGCAAGTGTTTCCGAGTGACTTTAAGATAATTTTTAATTAATTCCAATTTATTTAAAAATCAAATTAACACCAGTCTTTGGCACCTTAACTATAAGTAGGAATAATTTATATGTGGTGTGCAGTAGTCACTCTAGTCAGGACCCTACATCACAGAGAGATCACCATTTTTTTTTTTTTGAGATGGAGTCTTGCTGTCTCTCAGTCTGGAGCGCAGTGGTGCGATCTCCGACTCCCAGGTTCAAGCGATTCTTCTGCCTCAGCCTCCTGAGTAGCTGGGATTACAGGCGCCTGCCAGCACACCCAGCCAAACTTTGTGTTTTTAGTAGAGATGGGTTTTGTCATGTTGTCCAGGCTGGTCTCAAACTCCTGACCTCGGGTGATCCACTTGCCTCGGCCTCCCAAAGTATTGGGATTAGAAGCGTGAGCCACCGCACCAAGCCAAGATCACAATTTTAACACCAGGTTTCACACCTTTGGCTAACTAGCAAACAAAATAATTTACAAATAATATTTTGCAGAGTGGACCTCAAAGTACCCTATCAATGCAAAATTCTCAACCATATCTGTATTGCTGTGAACAGATTTCAAATCTTCACTTTGACATTTTTTTCTTTTTTTCTTTTTCTTTTTTTTTTTTTTTTTTTTTTTGAGACGGAGTCTCACTCTGTTGCCCAGGCTGGACTGCAGTGGCACAATCTTGGCTCACTGCAACCTCTGCCTCTTGGGTTCAAGCCATTTTCCTGGCTCAGCCTCCCAAGTAGCTCGGGTTACAGGCACCCACCACCATGCACAGCTAATTTTTGTATTTTTAGTAGAGACAGGGTTTCACCATGTTGGCCAGGCTGGTCTCAAACTCCTAACCTCAAGTGATCCATCTGCCTCTGCCTCCCAAAGTGCTGGGATTATAGGCGTGAGCCACTGCGTCTGGCCCACTTTGATATTTTATGCGTTAAACTCGAATTGTCTCTTTGAGGGTCTCTTAGGAACTGGTGAATAGGATGTTTTATACAGGATAGTTCCAGACATCTGCAGACTTATTCAGTTAAGTATAGTAAATAACAAAATCCCTATCATTCTACTTTCCTTTTCTTTTGGCCCTGAGCCTTCAAAAAGCAGTAGGTTGAAAGAAACCAAACCATCTTTCCTGACCTCTTCATTTTATTTATGTATTTGATTTTTACAAGGTTCAGTGAACAAAACATGGCCTTAAAGTGAAAGATCACTATCACATGAGTGCTGTTATCTGACTTGGAACTTGATTAAAACCAAATCTGTTCATCGGCCAACAGGTCAAATGTGCCCTGTCCCAGTACTGGGGAACATTTAAGATCATGCATAAACACACAGCCATCAAACTGATTCGAACTGGACAAAATAAAACAAAATCTGGCCTAAATGAGAGTTTGCTCAGTGGTGGCTCTCAGCTTTCAAAAAACTGTGAAAGAAAAAGTCACAGCTTGAATATGTCAAAATAATCCTATAGGAGGTTAATGGATTTGTTTACTAATCAAAGCTTAATCAGAAAAAAAATTAGCTCCGCTCTCAACAATCTTTTAAAGAGCAGATTTTCATATTGGTTTGAAACAGCCCTAAATAATTCTCTGAAATTGGGCAAATCAATTTGTAAAGGTAAAGGCTCATGGGACATTGGAACACAGAGGTCATCTTCTGTTCCACTTTCCTCATTTCACAGAGATGTGAAGAAGCAGCTTGCCCAACATGAATAACTAAACAGCGACAGAATCCAGATTAAGTCCCCTGACTTTTGGGACAAAGGGTTTTTAACTTTGGGGAAGACGGGGGGTTGTAGCATCAGCAATTAAAAATTTGAAAGCACACTCTTTGACCTAGAAACTACAAGTTTAGAAATCAATAGTATAGAAACACTAAGGCAGGTGTGTCAAAAATATACATAGCAGGGTATTCACTGCAGTATTGTATATATAGTGCAAAATTGGAAGCAACCTATATATTGAACAATAGGGGAATTATTGTGTACAAGATTCCATCATGGTATAACGGAATAAAATAACTGTTTAAAAAAATATGGTTCATTTAGGCCAGGCGCAGTGGCTCGTGCCTTTAATCCCAGCACTTTGGGAGGTCAAGGCAGGCGGATCACCTGAGGTCAGGAGTTCGATACCAGCCTGGCCAACATGGAGAAACCCCATTTCTACTAAAAATACCAAAAATTAGCCAGGTGTGGTGGCAGGCACCTGTAATCCCAGCTACTCGGGAAGATGAGACAGGAGAATGGCTTGAACCCAGGAGGCAGAGGTTGCAGTGAGCCGAGATTGCACCACTGCCCTCCAGCCTGGGTAACAGAGTGAGATACTGTCTCAAAAAAAAAATGGTACATTTAAATATTCTGACATGGATATTCATGACAAACTGTAAATTGAAAAAAGCAAATTTCAGATTAAAGTGTAAATATAACGTCAATTTTTTTTTTTGTTTAAAACATGGTCAGGCACAATGGCTCACGCCTGTAATCTCACCACTTTCAGAGGCTGAGGTGGGCCGATCACTTGAGACCATGAGTTCAAGATCAGCCTGGCCAACATGGCAAAACCCTGTCTCTACAAAACATACAAAAATTTGCTGGGTGTGGTGGCGCTTGCCTGTGTAATCCAGCTACTTGGGTTGCTGAGACAGGAGAATTGCTGGAACCCAGGAGGCAGAGGTTGCAGTGACCTGAGATGGCACCACTACACTCCAGCCTGGGCAACAGAGCAAGACTTTGTCTCAAAAAAAAAAAATTAAAAAATAAAAACAAATAAATAAAAAACAACATAAAGGTGTGTGTGGGGATGTATGCACATACAATGTCTGAAAAGTCACATACCACTGTTAATAGTGATTCTGTATAGGAAGAGGGATTTTTTTAAAAACAAAAAACAACACAACAAAAAGAACCCCACAAGAATTATAAAACGACCCATTTCCTGAGGCATAAATGCAAGAAAGCCTCCTGGTCTGCAAACATCTCACACTCTGTAAAAATTCCAGGAGTAGATTGGAGGGCTGAGGTTTTGACACTGCATTGATCTTGATCACCCACCCCCATCCCCACCCCTAATACTTTGCTGTGAGAAATGATGTTCTTTCCATCTTACATGAAGTGCTATTCAAACCCAAGTTTCATTGTCCCCAGCAATCCCCTCTCAGACAGCTCCCTCCTTTAGCTACTCCTAGAGAGAAATTCTGGAAAATCTTGGCACAGAGTCCTAATAAATCCCCCATCCTTATAAGATGGAATAGACTCCAACTCTTAAAAGTGTATTTTGCCCTTCTAGCTGTTATAAGATCATTCTAGAAGAAGACTGTGATTTTATCTCCTGAGGTTTCTCTGAGGGCACACTCCATTGCCACAGCCTTCAGAACTGTGGACAGGTTGCCTCTTTTGGAAAGTTCAACAAAGTAAACTAAGAACTTTAATAGCTGCATTAAATCCTGGTGTTCTTTGTAAAAATGCCTTGGTGACAGTAATATTACAAAAAAATATTACTATCTGAGTATTTGCAGCCTCACTCTGAACCCTCAAGGCCTCCACTTCCCAGTAAAGATAATTTTGTCTTTGCCTGATCAGCTTCTCTTCTTTGTCTACCCCAACTTGACTCCTGGGTTCCTGTGATACAGAAACAGGAGAATGCGAAGAAAGAGGTAGGACTAGAAAAACAGAATACAAGAGGCAAAGAAAAGTGGACAGTGTTGGCGAGTAGTGGGAAGGCGGCAGTGGAGAACAAGGGCTCCAGATGGGCTGTGACAGTGAGGAAGTGGAGTTGGGGGAACCTTAGACGATGTGGCTAGGATCTGTAAATTGAATCTCTTTTAATGCGTTCTGAGGACTGCAAGCAAAACTTAGAGTTTCATTTGCTTTTGGTTGTTTCTTTGAATGTTACACTGCCCTGAAACTTGGTGACATAAGGCCCAGGATTTATTCAGGTTATAATATATTCTAGAGGAAAAGGTGGGTATGACACCTGTATGACTGTCTTTAAAGAGACCAAGGCACAAAATTGGTTGCTAAGGACTATTTATTGAGAAAATATAAATAGTTGATGCATGTTATGATGAATACTCTAATTACAAAAGACAGCTGAGATTCAAAGAAAGAACCATGTAACAAAATAAACTTCTAACTAGAAAATTACAATCACTGAAAGTTTTCAAACTCTGTTGTTCTTTTTTATCATAACAGTGACAAGACATGGAAAATTAAAATGCATATACTTAGGGGTATATGATTTCCCTTACTGAGATTTCCCTTACTATGGAAAGTTGAAGCCATTTTTATGCTTGGAAAAAAATGGCTGCAAGCCTCCAAATCAGAAACGGTATCCAGAGAAACCTGATTCCGGAAAAGTTGATGGATGCCTTTAATGTCCTTGGGCCTGGAGAAAATTAGGATGAAATTAGGAAAGAGGAAAATTTGAAAGTCAGTGAGGAAAGTACAAGGATTTACAAAAATACCATTCTAATTTTACTTGAAATTATTTACCTTTTATGTGAATGGTATAATTACAACCAATGATACATCCATAAGTTGAGTTTACTTTAACAGAATAAACATTGTGGAAAGCGAAAGCATGAAATGCACTCATTTCGCTCTCCATGAGACCCAGAGCTGTTTAGGCCCCAAGGCCATAGCTCACGCACATCCACTGCAGGCATAAAAATTTAGAAATAAAATAAAAACAGAAACAATCACTCTACGCTGGACTGAAAAACTCAACCTGCAGAATGATGACAAATATCCCATTGTTAAATTTCAAAACCATAGAGGAGACAAAGGAAACCATGTATTTTTAAAATTATTAATAGTTGAAAGCTATTTCAATTATGTTTATTTTTTCAGAGTATTTCTACATTTCAAATGATATATCCAACAGCAGAATTTTTAAAATTAGGTTTTGCATTTCAAACAAAGCTCAAAGATGTTGAGAAAATAAAGGAAACAAAACCAACCTCAGATACCCAGATACTGTTCCTTCTTCCAGCAACACAAAAACTGAGTCTTATTCAAGATCACTGGCATTCTTCCCTGTGCGACAGAGGACTGTGAGGTTCAAGTCCATACATGGCTGTCATTCAAAGGATGAGCATGGAAGAGTGGCTAAGAAGAAAACTGTTGTAAATCGCATCAGTGGAGATTATCTCTAAGAAGGATTTCCATATAGTGATAGCTGTTAAACTCCAGGATGGAGGCCTGAGAAAATCTGTGGCCTGTTCTCCAGATGTCAGGACAAATAGAAGGAATGCTTCTTAATCCAAGATGCTGCAATTGGTAGGAATCAATGAAAAATTGCAGAGGGGGATATTTGTCACCCCCTATTTCATTCTAAAACATATTTATTTCATTTAGCTTCCAAAAACATTGACAAAGACCATGGTCAGGTGGGGAGTTTCTGTCTTTTGAAGGCTGTAAGAGTAATGAGCACTTCCTGAAGGGAGAGTATTAAATTGGAAGTTTGAATTGACTCTTTGATATAAGCTTGTGTTTTGTGAAATTTGTGTTAGTGGTGAATATGATTGCCATTCTCCTGCTTTAGAATCTGGATTGGTTTTTTTGTTGATTGGTTGGTTGGTTGATGATTTTTTTAACATTTGATTGTATTTATTGCTCTAGCAATGCAGAAAAAAAGTGAGCTTCCCACGGTAGGCATATATCAGATTTAATTAGAGTTCTGTCCAATATCCGAAGCAGAGAATTAATATTTTCTTGAGATTTTTATGGTAATCGTAGTAACTAATACATACGAAAAGTTTATTATGTGCTAGACCTGTTCTAAGTGCTTCAGAGTTTAACTTCATATCATTTTTAAAACAAGATGGTACAATCCTTATAACCTGGTACTGTAACTGGAGCAGACCCTAAAAGTGTTGCATCCATATACTGTAGACCACTAGAAGACTCCAAACCAAGATCATTTGCATCTTCATTTTGCAGATCAAGAAAGCGAAGGACATAAAAGTTAAGAGATTTTTCCAGGCTCACCCAACTAGTAAGTAACAGAGTTGATGTTTGAATCCAGTACTGCATAATTGATATCACCTCCCCATTTATGTGGCAGTAACTTTTTGCATGAAATCAGAGTTATAAGGAGCATTCTCCGAAACACAAATATCATAGAAATTTCATGAAGTTTCATAGAATGTATGTGCATATAAAATTGCAGAATGTGAAAGACAGAGATAGCAACTTCTAGGAACAACTGGGTCTGCCACAGCTGGTTTGAATTAACATTAAGAACCAACATTAAGACATGAGAAGCACAGAGCAGAGTGTTCTCCAACAGGCACTCCTGGAAATCCTGATCCCATGCAGAATCACAAACCTCAGATATATATTTCCATACTCCTGACAGGCTATTAGCTTGCAGCTGAAACACAAGATGTGATCTTGGCTCAGGGGAAACAGGCATTAGGATGCCTACCTCAGAGCCAGTTAACAGAGGCAAAGAAAAAACAGACACAGGCGCTTTTGAAATAGGAACTGAAATGAAAAAGTTTGAATTTGCTCATCAATACAAATTTGGGATAATGAAACCATCTACAGGTAGCCAAAAAATAAACACCTCGCAAACCTCTAACTATATGTGCACATATGAAATTGCCTCCAATATCCCATGCAACACAACAGTGCTAGAGCCGTCTCCCTGGGGACATTTGAAACTCGCAAATCATTAATGTTTCTATCTGACACCCAGAAACAGTGCTCAGTCCCAGCGATGACCATTGACTAAGTGACAGGCTTGGGCACATAATACTTTTCTGGTCAAATTAAAACAAATTATAAATATTACCAAACTGAGTTTCATCTGTTTATAAGTTCAAGTGTGTTTATTTGTTCTAAACTGAACATATGGTTGTACCACAATGGATAGCCATAAAGTGTATAAATTTTTAGCCAAATTTGGAGAGCTCTTTACAGAGCATTATAAAAGGAAAGCCACAACATTCTAACTCATAAAGAGAACTCCAAGTCTTTACTCAACAGTGCAGTGTTCAACATAAAACAACCTAGGGTCTCAGAAACTTGTCAGTGTTCTCTGTGAGTTTCCACAGAGAACAATAACAAGAAATTTAGAGCAGAGCTGCCTCTTTGACAATCTCTGCCCACAGAGTTCAAGCTAAGCCAGCACTACCAGAGGCATCATGGAAAACCTAGGATTGGTTTTCATCCAGCCTTAAGTAAATTACACAGACTTCCAAGGAACTAGTTGCAAGACAGCCCAGAGTCTGAGGCCAAGGAAAACTTTCTACATCCCCTTGCAGAACTATTTGCTCAATTTCTGCACCCTTTATCAAATTTTCCAGCAATAGGCAAATGGAAAGCATATAATGTTTAGACACATTCATTTATACACAAGTGAAAAGCCCAGAATCAGATCTTTCCTGAGTTGGCCAGAGACCCCACCCTCCCCAGCATTCATGCCCACAGCAGGTGGCCTTATGATGCTGGATAGGATCAAACAGGGATTTTCTGCTCCAGAGGGGATTTGGAAACCCTCCCTAACCCTGCTGGGTCAAGGAACTCTGTTCTCACATCCTGGCTCAGACAACAGAGCTTGAGGTTCTTTGACACAGGATATGGTTGTCAAATAACATTGCAGAGGCCCCTTCTGTCACCTCCATCTCTGTAACAAGATCTGTGTTACAGAATGACTGATATTAAGGGGTAGATGATTAAAATATTTAGGCATAGCAAGGGCCTTCCCTGCAATCACATTACATGGGCCAAGGTCAACTCCACTCTTGGACCCCTTCTCAAGGAATTCTCAGATTCAAGACTAAGCTCTTCCACTGCCAGGGGGGCTCTGCTTGCTAGGCTGATGAGGCCACCTGTGTCACATTTGCCTCTCTGTCTCCAGTTTCTAGCACCAGTGCCTGACATTGTTAAAAACTCTTTGATGAATGAATGCTTTGGCAAGTCAGGTGACCATAAGGAGCCTATCATGTATTAGGCATCTGCTCTGTTTAGCTCCATTGATTAATCACTTACCGAGTTCTTGTGACAAGCCAGGCCATGCTAGGATGCCAACATGATTAAGGCACAATCTTGTCCTGAAGGGCCTTGCAGTCTAGGGGAGGCCTCACAGGCCAGTGGTTCTGAAAGAGCCTGAAAATGGAAATATGGCCACCAAATGTAGATTCTGAATCTTTCTGGCTGACTTCAAGAAGGCATTTGAGTGCTCTGTGACTTTCTAGGAAAGTTACCAAGGGAAAGATATTTGGATGAAGTGAAAAGCTCAAAAGACAGGTTAGTTAAAAAAATGGTCATTCACTTTGACTCCACAACCTCCCTTCTGGAACTAGTCCCAGAGAAATTGGCCAAAAAAAAAAAAAAATAATAAAGAGAGAAAGACAAAAGCCTGAATGTACAAAGATGTTTATTACTGCACTATTATAATAGGGAACAACTGTAAACCATTTAAATGTCCATCAATAGGGAAAGGGCTAGTAAATTATGGCACAACTATAACATTAGATATGAAAAGTGGAACACAAATGTGTATAGGGTCCTGTGATTGAAACCATATATACATATGAACAAAGATCAGAAATGTGTTAAAAACAATTATATGTATGTGTAAGAAATCTGAAGGTTATAAGAGTCTTTTATATATTTTCCTCACTGGATACTCACAATAATCCTGGAAAATAGGCAGTATGATTGTGACATCCTCTTTTTTTTTTTTTTAAATACATGAGGAATTGGGATTTAGGAAGATAAGTGACTTGTCCAAGTTCAGAGTAGAAAATTTAAACACAAGAAAGACATCTCACCCCAAATTCCTCCTTTCCATTATACTCTCTGCCTCTGGGGAATGAAAATAGTTGCTGGGCAACTTCTGCAAGTTTTTAATCATGGACATAATTTTTAAATTTCAAGTGCTTTTGATAGTAAAGTCAGCTTAAAAAATATATAGCTAAAGCAGCATAAAGAGGTTTTACACACCAAATATCAACAACCACTACCACTATAAAAATCTTAGCTGAGAAGTCAGAAAGTATCGCTCTTTTTTTAAATCTAAAACTAAAAGGATGTGAAATGTGAAATCTAGTGTACTTTCGATACAAATTTATTTCCATTTAAATTATAGAAAACCACTTTGGGCATCTCTTAGTGCTTTTTGTGTCCTGAGTTTACTTACAATGAAAGTCAAGACTCTGCATCATTAATCAGTAAAATTTAACAAATTATCATACTGTTTGGCCAATGAACACAATTGATTCAAGATGATTTCTCTTCCACATGCCAAGAAAAAAAACAATGAACAAATAAACACCATTTACCCAGAATATTTAGCATGTGACCTATTCTGGATTAAAAATATTTCTAAAATGTAGGTATCTCAACTCCAAAATAGGATAATGCTTAGGATAGGATTTGATCCAAACTCAACTCCTCTTGGAGTGCTCTCTTGGGTTTTTTTCTCCATTATGTACATTAAGGAATATAAGATAAGATATATATTTATGAAATTTCAAGTCAATCTTCTCTAATGTACATAAACAATGGAAAGTCTCCACATCCCTCCATCACCAGCAATAGCTCCTGGGAATCTCCTCTACTCTAATCCTTACCACTCTCGACCCCTTTCATGGTGGATTGGACAACCAGATGGGATGCTTTCACTGTGGGCCCTGCCTGCCATCTTTTGAAAACAATTCAGCAGCTTGGATGCTTCTGCCATGTCATCAAGTGAGTTGCCTCTCCTGCGTTCCTCTTGCTCTTTTTTTCCTCACTCCTGTAGAACTTTTGATAACTCTGGCTTGTTCCTAAACTTGTGTTTTTGCTTGCCAAGGAACAGTAAAAGAGAAAGAGGTGACTTATACTAGAAAGAGCATACAGAAAAGCCCTCAAAAAAGATGATCTCCCATTATAATTATCTAACTGTTTATTTCAAATAAGAAACTTTTAAAACAATGAATAACAAATGAAGAGCTAGAGGATTATACCAAATTTGTCTTAGTAGAAATTTGTTTAATCATATAATTATATGAATTTCAGAGAAAGGAAGAAGGAGGTCAATTTTGGACCTCAGAAGACAGGTCTAACTAATAAGGGCAACTTGAAGTCATGGTGTCTGGTTTTGCAAGCGTTCTTTAAAATCAAACAGTGCAACCTCCCACTAGTCCCCTAAGAGACATTAATAGGTACACCTGGGATGGTAGTTCATTGGTCAAATATGTTTGGGAAATGCTACATTCTGTAGTCCTTACTGGAGAATCACAACAATCTGTCAAAAGCTATGAAAAGTGAAGAAGTTAAGAAACTTGCTTTATATTTATTTCATCCTTTTCCAAATTTATTTTGTCCATGGAACCCTTCTGCCTTGTTTAAGAACACCCATTAACATTTCTTGTGAGTAGTGCTATAGCTTTGGTTGACCCAAAATTCACATGTTGAAATCTAGTTATCAATAATATGATTTTAGGAGGTGGGACCTTTTGGGGGTGATTAGATCCCAAGGGCAGATCCCTTGTGAATGAGATTAGAGCCCTTATAAAAGAAGCCCCTGAGAGCTGCCTTGCCCCTTCCACCATGTGAGGACACAGCAAGAAGAAACCATGTATAAACCAGGAAGCCAGGCCCTCACCAGACACCCAACACACCAGCTCCTTGATTTTGGACTTCTCAGCTTTCAGTACTGTGAGAAATAAATTTCTGTTGTTCATAAGCCACACTGTCTGTGTTATTTTGTGACAGCAGCTGGAACAGACTAAGACAAAGGGTGTTCCATGAAACACTTTGTGGGAAATGCAAAGTTGAGTCTTTTCTACACTAAACAACATCTCAGGCTTTTTCAGCAGCTCTTCATAGGAAACTTTTCCAGATGCTTTACCTTCCTCGTTCATCATGAGGTCTGAGGCTTGCGGAGGGCAGATATGCATAGAGAGGAGAGAGGAGTTCTGAGATGAAGTTAGAAGAAAATTGGCCACAGACTATGTCTACTTATTTTGTCAAGAGATACAGCAGTAGTGAATTGGGTGGGTTTGGAAGTAAAACTCAGCCTCCTCAAATTCAGCCCAGTCTTCCCCATTTAGGTACATTCTGTTTCTCTAATACTGTTCTGTTTTCTTGTCCACTTCCTGCTCCTTCCATTGCAAGGAGGAAAGGAGGGGAGGGAATGGAGTTACGTGTATGCGTGACCACACTTTTCCCATGCAGAGGAACATGGTGTAGTATTTGAGGGATGTCTCTGACTATTTATGGAATTGCAAAGGGTCTTCAAGGGCCTCAGCCCCCAAAAGAAAGAGAGAAAGAGGGAGGCAGAGAGAGAGAGAGAGAGAGAGAGAGACAGAGAGAGAGAGAGAGAGAGAGAGATTTTGTGCTCTTGGGGTTATTTCCCAAAGGCTGCCATTCCAGGGGAAGAGAAACAACCTGATTGAACCTAATGTCAGCTCTGCATGCCATTCTCAACACCAAGCTCTTCAGTCCTGCTCCTCAGAGCACTCTCCCTTCAAAGGTGCCTCACCACCATTTACTCTTTCAAATTCAGGTTCTTGTGTGTTCTTTTAAATTTTCGCCCTTGCAGAATGGCCATAATCCAAAAATAAAAAAATATAGTAGATGTTGGTGTGGATGCGGTGAACAGGGAACACTTCTATACTGCTGGTGGGAATGTAAACTAGTACAACCACTATGGAAAACAGTGTGGAGATTCCTTAAAGAACTAAAAGTAGAACTACCATTTGATCCAGCAATCCCACTACTGGGTGTCCACTCAGAGGAAAAGAAGTCATTATACGAAAAAGATACTTGCACATGCATGTTTATAGCAGCACAATTCACAATAGGAAAAACATGGAACCAACCCAAATGCCCATCAATCAACGAGTGGATAAAGAAACTGTGGTATATATATACAATGGAATACTACTCAGCCATAAAAAGGAATGAATTAATGGCATTTGCAGGGACCTGGATGAGACTGGAGACTATTACTCTAAGTGAAGTAATTCAGGAATGGGAAACCAAACATGGTATATTCTCACTCCTAAGTGGGAGCTAAGCTATGAGGATGCAAAGGCATAAGAATGACACAATGGACTTTGGGGACACGGGGGAAAGGGTGGGAAGGGGATGAGAGACAGAAGACTACAAATAGCATGCACTGTGTACTGCTCAGGTGATGGGTGCACCAAAATCTCACAAATCACCACTAAAGAACTTACTCATGTAACCAAACACCACCTGTTTCCCAATAACCTATGGGAAAAAAATTTTTTTAATTATGCCTTTGCAGACTGCTTTTATCACATTACTTATTTTCTTATTGTTGTGCTAATTAATTTATTTTAATTACCTCATCAACAATATGCCTTCTTACTTTTCTAGATGAATGGGGAAGAAAGTACACCGGGCCCGGCTAGGTGGCTCACACCTATAATTCCAGAATTTTGGGAGGCTGAGGCAGGAGGATCACTTGAGCCTAGGAGTTTGAGACCATCCTGGGCAACATAGTGAAACCCCTCTCAAAAAAACAAAAAACAAAACAAAACAAAAAACAAAACAAAACAAAAAACCACCACACAAGGAGTGACTCTTGAGGGTCAGTTTTGTTACCAAGAGGTAGGGGATGGGGACATTAGCCCCAACAGTAATCTCCTTCAGCTCCTCCCAATAATATAACTCAACATGAATAAAAACTGAGTGTTTGCTATGCAAATGGAGTTCCCAGGCAAACCCCCCATATAGATAGTTTTGAGCCAATCAATGCTACTAAATGTTTTTTCAGGTCAATAAATTATTATTTTATTGTTGAGATTGTTCCTCCTACTTGGCTACTTGGTCTATCAAAAGTTAGGAAAATTACAGTAAGGTCTCTTAATATATAGCTTCTAAATTTTTTTTTTTACATTTAAAAATTATTTATTTATATATTCTGATGCTGTCATTCAATACATAAATATTTATGATAGTTATTTAAAATAAATAAAAGTGATCTTCATTGCTTTAACATTTTATTACCTTGATTTTTGCTTTTTTCTCTTCATTTTTTATATATTTGCCTAATTTTTAATTTTAAACCATTTTGAATCACATTTTTTAGACATATCTCTTATAAACAGTATAAAGTTAGATTCTACATTATCTTTCTTCTCTACAAATTGTACTATGCATGTCTTAATCTAGTATCCATCTACAAAGTAAGCATCTGGAATCAGTCAGGGGCCAGTCAGGAAAGCAGAATCAGCTCTAAGTATTTCTGTTTTGTTTTGTTTTGCTTTGTTTTTGAGACGGAGTCTCACTCTGTCACCCAGGCTGGAGTACAGTGGTATGATCTCCGCTCACTGCAACCTCCGCCTCCCGGGTTCAAGTGATTCTCCTGCCTCAGCCTCCCGAATAGCTGGGATTACAGGCACGCACCACCATGCCTGACTAATTTTTGTATTTTTAGTAAAGACAGGTTTCTCCATGTTGGCCAGGCTGGTCTTGAACTCCTGACCTCAGGTGATCTGCCTCCCTCAGCCTCCCCAAATGCTGAGATTACCAGCGTGAGCCACCATGCCTGGCCAGCTCTAAGTATTTCAAACAGAAGGAATTTAATATGGAGAATCCGTTGCCCATAAGATGGAAGAGCTCAGACACCAAACAGAAGAGAGACCATCTATAGATAAACAACATCAGGAAACTGCTGTAGCCTCTGAGGCTGGAGCCACCCAACAGGACCCAGCCAGCCACCAGGGGTGAGAGAAGAAGCAGGCCCTAGGCAGAGGCCTATGCAGTGGAACTCCTGGAGATACAGGGCCGATTAGGGGAAGATCAGTGAACGGGGCAGAGTGCAAATGTGAAAATGATCAGTACACACCTCGTCTCCCCTTTGTAACACTATGTACCCTGACATGGACATGTGCACCTACATGTCCACGTGTGCATATGCACACATATACTCATCACACATTATTCGTCGACCTAGCTTTCATCAGCTTTTCCTTTCAGATAAGAAACCATCCATGGACAAAGCATACATCCCAAGTTACATCTATGATCATCATAACACCTTACACTTTATAACACTTCACTGACCCAAAGCACATTCAAAACCATCTGTGCATTTTTATTTTAGCTTTCATAACCACCACATGAGGCAATTGAGGCATTTACATCTTCATTTTATAAACAAGGAAATTTGGAGAGATTAAGGTATCCAAATAATGCATCAAAGAGTCAGGTATGACATCCCAGATTCCTCAAGCACCAAGACCAGGCTCTATGTTGTGTCTCCCGACGAACATCTGAAGGTCATGGGTGTGCACAGTAAGATCTATAGGCTCTAAGGTACCACATCTGGCCATAGATTAATAAACAAGGCTATACTAAACTAATTGCTGGCAATAGTCAGCCTCTCAATTCTTTATACTTCATATAACCCATTTTAAGAAAATGTCATCACAATGATCATTTGTATAGTACGTGACAGTTTACCATGTGCCTCCGTATTTCCACATTTGATGTAATATTCCTAAAATACAGCATGCTAAATACCCATATCTAACTGGCATGCATTGTGAGCGAATAAGCTCAAGGTCAGTGGAGCCATTTTTACAGTCCTCATAGATAATATGAACCTTGCATCCTACTTCATGAATTCAAAGGGGTCAGTTTCCTTCAGTTGTACTCAAGATCACAAGCAGAGAATTTTTCTTCAGATGTGACCTACTTCTGACTACTCCTCCAACCCACAGAATCACAGATGACAAAGCAGCTCTGACTCTGTCTTTGAGCCACACCAAGCCTCAGAGGTTTGCTGCTGGGAGGAACATAACTCTAGGGTCTTCGGAGCCCCCAGAGGGAGAGCTGAGCTGAGACTGCCATCAATACAGCAGGAATGGCTGAGCCCATTAAATAGCAGGAATTCCTCTAGGTGTACGTTTTCAGCTTGATGATACCTTGATTTGGTGTGCAAGCAGTGACAGGTCCAAACACTGGGGTCAAGACATTTTCCATGCACTTGAAAAGCTTCCTTAAGTGAGACTACAGATCAAAGGCAGCTACGCCATTTGGTAGGGAGCATTCAAAGCCTGATGGGAATCTGATTTTAACAGACAGTCTTCCAGCAGCATTAACACTCTGTAGAATGGAGATGAGGGGGATATCTCAACAATGTGAGGCTCTAACAGAATTCTGTCAAGAGGGGAAAAGGCCATCCACTGCAAAAGAGGCACAAATCCTGCCCTAGATGTTACACTGAAAATTCTTTGATTTCTACCACAAAATTATTCTGTCTTGGCTCTGAGATAACTGACATTGCCAGACTGGGGGCATTTAAATGCTAAGTAAAGACAGCAATAGATGCTGGTTACCAGGGAATGCTTCTAAGCAAAGCTAAGTCTCTGAGAGGATCAGCAGAGGAATTGTGGAGCCATCCTAGTCCTACTTTCTTTCCCCGGACCCCTAAAGTATGGCTTCTTCTGCCTCAGTTTTAAAATGCCCCAGCTCGGTCTGAAGCAGTACCTACTCTGATCATGGCCAAATCCTCCCCACAACCAATTCCTCCCAACCAGGATGCCCTTCTTTTCTAGACACCTGACTGGTGGAAATGGAGGGGGAGAAGCAAAGATAAGGGCTGGGAGCTCAGCATTAAACCTATTTGTGTTTTGCTGTTTTGCCCATAAAATGGCCAGTGATGGAGACCCCATATATTCATTGAAAATTGCCAGCAGTCTTAGAACTTTAAAACTTGGTGGAAAAAAAAAGTTAAAACATATTATCTTCTATTCATCTTCTTTCTTAGACAACAAAATCTACACATCATGGTGCCTGTATCTTACTCCTAATTAAAAATTAATAATCAGCTATGGAATTGAGATCAATTGTGTGTTACATTTAATCAAAGGTATTTCACCAGATTTCTTTGATCTGATTTTTCTGTTGAGATTTTAAAGCAGAGGTTTATTTCCACCTATACTTTGGGGCAGGGGCGCACCTTGTAAAGTATTAAGTAAAAGTTCCAGCCATTTTGAAACGGGCCACCTGATCTTTACCACATTCTCTTTTTCAGCCGACTATAAAGCTCGCATAAGCCTGGTTCCTCCTGCGGTATCATTTTACCCTCTGAACTTCATCTCCCAACACCTCCTTACTCTCTCTGACTCTGACACCCCAAGCAAGAGGCCATGGGGTGCTAGAGGGGGTTTAGGCTGGTGACCCGGCAGGGGTTCCCAGGAGAAGGAGAAAGCGGGCTTGACAAGGGAGCTGTTCATCTCCCACCCCCGCCGCAGCCAGCTGATAAGACCCCCAGGGCTCAGAGGGCATTCAGAAGGAGCCATCACAGGCGCAGAAACCACAGCGCAGCCAGTCAAGTCGTCCTGCCAAACAGCAGGCCGCAGCAAGGTGAGAAACACAGGGGAAGGCTGCAGCAGCAGCTGCAGCATCGGAGATTTCTTCTGCTTGAACACAAAGCATCCTTTCTCCTGTCGCCTTTTCAGTTTAGGACAAGCTATCAGTAACAGAGTCTGATTTCCAAAGCACTTCTCTCTCACACCCTCAATGCAGCAGGGTGTTAACTAAAAGGTCTGCAGGCTAAAAATAATACCACTTGTCTGTAAAGCTGAGCGCAGGAACAGAGTCAGGTTCTGAACTCAGATACCTTGTCTAAGCCAAAGTAGAATGGGAGGTGACAGAAACCCCATGGGGCTAATTCCCAGAGGATCCCTTCCTAAGTCCACAGAGTAAATACAACAACATTCTAGTTGATTTGCCCAGTGAAATGGGACACTTTTGTGGGCAGGCTGATATGACTCCTAAGCTCAAGACACCTTTAGTCAAATTCAACAAACAAAATGGAATCACGCCAGCAGGTGACTATAGGAAGACATATGGGGATGTGATATAGTGAAGGACAAAGTGGAGAGAATGGCCCTTGGTGGCCCCCAAAGCAGCTCAGCCTCTTGTCAGGGGAGAAACAGCAAAACAAGAGAGAGATCAAAGACAGAAGAATTAAGTTCGCTGCTCCCTGGTGGTATCAGAGAGAGCTTTGGCAATTGTGCATCTCAATTGAAGTGTAAGGCACACAGGGAACAGTTACTGCCAGAGGTTTCCATAACACAGAAAGTGAAATCAAAGTAGCCCAAGAAACCAGAGACAGGGGAGAGACATGGTCCAACTGAGGCAGAGCTAGAAAGCTTTACCTGACTTCCTCCAAGGTCTAGCATCAGATCCCAAGAAATCTGGGTGGCCGCATAGAACAATCTTTCAAGACAGGCAGGAAAAGGAGTAAGGCCTCAGCGGCTATAGCTGAAGCAAATAAGTTTTGAAGACAGGAGTTGCCCCAGAATTGTGTCGCATTTATATGCTTTCTTGTCTCTTCCTGCTTGATGAGGTGTGTAATGTACTAATCTCCAACATTAATTTTACTTCTCAATATACTTTGGGGTTAAAAATGCCTATCCTATATTTTGAATATCACCCTGAATGATGGAAATGAAAGGATACGCAGCTCAATGTTCCATGACATGGATCATCCAGGATAATTGATCAAAAATTTCCACTAATGAAGATACAACACAAGCATTTCACACGTCCCCCGGGCCCAGGGGAAGTACAGCTCAAGATCTCCTAGATTTGACAGGGATCTAGGGGGCAGTAAAGAGCTTCTTGGGGCTAATCACATATGCTTCTCAGCAGGATCAGCCTGAAAGCTGAAGGCATAACCCATTGTCAATGAAGGGACCTCCAAACATGGCTCTGTTATTATGTCTCACTGTATTTTGACAAGGAAACCCTGTTTCATGGGACCTTCTGCAAAACCTAACTTAAAAATTGTGCCTACTTTACCTAGCTGTGCTGCAGATGGTCCTAAAGATACCAGTAGGCCCGTATCCGATTCAGAGAGTGTTTGTCTTATCAGCATGGAGAACTTAGCAGCTGGATGGTGAACTCGTTGAACATAGGCTGGCCAGTCTTCACACCTCCCGTTGGTATTTGATCTTGGCTTTCCAGCCAACCTACTGAACCCCGTTAGGAAAAAAAATCTGTCAACATTCAGAGCTGAAGAGGAAATAGCATTTTTGAGATAAAATTTTCTTTGTAGCAGATGTATATTTTATTAGCTTTATCAGTGTCTTTTCTCAATAGAGTTCCACAGCAGTAGGCTGTAAAATAACAAAATCACACATAATCACAAAAGCTAGAATCACCTCTTTGAGGTTGCCTGCTTAAAGAGACCAAACAGAAAGCCCGAGAATTGAGCACATTTCTGAGATATTCTGCTGCAATTGTGTAAGATTTGTCTGCAAGCCTTAATTTTCTCATTACCTACTTTTTATAAGTGAGGCACAAATAATTGGAACTGCTTATATAGGGAAAATTGTTGAGGCTTTAAAATGTCTCAACGCCAAATGAGAAGAAAGAGAATACATATTCTTTAGTCTTAATTTGGTTCCCCAGGAGTAAACTTGAATCCTGAAAGAAGAATTCAAACTCACATAGTTTATTTTGTAGGGAGGAAGGGAATGAAGAGAACACAGGTAGGGAAGAAGAGAAATAAGACAAGGAAGAGAAGAAAATTAATAAAGATAGGCTTCTCAAGCCAATTACCACAGTAGGCAACTGAAACTTAATCCTGCATGAGCACGCTAGGGGCCCATGAAAAACACATGCCTCAGGGTCCCCCAAGGGTTAAAGGAGCTGACGTATTTATACACCAACATCATCATGCACTACTGCCGGAATCCCAACAGAGCCATCCATCACTTCTTAGATGGACTCCCTTTGGCTCAAAGCACTTCACCTAGTATTTACTTTTCTCTTACTATTTCATCTTTTTTTGTGGATGACAGGAAATCACTGGCTAACCAATAATCAGATAAGCAGAGCATTTGTGGAAGGAATTCCTCACTCTACATCTTCTCATGAGCATGGTTAATTTATCTCAGATCTGATAGCAATTCCACTTACTTAGAATTTGGATGTCATTCAGTACACACCAGGCCACAACTGAACTGGACAGCCCCTTTTAAATTTCAACAATACTAACATCTCTCACAATAGTTTCTAGCTCCCAGAAAACATAATTTCTATTCTGAAAGAGGATGGGATTAATTCAATTAATTTCAATTCAACAAAATGTACCTATGTATTTATGTATGCTATAGCTAAAATACCATTAGTGTGTGTAGATGATAGATAGATAAGATAGATAGATAGATAGATAGATAGATAGATAGATATTCCCTGCCTTAACAAATTTATAATCAAGAGTTGAAGTAGAAATGTATAAAAATACTATAAAACAAGGCATATTACAATTACTCAAAGCATAAATAAACAAGGTGCTATGCACCATTAAGGAGAGAGCAATAAATTCCAACCAGGTGAAAATGAAGGAAATTTCATTTCCTTCAGAAATGACATGAATTTGAGTTATGTCTAAGTAAAGTTGGCTCCTGTCCCTAACTGCAAGCTCCCTACCTGTGGTCAAGGTCATGGCTTCAGCTGTCCACATTTCTGTGTCCATGTTCCAGGGGATTCCTCCAGGTTCCAGGCTGTGCTTTGAATCCCCTTGACTGTAGTCAGGTGTCCCCATTGTCAGCCCTGAGGCTCTTCCCTGAATTCCCCTGCTGGCCTCTGCCCTGCTGGATCCTGCCAGCCTTTGGCTTCAGGGTCTCCCTGCTCACTGCCTCTCAGAACAACCACCTCAGTTCCTCTCTCTGAGAGGTGTGGGCAGATCCCACACTGCCCAGAGCTCTGCCCAGTTCTCTAGGTCTTCAGACTTTGACCTGGCCCAGGTTTTTCATCTGCATATGAGGAGCAACTGGACACCGGACAGTGGTAGGCCTTGAATGACCAGAAAGTAAATGGACAGGAAGCCAGACAGACTTTGCATGGAATGTGGAAAAGTCCAGAGAAGAATTGGCTCCTTATGACATGAAGAATGAATGAGGTCCCAGCACATAACATGGTGCCTTCTTTTCCCCAGTCCCCTGGCTACTCTTCCAGCAGCATTACCATTGGTATACTTATGTGTACCTCAGTGACCCTTCAACTAATGCTTCATAATGATCATGACTGTCAGTCTCTTCATGTACCTCAATAACTTGTGCCTCACACCCTTCTACTGATGGCCGTCCACTGCCTTTCAATTTTTCTTTCTGTACACTAGGCAAATTCTGATTCTCTAAACCTTCTATTCAACCTTCAATGCACTCTTCAAATACCTCCTCTTCTCTGAAGCCTTTTTTGCCCAGCATCCTCCAATCTTAGGCAAAACTGATTCGTCCCTTCTTCGTACCACCAGTGTACCTTAACCATTATTTCTGTAACTGGTTTACTTGTCTATATGTCTTCTTGGGCAATGAGATTCTCCAAAGCAGAGATGTGCCTTATCATTTCCTCGTGCACCTCCTCTCTGTACTGGGCACAGTATCTGGCCCAGAGCAGTGTGGTCACCAGCCTGCCCAGGGCAGAGGAGGTTCGTAAAGAGAAAGGAGGGTTGTTCACAGTGGGGAGACTGACAGCGGGAGCACATGTGCATTCAGGTCATTAGGTAGGAAGCAGGAAGATGAAATGACAAAGTAGCCAATAGCATATCCTTTCATTGTCTTTTATTTGAACCCATTGCCAGAATCAAGAACAAAGAACCTGGAAGCTCCTGGATTTATCTCACCTGGTAGTCTGAGTGGACTCCAGTGATAGGGTGTCTTAGTCCATTTTGTGTGGCTATAAAGGAATACCTGAGGCTGGGTAATTTATTAAGAAAAGAGGTCTATTTAGCTCATGGTTCTGCGGGCTATACGGGAAGCCTGGTGCCAGCATCTGCTCAGCTTCTGGTGAGGCCCTCAGGCTGTGTCCACTCATGGTAGAAGGTGAAGGAGAGCTGGCATGTGCAGAGATCACATGGAGAGAGAGGAAGCAAGAAGGTGGGGAGATACCAGCTCTTTGTGACAACCAGCTCTCATGGGAACTGAGTAAGAACTCACCTCCAAGAGACACAATTAATTTATTCATGAGGGATCTGTCCTCATCTCATGATCCAAACACCTCCCATTAGGCCCCACCTTCAATACTGGGAATCATATTTCAACATGAGGTTTGGAGAGGACAAACACCCAAACCATAGCATATAGCCTTTGCAATTTCTTTTAATTGATTGATCTACCCTACACCAGAATGGGTGAAAAAGGACCTTATTTTTTCTGTATATGGCTGTGTTGTTTTGTTAAGAGATGAGTTCCTGCATCAGGACATCATGGGCACTAGCATTTCAAAAATAGTGGAGGCAATAACCTAAGCTCAGTGGCATGAATCCACACTTCACATTTTATTAGCAGTGTAATAATTTTCTAAAAGATTAGTATCACAGATGCACTGATATAAGAATGCTTTGAATTCTTTGAGTTCTCCAGAGGCATATTTTAAGTGTCAGATACAAACTTTACTTTTCCAAATAATGAAAACCAAGGCAGTTTTCCTGAAGGTAAGAGCATCTTTAATTAATTCTAGGTAAGTGATTCTGAAAGTTAGCCAGAAAAGGCAGGTATACCTTAGGGGTAGTGGATAATCTCCAAGGTTTGGTGAGTACTTGCGTGTGTGAGTCTGTGTGTTTGCATAGCTGTTTCTGAAAATATTTGGGAAACCCTTGGGGAGAATTTCCCTCCATTGAGAGTCACCATCACTGGGAGCCTTTCTTACCCAGGAGAGAGGATATGGAGGCAGAATTTAGGGTGAGAACTGTTACACTCGTAATTGAGGCCCTGAATGGAAATGTGCTGAGAAAGAAAAACATAAAGAGAAAGACATAGAAAGAAATGAAGATAGCCAGACAGGTATAGAAGGAACATGACTCCCTTTAAATAGAGAAACAGCCACATGATACTCTCAAGTAATGCTGCTTTGTTATGTCCATATTTTGACCCATTGTGGTACCTGTCCAAATAGCCCTGATTTCGGGCCAAGCCCTGCCTTGATAAATGGAACTCACACAGTAACAACAGGTTTCCTACCACATCAATCTTGTTGATGTTGGAGCAAATTAAAGCAGATGTTTCCTGTCAACTGTGAATCTCTTCCCAAAGAACACATCAGCATCCTCAACCTCTTCAAGCCACACAAAAGACCAAGGACCTCCATGCAACTGGATTTCTCCTTAACCGCACCATTCTATTTATTAGGTCCATTATCTCTAAACAATTAACATGCTCTGGAATACTGTGTTCCAGAATGTGTATATAAATGGAACATAGCACATGGCCCTATAAAAGAAAGAAACTGTTAAGAAAATGGTCCCTTTAGCCAATTAGAGGAAATATAATTTCTGACACAGGGCCGCTATGGCCAGCTGGATACTGATGCATAAAGATACCTAACCGTTTGTAGCAGAGCAGGAGGTGGGACCCAGAGTGTGAGCCCTGAGATGATCTAGAAATTCCTGTGCAGATGGATCCATCAACGAAGGGTGATTTCATCCATTAAGGAAAACCAAGCTGCTTGTGAAGAAAATTTGACAACTGTTCGACAGTGCTTTTCCCTCATTTAGGAAGTAGGGAACACTGAGTAAATGGGAATGTAGGAAATATTAGCATGTGATATTTATCAGAATAAGACCAGAAATGTCTTTGTAAACTTCATGACTCTCAGATACCATGAAGCATCATGTGTAAGGTTCACTTTCAGCTGCCAGTAATGTTATGTTTAGAGACAGCATTTTCTTCAATAAGCAATTCAGCAAAGTTGAAGATTTAAATAAAGGAAGAAAAATAATGCAGACTACATTATAAAGTAATAATAGCAGGTAATAGTCACTGAGTGCTTCTTCTATGCTAATTACTTTACATTTATTATCCCATTCAAGTTTGCATGACAATCAGACAAGAAGCAGATTAGAAAAGAGAAAGCATTCTGTAGCAAACCATTCATTGTGAGTAACAAAGTGCTATGTATGGTGTTAGAGAGCCTGGGCTTTGAATTTACAAAGACCTGCTGAAGTCCAGCAAACACCACTACTAGCTGTAATGTAGGGAAGCTACCTTTTCTGCTCACCACATTGATCAACTACTATAGTCAAAGCACTACACTCAGACTAAAAAATAAAAACAAAGAAGTTGTGGTCCCTGTTCTCAGGGAGCTCATTTAAGTGCTCCCCATGAGCAACATTCATAATCTAAGAGAAGAAAGCTTTATTACAGCCACAAGTTCCGATTCCCCAGGCCAATATAAGTGGTTTCCTCTAAGCATCCTCATTGCCTCTATTGTGGCATTCCATGCATTGTTTTGTAAATGTTGCTGAGGATATCTGACTCTGTCACTAAATCATAAAATGTTTTTTGACAGTAAGCATGAATTTCATTATTCGTACACTATCTGACCCAGAGAAGGTTTTCAATAAATGTTTATTGATAAGCAAGTGAGTAAGTTGTAATAAGCAAGGGACATCCAAAAGTAATGACATTTTCAGGGAAATATCCATAATTCTAGAATTCTAGATTGTCCTTAAATATTGGGAAAATCATATATATATATATACACACACACACACACACACATTATATATTTAATACACACACTACATATATGTGTATATATATACACACATGTATGTGTGTATATATGTGTGTGTATATATATATTTATATATACTTTTTAAAGAGATAGGGTCGCTGTATGTCTCTATGTTGCCCAGGGTGGTCTTGAACTCCTGGGCTCAAGCAATCCTCCAGCCTCAGCCTCTGGGGTAGTTGGGACTACAGGCACACCCGGCTAATGGGCAAATAACCTATGAATGAATTAGAGGTGTTGACAGTTGCCTACCCAAAATCATTCCCACTGCTTTTCATATTAAGAGAATCATGACTTTATTCAGGTACCTAGTCCTCAGCAAAGGTGAATTTACACAAAATAGGACAAATATGGCACAGGAGGACTTCTGGAAAAGTTTCCCTGACTTTAAAAAGACACATAAACAGTAGGCAGTCTTTTTTCTGCCATAAGACCACATCGTATGTGAGGGTAATAGCTTGCACTGCTGGGGCCTTTCCATGAGGAAATCTCATCAAGGTCAAAGACCACATCCTGAGAATGATAGAACCTGGTTCCTTGAAGACATTGCTGAGGCAATGAATTACCCACCTCTGCTGCTGCCCTTTCTAGACATTTTAATACGAGATGTAACTTTTTCCTTGTTGTTTATGTCATTTGGAATTCAGTTTTTGTTACTTGCAACAGAGAGCCACATTGCTTCCCAAAAACCTTGTTCCCAATCTTTGTGGCTATATCATGACTCCATAGGTAAGACCTGGTTTGGCCTCAGAGGTTTGCCCACTCTGAGCATCAATTTACTTATTTGTAAAATGGGAAAAATACTTTTCTTATTGGGTTGTAAATTGTCATATCCTACACCCTGGAGTATTTTCTCTGGTAGATATTCCTCCTCTCCTCCTCCTCCTCCTCCTCCTCATCATCATCCTCATCACCATCATCAAAAATATCATCATGATAGTTTATGTCAGCATCCTAAATTATTTAGTCTAAAGAAAAAAATTAACGATCAAATATTAAAGATATTTTACATCTTTGAAGACTGCAATATTCTACACTGAATGTTTAGGACATCATCTAAACCCACAGTACAGACAGCTAGTTGTCCCTCTATAACTCTCATCCCCTTCTATCTTAATAAGACAACCCCTCATTTTTAGCCATGCTCGTGGCCATTCAGAATGAAGACTCCCATTTCACAACTTCCCTTGGAGCTATGTGTGGCCACATCATTAAGTCCTGGCCTATAGGATATATGCAAAAGTGTCAACTATCCACTTCCATGAATCTCCTTAAAAGATAGTGTAGTCCTTTGCCCTTCTTCTTCATCCTCTCTCTAGTTGCTGCCTAAATATGGGCATGGTGGCCGGAGCTCCCACTGCCTGGAACCCTGAGGACAAGGGCTGCATCCTACTAGGGAGGCAGAGCTATGAGCTAGACGCAATGTGGCCCCTGGGGGCTCTTTGCAGAACAGCCACTATCCCAGCCCTTCTAGATGGGGAAAGCGAGGCCCTGAGAAGTGATGAGAATCAATGGCGAAGTCAGATGTACCACCTCAGTCACACACTCACATTTTTTTGCTTTGTTCTTTTTTTTTTTTTTTTATACTTTAAGTTTTAGGGTACATATGCACATTGTGCAGGTTAGTTACATATGTATACATGTGCCATGCTGGTGGGCTGCACCCACTAACTCGTCATCTAGCATTAGGTATATCTCCCAATGCTATCCCTCCCCCCTCCCCCCACCCCACAACAGTCCCCAGAGTGTGATGTTCCCCTTCCTGTGTCCATGTGTTCTCATTGTTCAATTCCCACCTATGAGTGAGAACATGCGGTGTTTGGTTTTTTGTTCTTGCGATAGTTTACTGAGAATGATGATTTCCAATTTCATCCATGTCCCTACAAAGGTCATGAACTCATCATTTTTTATGGCTGCATAGTATTCCATGGTGTATATGTGCCACATTTTCTTAATCCAGTCTATCATTGTTGGACATTTGGGTTGGTTCCAAGTCTTTGCTATTGTGAATAATGCCGCAATAAACATACGTGTGCATGTGTCTTTATAGCAGCATGATTTATAGTTCTTTGGGTATATACCCAGTAATGGGATGGCTGGGTCAAATGGTATTTCTAGTTCTAGATCCCTGAGGAATCGCCACACTGACTTCCACAATGGTTGAACTAGTTTACAGTCCCACCAACAGTGTAAAAGTGTTCCTATTTCTCCACATCCTCTCCAGCACCTGTTGTTTCCTGACTTTTTAATGATTGCCATTCTAACTGGTGTGAGATGGTATCTCATTGTGGTTTTGATTTGCATTTCTCTGATGGCCAGTGATGATGAGCATTTTTTCATGTGTTTTTTGGCTGCATAAATGTCTACTTTAAAGTTCATATGGAACCAAAAAAGAGCCCGCATCGCCAAGTCAATCCTAAGCCAAAAGAACAAAGCTGGAGGCATCACACTACCTGACTTCAAACTATACTACAAGCCTACAGTAACCAAAACAGCATGGTACTGGTACCAAAACAGAGATATAGATCAATGGAACAGAACAGAGCCCTCAGAAATAATGCCGCATGTCTACAACTATCTGATCTTTGACAAACCTGAGAAAAAAAAAGCGATGGGGAAAGGATTCCCTATTTAATAAATGGTGCTGGGAAAACTGGCTAGTCATATGTAGAAAGCTGAAACTGGATCCCTTCCTTACACCTTATACAAAAATCAATTCAAGATGGATTAAAGACTTAAACGTTCGACCTAAAACCATAAAAACCCTAGAAGAAAACCTAGGCATTACCATTCAGGACATAGGCATGGGCAAGGACTTCATGTCTAAAACACCAAAAGCAATGGCAAGAAAAGCCAAAATTGACAAATGGGATCTAATTCAACTAAAGAGCTTCTGCACAGCAAAAGAAACTACCATCAGAGTGAACAGGCAACTTACAAAATGGGAGAAAATTTTCGCAACCTACTCATCTGACAAAGGGCTAATATCCAGAGTCTACAATGAACTCAAACAAATTTACAAGAAAAAAACAAACAACCCCATCAAAAAGTGGGTGAAGGACATGAACAGACACTTCTCAAAAGAAGACATTTATGCTTTGTTCTAAAGCATCTGCTTGAGCTCTTCCTCGAGTCAGCCCACCTTGGCTCAATGGCATGCCTACCTGCAGCCACACCCCAGCCTCTGCTCTGTGATCTCCTCTAGGAGTTGGCCCTTGATGGAAATTTCCTCTTTAAATCCAAACGACCTTATCCAAATCTCACATTTCACATTTCTTCACGCTCACATTTCTCAGGCTCCTAACACCCACCTGATTTGATAAGAGTCATGTAAAGAAACCCCATCTGGGGGGAAATGTCCACCTTTCACTTCCCAAGTCTCTCCCTAGAGTACCAGTGAAATTGACTAATGGCTTTGCAGATAAAGGGACTCCAGGTGATGTTATGAATTTTTCTGAAGTCATTATGAAAGCAAAAAAACAGCCATAATAATGATAAATTGGGGTTGAGATGTTAATTGTTAAAGAAAGTAGCCGGTGTTATATTAGTAACAAAGGAGTCCACTTTCACAAATCTCTCCTCTGTCCTCTCATGCCAGTGCACAGGTATATCAAAGAGCAATTCTTTTGCTCAGGATGTTTCTCTTATTTCACTTTTGCTGCTTTTGGCTGAACTACTAAACAGGTTATAAAATGAACAAATGCTCACAATATGCACACAAATCACATTATATGTTTTAATGGGATGTGTGGGCAATACAAAGTCAAACCCCTATTATCAGAAGTAGTGGTAGGGATAAACATTTCAGGTCTGTTTGGGGGTTTGAGGCTTTTGGCCAGCATACAGAGACACAGATGTGTTATAAAAGAAACTCTGTATTTTCCCAGAAAGATAATTTTTCTAAAGAGATGGGACTTCTAGGGTCCTATATGTGTTCTATGGGAGCACCTAACAGAGGGAACAGTGAATTTTCATGTGTTTTAGAGGATATTAATCAAAAAGTACGGATCAAAAGGCAATAGGGGCTGGGCATGGTGGCTCACGCCTATAATCCCAGCACTTTGAGAGGCCGAGGCAGGAGGATTGCTTGAGTCCAGGAGTTTGAGACGAGCCTAGGCAGCGTAGTGAGACCTTGTCTCTACAAAAAATAAAAATAAAAAATTAGCCAGGTAGGGTGGTGCATGTCTGTGTTCCCAGCTACTTGGGAGGCTGAGGTGGGAGGATCACTTGAGCCTGGAAGTTCATTGTAGTGAGCTGTGATTGTGCCACTGCCCTCCAGCCTAGGCAACAGACAGACCCCTTCCCCACCCCAAAAAAACGTACGTCTATTCCTAGGTCACTAACTGAAAGGCTCAATATATGAATACATATTTTTAAAAAGCTAAAGAAAATTAACAATAATTATTTACAAAGTAATCTGAAAAACTATAAAATAGAGATATGTGAGGTTCACACAGCAGAGTCCTCTGGAAGCTCTGATGGACTCTGAAATGTGAATATACACAGCAAGAAAGCACCCCTGCCTCACTAGTATCCACATGTGGAAGACGGGGCCTGAGCACAGCCACTGGCCAACATTTAGTCCTTAATGTGGAAGCACGGGAGACTACTCATGAGAATCCACTGCCTATGCTTCACTCTCTTATCCATAAAGCCCCATCGCCATGACAATAATAGCTAACTTCATTGAACGCATACTGTGGACTGGCACTGCTGTAAGCACTATATACATATATATATATATATATATATATATATATATATATATATATATATACATATATATATATATATACCTAATTTAATCCTCAGTACAAGACCCTGTGCTATGGTTTGAATGTTTATCCCCTTCAAAATTTCTGTTGAAACTTCATCCCTAGTGTGGCAGTATCGAGAGGTGGGGGCTTTAAGAAGGGATTGGGTCATGAGGACTCTGACCTCATGAATGGATTAACTCATTCATGGATTAGTGGATTAATGAGTTACCATGGGAGTGGGTCTGGTGGCTTTATAAGAGGAGGAAGAGAGACCTGAGCTAGCATGCTCAGCCCCCTCACCCCCTGTGCTACCTTGGGACTCTGCAGAGTCCTCGACAGTAAGAAGGCTCTCACCTGTTATGCCCCTGGACCTTGGACTTCTCAGCCTCCATAACTGTAAGAAATGAATTCCTTTTCTTCATAAATTACCAAGTTTCAGGTATTCTGTTATAAGAAACCAAAAATAGACTAAGACACCCTGAGAAGTTAGGTAAACAGCCCAAGGTCATAAAGTCAGAAGGCAGAGGAGTTAGAATTCAACCCCAGGTAGTCTGAATGCAGAGGCCAATAAAGGTCAGCGAGTTCCATGTCCCACTTCGTACATGAGCTCATTTGAGTACACTGGCAGACATAAATGCTTGCTTTTCTTAAACTACATTCCCTGTCTCTCCCTCCCACCCCAAAATATAGGTAGTAGAATCTGTGTGAGACAATCTTTATGAACAATGTCATCATGATTTAAAAACACTCCCCAGCTCTATCCTTGAGATTCACGCTGAAGCCACGGACCTCCCTGAATCTAGCAGAACACCTTACACAGAGAATATTAACACATTTTGTTGGCAGTGAAGTTTGCTAAAGGAAAAGGGAACATGGAAGGGAAGATGAGCTCCATCAGGAATATCCAGTACCATGCAGTGTGCTTGGCACACAAAAGGGGCTAAAAAAGGTTTTTGGAAAATGGAAATGTGAGAGGTAGGCAAGGTGGGGAGGAAGGGAAGATAAGAAAAGAAGGAAGGAAGGAAGGAGGGAGAAGGGAAGGAGAAGCGAAGGGAAGGAGGGAGGAATAGAGATGGAGGGAAAGGGTGGGAAGAAGGAAGAAAGGAATAAAGAGGAGAGGATGAGAAAGAAGGACAGATGGCTACTTGAGCACATGCAAAGGTCAGAGGCAAGAACCACTGTTCCAATTTGAATACCACTGTCAGTTATTAGTGAGTCTCAGACTATTTGCAGGGGTAGGAGGAGGTAAGAAGAAGGTCCTGAATTCCCCCTCCAGAACTGCACCCCAATGGACTCACCTAGATCATACCCCTTTGCCATCAATTGGGTCCTAATTACTGCAGTTACTCTTTCTGGAAGGAAAAAAGAAAGATCTTGCTTTGGAGGACAAATGTATGCATTCTTAGTCATTTAGTTTGGGAAGGAATGACCCTCCTCCTAGCTCTACCTAATGAGGGGAAGGAGGCTTAAGACTGTCAGTCTATCCCATCTTCTATAGTCCCAGAGAATCAATGAGTCAGTGAAAGTACAAACCCCAACCAAAGTCAAGACTTGAGTTGATGTTTTCAGTTTCTTCTTGGAAAGAAAAGCTTTGTCTTCCATCTTCATAGACAAGCTGGTGTAAGAGCATGGGGTCTAGAAATCCTGCAGACACTTGCTACCTGGACCAGAAAGTCAGAGGCTCAGAGCCTAGGGATAAGAGTGATACCATCTAAGGCAAAGCAGACAAGAGGGAATACCAGGTCAAATGGTAGTATCATGTGAGCTGCTGGATCACGGTTCACCTGAGGCCAATCTACTTCAGTTATGTGGGCCAACACATTCCTTTTGCTATTTAGGCCCCATTTCAGCTAGTTTTCTCTAATTTGCTGCACAAAGATCCCAAGTGATATGATCTCTCTGTGAGTCCTGGTGGATCTTGCATTCTTAAATACAGGCATCAACTTACAAGGAGTTTTCCCTCATGCCAGAATATAAACCACCAATGCCATCAGGGACTCTAAAAGAACTTGGAACTCCAAATGACAAATTTAATCGTCAGGCAGCAACCTGATCAGAGATGAGATGACTGGATTCCCAGGTCTGGATTCCACCCTCACCTGTGTAGGGCATATAGATAGGGCTGACAAGATTTGTTTTCATTTTTTCCTAGGCTCGGGCATCTCATATCCAATTGCTAACATATTATTTACTAGAGGATCTCATTGTACTTAATTGATATCTTTTATGTTTCTGGTCATCAGTGTTGTCTATCTCAGATTTAAAACTTAGGCTGGGCGCAGTAGCTCACACCTCTAATCCCAGCACTTTGGGAAGCCAAGGTGGGTGGATCACTTGAGGCCAGGAGTTAAAAACCAGCCTGGCCAACATGGCAAAACCCTGTCTCTAGTAAAAATACAAAAAAATTAGCCAGGCATTGTGTCACATGCCTGTAATCCCAGCTGCTCGGGAGGCTGAGGCATGAGAATTGCTTCAACCCAGGAGGCAGAGGTTGCAGTGAGCCGAGACTGCACCACTGCACTCCAGCCTGGGCAACACAGCAAGACTTCATCTCCAAAACAAAACAAAACAAAACAACCTCTAGAAGGAATCATACCTGCTTAACCCACTTTACCCAGAATATAAGGGAGAAAAGCTGCCGAAGCCTAATAAATACTTTTTAGTGCAGCTGCTGCTGATGATCTTCAAGCAGATCCTGAGGCAAAGATGTAAATTTCCAACCTTACCTTGAACTACGGTCAACATTTTCCTGGAAGTCTTAAGTTAAAGCCAGGACTGCTTCTTTCAGAGTTTTACTAAACAGTAGTGATATTCAACGTCAAAATTACAGATGTATTGGGTTGAAATTAATTCTGCTTATCTGATGTCATCTACCACCTTGGGGGTAATACAGGTCTCTCTCCCTACCCCCACCCCTACCCCCACACCAACCCACACGAATGACTTTCACTCGGAGTATAATCAGAACTTTTCCTGCCCTCACAAATAAGGAATAGTGAAGAGATTATGAGGCTTGAGCCAGATAATCTGGTACCAATATTGACTAATTTATTCTGTGTGACCTTGGGCAATTACTTAACATCTCATCATCATATTTTTCTGTAAATACAATGTCAATAATAGTGCCTGCCTCAAATACTTCTGAAGGTTTGTATGACAATCAAACAACATACTATATAACATAGTGGTCCCCAACCTTTTTGGCACCAGGGACCGGTTTTGTGGAAGACAATTTTTCCACAGACTGGGGGAGGAGGATGATTTGGGGATGATTCGAGAACATTCCATTTATTGTGCACTTTATTTCTATTATTATTACTCTGTAATATATACTGAAATAATTATACAACACACCATAATGTAGAATCAGTGGGAGTCCTGAGCTTGTTTTCCTGAAACTAGATGGTTCCCATCTGGAGATGATGGGAGACAGTGACAGATCATCAGGCATTAGATTCTCGCAAGGAGCATGCAACCTAGACTCCTCACATGCACAGTTCACAGTAGGATTTGCTCTCCTATGAGAATCTAATGCTGCCACCGATCTGACAGGAGGTGGCACTCATGCAGTAATGCTCACTCACCTGCTATGTGGCCTGGGGTTGGGGATCTCTGCTGTAATAGAGTTCACTTGTAAATAAAAATGCTTTCCTGAGCACACAAAACTTTCAGGCAGCATCTTGATTCACCCTGCACATGTATCTTAGATACTATCTTTCCCTCAGCATGACAGGTAAAGTGAAATCAGTGATATTTAGCAAGCATTTAAGCAGTATTTCAATAGACCCAGCTCAACACTACCCTAGAAAGTTGAAGCTGAAATCCATTTTAAGACTTTTTTGGTGGGGAGAGCTACAAAATACATTTTGAAATATAAAGCACACACAAGAACTGCAATGCTCTTTCACTCCAGAAGTACCTTCAGGCCTAAGATGACTTAACATTATCCTCCTTCATTTTAAAACGTTGTCAAGCACCAAACTTCTCTGGTGGCTTCACAAAGCATATGATTGAGAGTTAGGCTGGGCTAAACTACCTTCCTTATATCTTTTATATCACCAATAAATTTGACTGATGACTGATATCTGAAAACCTCCAACTCTGTAAGTTATGTCTTTTCCAAAGACAAGATTGCAGGCTATATATTTATGTCCTGGTTCAAACAAAAAGGAAAGCAGTAAACAGTGATTCCAGAGACAATTCAACTCACCTGAACCTAACCAATGTTTATTGGTGGTCTAGTAAATACAAACCTCTATGCTGGGAACTAGAGTCATTCAAAGAGAGCAATGATTCTTGCCCCTAGTCAGAAAAGAAGTTCCAAGAGAGATGCTTTGTTTTATTTTTAAATAAATAGAGTTTGATTATTTTTATCACCTTTATCAAGGTATAGTTTATATAAAATAAAATTCATTACTTCTTTTTTTATTTTTTTGAGAAGGAGTCTCACTCTGTCACCCAGGCTGGAGTGCAGTGGCAGGATCTCAGCTCACTGCAAGCTCTGCCTCCCAGGTTTAAGCGATTCTCATGCCTCAGCCTCCCAAGTAGCTGGGATTACAAGCCTGCGCCACCACACCCAGCTAATTTTTGCATTTTTAGTAGAGACAGGGGCTTCGCCATGTTAGCCAGGCTGGTCTTGAACTCCTGACCTCAAGTGATCCTCCTGCCTCAGCCTCCCAAAGTGCTGGGATTACAGGCGTGAGCCACCGCGCCCAGCCAAAATTCATCACTTCTAAGTGTACAGTTTCATGAGCCTTGACAAATATATACACACACACACACACACACACACACACACACACACACACATATATATATATAGCTGTGTAACTACCACTGTAATCAAGATATGGAACATTTTTATCAGCTCAAAACATATACCTCATGCCTCTTTGCAGTAATCAATGGGATTGATTTTTAAATTGAATAAGTATTTTAAGTCACAAGGAATAAAAGAGAGAGGTTATTTAACCAAATGTAGCCTCGGAAGACCAAAATTGAGATTACAAAGGCAGGCCATGAAGTTAATGTTCCCGTTGGAGAACAACAGCACGCCACATGTTCGAGACTGGGTGGCACTGAGACTGGATGGCATTGAAACCCCAGTTTAAAGTAGCCTTGAATCCCTAATCAGACAGGGCGATTCTAAGGAGCTTCTTTCAGTATTGGATCCATCCACCACTGGTCAAAGTGACTTGTTTAGACCAAGAAGGGCCACATCGTTGGGAGGGCTGAAAATAGGCTGCTGGACACCCTAAATAACGACAATGCCCTTCCCGAGACAGAATCTGAGTATCAAAGAGTCCTCACAAATACAGCAGATAAAAGAGAGCTGACTTCCAAAAAAGGTTCGTCTTTCAGTTCTCATGGGAGAGTGATGACGACTATATATTTTAGCACTTGGGTTACTTAACATTCATCTAAGTGTTTTTCTGACTAACTCAGATAGCAGAAACCCAAGATGGCTCAGAAAAATTGAATAAAAGATGATGCATCCAGCATTTCCAAGAGGATTTAACCACTATCTCCAAATCTCCTACAGTTTATAGTCTTAAGTGTTAACAATTTATTCCTCTCACTCTAGCCAGTTTAATACATAAATGCTTTTTACCAACTACAGGCCTGAGATCACTTTCCCATTAGACACCAACTCTTAGAAACACACAATTACAGACTTGAACCAGTCTCAGCATCCTTTCCAGTAGGTCAACACACAAACCATAAAGGAAGGCCACCTTATGCGTCTTGTAAATGCCTTGGTAATGAATCCAGTCCTCATTCAATTTGCCAGGGCAAGGAATAAACAACCTTGCGCTTAAGTTCAGGCTGTGGGGAGTTCATTATCGACTAGGAAATAACTACAATGCAGTTGCTTCCTTTCATCTCACATTGATTAAGCTGTATTTGCTAAGAGCGTCAGTACCCACATATCATTACTAAAAATCCAACTCATTACAAACTCACCTAAATGTAAACGAAAACCACAAATCAGGCATAGTTTTATTATATCCAAAGGAGATTGGGTCATTATGCACCATTCATTTTCTTCTTATTAGTCAGGTATATTTTTCTTTGCAATCAACAGATAGTATCACCAGATGTCTCTTTGTAAAAAAGTCAAAAGAAGCATGTTGATAGCTCATAGTAGTTAACTTTTTGAAATATCTGTTGGGGTGGAGGGAACATGGTATCAAAGGACTTACTGAGAAGGGGATGCTTGACTCAAGCCATAAAAGATAAAGAAGAACAAAGTGGAATGAGGTGGGGCAAAGGGAATACATTTCAGGGACAGAAGTGCATGCAAAGGCACAGAAATGTGAGGGCATCAAATTTGGGAAACTGTAAGCAGCATGACATGTTTAGAGTGCAGGATAAGAATGTCTGCAGGAGTGAAGTGTTCATAATCAGGAGATTATGCGTGTTCTATAATCAGGAGATTGTGCATGTTGTATAATCAGGAGACGGAATCTCCTGCAGGCATTCAAAGCCCACTAACCCATTTTAAACAAGGGAAGAAAATGCGTGACTTTCTGCTTTAGAACAACTGCCCTTGGGACAGTACAGAAGAGGAAATGAAGAAGAGGAAGTCTAGAGGAAGTGGGAACAGTTTATTGACTATTACAATAGTCCAAGCAAAAGATAATGAGAACATAAAGTAGAAAAGGAAATGTAGGAATGGAGAAGAAATAACAATTTAAAAACATTTAAGGGATCCTTCTAACAAAACCCAGTGATTAGTGGTACATCTGGAATGAGGGATTATTCCAAGGTTTATTATTTAGATAATAGGTGACTCATGCAGAGACTAAACACAGGAAAAACAATTTTCAGGAAAAATTAGAAAAGTTGCTATTTATACATGTTAAATTTGAGTTGTCTATAACAGATCTGTCTACTGATAACAATTTGGCTATCGAACTCAGGAGTAAAATTTTGTCTAAAGATAAAAGATGAAAATTAGAAGTGCCTAAAACTGACAACGGGTCTGGTATCTAGATCATCCAAGGAACTTCCGCAAATTCATCAGACTAAAAAGAAGAACCCTAAATAGAAAAAAAAAAATGGTCAAAGGACAGGAATAGGCAATTAATAGAAAAGGAAACTCCCAAATTTCTCAAGCATATGAAGAGATGCTTAAGCTCATTAGTAATGTGAGACATGAAAAATTAAAATTGCAATGGTATGTTACTCTCTATCTAGTCTACTGGATAAAAATTAGAAAGTTAGACAACATGAAGTGTTGGCCTGGATTTGAAGATGCAGGAATTTAGAGACTGGTTGGAGAAGCAGGCAAGAGATGGGCATTCTGGAGTGCAATCTGACAGTATTTGGTTAAAATTGACTAAATTAAGTATAGACACCCCCTCTGGCCCAATAATTCTGCTTCTGAATACACGTGTTGAAGAGATTCTCACACATATCCACAGGGTGCCTGTGCAGCAGTATTCACTGTGATAGGAAGTGAGAAGCAGTCTGAGTGTTCATTGCTGAGGGAATCAAGGGCAAAATATCATGGATGCACTCATGGACAAATAAGCAGCAGTTTGAAGCAACAACCTAGATGGATGTACAGCCATCAAGAGGATCTTAAAGTGTGGTCTTTAGTGGAAAAAAAGGTAAGAAATCAAATACAATCTCTTATATAGTACTAGTCACATTAAGTAAAAATATATGCAAAAAATATATACACAATACCCAATAAACACATTTTTTGTGGTTGTCTATGGTGGGGCAGTCAAACAGAGAGAAAAGAAATGCATTATCATTTTTAAAGTAATAAGAAATGAGCCTTCAATCAGACCAATTATTAAAGGATTGTTCAACGATGAGTATGATTAACTCAACTCTCTATGCCTGAGGTCCAAAAAAGAGGGAAGAGGGTGAGACTAGGAGATAAGCAAGTAGAAATAAGCAAAAAGATGGGCCATTGTGCCATTTATGCTGGTGGCTTTTTGTCCCCTTCTACCCCAAAGTCCCCACTTCATCAAATGCCCTGTTCTCTTCCCCAGGAGGCAGAACTCCATAGGCTGCCCTCTGGCTTCCAGTGCAGTTTGGTTATAGGAGGCACCAGCAGGAGGTTGGAGGGTGAGAAGAGACAAGTTGGGGCATTTCTCCCCCCTGCCAAGTTCAGCTCTTGTCTGACAGCCCACTTTTCACAACTCCAGACCTCACTAGGCTGTGGTCACCCTGACCTCTCCCCTGGACCCTTCTTAGTCCTAGGGGTGTTAACAGCTTCCTGCTATTGCTGATGCTAAGGTACCTCCCCATTCCTTCTTGTGTTTTTTGGTTTCCTTAACCTCATCCGTTCCTTAGACCAGGTTATTAAGTTACAATTACTAAATTCTCTTTAGTAAGACCTTTTTGAGGGTGCCATCTCTTTCCTGCCTTGATCCTAACAGAATCAGCTATACAGAGTTTCAGGGCAAAAACTTACAGGATAAAGGGCTTTCTTCTTTTTTTCTTTTATGTTAATATAGGTTACATTTGAACATATTTATCTGCTAAAGCAAAATAATTCCCATCATTCTATAGCAGAAGCAATGTATGGGAGACTGAGTAATTACATATAAGCTCACATCACTATCTCTTCCACCACTGTCATCCATCATGACTGATCTGGGAGATGAAACAGCACAGATCTAAAGGACGTGGTAAGAATCGAGATCACCAGAGATCAGTAGATACTTGCATACTTGCAGGATTAACACTGTCTGGATTCCAACGATCAGCTGAGTATGTTCAAGATAAAGCTATAGTACATATTTTAGATTGGGGATTGGCAACAAATAGCTGTAGACTACCTTCTGAGGAATAAGTGTTTTCACATGTGTGGGTGTCATTTCTAATCCCAGCATCACAGTCAGGTCCAGATACCTGTTTCTGATCTTTGGTCCTATGCCTAATCTCCTCCAAGAGTCCTTCCCTGGATCTCCTATCTAAGCAAGATGCTCGATGCCCACCAATGAGTACTGCACCAAGTTCATTTCCACTAGCCTGTGTTACAATTTGTGTTTCTGTATGTTTCCCTTACTTGTTATTCTTTGTCTTCCGCATTAGACTGAAAGCACTGCCACGGGGACCATGTCTAGGACATAGGAGGTCCTTAATAAATATTTCTTGAGTGGATAAATGGTGAACCATAGGGGTGGCATAAGAGCAAATAGAGGGTAGATGAGCACTAATCCATTCACCACCCTGTTTATGGGTGATGGATCTTGGATGGCCTTTTTCATAGTCAAAACATACTTTTTAGATCTGGCTTCTTGGGATGTATTCAAGGATGCTAGCCATGTTTGAGACTGTAAATATGTCTAGTGAATAGGGCTTCAGGCTGTGTGTGTTTGCCTTGTTTTGCACAGAATTCGGCACAGCCCCAAGCACAGATGGGTGCTTCATAAATATTATGGAAGGATGATGACACAAAAGATTATTTAATACCTCTACATGGGGTGGAGACGGACCTCAGGCCACAAACATACTTTCAATGTGTTTTACTTCTGAAATCATTTGAACCAAAATGTTTCAGCAACACAGATTCATCTGCAACCACAAATCAGACACATTCAGAATGACAAAGCCCCAAAAGAATGCCATTTTCAAGGCTGAAACTGTATTATTCTGGGCTAAATGGAATCCTTGTTTTAGTGACACTGTAAGAGTAGAAATTAAAGACACTGAAAATCTTCCCTTGGGGAGCCACAATTATCTGTGAACAATGAAAGTTTGTCTGAATAATTCATCAGCCTCAAGGGTACAGGCCTCCCCTTATTCTGGAATCCCAGGAGTTTAGGCAAGTGTGTCATTTAATGGATCTCAACTGTGTCCTCAGTTGTTATTATTCCAGGGCCTGGCATTTATGGGCACATTCCTATAATTTTACTAATTAAAGAAAAAATAAGCTATATGGGAAACCACTGTCAAGGTCGAAATTTTGAAGCTGCATTGATTTTACCTAGGAAGAAAGAAGCTTATAAAGTGTCCATCATGAGAATCCACCTGGGACCTACACAACAGATCAAATACCCAGAACAAATCACCAAGTCAGAGCCCCACAGAATTCTGATTCCCAACCAGCAAGCATGAATAATCCTTTTAAATGGTCACTTACATATCAGAACAGGTCCTTTGTGAAATTTCTAAGCAAGGCCTCTGGTTTCTGACTGAAACAGAGATTTATTGAGAAGGAGGGGTAAAGTGAAATCAAGAACTACTGGGAAATTTCCACAAGAAACAAGGACAAATGGTTTTTGTTGTCAGAATAAAACCAGCCTCCCCTAGCCATGGTTTGGAAAGTTATTTGCTAGCCCACAGGGGACAATATTCTCAACTGGTTTATCAGGGACCCTTTTGATCCAATTATAATTATTGGGCAGATACAGTAGTACCCTATTATCAGAAGACCTAGTTTCAAATCCTGAGTCAATTTCTAATTCACTGTGTGACCTTGTACAAGTCACTTAAGCTCTCTGATCATTGGTTCAACATCTTTAATATGAGGAGAGTAATACCTACCTCAATTACCTCATAAAATTATTGCAAAGATCAAGTGAGTTGATATGTTACAAATTATTTCTAAATTATAAGATTCTGTATAAGTGGAAGGGTTAAATATACTCCCATATTATTAAATACCCTACATATCACTCAGGATCCTATATGACTCTGAGTTCTCAATTTCTAGAAATGGTCCCATTTTTGCTTTGTTCCCTACAATTCTACGGAGTCTTTTTTTTTTTTAAAGGAAGGGTGTAGGCAAAGGTAAATGGGAGAAAACATGGAATCACATACCACTCTTTGGTGCTGCTAGGCAAGAATTTTAAACTGAGTTTAGTTCACCATCGTGGACTTAAGGTCCATATCACCTCAGGGAGACAAGTAGAGTGGGAGGCATCCAAAAGGTAGGTGATTCTTCTCCCCTCTAGTGAAGAATACAAGGTCAATTTACAAAAAAGCACCAGCAGCAAATAATTGGAAAATTAAATTCATAAAACATTCATAATAGCGTCAAAATAAAGAAAATACTCAGAAATAAATTTAACAAAAATTGTATAAGATCTCTACATTAAAAATTATGAAATACATGTAAGAGAAATTAAAGAAAACCTAAATAGAGAGATATACCACATTCATGGAATGGAAGATTCAAGATTATTAAAATACTATTCTCCCCAAATGGCTCTATAGATTCAACATAATCCCAATCAAAATCCCAGTAGGCTTTGGTAGAAATTGAGATGTTGGTTCTAAAATGAAATAAAATGCAGGGGACCTAGAATATATAATTTCCCTTTAATTTGACAAAGAAGAAAAACATATTGGGAAGCTCACCTAATTTCAGTGTAATATTTACATACGAATCAACAAATGGATCAGTGGTATAGAATAGAGAATGCTGAAAGAGATCTACATATATATGGTCAACAGATTTTTAATAATGGTGCCAAGGCTATTCAGGGGAAAGAAAATTCTTTTTTAAAAATGGGATTGGAAAAACTGGATAAGGGAAATAAGTGAACCTCGACCCCTACCTTATACCGTGCTCAAAAATTAATTCAAAATCATTCTAGACATAAGTGTAAAAGTTGAAACTGCAATGACTCTAGAAGAAAATATGGAGAAAATATCTCTCTGACCTTGGAGGAAGCAAAAATTTCTTGTAGTTGACAAAGACATATATAATAATCATATAATCCATTAATTATAAGAAAAATAAACTGGACTTCATCAAAATTTAAAACTTCTGCCCATTAAAAGATACTAATAAGAAGATTAAAAGTAGCCAGGTTCAGTGGCTCATACCCATAATCCCAGCACTTTGGGAGGCTGAAGCAGGGGGATCACTTCAGGCCAGGAATTTGATACCAGCCTAGGCAACATAGCAAGATCTCATTTCTACAAAAAATGTTTTTAAAATTAACTGGGTATGATGGCGCATGTGTAGTCCTAGCTACTCAGGAGGCTGAGTTGGGAGGATTGCTTGAGCCCAGCAGTTGAAGGTTACAGTGAACTATGATCGTACCACTGCACTCCAGCCTGGGCAACAGAGTGAGACCCTTTCTCTAAAATAAACAAATAAATAATTTTTATGTCATCTGAAACTAAGATCATACTGAAATTTTCCCTCAGTGTCTCCAGAATGTCTTTTTTGAATGGTTTGCCCAATGTAGTATCTCATTTAGAACCACGTGTTATGGCCCTTCAGTATTTTTTTGTTGTTGTTGTTGAGACAGAGTTTCACTCTTGTTCTCTTGTTGCCCAGGCTGGAGTGCAATGGCATGGTATCGGCTCACTGCAACCTCTGTCTCCTGGGTTCAAGCGATTTTTCTGCCTCAGCCTCCCAAGTAGCTGGGATTACAGGCATGCGTCATCATACCTAGCTAATTTGTCCCATAGAATCTCATCTTCTGGATTTTGTGGCTATTTTTTCATGGTGTTGATTCATTCATAAGGTAAAATTTATATACAGTGAAATGCATCTTATGGGTACAATTCAATGAGTTTTGAAAAGTGTGTACATCCATGTAACCACCACCCAGATTAAGACACAGAACATTCCCGTCACCTCAGAATGTTTCCCGGTGCCTTCTTCCTACCCCTCATACAGTAACATTGTAATAATTTCTATTGCCACATATATGTTTACCTGTTCTGAAACTTCACAGAAATGGAATTATATATTATGTATTTGTTTGTTACTGGCTTTTTATCATTTAATATTTTTTTATTCATCCATACCCACTGCATGTGTCAGTATTTCATTCCTTCTTGTTATTGTGTAGTATACAAATATATAAATATATCACAATTTATTTTTGCAATCTCCTGTTGATGGACATTTGTATTGTTTCCAGTTATTAGCCATTATGAATCATGCAACTATGTATATTATTATACAGGTCTTTTGTGGACACATCTCCATTATTTTTGGGTAAATATTTAGGAATGGAATGTTGGTCAGCTGTAGGCTCCATTTTACAAGAAACTGCCAAACTGTCTTCCATTCTACACTTTTGTTTGCAATGTATGAAAGTTCTGGTTGCTTCCTATCCTAATCAACATTTGGTGTGGGACTACAGGAACATGCCACTACACCTGGTTGATTAAAGAAAATTTTTTGTAGAGACAGGGTTTTGCTCTATTATCCAGGCTGGTCTTGAATTCCTGGCCTCAAGTGATCCTCCCACCTCAGCCACTCAAAGCTCTAGGATTACAGGTGTGAGTCGCCACGCCCGGCCAAAATTTATTAATTGGTAGTTGGCAATTGTTGATGGAAAAGAAAAAGCAGGTTACAAGCAATGTGCTTTTTGATGTCTTTGGTATTATCACAGGCAAATAAATTATATATGTATATATATTATGTATATTATATTATGTATTTTAATTATATGCATATAATGTATATGTATAGAAAGAGATACAGTAAGGAATATAAGTTTTTCTATTAACATAGGTAACCCAAGGTAGGGGATATGATATTTACATTCTCTTATTTGTGTTTTCTAACTTTCCACCAGGCACATACACTGTTTCTATAATAACACGTGCTGGTTGAACATGTCAGACTCTGAAATTCAATGTTTTATAATATAGGGTGATAGACAAGAGGGATGGATAGAGCAAGAAGAATGAAACCTAATAGGGTTAGTTAGAGCCCTACTGAGTGAATCTCTTGTTGGGTATTTTCCATGCACTGTCTCGTTTCATTCTTACAATAAACCTATGAAGTATCATTTTTCTATTTGTACAGTGCTAATAAGGCTATAAGTTAGCATTTGAACATAATATAATCTGACCTCAAAACCCATGCTTTTTTTCCCTCACTTATACATACACACTTTCAGGTTAATAAGTTCTGTTGCTAAACATTTATGTAGTATTTACTATGTACCAGGCACCATGTTAAATGTTCTACATGAAGCACCTCATTTGTACTTCATGACAATCCATATAAAGATACCACTATTATTATCCACATTTTACAGATAAGAAAACTGAGGCACAGAGACTAAATAAGTCTAAATTCCCACAGCTAGTAAGTGGCAGAACCAAGAATTAAGCTCAGGCCACCTGATTCTCCAGCTTCTACCCAGTACACTATACCGTGTTCCCATGCTTTCAACGCATTCCCAAATGGAGCAGGGGAGAATAAGCGCCAGCAACCAACAAAGGAGACATCAACGCCAAAGGTCTACCATAAAGTTTTTCACGGTGACATCCTTGCTTACCTGTCCAGGGCCATGCTGGTTGGCATACTCCTCCCAAACCCGCGGACCCCCATCTGACGGAAATATGGAATGCAAGAGAGGTTGGCAGCAATGATGGCCAGGGAGTCAGAAGGGCTCACAAAGAAGCCATTTTGGCCTAGGATCATATAACGGTCCTGTAGGAAGGAATGCGTAAAAATGATCGGACAGAAGCATCTGCTAGCAGCCCATTCCCATAATCATCACAATCCACTTTACTGCCATCTTATATTTAACAATCTAACAACTTGAATGAGGCCAAAGAGAACATGGGAAACATTCTTCGAAATCTCTGAGTACCAAGGGCCCAGAATCTTGACACACCAGGAATATGTTCCACCTGTTGAAATGTGGCTCAAGCTTTAGAAGTCCCCAAATACCTAACTCTTTCTTTCTCCCAAACATAATAGAGAACACTGGTTCTTGCAGAAATAGCTGATTTCTTAACTTGGTGCTTTCAACAACACCAGCCATAAATAAAGGTTTATGGAATAATATATATTTTTAAATAAACAACCTTTGTATGCCATAACGTAAATCTGGAACTAAGAAAAGTAATCGCTATTTAATTGCAATACTTAGTCATTAAACAGAAGGGCAGATGCAGAGCCAGTTAGGGCACACATGTCCCATACATGTTAGCTCCAGATGTGTTCATTAATTCTCTGCTTTCCAGTGCATGGCTCATTATATGATCAAAGGGTCAGCAGACAGACAGCTTTCCTACTTACCCCATCAGCATCAAATGCAGCTCCAAATCCATATTCTCCTCCTTTCATTGCTTCCAGAAGAGTCGTTGCATATGTCAGGTTTGGGTCAGGGTGCTGCCCTCCAAAGTCTTCCAGGGGAACACAGTTTATTGCAGAATTGGCTGGGGCCCCCAGCTCATCACACAGAACTTTTCTCACATAAGGTCCCATAACTAAAAATAGATACACAGCAATATTAAATATTTGCAGAACCTTCTCCCCAGAGTATTTTGTTCTGAATAGTACAGGAAACACCATTTAATAACCCAGAAGAAAAACATAAATTTACAATCGTTTTAAAGATACAATATAGAACAATATTTGCTTGAACTACTATTTATTGAGCATCTACTATGTGCCAGTTACTGTGGTAGGAATACAGAAGATGTATTCAGTCATCTAGTTCCATAAATTTTTTCACCTGAAATTTTTCTAAAAGGTTGCCAGAAAGAAATCAGCTACATAATAATGATTCATTGTCTGTTGCTTTTCATGTATTAAAAGTTTTAGCTGAATATATGCAAAAGCATTAAAGGGCTCTAGCAATGTTCTTTGTCTCTGCAATCATTTGGACTCTGCCAAGTATATAATTAAACACTATAAACCACTGAAGCATATAAAAACAAGCACATTTTACCAAAATACATGCCAAGGAATAGTATTTTCCAGTTCAATGAACATTATGGAGTATGCAATATGGAGCTGCTCTGCTAGGAAATGAAGGGATCATATTGAAGGGATGCAAAGCACATAGTTTCTACATTCCTGGGCTTGTAATCTAGTAGTGGGATGAGTCAAAGCTGCAAATGAATGACTGCAGTGGTAAGACTAAACAATGCACATTGATGAAATAATTATATCCAATGGCTTCAGAGAAGCAATAACCACACATAAGGCTTCAAGGAAGAAGCAGCATTTCTGGTGGAACTTGACGGAATAATATAAAGTTGGCAAGTGTTTGGGTTTAGAGTGGGAAGCCCATCTAAATCGAAGGAACATTATGAGCAAGGGAACAGAGCCTGAGGTAGAACATAAGGCACATCTGTGGAACAGCATGTAATCCTCCTAGCTGAAATATCTGAAAGATATTGCTTTCCACTTATTTTCCACCAATACAACACACAATCCTCCAATAGTGAACATCTCTTGATTGTGCCTGCCCAGCACACATTTCCTCTTCCTCTGGATACAGCATTTGGGATTTGTTTGGAGAAAAACTCTCTTCCCCATCTCAGTTCATGGGGTCTGGGTATGGCTAAATCCCACCTCCCCAAGGCTAAGGAGGTGACCTATGTCTGCGCAATCAGCGTCCTCCATCTTCTAGCCAGAGCAATTGATTCAAAGATGGACATACAATATAAACCAGGCAATGAGGCTGAAACCCAGAAACATTGCTCATACTATTTGGAAAAAAAGCAAAGCTGTCTTCCCTGTAGGCCAGATAATGCTAAGGCAAGAACCTGAAAGTTCTTTTCCTGAGGAATATGATCAGCCCAACAAGAAAGAACAGAACAGCCTAGCCAGAAGCCCTTAGAGTAAGGCCCATGGAGAAGACCCATAGCAGGCTCAGAGCTCCCAGCAGATTTTTAGTGCCTCATTCTTAAATATGCCAGAAAGCCAAGGATCACCAAAATTTTGAGGAATGTATTTGAGATGAGGTGAAAATAAACAAAAAGTAAAGAGAAACCTGGAGGAAACAAAAATTATACAGGGAAAAGAAAACTTTTTAAAATATATCAGTAATATCCTAATAGAGATTAACAAGATAGAGTAGAATGGCTAAAATGGAAAAGACTGACAGTACCAAGTATTGGTGAAGATACAGGTAAACTGGAGCCCTCATGCATTGCCAGTGGTGCAAATGGAACAGGCATTTTGGAAAATGATTTGGCCGTTTCTTATAAAGGTAAACATACACGTATCATATGACTCAGCAATCCCATTCCTAGCTGTTTACCCAAGACAAATGAAAACATACAGACTTGTTCACGAATGTTCACAGTATCTTTCTTTATAATAGCCAACAACTAGAAGAAAAAGAAATCTAATTTTCATTAACCAGTTAATGGATAAACAAATTGTGGTATATCGACAACACAATAAAATTGTACTCAGCAGTAAAAGGAACAACTACTGATACATGCAACACCAGGAATGTATATCGAAATTATTATGCTGAGTGAAAGAAGCTTGAAGCAAAAGGTGACATATTGTATGCTTCCATTTACATAACTTTCTGGAAAATGCAAAACTATGGGGGCAGAAAGCAGATGAGTGGTTGCCAGGGGCTGGGGATAAGGGGAGAGGTTTGACTACAAAGGGCTGCCAAAAGCTCTTTGGGGTGATGGAAATATTCAGTCTTGATTGTGATAGTGGTTACATGACTGTATATGTTGGTCAAATCTTATCAAACTGTATACCTACCAGGAGTGAGTTTTACTGTGTATAAATTATACCTCAGTAAACCTAAGTTTAAAAAGATATGGTATCCATGAAACATAACTAGGATGCGTTTTTACAAGAGAGAATCTTTGGAAAATACAAACAAAAGTTTTGGGAAATTAAAAATATAATGGTAGAACTAAAGGACTGGAAGATAAAGTCAAGGAAATTTCCCAGAAAGTAGAACAAAATAAAGAGATGAAAAACTGGGGAGGAGAAGGGGAAATAGAATAATTAAAGGATCAATTCAGTAGTAAAAATAACCAGAATGGTTACTAAATAGTAATTCAAAAACTTTTCCAGAATTAAAGGACACAAGTGTTCAGACTGAAAGGGTCCATCAGGTGTCCAATATAATAAAGATAGAGTCCCACACTAAGATCCATTATTGAAAAACAGAGGAACACTGAAGATAAGTCAAAGGTCCTAAAAGCTTCCAGAGAAGAAAAAGGAAAGACAATGGATTAAAAATCAAAATAGCACTGGATTTCTCAAGTTTAATATAATAGCTATAACACAGTAGAGCAATGCCCTCAAACTTCTGAAGAAAAATAATATCCAACTTAGATTTCCATATCAGTCAAATATTAATCAAGGGCAAGTGTAGAATAAAAGGCCTTTTCAGATATACAATACACAAAATATTTACCTACCATGAGCTTTCTCTCACTGAGTTCCTGGAGAATGTGTTCCTCCAAAATGTACGAGTAAATCAAGGTGTCAGACAAAGAAACCAGGGAACAGGACATTTAACATAAGAGATGTGTAAAAAGAATTACTACCATGGTGATAAAGGGAGATTTCATGATGACAGCATGCTCAGAGAGCAACCAGGGCAGAGTGGGGCAGATCAAAGTCTCCAGGAAAATGAAGTGAAGGAAGATTTAGACACTAGCGGAGAGCTTGAGGATTAAGAGTGGTAAACATACTTGATTAAAAGCAAGCAATGAGAAAACAAGATAATTGCTGTTTCCAAGGAAATCAAAAAGTTGTACTGTAAAGGAAATATAATTATAGCATATTGCATGGCTCAGCAGTGTTGTGGTAATGTAAACACTAGATAATGATCTTACCAAACTGGTGATATAATTAGGGAAGCATGCTAGGATTCCCTAACTGGTGGGTGGAAAGGGTGGGTGGAGAGGTGGGTGGTGGGTGGAGAGGGTGAAAAAGAGCTGCAGCTCCAGTTCCTGTAGTATGAATTCAGTAATGCTCAAAACTGAAAAACCAACAAGGGTCTGTATATTCATAATATTTAATGATAGGGAGATAAATACAAAAAAGAAACAGCTGAAAAAATGGAAAAATTTAACTCTGGAAGGTAACAAATTGGGGGAAGATAGGAGTTGGGTACAGATTGTTTTCACAATAAATCTTGAACTATTTATTTGACTGTTTAAACTATGCCATGCATATGATCAAATAAATAACAGTTTTACTATACTCCACACTTGAACATGCATAGCCTCAAACTCATTTGTTCAACTTTTGTTTTCATTTACATCCAAAGACAGAAATAAGGGTCCTGAAGTTTTCCAGAGCATTCCAAATATCTGAACATACACATGTTGTGTGAATATCTATGAATCCAACTTTCCTCTTAACCTCTGAAACCCAACAGGTGTACAGGTCTCAATATTTCCTGCCCACTGATTTGGAGAAAATCACAAGCTTACCTCCGTGCATTGCGTCAATGCGAATCTTCAGTTGGCTGGGTCCAGTCAGCAAACCCTTGATGGCATGAAAGTCAAAGATGGTCCGAAGGAGGTTAAGATAGATATCCACTGGGTCCACTATCTCCACTAAAGATAGAAAAACAAAGGAAAATGTCATTGACTGTACCCATGAAAGATACTTGGAAGCATAAAAAGAATCACTACCTTAAGAGCATGAAATTCTGGTCACAAGCCCATCATATCCCTGCACATGATGTGGGAAGCGAAGTGCCCATTTGTTGACAAAAATCACAAATCAGGGCACAATCAAGATACTACAAGCTTTTCAGGTGCTCAATGGGTATAAATGATACCAAGTTATAAATTCTTCTTTGCAAGGAAAATATCAACCACAAGAATAAATTAAGATAAAAATGTGCCCTGTTACTCCTGCTCCCACTTTCCCTCCCAAAAAAATGCACACAGCACACATCTCAATGTTTAGAGGCATTTTGGCATATCCAGTTGCCTTTCTTGTGGGGGCTGGCCAAAGACTGACTCAGCTGGTATGAAACAAATCAGCAAGTGACCTCAGTAGTGACCCCTATTTTCCAAAAGCCATTGTGCCTACCAGATTCGAGTGCAGAATTGGTGATGAATATATTCCTGGGTTTGCGTGAAATCTCATTCATGCCCAATCTAGCACCCAATTTCCAAATGAATGGCAAATATCTAGAAGTTCTCATTAAACACAAATGCTTTCCAGTATCTAGCACCACCCAGTAACCAATAATCCAAAAAGTTTTATTCATTTATGTGACATACCAAAAAGCTCAGAATACATTTTTCATACTTGTCAATCAGTGTATAATTAATGCTCAGAAAGTACTTTTCCAAGAAGTAGTAAATCAATTCTTTAGGTGCTAAAATTTGTCCAGGAGCCCTGCTTTTTTAAATTCATAGCTAAATTTTGAAACTTACGTATATTGTTTTCAGATTTTTCAAATACATACTACTTTGAAACCCTGAAATACTTTTAAACTTGCACTGAAGATATTACCAACCCACTTTCAATAATTTTTAGTAAATCCAGGTGTGATATTTAATGGATGAGATCTTAATATGCCATATAATATTATTCCTTCATCTGATCAAATACATATCTAAAAATATTTTTTCTTACACTTAAGTCAATGTAATTTATGTGTTCATTCAAATATAATTATATTTGTAACATGGATACTTTTAAATTATCTTTTTACATGAGGAGCATAATAATCTATGAAGTAATTAAAAATTAACCTGTATAAAGTGTACACCTAACAATGGTTAAAATGGTAAATTTTGTTATGTATATTTTACCACCATAAAAAAATTAATCTGTAAGACAAAAGGTTATGCCCTGAGTACTTTGGAAGTTTTACTCACTCTACATTATAGGATAATGTTTTTGACAATTTCATTCTGGCTCTTCAATTCTTGAACCACTTGCCTAAATACATTTGGTATTTACAATAGGTAACACACAGTACCAAACAAATGTGAAAAACGAGGGAACAAGAAGTCAGTAAAAATTGAAAGTTCACATCATATAGTTCATGCTCTTGACACTTTAAAGTGAAATGCAAAGGAATTATTTGTTCCTAATTAACTCAAGCTTTGCTCAACACTTGAACCAGCAAGAATACAGCACATAAATTATCCCAAACGATTATCTCCAAATTCTTGGAAGCCAGGGAATCTCTCTACCTATCTCCTGGTATCAGTAACATTTTTAGAAAACTCATTCAACTAGCAATGTGGCTGCAGCAATGAGCCTGAATGAGAGCCCACGAAGATTCGGGTCTCTCGGACAACTATAAAAATTGTGAAGATGCCAAAAATAAGCCTAGTCCTTCCAACCATATGTAATCAGCATATTGAAATCATTTTGCTTAATATAATGTACCCCTTGCCTTTAATTGTCCAGCCATCCCATGCATGTGCACACATATGCCTATGCATTCTCCCAGCTAGATTAGCAAAAGCAGGCACTGTTGCTTCCAGTGAGTATCATGGCTCTCTGTAAATTTCTGCTCATTACCTAAGCAAACAACTGACTCAAAACTTCTCAAGAAAGATTTGGTAACATTGGGCAAATACTGTGACCCCCCACACAATCCATTTTAATCTTTTCTCTATCCCTAAAATATCACATGGACACAAACCAGGTATTTCCTCTTTTGGGCTAAGTTAAATTACTTCTAAAATGAGGATACCATCTTAACACAAACTGCATTCAAGCTTATAGAAGCACTAAAAAAGTAAAACATGTTAGATCTATTGCTATTCTATGCCTTCTAGGAAAAAGCAATATGATAAAATACAGGGGGAAAATGTATACATACATGTTATTAATGTTGTTGTCATATGGTCTAAAATTAATCTATAAAACAAAAAGCTATCTTCTGAATACTGTAGAAGTTATATTTGCTTTACAATATAAGATAATATTTTTGACAATCTCATTTTGGTTCTTTAATTTTTGAATCACTTGCCTAAATATATTTGATAGTTACTGAATTCCTTTGTAAAATCTCCTAACACGGTGCTTGGTATAGGGCAGGTGATCAATAATTATGCATTCAATAAGCTGATGCATAATTATTCCAAGCTTGGTTATGGCTTGGAAAAGAAACTCCTACCTTTCATGAGAAATTTAATAACCCATTGACTTGTTAGGTTTCTTCTTAACTAAGGCATTCCAGCATCTTCACCTTAATTGCTTAGACAAGTTTTGGCAATTCACAGCCTATTTTTGGAATGCTATAATGAAGTCAACCATAAAACTTTTCCTATGTTGAAAATGATATCGAGTTTGGGAAGTGGTTTTTGAAAGTTTCCAGTTCTGAATATCTTGGCTGCTCTCATGTCTTCTCTCTACACCATATTAAGTTTACACACATTTATCGAGTCACCCCTGAGATTAACAATGCAATAATTTTCATGAGTTTACTTCCCTACAGAAACCAGTCAGCCCCATCCACATAGTTACTCTGACTTCTTCAAAATAAAATCTCTGTTACCTCTGAATGGTTTGAATTTGTTTTCTAGGTCAAATTCTTGTCTTCCTAGTCGAGATAGGTCGATTCGGAGATCAGGACATATAGCATATTCCTCAATCGTTTTGCTGATTTGGTAGATTTTGTCTGAGACAACATCGGGTGCAGGACCTAAAATGTGAACACCAAAAATACATGTTTTTGAAAGTCTCGTGAGTTTCAAGCAGTGAAATGTTACCATCCTCCTCCACCAGGCAGAAAAAGATTCATTTGTTCTCTAAACAATGATCAATGGTTCACAGTTCAATTAGCCTTGATATTTCTTATACTGTACTCATCCACTATGGGGGAAATTTGATCAGCCTCACCTGTTCTATGTAGACTAACAACCCATATGTTTGTTTGTTTGTTTTAATCCACTTCTAAGCAATGACACATCTTTCCTAAAAATAGTTTCACACCTGCCAGGGAAACCTGGTTACGTAATCAGCTTTATTCAGGTTATGAGACACAAACAGGATATGCATTTGACAGAAGTGAGGGATTCCAGATTTACATGCAGCTTCCCCAGTGCATCTAGAAGAGGAGACTATGCTTTCTATTCCCAGCTCTGCTACCTAATTGATGTGTGAGCTTAGCAGGGTAAGTTAATTATTTTCCCCAACTCACAATCTCTAGTCACTTCCAAAATGAAGCTCAACTAAAAATATGTGATGCATTTCCTCGGAAGACCAAATTGACAAGTAGTATTAGACTTTAAATAAATTGAACATGAAATCAATACTTGTTCACCTTTTGGGGTTTTGCTTTTTTTTTTTTTTTTTTTTTACCTTGTATATCTTAATGCAAGCCATTTCAGATTTTTTTTTTTTTTGCAACAAGGTTGAGAAACAAATAAGTAGATTGAAAGATCTAAAGTATAAATGATCGCTAGATGTATAGATAGCTTTCTGTATGAATCTTACTTGTCAACTATACTGTAACTTTCTACTGAACAAAAATTGTTTCTTGATTTTTAAAATATCTCAATCCTTAGAACTGCATTGTCCAATACAATAGTTACTTGTCACATTTAGCTGTTGAGCACTTAAAATGTGGCTAGTCAAGTTGAGGTGTGCTGCAATTGTAAATGCACACCAAATTTTGAAGAGTTAGTAGAAAATGCAATCGATTGCATTAATAATTTTTATATTGATGACATGGTATAATAATATTTTAGATATAGTAGTTTAAATAAAACACAATGTGAATTTCACTTGTTTCTTTTCACTTTTTTAATGTGGCTACTAAAAATGTAAAGTATGTATGTGACTCACAATATTTTTCTGTTGGACAACGCTGCCTTAGAGTGTAGCACCATCACCGTATTCCAATACATGCTCATAAAAAAGAATAGCAATAGTCCTATTCTAGTAAGTGGGAGAGAAGACAGCCCAGAAGATTTTACCAACAATTTTCTTGTTGTGTGGGAAAAGTGAAGTCCTCAAAGAAATAAACATAGCCCTTTTCTTCACTCCTTACCATTTTTTACCCTTCACAAAACTTAAAGAATAGGTAGTCTTGTTTCGTTTTTGCATTATTTTATGCTTGCCAGATTATAGAATGCATGAATATCTCCCTCCACTCCCTACACCCCAGGCACCATACTATATTCTTTGGCTGTGTCCATCATTTTCAAGTCCCTGAGTTTTAATGCCAAAGCACACTGATTTCCAAAAGTAAAGAAAGTACTGTCTCTCTAGATAGTTGTCTATGATGCCATTCAACCATCCATGCTGATAACTTCAGAGTTCATCAACAACTTCTGAATTCCTTTTCAATTTCCAAGCTCCCTGATATCTTCCACTCCAATGACTTTCACCATATGCACACCAAAAATATGTACAATTATAATATATATTAAAATAATTGTTTTTTAAAGGATACGGCAAATCTACAGGCACTCATATAAAAATAAATTTTAAGATGCTAAAAAAGAATACCCAGAGATTTTAAAGTGCATAAAATAAATAAATGAAAAATGGAAAAGCTAAAAAGCTTTTTAGTTTGAGGTAGTCCCATTTATTTGTTTTTGCTTTTGTAGCCTGAGCTTTTGATGTGATATCCAAGAAATCATTGCCAAGGCCAATGTCAAATAACTTTTTCCCTATGTTCTCTTCTAGGATTTTTATGGTTTCAGATCTTATATTTAGTTCTTTATTCATTTTATTTCTGTGTATAGTGTAAGATAAGGGTCCAATTTCATTCTTTTACATTTTTGTTTTCCCAGGCACCATTTATTGAAGAGGTTTTTTTCTTTCTCCATTATGTCCTCTTGGTGCCCTGGTCCAAAATTACTTGACTATATATGCCTTGATTTATTTCTGGGCTCTCTATTCTGTTCCCTTGGTCTATGTTTCTGTTTTTATGCCAGTATCATACTGTTTTGGTTTTACTTTAGCTTTGTAATATAATTTTAAATCAGCAAGTGTGGTACCTCCAACTTTTTTTTCCTCAACATTGCTTTGGTTTTTGGGGGCTCCAAACAAATTTTAGTATTGCTTTTCTATTTCCATGAAGAATGTTATTGAAATTTTGATAGGGGTTGTGTTAAATCTGTATATTGTTTTTGGTAGTATGAATGTTTTAATAATATTAATGTTTTTGATCCATGATCAGTGAGCACAGGATATCTATTTATTTGTGTCTTATTCAATCAATGTTTTATAGTTTTCAGTATACTTTCACCCCTTGGTTAAATTTATTCCTAAGTATTTTTTTGATGCTATCATAAATGGCATTGTTTTCTTGATTATTTTCAGCTGGGTCATTATTTATGTATAGAAATGCTACTGATGTTTGTATGTTGATTTTGTATCCTGCAATTTACTGAATTCATTTATTAGTTCTAAAAATTTGTGTGTGTGTTTGTGTGTGTGTGTGTGTGTGCATGTGTAGAATCTTTAGAATTCTCTATATATAGGATCATATCATCTGTAAATAGAGATTATTTTACTTTCTCCTTTCCAATTTGGATGACTTTTATTTATTTTTCTTGTCTGATTGCTCTTGCTAGTACTTCCAAAACTATGTTGAATAGAAATAGCAAGAGTGGGCATCCCTGCCATGTACTAAATTGTGGAAAAGTTTTCAGTTGTCCCCAATTGATTATGATGTTAGCTGTGGGTTTCTTATAAACGACCTTTATTATGTTGAGAAACTTTCCTTCTATACCTAAAGTGTTAAGAGTTTTTGTTAAGAAAGAATGCTGAACTTTCTAAAATGCCTTTCCTGCACCAGTTGAGATGATCATGTGGTTTTTATCTTTCATTCTGTTTAGCCAGTCTTGCATGTCAGGGATAAATCCCACTTGGCCATGATTCATAATTTCTTTAATGTGTTGTTGAATTTGGTTTTCGTCAATATTTATCAGAGATATTGGCCTGTGGTTTTATTTTCTTACAATATGTTTGTCTGGCTTTAGGTATCAAGGTGATGCTGGCCTAACAAAATGTGTTTGGAAGTATTCCCTGTAGCTCTAATTTTTGGAAGAGTCTAAGAAGTGTTGGTAATAATTATTCTTTGAATGTTTGATAAAATTCAGCCATGAAGCCGTTTGGTCCTAGGCTTTTCTATTTTGGAAAGTTTTTAATCACTTCTTCAATTTCTTTATTTGTTGTTGGAGTGTTCAAACTTTTTGTTTCTTCCCAATTCAATCTTGTTGGGTTAGTTTTTCTAGAAATTTATCCATTTCTTCTAGGTCCTCCAATTTGTTGGCATAAAATTGTTCATAATAATCCCTTATGACCATTTTTATTTCTGAGGTATCTATTGCAATGTCTCCACTTTCATTTCTGATTTTATTTATTTGAGTCTGCTTTTTTTAGTGAATCTAGCTAAGAGTTTGTAGATTTTATTTTTTCAAAGAACCAACTTTTGATTTTATTTATATTTTCTATAGTTTTTCTATACTACATTTTATTTGCTTCTGTTCTGATCTTCATTATTTCCTTCCTTTTGCTCACTTTGGGTTTAGTTTGTTCTTTCTTTAGCTCCTTGGGGCATAATGTTAGTCTACTTATTTAGATCTTTTTCCTTTTTTAATGTAGGCATTTATTGCTATAAACTTCTCTCTTAGAACTGACTTTGCCGCATACTGTAGGTTTTGATACATTGTGTTTCCATTGTCATTAATCTCAAAGTATTTTTTAATTTCCCTGTTGATTTCTTCTTTGACCCATTAGTTCATCATAAGCATGTTGTTTAATTTCCACATATTTGTAAATTTTCCAAGATTCCTCTTGTTATTGATTTTTAGCTTCACACCATTGTGGTTGGAAACAATACTAGACATGATTTCAATCTTTTTGAATTTGTTAAGGTTTATTTTGTGGCCTAACATATGGTCTATCCTGGAGAATGTTCTATGTATGCTAGAGAAGAATGTATATTCTGCTGTTGTTGGATGAATGTAGGTTTGGTAGGTCCATTTGGTCTGAAGTATAGTTCAAATTTAGTGTTGTCTTGTTAATTTTTTGTCTGGTTGATCTCTCCATTGTTGCAAGTGGAGTACTGAAGTCCCCTATTAGTGTTATATTGCTGTATATTTCTTCCTTCATGTCCACTAATATTTGCTTTACATATTTAAGTGCTTCAATGTTGGATGCATATATGTTTACAATTGTTATGTCCTCTTGATAAGATGACCTCTTTATCATTAAATCATGACCTTCTTTGTCTCTTGGAACAGCTTTTTACTGGAAGTCTGTTTTATCTGATATAAGTATAGGCATCCCTGCTCTCTTTTGGTAACTGTTTTCATGGCATATCTCCTTCTATCCCTTTACTTTCAATATATGCCTATTCTTAAAGTTTAAAAATGGGTCTCTTGTAGGCAGCATCTAGTTGGATCTTGTTGTTGATCCACTCAGCCATTCTGTATCTTTTGATTGGAGAGTTTAACCCATGTACCAGCAAGGTTATTATTGATAGTAAAAGACTTACTCCTGCCATTTTGCTAATTGTTTTCTGGTTACTTTGTAGATAATTTGTTCTCTTCTTCCTCTATTGTTGTCTACCTTTGTAGTTTGGTGGTTTAGTTTTCTGCTTTGTGGTTACAATATTGTTTTTTAAATATTCAACATGAATACACTTTCTTGTTTGGATAACGTGTAAAACGTCTGCAAGGAGGGATAGATAATAAGTTTTCCCTTCAGACTGCACTGCTTTGCCTGGGATGAGGAATAATTTATAATGGTAACTGTTGCTGGTTAAAATTTGGCTCCTACCCACATTCATGCAAACTCAGTGTTCTAGATTAAAAGAGATTTAAGAGACTTGCCAAGCAAATGCATGGCATCCTTAGATGTATCCTGATTTGAATAAAACAGCTATAAATAATAATATTTTGGGGATTATTGAAAAATTTGACTATAGATTAGTTTTCAGGTGATATTGGAGAATTAATGTTATTATTGTTAGGTATGTTAGCACAGTCATGCAGCAATGTGTCTTTCTTTTTTAGAGATGCATACAAAAATATTTGGGTGTGAAATGTTCTCGTGCTATAATTTGCTTTAAAATTCTTCAGAAAAAAAGATAAGCAAAATAGAAAAACAAGATAATGGGTACATGTTATCTATTTCTTATTCTCCCTATTTTTTTGTGTGTTCAATTTTAAAAGAAATTTACTCCATACATATATCCCACCCCCTCCACTAAGGACCCCCAAACTATAGATTGCTGTGAATATAAGAAAAAGTGAAACAATTCTATGATTTTGAGAGAAAGTCAACACTGTAGGAAAAAGAGAGGCCAGGATTTGGGCTAAAAATCATTAATCTGACCCTGATCAACCCTGTGGCCTTCAGCAGTAACTCAGCCTCTCAGGCCTTTGATTTGTTCATGTGTAAAATGAGGGTCATTTTCATTTAGACAACGACCTTCAGGGTATGTTTTAATGTTAAAATTCAGAGTCCTTCCATATCAGATAAGCATCAACTATTCAATAGTTTATGCTGAAGAGTACAGGGGACCAAGAGACCACCCAAATGGGTTCATGAGCCCATCATGCCACTTCTTTGTTGGATCTCTTTGGGCACCTCACTGAATTTTTCTGAGCTAGGTCCTCTGCACCTTGCTTGTCTATCATCAAAGAGTCACTGTGAGACTATAATAATATAAGAGGAAAGAAATCGTAATTATTAAGGCATATGCTGAACCACATACCTCCATTGGCAACATTAAACTTCACTCCAAACTCTCCCCCTGGTCCTCCAGGGCAGTGGCTGGCTGTTAGAATGATTCCACCAGCTGCCTTGATCTTCCTGATAATGCAGGAGACCGCAGGTGTCGACAAGATGCCATTCTGTCCAATAATCAGTCGTCCAATCTAAACCATCCAAAAAAAAAAATCAATCCAGTTCCTTGGGATTAAAGCCATTTCAACAGGAAAGTGCCCCAGGCTCTGTTAACATACAGCCAATAACTTGATAAAAGAAACAGAGTAGGCTTTAGATTAGGGGAGGCAGGGTAGGGGGAGCACTGACATTGTCTCTCCTATCTAATGTCTCTAAGACCATTTGGTGCACCTGCATCTAGTAGTCAATTATTAACCTGTAAATAGGATATGCCTCATTGATCTTCAGTAGTTTGAAACATCTGCTTCTGATAATCGAGGGGTTAGCTTGAATCACACAAGAAGTTCTTAGTTTGCTACTGACTCAGAAACTATGCATGTGGACATGCTAGAGATTACAAGAAAAAAGAAATGGAGTGCTTCTCTGCTTCTTCTGCTTCCTGTAACTTAGAACAAGCTCAGAGAGCAAGGGGACTGATTTAGTACAACCTCATCACCTGTGGGCATATTTTAACTGTAATCTTCAGGAATGACTTTTCTCCTGAAAGTAGGAATTCTCTTTCTGCTGTTAAGTGACAGCATGTGCTGGAGACATTGGAGAAATTACCCAGTCATGCTAAGCAGAGATCTGGAGGTCATTCATGGATGCAGCCAGATTCTTTCCAGAGCTACAAAACTGACTTTCTAAAAAGTCAGCAACACAGCGCTGAAGAACATTTATTGCTACACCTTGTTTTAAAATTGGATTCAATATCATCCAATCTAGTAGTTCTCAATATTTCTACAAAATAGAATCACTTACGAAGCTTTTTAAAACCCTAGTACTCAAACTGTATTCTAGACTGATTATATTGCAATCTCTGGGGTTGAGAGCCCAGCATTAGTAGTTTTAAAGCTCCACAGATGATTCCAATGTTCAGCCAAGCTCAGTAATAAAGCCCCCTTGTTACTCAAAGGGCTGGCAACATGGGCATCACCTGCAAGCTTGATAGAAATGCAGAACCTCAGCTGGGCGTGGTGGCTCCACCTGAAATCCCAGCACTTTGGGAGGCTGAGGTGGGCAGATCACTTGAGGTCCAGAGTTCGAGACCAGCCTGGCCAAAGTGGTGAAACCCTATTTCTACTAAAAATACAAAAATTAGCTGAGCATGGTGGTGCACGCCTGTAGTCCCAGCTACTCCGGGGGCTGAGGTGGGAGAATTGCTTGAACCTGGGAGGCAGAGGTTGCAGTGAGCTAAGATGGCGCCACTGCACTCCAGCCTGGGCTACAGAGTGAGACTCTGTCTGAGGGAAAGAAAGAAAGAAGAAAGAAAAAGAAAGAAAGAAAGAGAGAGAAAGAAAGAAAAAAAGAAAGAAAGAGAAAGAAAAAAGAAAGAAAGAGAAAGAAAGAAAGAAAGAGAAAGAAAGAAAGAAAGAAAGAAAGAAAGAAAGAAAGAAAGAAAGAAAGAAAGAAAGAAAGAAAGAAATGCAGAACCTCAAGGCCCACCCAAGGCCTACCGAATAAGAACCTGTATTTTAATAAGATCCTCTCCTCTCTTCCCAGATAATTCATTTGATAAGTACTGATATAACCGACAAGCCAAAACAAACTTTAACATACAGTTCAACAACAAAGTTGCCCTGGCACCATCATTGCTAGAGGTCCGTCACTGACCAAATATAACAATCAGCGAGATCAGGGGAAAAAAAGATACAGAAGAGATCAAAACACACACACACACACACACACACACACACACACACACACACACACACAGCTCAAAAGCAAAGTGGCCTTGGGATGATTTAGTATGGAAATCCACAAGATCCCCAGGCTACATATTTTCAAGCAGAGGAGACAGATTATAAACAAATAAGCAATAATAATAATAGTTACTAGTGAGGTACATATTAGGAAGGAATTAGACTGCTATAATAGAGAATAAAGGATGTCAATTTTAATAATAATATAATAATAATAGCTAAGGGAGCTTAGATTTTATTCTAAGTACAACCAGAATCCATTGAAAGGTTTTAAACAGTGGAAGTGACCTGATTGCATTTTTAAACATCATGGGCTGAGCAGCCCAAATGGTCCTATTAAAAAGTAAGTCACATCAAGTCACTAAAACATTCCAATAGCTTTCCTTGTCCCTCACCAACCCAAAACAAAGCCAAAGTCTTCATTGTAGTCTACAAGGCCCTACATAATCTGACCTCCATCATGTACCATTCTCCATCGCCCTCCCGCCCTCCTTCTTCTGTTCCAGCCACAACGGAACAGAACAGCTATTCCTCAAACATACCAAACATGATCCGGCCTCAGGGCCCTTGCATTTTCTTTTTCCTCTGCTTAGAATACTTGCCCAGATATTAACATACCTGCCCTCTACTGTCTTTTGGGTTTCTGTTTCAATGTAAGCTAATCAGAGATAGCACCCTTGACAGCCCTATATAATACTATGGCCAGAAGTCCCTAACTTTTCTATTGTTTCCTATTTCCTTCACCCTGCTATAATTTTCTGGATCACATATATTGCCTTTAACATTTTCCATATTATTTATTTTCCCACTGTATGTAAAGCCCAAGGACTTTTTTTCACTGCTATATCCCAAGAACTTAAAATAAATCTGGCATGTGGTAAGCGTACAATAAATATTTGTTGAATTAATGAATGGAGAATAATGAAAGTATGATGAATGGATTCTCTGGGAGAAATACCTTGAAGGGGGGCAAGAGCAGAAAGAGGAATATCAGATGGGAGACTCTTCGAGTCGAGTGTTGATAGAGTCTTGGACTAGGCTAAAGCCAACAGAAATGAAAATTAGTCATTTGGTTTGAGATACATTTTTGGAAGGAGGATGAACAGAATATGCAGGTGGACTGGAATATTGAAGAGAGGGGCTGTGGTAAATAGCCTCCAAAATGGCCCCAATCGTCCTTGCCTTTTGGCATTTTTGCCTTTTTGTGGTCCCCTCCCACACTGAACGATGCAGATCTGGGTAATCAGTATATATTGCAGAAGTGATTGTGTGTGACTTCCATGGTGAGGCCATAAATGGCATGGACACTTCTCCCCTGCTCTCTTGGACAGCTTATTTTGGGAGAGACCAGCCGCCATGTCATGAAGACACTCAAGAAGCCCTGTGAAGAGGGAGCAAGGCCTGCCAACAACAGCCAGCACCAACTTTCCAGCCAAGGGACTGAGCCATCTCACAGTGGATCCTCCAGCCCCCACCAAGACTTCATATGACCAAACCAATACCAACATGTAACTGTGACCTCATGTGAGTCCCCAAGCCAGAATACCCATCTCCTGTCTCATAGAAATGATGAGAAATAATAAATATATGTGCTCACACATATTACCATCTAATTTTCTACATTATATGTTTATTTCCCCACTGTATATAAGATCCAAGGACTGTTTTCTTTTTCACTGCTATATTCCAAGAACCTAGAACAAATCTGGCATATGGTAAGTATACAATAAATATCTGTTGAATTAATTAATGGGAAAAAATAAATGAATGATGAACGGCTGCTCTGGAAAAAATACCTTGAAGAGTGGCAGGAGCGGAAAGAGGAGGATCAGATGGGAGGCTAACAGCCAGCACCACCTTGCCAGCCAAGTGACTGAGCCATCTTGCAGTGGATCCTCCAGCCCCCATCAAGCCCCAACTAAGCCACTAAGTTTCATGGTAATTTCTTACACTGCAATAAATAACTAATACTGGACCAGTGAGAAAAGGAGTCAAGAATAATCTCAGCTTTCTACCTTTAATAACTTAATGGATAGTGGTGCTATTAATCAAGTCAGGAAAGAGAAAGGACAATAATTACACCTATAGTATTACCCAAAGTCATGATAAATTATTTTCCATATGCTCTTGCTAAAATTTATGTAGTCATTCAACTTATTTTATTGAGTATCTACCATGAAACTGGCAATATGGAAGAACCTTCTGATATAGAACTGAATATAATTTAGTCACTGCCCTCAAGTAATAAGTCTGGAGAATCAAGAATCTGAAAAATGTTTGTAGCTTTTGTTCAAAATTTTCTCTCAGCCATTTAAAGGGAAAATTATGAAGATTGTATAGTGGTGACAGACTGGGATAGCAGTCCACAAAAACTTAGGAAGCCCTTCCATAGCACAGAGTCAATGCTGAGGAACAGCTGCCCAGCCAGGGGCTACATTTTCCAACCCACCCTTGCATCTAGGTGTGGCCACATGGTGCATTTGGACAATGGGTGATAAACTAGTATGAGAATGAGAACAGAAGTAATGTGTGTTTCTTCTAGGCTGAGGATATCAGAAAACAAACATATCATCTCTACACTGCTTATTTCTCTTTCTACAGATTCAGTACAGGTAATCATGTGGCTCTAGGCAATGCCAGAGTCACAAGAGGGAAGGAAACTGGGTCCCCATCCCATTTGGTAGACAAGAGTCTTTGCCCACCAGGGACATCCTCATTGGACTATGGTGTGAGTGAGAAATAACATTCTATTGTTTTTAAGGCAATAAAAATTGCCTACATTTCAGGTTTATTTATTACAACCACCCACATTTTCTTAAGCAGTAGCGAAAGAAACATAAACGACAGTTTAATGCCAAATCAAAAATGTCAAATGCAAAATTATTTTATGCTATTACAGTATAAAATTATGTCCACTTTGGGGCAAGGACTTAGAAAAATGCAGAAATAAACATGTAAAGTTATTAAGTAGGAACAATTATAGATACATTTTTATCTTATTAAATTTCAGTTATTTTTGAAAAGGTAATATACATTCTGTTTAAGAAGGTTAAAGTGAGTAATTACACTTGAATAAAGTTTCAACCTGAAATACTTTAGTTATAATTGGAGAATTACCAGAAGATTAAATTCTAGATATCTGGAAATTTTACCTATGTGAGATCTGCTCATTAACCCATCAATACCAGAGAGAAGAGGTATTGCTGGACATGGTCCTATCATCTGGGGGATAAGTACTGGAGGAGATGTGAAAGAGAGGGTGATGGGGCTTCTAAGGTAAGACATGGAAAATTGTGAAGATATGTGTGTCCCTTATGGACACTCACAAAATGGTGACCTAGGCAGAGGAGGATTTTAATAATAGGATGACCAGTTCTGTGGATGTCAATGAGTGGCTTTCCCCCAGCCATTCCTGTCATTGTCCAATGGGCTCATGAGCCAAGTGGCTGATATGGTTTAGATGTTTGTCTCCTCCAAATCTCATATTGAAATGTAATCCTCAGTGTTAGCGGTGGGGCCCAGTGAGAGGTGTTTGGATCATGGGGGCGAGTCCCTCATGAATGGTCTAGCACCATGCCCTTGACGATAAGTGTGTTCTCGCTCTGAGTTTACATGAGATCTGCTTGTTTAAAAGTATGTGGCACCTTCTCTTTTGTTCTCTTGCTCCCACTCTTGCTGTGTGATATGCCTGCTCCCACTTTGTCATCCGCCATGTGTAAAAGCTCCTGAGGCCTCACCAGAAGCCAAGGAGATGCTGGCACCAGGCTTGTACAGCCTTCAGAACCATGAGCTAAGGAAACTTCTTTTCTTTGTAAATTACCCAGCCTCAGGTATTTCTTTATAGCAATGCAAGAATGCTGTAATACCATGGCCGTGATGGCAGGGGTGAAGGCTATGCATGGGCTCAACAACATGGACATTCACTCACCAAGGCTGACCTGGCTATGGCCACTGCAGAGTGCCTACTCTACCAGCAGCAGGGGCCAACACTGAGTCTCCTTATGGTACCATTCCCCAAATGATCAGCCAGCTACGTGGTGGTAGATTGGTTAATTTGGGCCACTTCCATCACGGAAGATGCAGCACTTTGTCCTTACTAGAATAGACACAAAGAAGAGGAGATATGAAGACAGATGCAAAGATTGGAGTGATGCAGCCACACCCGGGAAGCCAAGGAATGTATTCTGCTGCCAGAAGCTGGAAGAGGCGGGAGCAGATTCTCCCTAGAGCATCTACAGAGTGTGGCCATGCCGATACCTTGATTTTGACTTCTGGCCTCCAGAACTGTGAGAGAATAAATTTCTGTGATTTTAAACCACCAAATATGTGGTAATTTGTTATGGGAGTCCTAGGAAATGAATACAAAGTTTGTAATCTAATACAAAGTTTGTATTAGCTTCACAAGGCTGCTATAACAAATTGCCATAAACCTGGTGGCTAAAAGCAATTAAAATTTATTCCCTTACAGTTCTGGAGGCCAGAAGTTCAAAATCAAGGTGTCAGTGAGGGTCTGCCTCATCGAAAGGCTCTAGGGGAGGATCCTCCCTTGCCTCTTCCAGTTTCTGTTGCCTCCACATATTTCCGAGCTTGTGTTCACATCACTCCAGTCTCTGCCTCTGTTTTCACGTCTTCTTCTCTGCGTGTCTATGTCTTCTCTTCTGTTCACCCTCTCTCTACCAATTAGCTCAGGATAAATGCCATCAGAAAAGGTATGGCTTTCAAGATCTAGTCATTGATAAAAAGAAATATAACTTTTGAAAGCCCTTTTGTATAAAGAAAAAGCACTCAACTTGAAGTTAAAAGGCATAGGTATGAGTCTTGACTATCCCCTGACATAGGATCAATCATTTAACTTCTCTGAGGCTCTGCATCTTTATCTGAAAAGCCAAGAAAGAAGAGGGTTGTTAAAATCCACCGAAGATCAGATTCTATAAACAAAAACTCTTTGTTAAATTAACCATGACACAAATTATTCTATTGTCTTCCCCAAATCCCACAACCCCCTCCAACATTTAAAATTCATCTTTAGATAGCAGATTATCCCTTAAAGTACCATTTTACTCTCTGAAAAAGTCCTAGAAATACTACCCTCTGTCAATGCAGCAGACCGCTACCTTGCAAGGAAAAGATGGTCTACTTACATAATTATCCTTAGTTATGTTTACAGCATTGAAGCAGGCAATATCTGACTTTCATTCCTGAGTGAAATCCAGGCCACAGCCCAGGGAGGACCAAGCCATGGCATTCTGTTGCTCCCCGCTGAACGTCCCACACCATAGGGTCTGGGTTTGGCTGGAAGAAGGGCAACCTCACCCAGTCCTCCAGAAGGTGCACACACCCAAGTGGATGCTACTGCCATTAAGGGGCATTTCCTTCAACTCCCACGCGGAAAAGGGGGCAAAGTGGACCCTAGTCCACTGTCACTCACACACATGTACAGATCCCAGGGTCCACACAGATACAGATCCCAGGGTCCACATCTATCACATATATGAACATTATCACACAGACCCCTGCAGACACATCTGTGAGGCATATGCATTCCCAAACACACAGACAGACTCATGATAAATTTGTTCCTACCTAGCCATGACTTCTAAATGCTTGGGGAAACCAAGACATAGTAGAAAGGAGTGTGCAATTATCATTTCCCATGATGCCGTTACTTAAGAACTCTTTGTGTCCGTCCTTCTAATGGCACCAATGCCTCCCATCAAGCCTTAAACCTCACCTAAATTATGTCATTGGGCTTTTTCATCCATAAATGAGCATACCAGGTGCCAAGGGAATCAATATGCCCTTTCACATGCCTTAGACCAGTGTCCAAAGAAAGATAAAATGTCATTCTATAAAAGCTTTCTCCCAGCATTTCTATTCCTTTACATTTTGTGCCATATACAACTATGGTTTTTTAATGATCTTATTTCTGACAGCTGTTTTTCTTCAGAACATCAACAGCTTCTTTCCTAAACTAGTTTTAGTATGAGTTCCATTTCTAATTAGCTCAAATTAAAGTCCTAGAGAGCAGCGAGGTAATATTTAAACCCTCAGGCTAAAATTTCGGAGTAGGTGCAGAATGTTGACTCTAAATGAGTTTTTCCTGTGACATAACACGCATGAAAGCAGGATTTCTTTCATGTGTGAAATGTCTTAAATCAGACTTACCCTTTGTGATTCTCTTTTAGCTTTAAATGTCATTTAAGAAAAAAAAAGAAAAGAAAATTAAGCATGACATTCCCCAATATCCTCTGCTCACTGTGTTATAATCCCTATCACTCCCCAAGTGAATTGGAGAGAGTGAAGACACAATGAACAGAAACTTCCCTGATGCTACACAGAGGAAGTGTTCTCCAGGACCATACAGCCTCCACCATGTCCATCTACGAAGGGCTGTGGCAAGCCATATACACAAAGATGCCTGTTTCCTGTCTTCTCGGTTAAAAACAAAAACAAAACACTGGAAGGAACCCCAAAGCCAAGCTGCCATGGGTTGCAGAATGCCAGTCCTTAAGTAGTGTTGTCCATGGGTAAACAGGTGACGGATAAGGGCAATTTCAAGAAATAACAAACTCAAGGCATGAATGTGGTTATCCAAACATCAAGGGACTCCTTCATTTGCATTTGGATAATTGTGCAGTTATATGATTTGTTACATGGAGACCAGATGGAAGTAAGAGAGCTCATCCTCAACGTCCTGTACCTCTGGAAGTCTTTACACACATGCTGGAGAGATGGATGAGAGTTCATGAGCATCAAACCACCATGGATTTCATAATCAATTCCTAATATCTGAATAAGTGCCGAAAAGTCACAGGCATCTAGAAGTGTGGCCCAAGTCTTGTTCTTCAATCGGCCCACCCATTTCTCAAGATTTCATTGAGAAGATCAAGAAATCTAATCTTCCTTGGATGCAAAATGGAGGTGGTGAAAATTGGAAGTATGTCCTTCCTGGTAATGAGGCTATTTCAGTACATAGGAAGTGCTCTGAAATCTTTAAGGTATACAGTCTGACTCACTAGAACAAGAAAGGGCTCCACTTGTTGCCATTTTATGAGGTGACCACCCCAGCTGGATAAGAGCTACAAGTGTCCATTGGGTCTACCTGGGTGTGGGTCAAGAAAGCAGAGTTGAGTGCCCTGAGGTAAGCTGAGATTTTGGTGTTCGATGGGAAAGAATGTAAGAATTGACTTTGCCACCTACTGCCTGGGTGACTTTGCGCAAGATCCCAAATCCCTATGTATCTCGATTTTGTTATCTAAAAGATCACATGATGGAGGATGTAAGCAAGTAGCACAGCCAAGACCCAGTTTACAGTGTCTAGTACCTAACAGACTCTTGACACGTTTCACTTGCCCTTGAGTCAATCTTTCCATGTCACTGAATATTCTTCCACAACATGATTTTAATGGATATAGTCGTCCATTGTTTAAATGTACCATTATTGACCAATGTAAAAATGTTCTTTTACCTCAAATTTTTATATGTAAAACAAAAACATGTTTGAGGACTAAACCCACACTGTAGTATAAATTAAACTGGATGTAGGCCAGGCATGGTGAGTCACACCTATAGTCCCAGCACTTTGGGAAACCAAGACAGGAGGATGGCTTGAAGCCAGGAGCTCAAGAGCAGCCTGGGCAATACAGCAAGACCTCATCTCTACAAAAAAATAAGAAAAATTAGCTGGCCATGGTGGCGTGCACCTGTAGTCCCAGCTTCTTGGGAAGCTGAGGTGGGAGGATCCACTGAGCCCAGGAGTTTAAGGCTGTGGTGAGCTTGGATAACGACTGCACTCCAGCCTGGATGACAGAACAAGAACCTGTTTCAAAAAAGAAAAAAGAAAAAAAAAACCTAAAAACTAAAAACTGGATGTAGTTTGCTAATAACTAAACAGCAAATTAATTGTAACATGCTTACATATCAACGATGTCTTTCTTCTTTAATCATAAACCTGCTCACTAAGAAGCTGCTGAAGTCCATGGTAGTGACAGGTACATGTCTGCATCCTTGTCCTGACCTGCATCTTCTTTGATTGTCCCCATCTGTGTCTCCGACTGGCACTGCCGAACCGGCTTGCTACCTGATCAATGTTGTACTGAACCGGACTGCTAACTGATCAATGTTGTTGAGCTCACTGCACAAAGCTGTTCTTACAAGGTAGATTTCTGCCTGGAATAGTCATACTTACACTGTTTATATTCCTTACTCCTGACCCATCCAACGCAGCACAAGTTCTATTTATTGCCATAGAAACATAGGTCATTTGGAAACACCTCCTTCATTTCTATGGAATGTTCAAACATTTCTGACATTTTGGACTCTGTTCTAGCCTCTTGTTAAATATATCCAGAAAAGAGACAAAGCTTTATGGGGGGGCTATATGCACACATATGCTATAGAATAAACTATCTAAATGCTTAAAAATACTTTCCATCTGGCACTGCACCTTAATAGGTAGACAGAAATTAAGTATGTGTATATCTATCTGTATAGATACGTATAAATATATATCCCCAAAACAAAAACTCATTCTCTTACTTATACATAGGTAGAATATAGGTGAATATACATATACATTTATAGGTAGAACAAAAAAACCCCTCAGCCTCTTTAGGGCCATGTGTTTTCTCTGAGTAATTGTCACAATTAATTAAAATACATGTGTATGCCTTTTTAGATAAATTCCATCAGACCAGTTTCTGTCTGGTTGGAAAATAATAACTGCCTATTTGCTAAGTGCCCCTGCCCCCATACTATGTTCCAGTGAACTAAAGACCTCTGGCAATCATAGATTTACAGCTCAGCAAGATTAAACAATTTATTGTTATTTATGACATCCAAGCTGGATCTTCTGTATTATATTCCACATTAGCATCTATCACTTTACATTTGGGAGATCCTGTCCAAAAAAAGATTATGCCTCCTAACCAAACATTCAGCAGGGATGCAGGAACAGGCCCCCTGAACAAACATCCTGCCAAAGTACTTTAAAGCACCGTGAGCTCCCACAGCTGTGCATTTTCAGACGACTCAGCAGATTAGCGTGGAGTCTCTTAGCCCCTGCTTGGTCTGTTCCTTTCAGTAATCTCTCACATGGCCCAGTCCATTCGATTTGAAAATCCTCATGAAATGAGCAGATTAAGATCTGGCTTCAGTAGAGGGCCATGGGGTGGGCATGAAGGGGAGAGGGTTTGCTCTTAACACAGCCTGAGCCTCAGAAAGGTTTCAGATGGAAAAGCAGGGCACTGACTCAGCTCACGCTTAACAGGAAATAATGCACAGACCACACCAAAAAAGTCCTTTATGTTGTGTGAAAGTCTATGCCGGAGCAGCTGCTGCCACCTCATGTACTGTGATAGAGTGTGCATGTGTGTGTTTGTGTGTGCATGAGTGTGAGTACGCATACAAATGTGTGCCGGGAGGGGGAGAAGCTCACACCTTCAACAGTCGCCACCTCAGCCTTAGCTAGCAGCATGGAGAAATGCCAAAAGTCAAGAGGAAGCTGCACCAAAGCAACTGTGATCACCACATCAGCAGGCGCTTTCTGGTTAGTAAAGCTACTGGGACAAAAACACACATGATCTCGTCCTTCTTTTATTTTAATCAGAGCAAAATATTTTTATAATAATTGTGTTATATGAATAAATAATTCATAATGCTGTAACCCATTATCACATTCAATCCTCCCAACAACCCTAGAAGATATGTAGACAAGTATTATTACTTTCCCTATTTTTATAAATGAGGAAATAAACCCTAGGAGGCTAGGCGACTTCCCCATGGTCATATAAGTTGCAAACAGTAGTATCATGATTCAAATCCAAAGCTTCTCCTTTTGTCTTTATCATTTTAATTTTGAAGGTAATGCATATGCATGTATGATCTTTTAAATCCAGAGATGTATATGGAATAGATAGGAAAAGGGACTCTCCTTCCCCATTATACACCCCCTCCACCCAAGCTATATCCACTGTTGACTAGAGTATGTCCTTTCAATCCTATTTTCTATGCCTACATTATATACAGAAAAGCAGGATTACGTTACACACAATATTCCAGTCATTGCTGTTTTTCACCAACAAGCTATCATTCACATCTTTTTCATACTACATATAAATTTATATCCTTTATTTTAGTGGTGTATATTGTGCAGTTGTGTCATAAATTATGTACCTGTTCTCTGTTGAACATATAGATTTTTTCTGAGTTTTTCCTTAGCAAAATGCTGCAGTGAGTACCCTTGTACATAGATGTTTGTACATTTGTTCTAGAAAAATCTACAGTAAAGATTCTTAGATTAAGAGATTCCCAGGTTATTAGAAAACTACTCTATTAATTTAGATATATACTTCCAAATTGCCTGACCAAAAAGTTATGTCAATTTAACTTCTATGAACAGTATACAAACATGACAATTTTCCATCACCTACACCAACTCTGGGTAATTTCATCTTTTTTACAAGTTGATGGATTGTTTTAATTTATATTTCTCTGGTTATTAATAAGGTTGGCCACCTGTTCATGTGTTATTATTGATGATATTTGTATTGAATTGTTTGAATTTTCTTGATTTGGAAAACCTTTTTACATGTCATAGATATTAAATATTTGTTGTAAAACTCTCCTTCCAGTATTTCGTATGTGTTTGGTCAAGTAGAATAAACTCTTGTCCTCTGATTTCAGATTCCTTTCTCTTTCCATTAGAAATCCCTAAATGTAAAACTACATATTGATAGCTAAAAACCAGGATGTTTACTAGAGAAAAAGAATACAAAGGCAATAATTAAATATTATATTTATACAAAATACCTACTAGTACAAACTTAAAAAGAGAAAGTAAAAGTCAAATGCTTCTACGACTTCAGACTAAGAAAAAGAACTTTTGAGGTTGAATGTTCCTGAAATTTTTCTTTTCATACAACTACGGACATGACTTCAAAAGTTGATGTTACTAAAAATGTAAGATATGTAAGATATTTGAAGACTCAGAGAAGGTGGATTTTCATTTTAACAAGTCACATATATATTCTAGATATCCTCTTATTCATAACTAAGAGAGTCAAATCAGATGAAAGAATCTAAAAATTTCCCTTTGACTGTGTTAAGTAGAAGTAGTAGAGGCATATTGGCCAAATCTTGAGTGTTTGCAAATTGACTCTTAAGGCTATAGGCTGGCACAGGTCATTGAAGCCCTAGCTTTTTATCTTTAATTTTAAAATCCCCAAACAATTTATACTAATTTTTCTTGTCCATTATTTCCAAATAATCTTGTTTAAATGTTATTACAGTGCTTGCTCATGTTACTGTTGTCTAACAGAAGGGTATCCGGGGCCTTAAAACTGAGAGGGTTAGGATTAATGATTCCAATACCTATGCTTGGACATCTCCAAAAGTGGGTTCCAACTTCTTGTCCTCAAGTCTGTATAGAAACTAGCAAACTTCCAGAGTTCACAAAAGGCTCAAAGAGAACAGATGTTTTATAGAAAATTCTTAGGGCAAGTTTCACGCATAATGTTGCTGATGTGTGTCTGCCTTTTCAATAAACATCACTATGCTTTATCACAAGATTTAATAAAGCAGCTTAGTTAAAAATGCCATCTGGGTCTCTGGACACATTAAACAAAGCTTAAAATAACCACCCCAGCAACTGGGAGGACCCAGCTGTTCTCATAATCTGTCCCACTCCTTTTACTTCCCCATAAAAAGAGTGAATGAAGACCACAGACTAAAAGCATCCAGAATGAACTGACACAAACAGGGAGATAGATGGAGCCAAGGGCTCCTGTAAGTTTGCTATTGCTCACATAATAGATTTGCTAATTCCACAACCTGGGGATGGGGATTCAGAAAGGGAAGCAGAAAGAGGGAAGAGAGAATCATAGAAGGGCTCATTCAAGTCTTCTAATGTATCACAAACCTGTCCTCCCTAATGTCTGGATCATAGCAGCCCATTCCATTCACCTATTCTGTAGTGAACTCCAGTAGAAAATACAAAGCCATCACCACCCAGTTCTTTCTCCCTTCTAGAGATGAGATATTAGCCACCCAATCCCAGATTCTCAGATCCATTCCAGGAAAGAAGCCCTAGGTATTGAAGCACAGCTTTCTCTCCCTCCCTTCTTTCTTCCACCCCAAGAATTTGTTCCCCAGATAGTTCTAGTAAATGCAAAACCAAGTATATTCTCATTCTTTAGAGCAACCAGCTTTTCATGGCCAACTGGAATCAAATACAACCTGCACAAACATCTATCTGGAGGACACTCCCAAGGCTCCTACTGAGCCAGCCTTCTGCATACCACTGCATTTCAGCTTCCTAGTTCACAAGACACTGAGACATTCTTGAATTCTGCAAGGTGCACTGTGTGTTAATATCATTGCTGCTCATCATGTGGCCAATAAAGGGCATGACTAGTCAACAAATACATTTTCTCTTGGCTAAAACTTGCAACAAAACTGTAAGTTGTTTACCAAGGGGCCCACTACAGGTTATATTCAATACATACAGTCAAATCATAATTATCTGAGATATATTCAGTTGACCATACACCTTTATATTTCAGTAAAAGGTCTTTACATTTCCCAGTGCTATCGATGTTACAAAGTGCTTTCATATGCAGTGCTTCATCTGATTTCCAGGATAATTAAATGATCCTGTCATACCTGATTTTTAGATGAGGAAACAAGTGGTTTCTGGGTATTTCAAGAGGCTAACGCATCTGCCCTCCAACTTGTATGTGAAAACCAAAAACAAAATTCCAAGGCCCCTCAACCATCTGAATGGACTTTGACTCTTTTGGTCAATATATGGCAGAGCTAGGAAAAGAAGGTGAGTCTTCCAGCTGCTGATACAGGGTTTTTTCTGCCATACTCCATTACCTCCAAGGCTAAAGTCAAAAGAGGGTGTGGTTATCACATGAAAAAATCTGGTTTGGATTTCCCAAATGTGTATGTAGTATTTGGTGATTTACCTTAATTTAACCTACAGTTCTTTTGGGTTGTAACAGTCTGACTCCATTTTTGAAAACAAAACAAAATCGATTTTAAATGCTGAATTATAGGTCTTTGCTGTCCAGTATGGTAGCTACTAACCACTTATGGTTATTTGCATTTCTATTTTAATTAATTAAAATTAAGTAAAATGCAAAATTCAGTTCTTCAGTTGCTCTAGCCACATTTCAAGTGTTCAGTAGTCACATATGGCTAGTGGCTGGGACAATGCAGATTACAGAACAGTTCCATCATCAAAGAAACTTCTATTGAACAGTGCTATTATATAATGTCATCTCCAGAGAAAGAAGACTTTAGAAAAAGTCAGAAACGGCCGGGCGCAGTGGCTCACACGTGTAATCCCAGCACTTTGGGAGGCCAAGGCAGGCAGATCCCTTGAGGTCAGGAGTTCAAGACCAGCCTGGCCGACATGGTGAAACCCCGTCTCTAGTAAAAATACAAAAAATTAGCTAGGCGTGGTGGTGCATGCCTGTAACCCCAGCTACTCAGGAGGCTGAGTTGGGAGAATCACTGGAACCCAGGAGGCGGAAGTTCTAGTGAGCCAAGATTGTGCCACTGCACTCTAGCCTGGGTGACAGAGCAAGACTCCATCTCAAAAAAAAAAAAAAAAAAAAAGAAAAAGAAAAAGTCAGAAACATCTTGAGGCAGGCACAGTGCTGACATCTGTCCAATATTGAAGATGATTTAAGAATAAGAAAGAAGCAGAGAACAAAGAAGAGAAAAAGAAATTGCCTTAGGTGTACCCACCCAGAAAAGGACAAAGGCATTCCTGTAGTCATTGTGTTGTATTTTAGCTCTTAAACTTTTTAAGAGATTAGAATAATTTGACACATAGAAGATCTAAACCACTGAAGAGGCTCTGAAGCAGATAAAAGTAGAAAGAAAATAAAAAACTAATTAGTTACAAACTAAGCTTAACCACAATTCGTTTAAAGATACTATTTACTCTTCACATGATTGGTTTTTCTTTTGCTTTATAGTATGACATAGTTTATATCTTTAAAGGGGAATTAAAATATTTCTGGGAATTTTTAAATGTAAGTTCACACAGCCACATAAAAACTACAGAAACAGATAAAACCTATCTTCTCATTTATTCCCTAATCCATTCAAATTAAATATAAAAATCCAAGCATCCACAGTGATATTCAAAAAAGCAAAAGTGAGACAAAACAAAATTCATTTGTCACCTGTGGAGGTAGTTAACTCACCAAATCTTCACTCCAAACACCAGTAATTTTTAAAAGACAGAAATAAACATATGTTCTGCCTTCCCGGAAGGAACTATGTTTCAGGGTAGCCAAATAACCCAGTTGTGAAGAAAATGGTCTGCTTATAGAAAAATGCCAGCTAAAACATGTATATAGAATTAGAGAATTAGAAATTCACCATTTTGAAACCCCTAATGAAATAATCAACTCAAGCAAGGATCATTAATAAATGCTAAAACAATCAAGTAAATATTGATACAGAATATAACTGAATATACACATGGTACAAAGTTCACGTCACAGACTACTGGCTTGACCCAAGGGGGAATATAACAGAGGAGATAGGCAGTGATCGCCCTAACCTTGCGATCATCTCACCATCACTAATGATGGGATGTGAATACACATTATTGCCTATGAAATAGTCTTTAAAAAAAGAAGTTGAACCTGAATCTAACTAAACCTTGCAATGGGCTGAACGTGTATGTCTTCCCAAAATTAATATGTTGACATCCTAACCCCAAAGGTGCTGGTATTAAAAGGTGGGGCCTTTAGGCGGTCATTAGATCATAAGGACAGAGCCCTCATGATTGGAATTAGTGCCCTTATAAAAGAGGCCCCAGAGAGCTAGCTAGTCTCTCCCACTATGTGAGGGCCCAGCAAGAAGGCCAATCTATGAACCAGAAAGTTGGTCCTAACCAGATATCAAAACCGCATGCTCCTTGATCTTAAACTTGCTAGTCTCTAGAACTGTGAGAAATAAATTTCTGTTCTTTATAAGTCATCCAGTTTTTGGTATTTTGTTATAGCAGGCCTAAAAGCCTTTAGAACTAACTTCCAGTTAACCAGGAAAAAACAGAGTGAAAAGTTAAATGACACCATAAAAAGCAACCAGAAAATTCCAGAAGGGGAAATATTCTGCAGGACAACTGACTAGTTTTTCAACAATCAATTTCATTAAATAAATACATAAACAAAGAGTGAGGGTATTTTCCAGGTTAAAAAAAGTCTTGAGCTAAATAATCAAATGCAATGTGTGTCCCTTGATTAGAAGAAACTAATTTGAACAAACCAGCCACAAAAGATATTTCAGGGAGACCAAGCTGGAAGGATCACTTGAGGCCAGGTGTTTGAGACCAGCCTGGGCAACGTAGTAAGACCTCCATCTCTACAAAAACAATAAATTAGCTGGGCATGGTGGTGTGCACCTATAGTCCTAGCTACTCAGGAAGCTGAGGCAGGAAGATCACTTGAGCCCAGGAATTTGAGGCTGCAATGAGCTATGATTGTTTCACTGCACTTCAGGCTGTGTGAAAGAGCAAGACTTTGTCTCAAAAAATAAAAGGACATTTCATAATAATTGAGGAAATCTGAATGTGGACTGGGTAATAAATGATATAAAAAAACCATTTTTTATTTTGTTTGAAAAGATGATTTCGTAACTATACAGGAAAATGTTCTTATTTTTTAGAAATCTGTACTAAAGATTTAGGGGTAAAATATCATTTTCTTTAATATACTTTCAAACACAAGCAAAAAATAATCATGACACAAATATAGGAAAATGTTTACAATCTATGTTCTATGTTTGCCTATGAGTGCCATTAATCTCATCTCTCTGCTTTTCTGAAAGTTTGAAAATTTCAAAGTTTTATAATAAATTTTTTTACATCCCATAATTTTATAATAAATTTTTTAAAGTTTGAAGCAAATCAACAACTATAGCTTCAAAAATATCCTGACCCACAATAAACATTGAACAGGGTATATTTCTCCCATTTCCTAAAAAAGTTGGCCCAGGAAGGAGTATGAGAGCTGCCATAGCTCTCCCAAGGCTCATTATTCTCCATCACTCCATGGGAAATCCCAAAATAAATTTTTAAAAAAGTTGTTTAAATTTATAATGTTTTTGATTCTATAATAATTTTATAATAAAATAATTTTATGTTTTTGATATTATATTTTTAATTTATAAAATTTTTTATACATGTTTATGTTTGAAATGTCTATTTCAAACTTTATGAGATATTAAAATATAAGTAATATAGTTCATCATTTTAGAAATGCCATGTTTTTCTTCTCCAGCAATTACATAATCAAAGAGTAACTGTAGTTTTTCCTAGAACATTGCTTTGTAGGCTGGGCATGGTGGTTCATGACACTTTAGGAGGCCAAGGCAGGCAGATCTCTTGAGATCAGGAGTTTGAGACTAGACTGGGCAACACAGAGAAACCCTATGAGTAGTAAAAACACAAAAATCAGCTGTGCATAGTGGCATGCACCTATAGCCCCAGCTACTCAGGAGGCTGAGGTGGGAAGATCACCTGAATCTGGGGAGGTCAAGGCTACAGTGAGCCAAGACTGTGCCATTGCACTCCAGCCTGGGCAACAAAGTGAGACCCAGTCTCAAAAAAAATGAAATTTAATTTAAAAAAAGAAAATTGCTTTGTAAAATTAACTTTTTCAATCAAAACCAAGATTTTTCAGATATAGAGAATGCAGCCCACTGGTTAGATTTGTCAGTTCAAAGAGAATAAATTCTAGTTTTCTATTTTTCTAGCCTGCTTATGAGTATCCAATAGGATATCAAAAAAGACCAAAGCCTTTGGGATCCAAGTTCAGTATTCCTGAGTCTAATTCAGGATGCCAAATCAGGAGACAAGCACATTCTCATCAATTTTCAATCATTCAAGACCAATTTTGCTTATAATTATCCAGTTCTTTTAGACCACCTTTCTCCTGAAGCCAGCCTTATGGCTATTCACTTCACTTTAGCATAAGCCCCCAAGAAGGTGAACAAAATGAGGAAAAGATTGGTTAAAGTTGGCTGTTTGAAATTCTGAAACATGTCCACCATTCCCTTCACCCATGCCCACCCCTCTTAGAAGTAGTACTTTCAGATTATTTAAGAGTCGATGCTTCTATGTGGATTTTAATTTGTCATCTGTCCTTTATAACAGCTAGTAGGTTTAATTTGACCCTATTTTAAGCATATATTGACCTATGCTAATTATCTGTTAAAATAAATTCCACTCTTAGAGTTAATAAAGTGTGTTTGTCATAGAAGACCCATTGAAGTAAGAAGCTGAGGAGTCCTTATGGTAAAGTGGGACAAGAAATAATAAGACATAATAATTTTCCCATGCAAATCAACAACCGTAGCTTCAAAAATATCCTGACCCACAACAAGTATTGGACAGGCCATGTTTCTCTCACTCCCTAAAAAATTGGCTCGGGAAGAAGTATGAGAGCTCCCATAGCTCTCCCAAGGCTCGTTATTCTCCATCACTCCACAGGAACAGCCTGTCAGAGAAGAGTGAAAGACCATTTGTCAACCTCTCTTCAACTCCCTGATTCTAGCCAAACTTCATCAATCCCAAGTGAGGAGCCAGAGATAAATCAAACCCCATATATCCAGCATCATTGTCTACTGGAGTCAAAAATCACAATTCCACTACCCACCCCAACACCACTGGCCCTGTTTCTCCCAATTGCGTTTTATTATGTTTTTAAAAAAATCCTCTTTCCCCATCCCTGCAACACCGAGAAGGAGGAATTATAGTAGATAAATATGAAGCATGGAGATCCTTTAAAAATGTTTTTAATAATAAATGAGAAAATGAAAAGGAGAGGGTTGGGAAGGAAGGAGGGAATTCAAATGCCAGGGAATTGTTCAGTTTCGCTTTTAAAGATGTTAACACTCATTTATACATCTGCAAGACACTTTCCTTAAAGAAAAGTTCTATGAGTGTGGGTCTGGTTGCATGAATAAGGATAAAATTACTTTTTTAGACGATGTTTCCCACATATAATTCAGAGACCCCTGAAATTAGGTATCCCTCTTGTAGATGTCCTTGAGATGCTGCTGGACCTGGGAAAGAGGAAACTGGGATATGGGTCTATGCCAAAAGGTGCTTCTAGTTATAGGACAGAGAGGAAAGGGGCAGAGGGAGAAAAACCTGAAGTCTGAGAATCTGGATTGCAGAAGACTACCGAGGTCGTGGGAGAAGGGAGAGAAAACAAGGATGAAAACCGAAAGGGGAAGAGGCATGAAATGTTGTCAAATGCCAAAAGGCATTTGGAGAGAAGTTGGGAATTGCATTAAGAAAACCACTGCAAATCTCATTTCAGACCATTTAGAGATATGCCCCCTGGGAACTGCGAGCTCAGGCTGTTTAGCATCAAACAAATGGATCCACTCCATCCCTACCCTAATTAAATAAATCATTCAGTAATTCCACTGGGTTAAAGAACCAAAATAATAAAAACCTTCAGGGCCTACTCTTGCCAAATATGTCAGGGATCGTGTGTGTGTGTGTGTGTGTGTGTGTGTGTGTGTGTGTGTGTGTGTGTGTGTTCTGAGACACCACTACTGTTAAATAGGCAGAGCTAAGACTTAGGGGACTGGCAGATTATTGCAAAAAGGGCACGGGGCAGAGGGACTATGTTGTGAGCCTGCGAAAGAAGTTTGTGTGGGGACTGTGGGCAGTGAATGCGTTGGGAACAATATGGAAAACTGGGAGCTGCCTTGGAATCTACAGGGCCGGGTAAGAGAATGTCCGAAAGAAAAATGAGCAGGTGCGGGATGTGCGCAGAGTCGGAGAAGAGTCCAGGGCGCCCGGAGTGGCTCCAGGAACGACGGAAACCCCTCAAGGCTTTTGGGGGCGGTGGGTACTAATAGAACCCAGTGTCCGGGGTGCACCGGGGAGGCTGCGAGCGCGGCGGGAGTGGGGCGCTGGAGGGTGAGGACGCGGGAGTGAGGTAGCAAAGCCGGGGCCGGGCAGGGGCCTCCCAACTGGGCCCGGAGGCAGCAGGGGGACAAGGGCTAGGAGAGGGCATGGCGGCGGCGCGGCGGGAAGCGAGGGGCATCCGGACACTCACCCCGTTGGCCGCGGCCATCTGCACCACGATCTCGATGGCCGTCCTGCTAAAGTACCTGCCGTCGCTGCCCACCACCATGGTGCAGCCCTGACGGTCGCGCAGGTCGATGGACGACAGCACGCTCTGGATAAAGTTGGGCAGGTAGTTGCGCTGGCCCTCGAAGAGGCCGGTGGGTCGCCGCAGACCCCCGCCGCCGGCCGGCCGCTGGTCCTCGTAGGGCGCGGTGGGCACTGTCAGCACCGGGATGGGGCTCCCCTCCATGGCGCCTCCTGGCCGGTCCTGCTGCGGCTCCCGGAGCCGGAGGGAATCTGCAGCCTGCCGGGGGCCTCCACCAGCCTGGCTGCGCGCCGGGACTCCGCCTCGCGCCCGGGCCCCCTCTCCAGCAGGTCGGCGCCCTGCGCCCTGCACCCGCCCGCCTGGGGACCGCCCGCCCCTCCTCTCCGCGCGGCCGCTCGGCTGACTCTCTCGGCAGAGATTGCTTCTGCCTTCCTGTAAAGTTTTCTCCCACCCACCTTCTCCGCTGCCAGACCGCCCGAGCTGCCCTCAGTTTCTCCCCAAGTTGGACTCACTTTCGGGGTGTCCCAAAAGCCTGATTCCAGGGCCTGCTAGCCCGACCCCGGTGACGCCTCCACCCGCGCCTGGCCCCAGCCTTCACCCGCGATCGCCGCCCTCCGGGGCACACCCTCCGCCAGAAAACAGCCGGCGGGCGGCGAGACTTTGGGCAGAGTCCGGGTTCCTCTCCGGCGCCCGGCCCGTCTCCCTGTCTCCCTGGGAGTGCGCAGCCTACACACACCAGTTTCTCTTTAGAACAAGGACGGGGAGGGATTTGGGAGGGGGCTGAAACCTTTTGCCATCAGCGAACAGCCTCAGCCAAAAATAACCCTGGAAAGGCGAGCTAAGAATGGTTATCTCCTGCCAGCGCTGAAATCGGAGGCTGGGCGCTGCGTGTGGGGTGTGTGTGTGTGTGTGTGTGTGTGTGTGTACCCTCCCACCCCGACCATTTGTTGAAGGGAATCACCACTGTCAGACTTCAATCCAACAGGACCCACTCGAGCCATCCACACTTTCCCCAGCCTCCTCCAAAACAGCACACTTTCCGGTATGGACAATTCTTTTTTTTTTTTTTTTTTTTTTTCACTTGTTTGTTTGTTGTGGTGGTTGCAACAGCAGCAACACAGACGACACATATTTCCCTATTCTTCTCGCCCTTCTCACCCTCCCTACCCAGCTCCTGCCTTAGAAATAGGCTTTCCTACACTGTATCTGTCCACACTGTCTGAACTCTTCCTTGAATTAATCGTTTTCAATAGGAGGGGGCTAAATCCCTTATTAATGCCCTACCAGGAGTGAATGAATAAAGCCAAGTTAAAGGAGACCTGGGTACCAGATACTGTGCTAGGTTCCTTTGCATGTATCCTTTCATTCTGCTGGAGCTAAAGATTTTCTGCCTCCTCTCCATAAAACGCACCCAAACTCCAAAACCAGGAAATTCTCCATAGAAAATAGGAGTGAAGAGAGAAAAGACTAACAGGATAAAACCCAAAGCAGGAAGAAAGTTCTATCTCCCATTTCTCTCAAGGAATTTTTGGACCCACCAAGGCTACTGTCCTGAAATATCCTGCTGCTTCTCCTTCCCCAAATATTGTCCACTTACTGAGAGTAAGGCTGACTTGCCGCAGGCTTATAAAGTGTTTGGTCACAGTAAGACAACTGTGAGTAATAACACACATTGTATACTGTTTTGCAATTGATTAAAGGCTTTGCATCTGTTTTTTCTTTGGAGGCTGAAGAAAAGAAGAATGGTATTCATGCAGTTCCCATTTTACAGATGAAAACAAGAGGACTTTTTCTGTGAAGTCAAGAAAGTGGTTACAATGGTACTTTCAGCCTGTCCGAATTATGTATTGCCCCTCCCCTTTTTATTAATAACATTGAAGTGTGATGGGACAACCACTGAAGCCGTCTGTTGAAACCTGCTGGGACTTTTTAGCCATTCTCTTCAACATAAAGAATGGGTGTTTTTGGAGGGGGTGAGAGGAATGGGGAAATGTTGTCAAAGAGTACAATGTTTTAGTTGAGACAGGAGGAATATATTTTGTTGAGATCTACAGCACAGCATGGTGACTGTAGTTAACAATGAAGTATTGTGTATTTCAAAATTGCTAAGACAATAAATTTCAAATGTTCTCACCACAAAAAAGATAGGTTTTGAGGTGATGAATCTATTAATTCTCTGGATTTAATTATTCCACAATGTATACATATATCATAACATCACATCATACCTCCGTAAATACATACAATTTTAATTTGTCAATTAACATTTTTTTAAAAGAATAGTGTGGCCAGTCGGGGAGGTAGTTTTTTTTTTTCCTCTAGTCTCTACTCAGTCTCCAAGATCCCATTTCCCATAAAGTTCCTGTCACCCAGGTGGAGTGCAGTGGCACAATCATGGCTCACTGCACCCTCTCCCTCTTGGGCTCAAGCGATCCTCCTGCCTACAGGTACATGCCACCACGCCCAGCTAATTTTTGTAGTTTTTGTAGACATGGGGTTTCACCATGTTGCCTAGGCTGGTCTCGAACTCCTCAGCTCAATCAATCTGCCCACTTTAGCCTCCCACAGTGCTGGGATTACAGGTGTGAGCCACCAAGCCCAACCCATAAAGTTCCTAACTTTTTATCTCCCTGGGAGTGCACAGCCTACACACACCAGTTTCTCTTTAGAACATACTTAAGAGTCTTGGCTTAGCATCCAACAGACAGAACTTTAACACTTCTAGGGATCTGTGCACCTGTCTATGGTGTGGGGTTTTTAAGATCTCTTTCTAATGACACTTTTTTTTGCAAAGCAGGACAGTTTCATTCCCAGAAGAGCAGGTATGGTAAATCCTTTGTTCCAGTAACGAAGACAATGATCCAAACCCTAAGCCTCAGAGAAGCCCAGAAACCCTCCAGGCCTCCATCTCTCTGCTCCTAGCACCTGCCTCTCTCTTGACATCAACATCATTCTCCCCTCTCACAGCCCAGCTCCTTCCACAGACCCAGGGATTAGGCACCAGCACCTCAGACTAGATTTTAGAGAATTACCATTCAAGAGGCAATCCTCTTCCCTTGGTTCCAATTTCAAGGTTCTCAAAGACTGGAACAGGGCTAGTTTGAGGCAATGTGCCCTACCACATAGCCAGAAAGAACCTTACAGTGACAAGGAAAACAAGTCTTCCAAAGTAAGGGGGTGCTGATCCCCAGAGGGAGGACAGATGGGCAACCAAACAGTAACCGGGCCACCACGTGCTTCACACTCACTGATCAAGGATTTCTAAAACCATTTGTCTTTTCTCTGAATTTATATAGGACTTTGTATCACTCATAAAGGAATGTCTTATAGGCTGATAACACCTTTCTATTCATGCTTATACCTAACATTTAGGCTAGGATAATTTCCTAACCTCAGTGTCCTCACTATAAAATGGGAATTATTATAATCCCTACCTCATAAATTGTTGGGAGGATTAAAATACTTAGTAAAGTGCCTGACTAATAGAAAGGCATTCAATAAATGTTAGCTATTCATGGTGTCATCATCATTATATTTACCATTATTACTAATCTCCTGTATTGCAAGAATTACAGTTTATATTTTTGTAGACCATCACTGTAGCTAAAGGGTCTTTGGGCCATAGGTGATATTCCATAAAGGTTGGTTAAATTGTTCTGTGGTTTTTGACTATGGAAACTCAGAACTCCCTCAAAATGTACAAAACAGATTTACCTGCTAAATAAATCTCTTCAAAGCTGACCCCAGGTTTAATTGAATTAATTCCAATGAATTTGTCACAATGATGGAGAAAGGAAACTTAGAGGGCCCCACAGTTGTTTGCTGGTAAAATGAGAAGTTTGGATTAGATCAATGTTTCCCAAAATATTTTCCTCAGAATGTTAGTGCCCCTCGAATCCTGCACAAAGCAAGAGTTTCATGACCAAGTAGCTTTTAAAACTCCTGTACACTCTACTCCCATTCTTCACAATGCACACTTTCATATTAAAAGTTCTGAGAGGTCCTCAACAGAAGACATCAATTAACTTTTTTTTTTTTTAAGACAGATTCTCACTCTGTCACCCACGCTGGAGTACAGTGGCCACCACTCCTGGCCTAAAAATTTTTTTTAACCTGGTGCTTCCCAATCTAAACTCACAGGGACCAGTTTTCTTAATGAAAGAGAATCAGACTAGCTTGTAACCATAGCTGGTGACATTCCCCTGCCCCATTCCTTGTATGTCCTCAGTGGACTAGGTCAGAAATAAATAAATTTTCCTGATTCTCAAGGGCTGGTCACTCCTTTGCACTGAGCTCAAAGCTTCTCTGTAGCATGGGTCACAATGAATGGTAGCCCTGATAGCCTAGAGTAGCCTTTCAGCCTTCTCTGAGCCTCTAAAGACTGAGGATTCTTGGCATGAAATAGGAGCAACTGATATATCCTTGCTTCCCCTGGGGACTCTCTTGCTCTCAAAAAGGCATCAGCCATCATCTCCATCTAGAGAATATACTAGCTGACTCAGTTTGACCAGCCTGTCCCAAAATGAGAATCTGGGTAAAATAAGTATTGAAACACTTCATTCCTTGTAGATTCACAAAACACATTAGCATATTAAAGACTATGAAGTTCTGCAGGAAAAAAAACCTATTTAACTTTAATCCAACATTGCCAAGTTTTATTTGACCATGGAAGATTTTTCCAAAACACTTACAAACAGATCAAGGACATTAATCTTTCATGAAACACTTTAGATCCCCAGGGTCCTCTCCAGCTACATCATTCTGTGATTTTCTTTTTTATTTATGATGCATTAAAAGATTAATCTCTATCAGACTTCCATTTAGAAATTCACCAGAATGTGCAAAGGCAGCAGGTAAAATTGCCGAAGGGTATTATAAAAATACCCTCCAGTGATTTTTGAAACTTAAACTGAAATATTTATATAACTATATATTTCAGTTTGTATATTACATATATATGTATATACACACATATATATGTGTGTATATATATTTGTGTATGTATATCTATATCTATGTATATATGGCATTATATCCATTTTACAGATGCAGAAACTGAGCTTTAGAGGGGGTGAGCAATTGGTCCAAAGCCACACAGCACACAGGTAGTCATTGATAAAGGTAAAAACAAGAGTTGAAGCCTGAGGTGTAAGGACACAGAGACAAGTACACAAATGTTTACAAGTTACACATATGACACGTGCCTTTAACATGAATTTCTGGAACATTCATTTAGAGGCCTTACCATGAAGACATCAGAGTGGCAGCAAGTTCTGTTGGAATCAGGGGAGCGTGTTCTTCTATAATCCCCTGGCTGACAGGAAAGCACATTGATTTGGCCCATGGTAGTTATACACTCCCATTGAGTCAGGGGCCACTTCTATGCACACAGGAGGTGCTAAAAATATGCTGTTGACTCATTGCCTCTAAGAGCAGAAGAAATGCCAAAAGTATAGGACAAGAGGCAGAAAAGCACATGGAAAAATGTCATAGGGCAGTCCTCTAAGGAGGTGTTAGATCCCTTTGAAATCTGTCCAAACACTTTCTTGTGCTGGGGAAAGTCAATTACATATTTCAAGCAACCCCACATGTCATACGAGTATCTTGTACGTGTTTGTGTACTCGTGTCTGTGAACTTACATCTCAGAATTCAACTTCTCGCTTCCCACCCTTATCAGTGACTGCCTGCATGGCCTTGGGCAAGTTGCTTTCCCTCTTCAAAGCTCAGTTTCTGCATCTATAAAATGGACATAATGCTACCTACCTCATGGGGTTACTGATCACATTTAAGGAGCTAATATGTGGAAATTGCTTACACAGTACCTGTCACATAATAAGGGTTTAATAAGTGTTTGATGTAATTGTTTTGATTATTACTACTATTACTAAAATAATAATTAATACAATAATAATGATTCTTATTCTCTATATTAGTATTATCTTTGAAAATGGGCATGGATTATGTCTACGTAACCCTTTTGGCACAATATCTAGCATTATATCACATACAAATTAGAGAATTTATGTTATTAAGGATGAAAAAATATTTTTACTGACCCTTAAATTCTTCGTAAGTAACTGCAAAAGAAGCCATTATCCCAACACATGAAATAAAAAAAAAATTCAGTTCCTCTGGAGCTTGTTTTTGGAGGTAGCCACAGGATACCTAAATTTTTTTTTCTTTTCAGAGAGACCGAGGGGCTCACTAGGTTGACCAGGCTGGTCTTGAACTCCTGGCCTCAAGCCATCCTCCCACCTCAGCCTCCCAAAGTGCTGGGATTACATGCATGAGCCACCACATCCAGCCTACCTAAAATATTGAATGCTGTTAATAAATCTCCTGAGGCCAGCATAAGAAGGTGATGGGCAAAACTAATGCAGGTATGTTTTTCTGGCTTTTTCATGTATTGGGCCCAACTTTGGAAAGCACTTACTATTAATGGCTAACTTGCAAAATTTGTGATTTATTAAAAGCAGATTTTAATTGTTTTACCTAAAAATAATAGGCCTCTGATCTGCCAAAGATGAAGATTTAATTTCTAGGTGTTCCCCACAATACCTAGGAACATCAGTGTAATCGATTATTAAACACTTTAGAACTATTCTCATCAAAGTTCTTTATTATATAATACAGCAAAAGAAAAGTTTCTTTTCTAAAGGCTTCTCTATACTTTTTTTAATAGTTGAATTTCATTTCTGAAGGCTCCTAAAAAGAATAGAATTCAGATCTTTATTAAAGAGGAAATATATTTTCCATGTTTAATTTAAATTACGTTCCATCAGTCATTTGCAATCTTAGCCTACACGGAATTTTTTTTTTGGTAGTTTTTATGTTTGGGCTTTAGGAGGGGATTCCCAATAATCTCTATATAAATATTTCTAATCTCTATATAAATATTTTAACATTTCAATGTAAATTAGTTTTTTAAAGCTATTTTATCCATAAAAATAATGAATTTGCATGGCTGAGGGTGAAATAATGTGTTATCAGGACCCCTCAGTTTTGGGGGTTGTGAGTAGATCCCATCTTCATGTTCCTCCAGCCCAGCCCAAGCCTGGCTCAGGTCCTCCTCCCCCATTTGTCAGGAACCACCATCCCCAGGGATTCTATGTGCCCTGCCTGACCAGTGTTCTCCATCAGAGTTTACCAATCTTTTGTTCATTCCCTCAGAGCACAGCTAAGCAAGAGTACACTAATTTGAAAATTAACTCAAGCAAAAAGAGGAACAATATCCCCAACACATTGCATTTTAACATAGGGTTTCCTGGACACACTGTTTCAACCCAAGAGTTGGGCTAATAGTAGGAGTTCCATCTGCTAAAATACGGCTGTCAGCTTCAGAGGGAAATTCATGAACGTCTTCGTAGTTTGTTTTTACGTTTCACTTGGCACTGTTTCTAAAATTTCCTCTGAAGCCAAAAAATAAGTTATTTCCCAGCACACTGGTCACTTTTCATTTATCATTGGATTGATTTTTCTAACTTGCAGTAGGAGCTGAAATCGACCAGGGGGTTCTTATCCAACAGACAGCAGCAAAACTCTTTGTGTATCTGCGTTCCTTTCAACAAGTGTGACTTCCTCAATGGCATCATTCGTGAGCGTAACACAGAGCTCAGCAATAACGTTTCTTCACTAACCCTACCAGGTATCCAACATAGGATGTTACTTCCTTTCACTGTTTTCTGACTCCTGGCAGATATTAATCATTGGGATTTGGGAACAAGGAAATAAAATTTCTGAGAATGCTTGGGAATTCCCAAATTCATATGATTTTCATAACACTTCACTTACAAGTTTTTGAAAAATAATAAGTGACTATAATAACAAGCAAATAGTCATTTTTTCTGTAACAGGATTACATGAAAAAGTTTAGTAGTCTTCTGTTTTAAAAAGATATGATAACAAATGATGATTTATTATTATGAGCCAACATATTGTAACAAGATTATAAAATCCAATAGCATTAATAGAGAAAACATTAAAAAGAAATGAATATTATCACAAAATAAATGCTAAAGAAAAGTCCTTTAAAGATTGAAAGGTAACACCACAAATACTTAATGCTTTAATCATTGTTTACATGACATTGTTAAACAAGGCTTCAATCATCCCCTCCAATACCATTTAAATAACATAACATTCTGATCTCCTGGCAAGATGAACAGCACTAGAAAGAAGCAACTGTCAAAATTGCTGATTTAAGGGCATATTTTGTTTCTAAAACTTGGCATTTCTTAGAACACCTCTCATAGGATTTGTAAAACATATACTATGCCTATGAACACATTAATATTTATTTGCAGAAATGGTTCACTGTTAGCAGTGGACAAGGCCATGAACACACACTTATAACACAGCAACAGATACAAGAAAGTCTGACTGAGGCTCCATTACTGCTCCTGTCCCGTTCACCTTAACTTTCATCTCCACATGTCAGCGCTTCCTCATCTTGCTTGACTTGAAGTCAGTGCATTTCTTCAAGCCAGTAAGTTCTCTATACTGACTATTAAGCTGTAATTCTCACAGGAAAATTAGAATGTTCCTTCCCATTTTCCTAATTTCTCAACTGATTTTTCTCAGAATTCAGAATCCATAAATATTGAAATGCCAGGAGAGAATTTCCAAATGGAAATGCTGTTCCCTTCGTCCATTTTCAGAAGAAACCGTAGCATAGTGTTACCCTTCTCTTCTCCAATTTTTTTTTCCTGCAAACTTATGGTTATCACCTCTTTAAGTGCGTAGCTCACAATTTTGCCTCCCCTGCAAATGGTCCCAATACAGTGAAGTGGGTCCTCTTTAGCTGTGTCTTTACTACATAATCCTGCATTTCTGACCGTAGGCAGGGAGGGTGACCCAGGGAAGGATCCCTGACTCAATGGGATTTCTCTTGCTGTCTCTAGAATTTGAACACCGGAACCCAGACGTACAGAGGCTGGGAGCCATTGTGGTGTGCTATATTGATGACGGCAGCAGTGGGTGGTGTGGGGGCAGTTAATTGACAGCTACCTGTTGCTGACATCCTAGGAACTACCTGAACCTCCTCTTTCCCAGTCATAAGATATCTAAGATTCTGCAGTATTCTTCATTAAATCCTAGCATGGTTTAAGCTAGCCAGAATTAGGTTCTGTTGCTTTCAATCAACAGAACCTTAGCTAATACATTGTTATTTCCTGGTCCTTGTTCCTTTAATTTTCCAGGAAAAGAAGGGAAAATGGCTTACGGGTTTTAAAAAGAGACAAGGGACAGCATACCATTTATGCAAAATTTAGAAGCACTCAAAGGAAACTCTGGAAAGCTCCTGAGACATATATAGGTAGGATCAGCATAAAACTTGAACAGTGTATCTAGATCATGGTTGCCATGGTTGCCTTGACACAATGAACATCTGTATCAAGATCATATTTTCTTGGTGGGACAGAGAGAAGCACAAGGCGGGACTCACATTTACAGTAATCCTTGTTTTCCAGGGACCATACAACCCAGTTTGTCTAGAGCTGTTCATCTTAAGTTTGTTATCCCACCATAATTATAAATAGAACCTCCTTTTTCTCTCAAGAATATCCCACTTTGGATGATAATTTCTATGACTACCCATTAAGAATATTTAATAACTATAGAAAACTGCTTCTCTATATTTTTTGTATGTTTGAAACATTTTATAACAAAAATATTTTTTAAGTTATCACCTACACAGAATATAGCTGCCAAATGCTCCTACTCTGCTATTCTAACCATGAATCCCTCTGGGGCCCCTTCCTCCTACGGCGCTTGTGAGGATGAAATGAAATAAGCTCTATGAAGTGACCAACAGTGACCAACAGTGACCAACACTGAATAAAATACAGCCACCATAGGTGGCCTTCCCTTATGTTCACCAAACTCCTGATAAGTTATTCGGTGATGTTTTAATCTTAATATTTTATGTAGATTATACATTCATCTGATTCAAAATGCAAAAGGTACAAAAGCGTATACAGTTAAAAGTTTCCCAACCCACTACCATTTATCTCCCTGGAGGCAACTGTTTCCAGATTTTTGAATATCCTTAAAGAATATCATATGTATGGAAAAGAAAGATTATATATTTATATGCATCTGTGTATGCATTTTCCTATGAGAGGCTCACAAAGTCTCCTTGAAGAGATATCATTATTACAAATACCCCTCAATTTACAATGGGGTTATATTCCAATAAACTTATGAAAATATTGTAAGCTGAAAATGCATTTAATACACTTAACCTACTAAACATCATAGCCTAGCTCAGCCTACCTTAAACACTCACATTAACCTACAGTTAGGCAAAATCATCTAACAGAAAGCCCATTTTATAATAAAATGGGCTTTGAATATCTCATGTAATATAATGAATACTGTACTGAAAGTGGAAAACAGAATGGTTGTATGGGTACTCAAAGTACAGCTTCCGCTGAATGTGTATTGCTTTCAAACTATCTTAAAGTTGAAAGATCATAAGTCAAAATATTGTAAGTCAGGGATTGTTTGTACTTCCACTTTACATGATGAAATTGAGCCTTGAAAAGATTAAGTGACTCGCCCAAGGTCACACTGGCAGTTAAATAGTGAAACTTGGATTCAAATTGTTCAGTCACTACATGTATTGTCTTGAAATTTGAAAAAGAGGAAGAGGAATTAAACTACTAAATTGAAGGAATATTTTAGGCATAGAAGAAGCAGATGCCTTCATGTCCAAGTGATTGTGAAAAGCCCACTTGCCCCAAAATATGTCTCCTGGTCGTATGAAATTCCACCATTTCAGATTTTTACCTGGGGATTTAGAGTAATCTGCTATTTTCCTAGAGCTCCCCTAAAATAGAAATTTTGGAAGGCTCAATATATGCTAACATTGGAAAACTCATTTTCTCCCCTTCATAAGGCAAGGTACTGAAGGAGGGGGCCCTACGGGCTGTGCAGGGACATCCTGGAGGCATGGGGAGAAGAAACTGAAAGGCAAGGTTGTATGGAACAAAGAATACCGATCTCAGGATTCTCTCTTGAACCTGCCCTAACTTTGTTCAAATAGACTTAGCCACTGACCTGCTGTCAAAAGACCACAGCCAATCTGACTTGTTTTCAACATAATGATGAATATTGATTTGGTCCCTTCATCCAACATTCTCAGCTGGATCTTTTTTTGACCAAGGATATACATTACTAGGCAAGTACAGGCAGTTAATTCTTCCACACGGGACTTTGGAGTTTCTGAGTTAACCAGAATCACCCACCTTAACATCTGCCAGTTTATACCCCAAGTCCTGACCAGTGCCCCCTACCTGCTATGCCTCATGTTTTCAATATAGCATAAAATCAGAAATGAAAGATGAAACATCATAGCCAATATCACAGAAATACAAAGGATCCTAAGAAACTGCTAGGTATAATTACACACTAACCAATTGGATCATCTAGAAGAAATGGATAAATTCCCAGACACATAAAACCTACCAAGATTGACTCATGAAGAAATTAAAAAATCTGAATAGACTAATAGCAAGCAAGGAGGTTGAATCAGTAAGAAAATGTCTCCCATCAATGAAAAACCCAAAACCAGATGGCTTCCCAGATTAATTCTACCAAATATTTTAAGAAGAACTAATACCAGTCCTTCTCAAACTCTTCCAAAAAGCTGAAGTGGAGGGAATACTTCCAAACTCATCTTACAGGGCCAGCATTACCCTGATTCCAAAGCCAGACAAGAACACTACAAGAAAGGAAAATTACAGGCCAATATCCTTGATCTACATAGATGCAAAAATCCTCAACAAAATCCTAGCAAACCAAATTCAATAGCACATTGAAAGAATCATTCACCATGATGATGTCATGGTTCAACATAAGCAAATCAATACATATAATATACCATATTAGAAAAATAAAGGATAGAAACTATATGGCCATCTCAATAGATATAGAAAAAGCTTTTGACAAACTTCGAAACACTTTCATGGTGAAAAAAAAACACCCAACAGATCACGTATTGAGGGACTGTATCCCAACAAAATAAAGGCCATATATGACAAACCCATAGCTAACACCATAATCAATGGTGAAAAGTTGAAACTTTTCCTCTACCATCAGGAACAAGACAAGGATGCCCACGGACACCACTTCTCAGGGTAATTAGGCAATAGAAAGAAATAAAAGGCATCCTAATAGGAAAGGAAGAAATGAAATTGTCTCTACTGACAGCATGATCTTGTTATATATAGAAAACCCTACAAACTTCACTAAAAAAAGGTTAGAACTCAACACAAAGAAGGGAACAATAGACACTGGGGGACTCCAAAGGTGGGAGGGAAGGATGGTGGGAGCAAGGGTTGAAAAACTACCTGTCGATTACTATGCTCACTGCTTGGGTGGTGGGATCATTAGAAGCCCAAACCTCAGCACCATGCAATATACCTGTGTAAGAAACCTGTACATCTACCCTCCTGACTCTAAAATGAAACATACAATATTTAAAAAACAAAAACAAATAAATAAAATTTGAAAACTGTTAGAACTGAACTGATAGGTGAAATCAGTAAAGTTGTAGGATACAAAATCAACATATAGAGCCTTGAACACAGCAACATCCAGCTGTCTGACACGAAAGTCTCAGGGGCAAGAAAACCTCTATATGAACTCAGAAACAATGAGCTAAGTTGTGTTTATGTCTGAAAGGATGTTAAGAACTTCATTCATGTTACATCAGAGCCAACAGAAAGAACCAACAGGAAACCTGTACCCAACAAACAGAAATGACAAGATGAAGGGAAAGCAGAGGTAAGGGCTTACCTTAGAAAGGGCAAGTGATTAGCTCAATATGCAATACAATGTTTGCTCCTGAGCCAAAAATTTGTACAATAATTTGGATATTACTTGCACAACCAGAAAAATCAGCCACTCATTAGGAAAATGTGTTTCTGTATAAGTCTTAGGACTCAGCTATCTATAATAACATGAAAAGACAATATTTTCATCCAAAATGAGTATTTTTGTTTGTCTTGGCTTGTTATTCTAATGTCAACAGCCTCTAAATAAACTGTTGAAGTACATGATATAACCACCTCTTTCTCCATCTTTCCCATTGCTCCCATAGGGTTTCAGTTGTGCAATTTCACCATTAGGAAAGCTTTTTGCTGAAATCTGGCTTTTCAAAGGGAGAGTATCCAGAAACAGAAGATGCTGATCTGGGAGGCTCTTCCTAATAGAACTGCCGCTTCAGTTTAACTTGAAAAAGCCCACACCCAGTTCCTAATGACAAACATCTGAACACCGGGTCTTCCCACGAGCAAGACCATGCTATGCCTCCTGCTCGCTCTGTTCTATAAGCAACCCACAGATTGCTCCCTGTGAAGAGGAGCCTGCCAGGGGAGCAGCATTCCACCAGACCCTGATTTAGCAAGATATTTCCGTATCATTCCCCCAACCAGCTGGAAGTCCTCCACTGCTCTTGTGTAAAAATCTAACTCATCTCGCTGAATTTCCTGATTTAAAAGTCTGATTCATTTCACCAAAAGTGTGACAGAAGGAAACCAAGTACACCATCTCTCTCTTACCAAACCAAAGCTATTGCATGTGCATTCTGGGAGAAAAAAATGGTCCAAATATGTTATGGAGGGGGTGCCAGCCCAGTGTCATCCTCTTACTATTGCCATAGGATCTTGGCTGATGGCATCAGAGGAAAAACAAGTTTATCGATTACTTTCAACCATTAAGCTCACTCCTCCATGAAAAATAAGTCACAAGTCCAATGTCTCTTATTAAAATAAGCACTGCAAAATATAAAGGAGTCACAGTTTTAAAATGGGACACATGTTCTCTAAGCGGTGAACCACTTTAGAGGTGCACTGTTTACATTGTATAAAGTCCCCTGGAGCCAGGGTTAGGAAGCGCATCTGTTCTTTGGTGTTCTGGGATGAAGGAGAAAGGAAAAAGGGCTGCCAGAAGTGAGTGGGAAGGAGCCCATGAGATAAAGGAAGTAAATCCATTTGCTGATTGCAATAATAATGGTAATACACGAAGCTATACATACATACATACATGCAAACTTTCACATTTTTAAAAAAAAGAACTGAAGGCTTCCACACATGTAATCAGCCCTTATGAACTCTCCTGATTAGCTGCAAGGAAATCTTCCCTTCTCCTTTTTCCTGCACCATCCTGGGCTCCCTTTTGACTTTTTTTTTTTTTTTTTTAACTTATAAACGATCAGCTCATATTCTGAAGTTTGTAGTCCCCTCCCGCCCCCTCTCTCTCTACACCGCTCATTTACATTGGCAGCTGTCGTGCTGCTGGGCATCCTCAAACCCACCAGTTTCCCTTTTATGTTTGAGCAGACAAACATGATCATGCACTAGGCATCACTGTGCCACTCAAAATGCTTTTTTGTTTTTTATTGCATCTGAGAGAAATCTCAAGGTTGCAAACCTGGAGTCAGAATTGTCTCCATGTGTCTCAGTGGGAAGAGTATCGTGTGAAGAAATAAGTTGATTCTACTAATCAAAAGGAATTTTTTTTGATATCAGGTCATCCTCCGAATGAATTTATATTACCGAGTGGAGGGTCACATGAAGAAAATGGTCAAACAGCACCACCTACAGCAAGAGCTGAGAAGTGCAGCGGAGCCGGGCTGAGTCAGGAAAGAAAAGCAAGCTGGGGCCTGGCTCAGCGCTCTCCCCTCTGCTCCTGTCTGCACGGAAAGATTAGGATGACAGTGGCAGGAAGCCTGTGCACCTAGTATGCATCACTTGAAGGGAACACACAGATTCCAGTAAACAGTTGGAAGGAAATGTTAATACCAGGCTCTGCTAAACAATATGAAATGACTCCTAGATGAGACAAGTGACTTTCATCAAAGTTTCCTGATACCTGAAAAGATAGCCCAGGGGATCCTGCACTACATCTGGTGTATGTAAATTAAGCGGGTTTTTTTCCCCTTTGTAATCAAGGCTCATACACAAACAAAATCACACTTTAGAAACGGCCTATTTCAACTTGTAACTAGCTTGCTTTCAGGGGCTCCAGGTCAAAAAGAAATAGAGCACAAAGACGCTTTCTCCTTAGGGATCATACACAAATTCACTCTGTCCGTTTCTTTCCCACATGGAGCAACAAAGCCATCAGACCTCTCCATCCACCCATCGGGTCCTTCCTGATTAAAGTGAGATAAATCACAGCCCTCTCTCTCCAGATGGCAGGCGACAAGAGGGGGATGCTTGCCTCAAGAAGTCCTCCCCATCCCTCTGCATTCATGCAAGCCCGAGCGGAGAGATGCAAGAAATTATGGATGCATTTTAATTCCCCAGACCCTGCAATTAAAAATGGAAATTTTTTGGCCACGCGTGTTGGCTCACGCCTGTAATCCCAGCACTTTCGGAGGCCGAGGTCGGCGGATCACCTGGGGTCAGGAGTTCGAGACCAGCCTGGCCAACATGGTGAAACCCTGTCTGTACTAAAAATACAAAAATTAGCTAGGAATGGTGGTGGGCGCCTGTAGTCCCAGCTACTCGGGAGGATGAGGCAGGAGAATCACTTGAACCCGGGAGGCAAAGTTTGCAGTGAGCCAAGATTGCACCACTGCACTCCACTCTGGGTGACAAAGCAAGACTTCATCTCAAAAAATGTTTTTAAAAAATGGAAGTGTTGTTCTTTCATTTGTAAATGTGTTTTGGTAAAAGAGGGGCAGTTTAAGCAACCCTTTTTATTGTCTACATTGTTAAAATTCATCAGACATGGACTCTTGACTCCGTTTTGCCTGGGCAGACCCAATTCAAGCATTTACAACAGCTATAACCTCCTCAAATCAAAAAGAGGAATCAGCATTATTGCTAAGTTCAAATAAGGTCTTGTTTTATTTCATTTTTATTTTTGAATGCAGCCATTCCTCCAGGTGCTATCATCAGGTAAGATTGTCAGTCCTGATTAGGTAAAGGTATTATTACAAAATGCAATTCTTAAAAATTCAGTGCCTAACTACACTTTTAATAAGCCTTTCCCCCTCCCCTATGTATTCTCCCTTAGACACCCCTTCTCAAATTTAAAATCACAGAAACTAAAATATGATGCCTAAAGAGAGCCTAGCGATTGCCCAGTCCTCTAATTTGATGAGTGGGAGTACTGAAGCCCAGAGGAGGTCAAGTAATTTGTTCCCAATGTCTTAGATAAGAAGAAAATGACCAGCTGGGATATCCCACTCATGTCAAGGCAGAGGCACAGGGCCACAGACTGTGGTTGAATTGTGCCACACTCCTACATCCTTCTTTAGGAATCACAGAACATTCCTGTGTTGAGTCGGAGTCACTGACTTCCTTTTCAGGCTGATTGAGTTCTGTCCTTACGGGCTGCGACAAGAAGTTTTGGTATTATGCTACACCAAGACCATTTATCTAGTTCAAGAAATGAGCACAGTCCTTAGAGCCCAGCAACTTTCCCCATGTCCAGTAAATGTAGCTTCTCCATTAGAAGCTGTCAGAATGGAGCCTTCTGGCTCATCTTGATTTTGATTTGTGCAAGAATGAATGGTTGTGCTAAGACAGCTTTCCTAGCTGATAGTGAGCAAAACTTTTTTCTCATAATCTATAAAAAAATTAAATTAGAACTTTTTTCTCACAATCTGTAAAAAAATATTAAATTAAATCTGGCTCGTCTTGATTTTGATTTGTGCAAGAATGAATGGTTGTGCTAAGACAGCTTTCCTAGCTGATAGTGAGCAAAACTTTTTTCTCATAATCTATAAAAAAATATTAAATTAGAAGCACAGAGTTTATTTCATGACTTTTATCTTCCTGCAATTTTCTTGTGGGCATAAATGATTTGTTTTTATCCTGCCTGCCCCCCCAATCCCTTTTCCAAGAGACTAAAAGAGTATCAAGTGCAAAGTAGAGACTCAAATATTTTTTAATAAACAGTGATCCCAGCCACCCAGTGCATGTTGCCAAATGCCAACCCCATAAATGATCGAACACATCATCTCATTCAGCCAATCAAAATCAAGTGCTACCTATTTTTTTAAGTTTTCATAGCCCTTGGGCATCTGCTTTCTCAGCATTTCCCAAACTTGAGTCATTCTCATCCTGCCTTCATAATTTTGCTCTGTCAATTACCTCTACTATTATTTATTTCATATATTTTTAAATAGCCCCACTTTTGAAACTTAAATACATGCCTTTTAAAAGGAAGCTTTTTTACTACTATACATCAAAAGCCATTATTACTTGTTCTAAGTACTCATAACAACATGTTCACAACTATTAAAATTTAGTAATGTGCATCCACATACTCTCTAAATTCATGGAGCATCTGCACACACTTTAAGAAACAATTCTGCATTACTCAATTTTCTTGACATCCTTCTGAGGCAGGACAAACCTTGGGCCCAAAGAATTGAGGTAGGAGTCCAAGCAAGTTGCCAGCCACATAAAGGCAAACCTTGGCTCGGAAGTCAGGACTACCAGCCCCTAGGTTATGGTTCATGCTCCTTCCTCTGCTCTCCAGAACCTCCTCTCTCCAAGTGTAGTTAGCAGCCCAGATGCAGCAGCATCCTCTAGAGACTTGTTAAAAATGCAGAAGCTCAGGCTCCACCCCAGGCCTATGCAGACTGAATCTGCATTTTAACAAGGTCCAGGTAATTCACGTGCACATTAAGTTTGAAAAGGCCTGGTCTAGATCAGCAGTTCTCTAACTTAGCAGCACATTAGAACCATCTGTAGAGACTTTAAAAATACCAGTGCCTGGGCTTCACCTCCCAGAGAATCTGATTTAAGTGTCTGGGGTTTGCCCTGAGTCTAGGTATTTTTAAAAACTCCTCAGCTTATACAAAGCTGGCAGGGCCGGGCACAGTGGCTCATGCCTATAATCCCAGCACTTTGTGAGGCCAAAGTGGGCAGATTGCTTGAGTCCAGGAGTTTGAGACTAGCCTGGGCTAAAACCCCATCCCTACAAAAAAAAAAAATACAAAAAGTAGTTGGGCATAGTGGTAGCACATACCTGTAGTCCCGGCTACTCAGGAGGCTGAGTCCTCGCTTGAACCCAGGAGGTCACGGTCTGGTCAACAGAGCAAGACCCTGTATCAAAACAAACAAACAAACAAACAAACAAACAAAAAATGCTAGCAGCTTACCAGCTAGGGAGGCCTGTACAGCCAAGTTTTCCAAATGGGGCTACATTAGTTGTTCCAGAACTTTAGCTGCATCAAAACCACCTGGATGGCTTGTTCAGCTACAGGGGGTCTGGCCATGCCCCTAGAGTTTCCAGCTGAGGGTCTGGAATGAGGCCCGATGATTTGCATTTCTAACAATCTCCAGGCGATGCTAATGCTGTGGGTCCAGGGACCACATTTTGAGAATCTATGCTAAATGAACCGGACAAGATCAAAGCTCAAACTTATTCCAAGAACTTTTCAAGGCCCACCTGCAAGTTGTAGTGGAAGTAAGCCTCTAAGGGTGCAAAAAAGTTTCACTGTAGACTAAGGCCTTTTACCTGAGCTCTCAAATGTTCACATTTCTCTTATCAACCTAAATAACAAACAGAGAGAGGCTCTCCACAAGAAAAAGATATTCGTTTGGAAACAGAGCCTTGCAATAGCAATAGGCAAGCCAGAGTAAACTATATGCATATTCACGGAGGTAAAGGAAGACAAAAGAAAAAATGAGGAAGATTATATGATCATTTGGAAATGATTATCCTTGGCTACAAAGATCAATAACAAAGGTGATGCCAGGCCCAGGTTGGACAGGCAGTTGTTGGGCAAATATCCTTCAGAAGCATTGTTGTGTGCAAAGTTGCAATGGGCTTTGTGCAAGATTGTGTTTTTTGCAGTCTTCTGTGATAATTTTTTGTTATCAGGCATACAAGCCCAAGAATCCTTTTTTGCATGGCCTTCCCTGGCTCTATTTGTCAGGGTTTTGGTTAAGGGAGGGGTATTTTTAACACTCTCAATGTAAAAAATGCCATAAGGTAGGTACCCCAGTTGCTTGTTTCGTCTTCATAAAATAACTTTTCCACCTGAACAAAGTCTACACATAAATTGTAAAAATACCCTGGCATGCAGTCCCTGGAAAAGTCTGGAGTCATTCTCGGGGTTCCCACCCAGGTGGGCAAGCGTAGCCACCACAGATAAACACAAAGTAGGGGTGCCCGCTGGGGTTTGGCGGCAGGCAGTGGCCCTGGTTCTGATATTTGGCTGAAAACACAGCTCCTCTTTGTCACCCTCAGGAAGCCATCCCAAACCGCTCGAGGAGTCCTTGAAGCCAATGTTACCACTAGGACAGCAAGTTTGCCTGAAAGCTATTTGCCTTTGCAGCAGATTCATTAAGCCAGAACAAAGAGAAGACCAATGACTAAAAGATTTCTCTCCTTTTAAAAATCATGCTCTTTAACTCATAGCACATTTTCATTGTCCATCTGGGCAAAGCCGCTGTCTCATTTTGCTTTTTCCCTTGTCTGTGATGCTCACACTCATCCTCCCTATCCCATCAGCAACCTCTCTAGTATGTTTGATATGTGTCCTTAAACTTTATATCTTGGCCGGGGGCGCGGTGGCTGTAATCTCAGCACTTTGGGAGATGGAGGTGGGTCTATCACTTGAGCCCAGGAGTTTGAGATCAGCCTAGGCAACATAGTAAGATTTCATCTTTACTAAAAATAAAAAACAAAAAAATTTAGCCAGGTATGGTGGCCTGTGCCTGTAATCCTAGCTACTCGGGAGGCTGAGGTGGGAGGATCACTTGGGCCTGGGAGGTCAAGACTGCAGTAAGCTGAGATGGTGCCACTGCACTCCAGGCTGGGCAACAGAGTGAGACCCTGTCACAAGAAAAAAAAAAAAAGAAAAAACAACTCTCTCTGTAGAAATAGGCAAGGTTGTTTGATATGCAAATGTGGCTTTAAATTACATAATAACATTATATCAGTAAGCCCATTTTTTTCTTATAGTTGCACTCAACATCATGATTTTAAGACCTAGGCATGTTGCTTTATATTTTACCTCATGAGAAGTCACCTTTACACATCTGTTTCTCACACTGAAATCAACATGCTTTTGAGTCAGTATTTAGGACTGAGTGAGGCTGTTCGCTGGAGTTAATCTGACACCAGATGCATTTATCCCTCTTTAGGACTGTAACGAATTCCTTTCCGCTCTGTTCGCCCATGCTCACTAGTTGGCATCATAGGTGTCATCTTTGAAAAAGAAAAACATCTCATCCCTTGGTTTCCTGACAACCACCCCCACCCCCTGCCTTGGCTCTTTTTCATGGAATTTGCACCAAACAGCACAGAGACAAACGTCTCTCTAACATCTATGATTTATCCTTGCTTACACAAGATCACTCCAGCCTATAAAAAAGTATTTTTAAAAAATATGAAAAGTTACCCCAGTCTTGGATTACAGAGTTTCAGATAAAAATGAAAACATAGTAAAATTGCTTATCAGAGAGTTTCCTGTTCTTATTCGCCCTTACTCCTTTCGCAGATGTGAGTCATAAATCCACAACCAAATCCTCCCTCCTTCGAGGTCAACTCCTACTAACACCCATGAGGAGGGAATTTGGCTCATATAATAACACTTAATTAAAATGTATAATGTCCACATGTACATGAGAGATAAAAAGAATGCTTCTTCGGGTATGTTTCCAGCCCAATCTTTCAAAATACGTGAAGTATTTCTTAATCTACTATACCCTATAAATGATAAATATAAGATACTAAGATTTAAAATACTTTCAATAACACTTTCCTAGGCCTCCAGATGAGCACTACATAAGTTTATAATAAAATATTTAAAATAGCTACCATGTATTATGTGTTTATAATGTGCCAGGCACTGGAGTAATGTGTTTTCACATTTTAATCCTCATAAGCCAAAGACATAGATTTTTGATCTTCGTTTTAAAGTTGAAAGACCTAAGGCTCAGAGATAAATTTTTTTAAAAATCTTTAATCCCTTTATACAAGATTAGCTCATTCTCACAAGCCAAAAATAAAACCCAAAACTCCCATATCTCCCCATATAAAAAAATACTCTTTAACTTCTTTCTCCCTCCAGAACCCCTCCTCCCTCTCCTTTCTATCTTCAGCCAACATCTGGAAGGTTCTGTCTACATTCACTCCTCCATGTTAACGCCTCCCTCTTCCCCTCCTTTCCTTGCAACCTGGTTGCCTCTCACAGCAGTGAAACAGAAAGCTGTTTCCTCAGCCCATAACCAACTGTAACTTTGAATCACTGTGCACCCTTGGCCGCAGCCGCCTCCTCCTTCAATTTAACTCCCTGCCTTGATCTGCCATCTCTGGCATGCTCTACTTACATTCACTCCTCCTCTTCATGTGTTTCTGGGCTGCTTTGCCAACTCTTCTTCCTCTGCTGCCCTCATACATCCAGGCAGAGGAGCACAGCTTCTGCCTTGGCCTCCTGCCTTAGTTCTAACTGGCGTCCCCTGAACATCTCAAGCCCCCAGACTGGAGCCTGTGTCCTGGGGTTAATTCCCTTCCCCACCTATGGAGGCTTAGCTCCTGCCCACCAGTGGGGTTATCACAAGTGCCTGCCTTTTCCTCACACTGTGCCTCTTACAGGGTTTCCGTAGGCTGGCCATTTGTGAGTTGTGTGACCCTGGACCTCAGTGTCCTCCCACAGAAAACAAGGAGCATGAACTAGATTTATCTCTAGTGTCCTTTCTAGGTGTTTCTTTCTTTCTTTATTTTTAAACAAGATCTCACTCTGTCACCCAGGCTGGAGTGCAATGGCACTAACATGGCTCACTGCAGCCTCAACCTCCTGGGCTCAAATGATTCTCCTGCCTCAGCCTCCCAAGTAGCTGGGACCACCACTCCCAGCTAATTTTTTTATTCTTTGTAGAGATGGGGTTGCAATGTTTCCCAGGCTAGTCTCGAACTCCTGGGCTCCTAAGAATTTTAACATTTGAGTTTTCTTCCAACAAAGAGGTGGAGGAAAATATAACTTTATATAAACATATATAAACCCTGCTTCCCACTTTAATTAAGCCATAAATTCCTGCGGCAGCTAGGGATGTGAAGAGGCAAGTGAGAAGAGGAAATGTGCATAAGACTCCCAGCAGCTTGGAAGTAAACAGGGAGGACTGAAGTGACCCTGTTGCTCCGAAGGTGGCTGTTCATTAGCCTCCTTCTGTCCTTAGACCCAGCTGGAGCATTGCATGCACTGGCTCCCAGGTTGCAGGGGATGTCAGCAGCTCCAGCTCGTCCGATTGAAGGAGGCCATGTGGCTTTCCCTGGACTTTCTGCTTGAACAGTGAATCCCTGTAGGGCCTGGATCCATTGCCCTCTTCTCCTCCCACCCCACCCAAGCACTCTTCTTCATGAGTTTGCTTTCTCCTATCTTTTTTTCCTCCACTTTTCCTTCAAAAATTGTTGATTAAGCACCTGCCATGGGCCAGACATTTTTCTGGAGTAACACCTCAATGAGCAGACAGGTTCTTGTTCTCATAGATCTTCCATTTTAGAGAGAAAGCTGAACGATAAGCAAATAATACAGCAGGTGGTGAGGGGTGCTATAAAGAAGGATGAGCAGGGTAAGTGGGTGAGAAAATGTGCTACTTTGTCCTCTAGAGGCCAGGGAAAGCCTCTCTGTTTAGGTGATATTTGACAGAGATTTGAAGACACTGAAGGAGTGAGCCATTTGGATCTCTAGGGAAAGAGCATTCTTCCCCAGACAGAGAACAGCAAGTGCAAAGGCCATGATGAAGAAGGGAGCTTGGCCAAAGTGAGGGACACAAACGGCAGCCTACGGTGCATGCATGTCTTAAGAGATGAGGTTCCTGGTGCCCTTTGACTGCCTCAGAGATCCCGTGCTCACAACACACAGCCCCAATCATCCTAAAATACATCTATGCTATAGAAACTTGTCCCAAAATATCCTTTCATAATGATTTACCTTCTGGTATCCCACCCATGAAAGCAGAAATTTCCTGCTTTCTCCTAATAATTACTAATAATTCTCCTAATAATTACTAATCTGTCTCCTCCCCCAAAATGTAAGGCCAAGAAGAGCAGGGACTTGGCCTATTCATTCACTGCTCTATGTTCGGCTCCTATTTCAGTGCTAAAAACCAAGTGGGCCCTCAATAAATATTTTTGTGAATTTATTTATTTATTTATTTTATTTTTTGAGACGGAATCTCTCTCTTCCGCCCAGGCTGGAGTGCAGTGGTGCGATCTTGGCTCGCTGCAACCTCCGTCTCCTGGGTTCAAGGGATTTCTGGCTAATTTTTGTATTTTTAGTAGAAACAGGGTTTCACCATGTTGGCCAGGCTGGTCTCGAACTCCTGACCTCAAATGATCCATCCACCTTGGCCTCCCAAAATGCGGGGATTACAGGCGTGAGCCACCGCACTTGGCCAGCCCTCAATAAATGTTTATTTTCTAGATGAAATGGGGAATCTAACTATGCTACATGGTAATGAGGCAGCTGACTTTCTTGGAAGCAGAAGACCTAATTCTAGATGTGGTGACATAAAAGCAATAAAGGAAGGACCTCTATAAATCACTTGTGGAGCTGAGCCTCAGCTCTCAAAGTGTTGGATTAGAACTAGGGATGGCAAAATCCTGTTACAGGCACAACAACTCACCCCCTCCCTTCCATGCCCACTAGACTCTCTAATGAAGCGTGGCTGTCTCTCTCTGGAAAAAACTACGGAATTCTTCCCACCCAATGCTCCTAGCAGCCACAACCAAAGGGTCAGAGGTGACCCTTACAATGAACCCAATTTGCCATCCCTCAATTAGATGTTTAAGATTCCTTTCCACTTTAATATCCTGTGGTGCAAATCTAAGCAAGCCTGCTTGTTTGGCCACATGGAGGTACATGTTCCTGCAAAATCAACCCCAAGAAATCCTGTTGCTCACGGGCAAGCGGGTAACCCCTTCTTCCATAGCAGAGGCAGTCACTAGTAGTACTTGCTTCAATTGGGACAAATATTTTTCACCTGGAAACTAATTCAAGGCTACCTTTTTCAGACTCCTTCGAAGGCTGCTAGAATTGGTCCCTTGAGTAAGCTGAGTGTTGTGGTGCCCCTCAGTTCCCATGCCACAGAAGCTCGAACCTCATTCATTAATACACTAGCCCTAAGGCTTGAAACCAGTCTGGCCTGGCTTGGAGCCTTTAGATCACTCTCTAGCTTCTGGCCAATAAGAATGAGCTTCTAGGCCAGGCATGGCGGCTCACGCCTGTAATCCCAGCACTTTGGGAGGCCGAGGCAAGTGGATCACTTGCATCCAGGAGTTCAAGACCAGTCTAGGCAACATAGTGAAACCCCATCTCTACAAAAAAAATACAAAAAATTAACCGGGCGTGGTGGCACGGGCCTGTAGTCTCAACTATTCAGGAGGCTGAAGTGGGAGGATCGCTTGTGTGGGGAGATCAAGGCTGCAATAAGCTGTGATGACACCACTGTACTCCAGCCTGCATGACAGACTAAGGCTGGAGTGCAGTCTCAAAAAACAAAACAAAACAAAACCAAAAACCTGCAGCCTGCACCACTCCTACTGGTAGGCTTGCTCTGATATCAGCACTTCAAGCAGGTGATAACACTATGAGGTTTATTTTTAATTGCTAGGTGTGGTGGTTGTATTTCCTCAGAGTAAAAATGCACTTCCTTCCTCCCTTTGAAGTGAGATGTGGACCTGTGATTTGATCTGGCCAAGAAAGTGTGACCGAAAATGACCTGGACACTTCCAATGGGAGCTTTAAAAGCCAGTGCACAATTTATCACTGATCCTTTTTCTGCTTCAGTCATCGTAGAAGCCCAGGTCAGGATGGAACTCCCACCAGCCTGGATTGCTGATTAAGGATGCTCCATGTTAGAGCAAAAATATAAGTTGTTTTAAACCACAGAAATTTGGAGGTGGTTTCTTATTGCAACATAACTAGTCTCTATTGACTGATACTCCATGGTGTAAGACTAGTCATGGGATTTTTCTAGCTCAGAGTTTCTCAATTTTGGTAGGATTGACGTTTGGGGTTAGTTATTGCTTTCTTGTGGGGACCATCCTGTGCATTGCAGGATGTTAAGTGGCCTCCCTAGCCTTTACCCACTAGACACCAGCAGCACCCCATCCCAAGTTGTGACCATCAAAAATCCCTCAACAGTATGATTCCACTTATTTGAGGTACCTAGAGTAGTCAAAATCATGGAGACAGAAAGTCAAATGATGGTTGTCAGGGGCTGGGAGAAGAGGGAAATGGCGAGTTAGTGTTTAATGGGTACAGAGTTACAGTTTTGCAAAATGAAGAGAGTTCTATGGATGGATGGTGGTGATGGTTGCACATCAGTGCGAAGGTGCTTAGTGCCACTGAACTATACACATGAAAATGGTTCAAATGGCTAATTTTATGTTATGTGCTTTGCCACAATTTTTGAAAATGGAAAAAAAAATGTCTCCAGACATTGCCAATGTCCCCTGGAAAGCAAAATCGCCCCTGGTTGAGAACTAGTGTTCTAGCGGTAGTGCAACACATTCAATTGTAAAATATGTGTAAAAACGTGGGCTTAGGGCTCAGCCCTGCTTTTTGCCATTGAGGGTTAGAATCTCATCTCTCCTAGAATATTTTTTATCCACTCAGATTTTAGGCCAGGATCAACAGGACAATTGAACGGTTTGATCTAGAAAAAGCCCCTGTCTATGGACCCAAAACTGGTGTGATATGAATACACTCTGTAAAAACTCTTACACTGTTTTAAGCTTTACATCTGATAAACAGAGCACAGTAGAGACTCCACTTGGGATAATTTTTCCTGAAACCTACTTGTTTTTCATGCTGTTTCTGCAGTTAAGGTGCCTGGTCTTAAAATGTGTTGAAGCAAAAGAATGGGAAGAGCCAAGGGACACATCAGGGAGTTTCCAAATGACAGAACTGCAAACCTGCAGGGCAGTCCTCTGCTGAGGAAGAGGGAGCTTACACTCTGAATGCATCTTGAGGAGTATTCTCCATACCTGAGGAATAAATTAAGGCTAACAAGGGGGCCTAAATGGTGATTGGCTCTGCTCTTGACCAATTGAATTCCATGCTCGGACTGAGGCAGCAGAGGGCTTCTTACACCCACCTCCACCACCATCACCCTGCCTAAGTCATCTCAGAGAATCCTCTTTCTATCTCAGTATTGGGCCTACATTCTTATGCTTCAGCCCTTTTCCATAATGACCCCTCCAGATTGCCACACTCTAGAACCACTACAGAGGGTGGCGTTACTGCTGTATGGACACTTCATCTCAAAGTGAGGGGCCAGCTCACATGATTTGCAGGGTTCCTTTCTCTGGCCTTCTAAAACATTCTCCAGGTTGAGGCTGAAACTGCTCCCGCAAAGCCCCATAATAGGCATGAACAGATTATCCTCCTCTTCTTGGTTCTCATGGCTAGAATCCTTAACTCATCCTCTCCCCACAAAGTAGGGTTGATTTCACAAGCTGTTATTTCAGCTGCTTGTTCTGCCATCTGCTCTTGATTTGCTTGGTGAACACCTCCAGCGTGCTTGGAGCTGCACTGTCACGCTTCGCCCCAATCAGCTTCTGGCCCCCCACACTCAAACACATCTGCATCGGCACACCCCTCCCACGCCCCAGTTCTGCCCACAGTGGATCCATCCACCTGCGCTCCAGGCCCCAGCCCCTTGGGAGCTTGCGCTATCAATTACTTGCACTTAGTTCAGAATCTTTAGCCACTCCATGTCCGTGATTATTTCATTTATTCAATGTAGTAACATGTTTAAACCTCTCCCGTCCTGGAAAAAAAAAAAGTCCTACATTTAACCCTATCTCCCTCTTTAGCTTAAAGTCATCTGTAATCTTCCTTGCCATTTATTTACTCCATATCCCAGGTTGAACAGTATCCACACACCCCCAAAAATTCAGGTTCTCCCTAGGAATCTTAGAATGTGACTTTATTTGGAAATAGGGTTGTTGCAGATGTAATTGGTTAGGAGTGGACCCTTAATCCACTATGACTGGTGTCGGTGTCCTTAGAAGAAGAATAGAGGGAACGCAGAGGCACACACAGAGAGGAGGCCATGTGATGATGGGGGCGGAAACTGGGGTGATGCATCTACAAGCCAAGGAATGTCAGGGCTTGCAGGAAACCCCAGGAGCGAATGGAAAGGCATGGAGCAGATTCTTCCTAGCATCTTCAGAGAGAGCATGGTGCTGCCAACACCTCGTTTTGAACTTCTAGCTTCCAAAACTGTGAGAGAAAAAATTTCTGTTGTTTTAACAAGACACCCAGTTTCTGGTATTTTGTGACAGCAGACCTAGAAACTGAATATACCCTTCAAACCACCACAGTTTTCCTTTTGGTTCCAAGATTCTTTCGTGTATGACCTGCGAGAGCCAAATCCAGTCTTTAGCTGGCCTCTCTGGAGCACGTGCAACTCATTTATTCCTTATTGATGCTTCTCCCCCACATCCTTCTCGGCCTCCTTCATTGCTTCCTAATCTCACAGCCAGCTACCGCATACTGGAGTCCCTGGGTTCATCACCACCTTTTCCCACTCTGTTCATGCTCCACTGCAATCTCATCCAAATACCAGCTCTCCTCCCACCCCCATGCTGATGATTCCCCAAGCCCTCTGGCCTAAGCCTCTCTCCTGAGATCTACTTTGAGTTCCCCACTGCCTCCTGGACATTTCCACCTAGAACTTGTACAAGCACTTCAAAAACTACATGGCTAAAATGGAAGTCATGGTCTAGAAGCCTCCTTCCCAAATAAACCTGCTTTTCCTCCTGTAACCTGCATGTCAATGAGAGGCTTCACGTTCACACAGGGGCATAAGCCAGACACCTGGCATCTTCTTGGGCTTCTCCTCTGCACCCTTGGCCGTGGTCACTGAAGCCAAAGGACTCTGCCCATAAGGGTTTGGGGAATGTATCCTCTGCATCCCTGCTGCAGCTGCTTCAGCTCAGCCTCTTACCACCTCTTGTGGCTAGCGGAGACCTCCACTACACCAGACTTTCATGCTGCTCTGGGAGCACTTTCCTATACCACCTTGTTTTAAGCCATTCCCCTGCTTCGAATGCTTCAGGGTTTCCTGGTCACCTGCAGGATGATGTCCTTAGCATTCCTCCACTTGGAATAACAATGCCTTGTAGCATCTGGCTTTCAGGAGTTTAGAGTGGAGGGGCTCTGCATTCAACTCCAGGACCTACCACATACTTGGTGCGTGGCCCTGGGCAACATACTTACTCTCTCTGTGCCTCAGATTCCTCACCTGAAAATGGGGATAATAATAGTACCTACCTCATAGGGTTGTTGTAAAGATTAAATGAGCGAATATGTTCAGAGTACCCGGAACTGTGTCCAGCATGTCGTAAGTGGGCACTAAATATTAACTGCTGTTGCTGTTAAGTATTACCTTTCCCCACTCATTTCTGTACAGCTTCCCATGTGCATTGTTTTCCAGCCAATCAGAACACTCTTCCATCTTAGAAGAAAAAAAAAAAGCCCTACCTGTGTTCCCCTGGCTCTTGGCCTTGACACACACTGTCTGGAATACCTTTCCCACCACCTCTCATCTCATGCTCCCTATGAACATACTTCGACTCATCTTTTCTAACCTAAGTACCCTCCCCTGCAGTCAAGCATGCTCTTCACTGAACCTTCGTAAGGCCCTTGTGCTCACCTCTATTGCAGCACAGATCACACTGCATTATAAAGGACCATCTCCTGTCTCTCTGTCCATCTTTCAGAGTTTGCTGTATTGATCTTAGTGACGTCAGCACGTGGCACTCAGCTAGACAAAGAAAGCAGGCTCAATAAAGGCTGGTAGAATTAAGTAAAGAATTGTATAAAGGCATTAAATAGAGATGGGGTACAAATATGTCCCAGGCTTCCTGGGATAGTCCTGGTTTAGGCCATGGTCCTGATATAATTACTAACAACACCCTCTTTCACTGTCAAAAATATCTCCTTTGGACAATACATTATAAGGTCACTCTAGGTATTAGAGCTGTGATTCTCACCCTATCAGGCCCAATTTTCTCTTTGCTTAACAGCTATTTTAGAATACCCTATGCACTATCTTTAAATGGGATTGATAGGCAATAGAAACTGCCAATAACAGAATTTCAAAAAAACCAATGTAATACCCTAAATAGAATGCTAAATGGAAAATGAAGGAGATTTTTTAAAAAGTAGCTTAAACTAAAATTATGTGTGCAGTATTTTGATGTGTAAATGCTTAGGTCTTACACTTCTGGCCAAGATAGAGTAACAGAGACCAAAATTACTTTCTGACCTAAAACAACAAAACTACTGGACAAAATATATGAAACTATGGCCCTCAAGCAACAAAGGGAATCAATCACTGGAATCAAGCATCAAAGGGCAGTGATCCTCAAGAGATGAGAAACAAATGAGGCTAGCCCCACAATTGACCTCCCTAACACCTTAGAAAACTTTCCAGGCCACAGCACAGGAAGAAAGAATGCAGATGGAACTCAGAGATCTTCCTGAGTTGAGAAGACAGAACTGTGAGCCTGGGAAGGCCAATGTGGCTAGAATTCATAGGGCAGAATATTGAGGAGGAGAGGGCTGTACAGAGACAGAGCTCTGGAAATCTGAAGATAATACTTACCCTCCTTGACTGTTTAACAGAGTAGTGATCAGAGTATGCAGGTATGAAAATCGCCTGAGAGGCTGGACCCGGTGGCTCGCACCTGCAATCCCAGCACTTTGGGAGGCTGAGGTGGGTGGATCACAAGGGCAGGAGATAAAGACCATCCTGGCAAACATGGTGAAACCCCATCTCTACTAAAAATACAAAAATTAGCTGGGTGTGGTGACACACGCCTCTAGTCCCAGCTACTCAGGAGGCTGAGGCAGGAGAATCTCTTGAACCTGGGAGGCAGTGGTTGCAGTCACCCGAGATCGAGCAAAGCATGGGCAACAGAGCAAGACTCAGTCTCAAAAAAAAAAAAAAGAAAGAAAGAAAAAAGAAAACTGCCTGAGAATGGAAAAAGAATCATCCACGAAGAGAGCCAGCCCCTCTTCCCCCCTGGCTCTTCGGACCCCGATCGCAGGGTGGGGAGGCACCTCGCGAGGCGGAGACTGAGAGCCAGCACCTCTTCCCCCACTGGCTCTTGGGATCCCCATAGCAGTGGGGGAGGCACCCCCCGCGAGGAGGGGACTGACAGCCAGCCCCTCTTCCCCACCTGGCTCTGAGGATCCGCGATGGACTCGCAGCCTGTTTACCATATTGTGAGTAATATCATCTCCACCTCTGGAGATTACGAACTCCTTCACAGACGGGTGTACACCCTCGGTGTACAGAGGGTGTACATCCGTCTGTATTGGGAGTAACATCATCTTCTTCCTCCCTGAATATTAAGAACACTATCAAAGGGGTGTTTCTACTACCTGCGATATCGCGTGTCATATCCTCCCCTCCCACGCTGCATTAAAAACAATATCAGTGGGGGCGTGTCCATCTGTAGGGAAAAGAAAGAGAGATCAGACTGTCACTGTGTCTATGTAGAAAGGAAAGGAGGCACCCCCCGCGAGGCGGTGACTGAGAGCAAGCCCCTATTCCCCCAGTGGCTCTTACGACCCCCATCGCAGGGGGAGGAGGCACCCCCCGCGAGGCGGGGACTGAGAGCCAGCCCCTCTAAGCCTTCTGGCTCTTGGGACCCCCATCACAGGGCGGGGAGGCACCCCCCGCGAGGCGGGGTCTCAGAGCCAGCCCCTCTTCCCCCACTGGCTCTTAGGACCCCCATCGCACTGGGGGGAGTCACCCCCGCGAGGCGGGGACTGAGAGCCAGCCCCTCTTCCCCCGCTGGCTCTGAGGATCCTCCGTGGACTCACAGCCTCTTTACCATATTGTGAGTAATATCATCTCCCCCTCTGGAGATTAAGAACTCTTTCACAGACAGGTGTACACCCTCGGTGTACAGAGGGTGTACACCCGTCTGTATTGGGAGTAATATCATCCTCTTCCTCCCTGAATATTAAGAACAGTATCACAGGGGTGTTTCTACTCCCTGCGATATCGCGTGTCATATCCTCCTCTCCCACGCTGCAATTAGAAGGAATATCAGTGGGGGCGTGTCCACCTGTAGGGAAAAGAAAGAGAGATCAGACTGTCACTGTGTCTATGTAGAAAGGAAAGACATAAGAGACTCCATTTGGAAAAAGACCTGTCCTTTAAACAATTGCTTTGCTGAGATGTTGTTAATTTGTAGCTTTGCCCTAGCCGCTTGGCCCCAGCCACTTTGACCCAACCTGGAGCTCACAAAAACATGTGTTGTATAAAATCAAAGTTTAAGGGATGTAGGGCTGTGCAGGACGTGCCTTGTTAACAAAATGTTTACCAGCAGTATACTTGGTAAAAGTCATCGCCATTCTCTAGTCTCAATAAACCAGGGGCACAATGCACTGTGGAAAGCCGCAGGGACCTCTGCCCTTGAAAGCAGGGTATCGTCCAAGCTTTCTCCCCATGTGATAGTCTGAAATATAGCCTCATGGGATGAGAAAGACCTGACTGTCCCCCAGCCCGACACCCGTAAAGGGTCTGTGCTGAGGTGGATTAGTAAAAGAGGAAAGCCTCTTGCAGCTGAGGTGGAGGAAGGCCACTATCTCCTGCTTGCCCCTGGGAACTGAATGTCTCGGTGTAAAACCCGATTGTACATTCGTTCAACTCTGAGACAGGGGAAAAGCTGCCCTGTGGCGGGAGGCGAGACATGTTTGCAGTAACACTGCCTTGTTATTCTTTACTCCACTGAGATGTTTGGGTGGAGAGAAACAAATCTGGCTTACGTGCACGTCCAGTCATAGTACCTTCCCTTGAACCTAATTATGACATAGATTCTTTTGCTCACATGTCTTCTGCAGACTCTCTCCTTATCATCACCCTGCTCTCCTACTACATTCCTTTCTGCTAAAATAATGAAAATCATAATCAATAAAAACTGAAGGAACTCAGAGGCTGGTGCCGGTGCAGGTCCTTGGTGGGCTGAGCGCCGGTCCCCTGGACCCACTGTTGTATCTTTACACTTTGTCTCTGTGTCTTATTTCTTTTCTCAGTCTCTCCTCCCACCCACCCAACTAGAAATACTCACAGGTGTGGAGGGGCAGTCCACCACTTCATCCACCTTCTGTCATATTGAAAGTAACATCATCTTCTTCCCTCCAGGATCGTGGGAACAATATCCCTGGGAGGTTTCCACTTTCTGCCATGTATGTAGTCATATCACCCCCTCCGCCGTGGAATATTATTAAGGACCATCTCACACGGGGGTGTATACTTCCTCCGATATTGGGAGTGACATCAACCTCTCGGTCTCTGAATATGAGGAAGAAAATCACAGGGCGGGTGTACACCTCGTGCTCTACGATGGGGAGTCATATCTGTCTATTACGGGGAGTAATATCATCCTCTCCCTTTCAGGATATAAATAACGATTTAACAGGCTGGGTGAACACAGCCTGCGATGCTGAAATTATTATCATCCTCTCCCCCTCTTCCTCCCCTGGTTCTTAGGATGCCCATCGCAGGGGAGCGAGCCACCCCCCGCAAGGCGGGGACTGAGCCAGCCCCTGTTCCCCCCCTGGCTCTTAGGACCCCCGTCGCAGGAAGGGGAGGCACTCCCCGCGAGGCGGGGACTGAGAGACAGCCCCCCTAAGCCTTCTGGCTCTTAGAACACCCATCACAGGGCGGGGAGGCACCCCCCGCGAGGTGGATACAGAGAGCCAGCCCCTCTTCCGCTCCTGGCTCTTAGGACCCCCATCGCAGGGGGAGGAGGCACCCCTCGCGAGGCGGGGACTGAGAGCCAGCTCCTCTTCCCCCGTGGCTCTTAGGATCCCCATCGCAGGGGGTGAGGCACCCCCCGCGAGGCAAGGACTCAGAGTCAGCCCTTCTTCCCTCCCTGGCTCTTAGGACGCCCATCGCAGTGGGGGGATGCACCCCTCGCGAGGCGCGGAATTAGAGCCAGCCGCTCTTCCCCCCCTGGCTCTTGGGACCCCCATCGCAGGGTGGAGGCACCCCCCGCGAGGCGGGGACTGAGAGCCAGCTGCTTTTCCTCCCCTGGCTCTTGGGACCCCTTCCCTCCCTGGCTCTTGGGACCCCCATCGCAGGGGGCGGAGGCACCCCCCGCGAGGCGGGGACTGAGAGCCAGCCGCTCTTCCCCCCCTGGCTCTTGGGACCCCCATCGCAGGGGGAGAGGCACCCCCCGCGTGGCGGGGACTGACAGCCAGCCCCTCTTCCCTCCATTTTTCTTAGGACCCCCATAGCAGGTGGGGAGGCACCCCCCGCGAGGCGGGGACTGAGAGCCAGCCGCTCTTTCCCCCCTGGCTCTTAGGACCCCCATCGCAGGCGGGGGAGGCACCCCCCGCGAGGCGGTGTCTAAGAGCCAGCCCTTCTTCCCCGCCCACCTCTGAGGATCCCCATCACACGGGGGAGGCACACCCCGCGAGGCGGGGACTGAGAGCCAGTCCCTCTTCCTCCCGTGGCTTAGGACCCCCATCGCGGATTCTAAGATCCTTAGGACCGACCTGGAGGGCTGTGGGTATTAGGTGTCCAAGAAGAAAATTCAGATCTGCCGACGACCGCAGGTACCTTACTTGGGATTTACTATTCGACAGGTGTCCGAAAGCAGCCCGGGATCCGAAAGAAAGCAGGTCATTTGCAATCTACCGAAGCCTAAAGGCACAAGGGTGGTGAGAGAATTCCTAGGAGCTGTGGGGTTTTGTAGACTGGGAATCCCAAACTTTGCAGTATTAGCCAAGCCTTTGTATGAGGTCACAATGGGGGCGGGGACCGGGAACTTTTGGAATGGGGATTCCAACAACAGCAAGTCTTTCATGACTTAAAGGAAAAACTTCTGAAAGCCCCAGCCGAGGGGCTACCCGATCTCACAAAGCCTTTTCCATTGTATGCGTCAGAGAGAAAAGATGGCAGCTGGACTTTTAACCCAAACTGTGGGGCCTTGGCTGAGGCCGGTGGCCTACATCTCTAAACAACTAGATAGGGATTCGAAAGGATGGCCCCCCTGTTTGAGGGCCTTCGCAGCAATTCCCTTGCTAGAACCAGATGCAAATAAGCTTACTCTTGGGCAAAACCAGAACAGAAAGGCCCTCCATGCTGAGGTGACTGAGAGCCAGCTCCTCTTCCCCTACTGGCTCTTAGGACCCCCATCGCAAGGGTGCGAGGCACCCCCGGCGAGGCGGGGACAGAGAGCCAGCCCCACTTCCCCCCCTTGCTCTTAGGACCCCCATCGCAGCGGGGTGAAGGACCACCCGCGAGGCAGGGACTGACAGCCAGCCCCTCTTCCCCCCCTGGCTATTAGGACACCTGTCGCAGGGGGGAGAGGCACCCCTCGCGAGGTGGGGACTGACAGCCAGCCCCTCTTCCCCCCCTGGCTATTAGGACACCTATCGCAGGGGGGAGAGGCACCCCTCGCGAGGTGGGGACTGAGAGCCAGCCCCTTTTCACCCCCTGGCTTTTAGGACCCCCATCGCAGCACGGGGAGGCATCCCCCGCGAGGCGGGGACTGAGAACCAGCCCCTCTTCCCCCGCTGGCTGTTGGGACCCCAATCGCAGGGGGGGGAGGCATCCCCCACGAGGCGTGGACTGAGAGCCAGCCCCTCTTCCCCCCCTGTCTCTTGGGACCCCCATCGCAGGCGGAGGAGGTACCCCCGGGAGGAGGGGACTGAGAGCCAGCCCCTCTCCCCTCCCTGGGTCTTGGGACCCCCATCGGAAGGGGCGGAGGCACCTCCCGCGAGGCGGGGACTGAGAGCCAGCCCCTCTTCCCTCCCTGGCTCTTGGGACCCCCATCGCAGTGGGGGGAGGCACCTCCCGCGAGGCGGGGACTGAGAGCCAGCCCCTCTTCCCCCCCCGGCTCTTAGGACCCCCATCGCAGTGGGGGGAGGCACCCCCCGCGAGACAGGGACTGCGAGCCAGCTCCTTTCCCCCCCTGGCTCTTAGGACCCCCATCGCAGGAGGAGGAGGCACCCCCCGCGAGGCGGGGACTGAGAGGCAGCCCCTCTTCCCCTGTGGCTCTTGGGACCCCCATAGCAGAGGGGGGAGGCATCCCTCGCGAGTCGGGGAATAAGAGCCAGGCCCTCTTCCCCCACTAGCTCTTAGGACCCCCATCGACGGGACCCCCCTTGATGCGGGGTGTAATAGCCAGCCCCTCTTCCCCCCCTGGCTCTTAGGACCCCCATCGCAAGGGGTTGAGACACCCCCCGCGATGCGGGGAGTAAGTGCCAGCCCCTCTTCCCTCCCTGGTTTTTAGGATCCGCGGTGGACTCACAGCCTGTTTACGATATTCGGAGTGATATCATCTCCCCCTCTGGAAATTATAAACTATTTCACAGATGGGGGTAGACCCTCGGTGTGCAGAGGGTGTACAGCCGTCTGTTTTGGGAGTAATATCATCGTCTTCCTCCCTGAATATTAAGAACAGTATCACAGCTGTGTTTCTACTGCAGGTGTGATTGGGCGTCACATCCTCCTCTCCCACGTGGAAATTATAACCGATATCAGTGGGGGCGTGCACACCTTCTGTGATATTTAAAGTGATATCATCCTCTTCCCTCCAGGATCATGAGAACAATATCCCTGGGGGTGTACACTTTCTGCGATTTTGGGAGTAATATCTCCCCCTCCGCCTTGGAATATTATTAAGGACCATCTCACACGGGGGTGTACACTTCCTGCCATATTGGGAGTAATATCGACCTCTCGGCCTCTGAATATTAGGAACAATATCACAGGGTGGGTGTACACCTCCTGCTCTGTTATGGGGAGTAATATCTATCTATTACGGGGAGTAATATCATCCTCTCCCTTTCAGGATGTTAATAACAATATCACAGGGTGGGTGATCACAGCCTGCGATACTGGAATTATTATCATCCTCTCCCCCTCGGGATACCAGGAACAATATCACAGAAGAGGTGTACACTCCCTGCGATTTTGGAAGTAATATCCTACGCTTCTTCCGTGAATACTAGGAGCAATATCACCGGGTGGCTGTACATTCATTGCTATGTTGGGAGTCATGTCATACTCTACTCCCTGGATATTAGGATCAGTGTCACAGGGTGAGTGTACACCTACTGAGATATTAAAACTAATATCATGCTCTCCATCCCTGGATATTAGGAACAATATCACGGGTAGGTGTACACCCCCTGCGGTATTAGGAGAAATAATACGATTAATTATTAAGCATCAATCTTAATAATATTATTAATTGTTAAACATCAGTCTTAATAATTATCAATGGTAATATTAATTAATAGTATAACGTTATTAATCATTAATGATTATTTTAAATGTACAATTATGCATGATTAAAATTATCTGTATTAATGTCATTTTTCAATAATATTAGTTATTAATCTTAATATTAATTATTGTTTTATTACCAACATCACTTATGACTGATTTATGTAACATTGATTAATAATATCATTATTTTATTATTAATAGTGATATTGCTATTATTAATAGTAATTGTTAATATTTTCATCCATATTCACTTTTACTATCTCTATTGCAATTATTAATATCGATGATTACTATTAATTATTAATATATTTATTAATATTAATAATTAATATAACTGTTCCCGATATCTGTGGGGGAGAGGATATTACTCCCGATGTCGCTGAAAGTGTACACCCCTCTATGATGTTTCTCCTAATTGCCAGGATGTAGAGGATGACATTATTGAAAATGTCGCTGCGGGTGTACCTCCGTTCAGTCATCTTGTTCCTAATGTCCTGGGTGGGAGCGGATGATATGACTCCCAATATCGCAGGGGGCGTAGACATCCCCCGTGATACTGTCCCTAACGTCCAAAGGTGGAGAGGATGATATTTCTTCCAATTTCGCAGGGGGTGTACACCACCCCTATGATATTGATCCTAATATCCAGGGGGCGAGAGGATGATCTTAGTCTCACTATTGCAGGAGGTGTACACTCCCTAGGGATATTGTTCCTAATACTCAGGGATGGAGAGGAAGATCTCATTCCCAATATAGCAGGGAGTGGACACCCCTTCTGTGACATTGTTCCTAATAGCCAGCGCGGCAGAGGAAGATATTACCCCCAATATCGCAGGGGGTGTGCGCCCCCTTGTGACATTGTTCCTTATATCCTGGGAGGGAGAGGATGATACTGGTGACAATGTCGCAGCGGCTGTACACACCCACTGTGATATTGTTCCGAATATCCCGAGGGGGAGAAAATGATATTACTCCCAATATCGCACGGGGTGTACATCCTCCCGTGATATTGTTTCTTATATTCAGGGGGAGAGGATGATATGACTCCCAATATCGCAGGGGTTGTGCACACCTCCTGCGATATTGTTCCTAATATCCCGAAGGGGAGAGCCAAATATTACTGTCAATATCGCAGGGGGTGTACACCTCTTTGGTAATATTGTTCTTAATATCCATGATGGGAGAGGATGATATTACTCCCAATATCGCAAGAAGTGTACAGCCGCCTGTGATATAGTTCCTAATATCTAGGGGGAGAGAGGATGATATTACTGCCCATATCGCATGAGTTTTAAAACCCCTTCCATATTTTGCCTACAATCCCGAGGGGAGAGGACGATACTACTCCCAATATCGAAGAAGGTGTACAACCCCCTGGGACATTATTGCCAATATCCACGTTGGGAGACGATGGCATTACGCCCAATATCGCAGGGGATGTACACCCACCCCGGGATATTGTTCCTTATATAGAGAGGGGGAGGGGATGATATTACTCCCAATATCGCAGGGGCTGTACACCCCTCCTGTGATATTGTTCTTAGTATCCTAGGAAAGAGAGGATGATACTACACCCAATATCTCAGGGGGTGTACACCCACCTCCTTCAGATATTGTTCTTAATGTACTCCACCTCCCCTGACCAGGGATGTTGTTCCTCATATCCAGGGGAAGAGAGGCTAATATCACGCCCAATATCGCAGGGGGTGTACACACCCTCTGTGATGTTGTTCCTAGTATCCAAAGGTAGAGACGATGATATTACTGGCCATATCGCAGAGGGTGTACGCCCGTCTGTGATATTGTTTTTGATATTCAGTGGGGGGAGAGGATTACATTAATCCCAACATGGCAGAAGGTGTACAGACCCCGTGATATAGTTCCTAATGTACAGGGAGAAGAGAATAACATTACTCTCAATATCGCAGGGAGCGTAACCCCCACGACCCCGGAAATGGTTCCTAATGTACAGGGAGAAGAGAATAACATTACTCTCAATATCGCAGGGAGTGTAACCCCCACGCCCCCCGTATATTGTTCCTAATATGCAGCGGGGTAGAGGCTGATATTACTCCCAATATCGCAGAAGATGCACACACACCTGTGATATACTTCCTAATATCCAGCGGGAAAAGGCTGATATTACTCTGGATCTCGCAGTGGGTGTACACCCCCAAGCCCCCCGGGGTATTGTTCCTAATATCTAGGTGGGAAGATGGTGATATTGCTGACAATATCGAAGGGGGTGTACAACTCTTCTGTGATATGGCTCCTGATATCCAGGGGGTGAGTGGATGATATTACTCTCAATAAAGTAGGAACTGTACACCACCCTGTGATTTTGTCCTTAATAACCACATGGGGAGAGGTGATATTACTCCCAATATTACAAGGGGTGTACACCTCGTCTGTGATATTTTTTCTTGTATCCAGGAAAGGACAAGATGATATTACGACCAGTATCGAAGACATGTACAGCCCCATGGGATATTGTTCTAAATATACAGCTTGAAAAAGGATCCGATGACTCCCAATATAAGAAGGGGTGCACACCCCGCCTGTGATATGAATCGTAAAATCTAGAAGAAGAGTGAATGACATTGCTTTCAAAAACACACGGGGTGTACACCCCGTCTCTGATGTTGTTCCTATCATGTAAAGGAAGAGATGATGATATTACTCCCAATACCGCAGAAGGTATATACCCCCTGTGATACTGTGCGTCACAACTAGTGGGGGAGAGCATGATATTACTTCAAATATGACAGCGGCTTTACACCCCATCTGTGATATTACTCCTAATTTCCAGTAGCAAAAGTAGGATGTGCCTCCGAATAGGCCTGTGATATTTCCCCGACTATTTAGGGAAACACAGGATGACATGACCCCAAATGCCGCAAAAAGTGTACACCCATTGTGTGATATGGTCCGTATATGCGGAGGTGCAGAGGATATTAGTTTTCATATCGCAGGCTGTGTACACACACTCTGTGAAATTGTTCCTAATAGCAGGAAAAAAGAGAATGCTCACAACGGACACAGGTCACATCGCAGGGGTTGAGGCACCCCCCGCGGTATGGGGAGTAAGGGCCACCCCCTTTCCCCCCCAGCTATTTATTATGATCCACATTGCAGGGGTGTGAGGCACCCCCTGAGATATGGGGAGTAAGAGCCACCCCCTTCCCCCCCCCCCGGCTATTTATTACGATCCACATGTCGGGGGTGAGGCACCCTCCGCGATATGGGTAGTAACAGCCACCCCTTCTCCCCCCCCCTCGCTATTATGATCCACCTCGCAGTGGGGTGAGGCACCCCCCGCGATATGGGGAGTAAGAGCCACCTCCTCTCCCCCCCCGAGTTATTACGATCCACGGTGGACTCACAGCCTGTTTACTATATTGGGGGTAATATCTCCCCCTCTGGAAATTATGTGCTGTTTGACAGATGGGTGTACACCCTCGGTGTGCAGGTTGTACACCCGTCTGTATTGAGAGTAATATCATCCTCTTCCACCCTGAATATTAAGAACCGTATCACAGGTGTGTTTCTACTCCCTGCGATATTGGGTGTCATATCCTCCTCTCCTACACTGAAATTAGAAACAATATCAGTTGGGGCGTGTACACCTTCTGTCATATTTAAACTAATATCATCCTCTTCTCTCCAGGATCATGGGAACAACATCCCTGGGGGGGGGTGTACACTTTCTGCGATAAATGTAGTAATATCACCCCCTCTGCCTTGGAATATTATTAAGGACCATCTCACACGGGGGTGTACACTTCCTGCGATATTGAGAGTAATATCGACCTCTCTGCCTCTGAATATTAGGAACAGTATCACACGGTGGGTGTACACCTCCTGCTCTATTATGGAGAGTAATATCTATCTGTTATAGGAAGTAATATCGTCCTCTCCCTTTCAGGATATTTATAACAATATCACAGGGTGAGTGAACACAGCCTGCGATACTTTAATTTTTATCATCCTCTCCCCGGCGGGATACCAGGAACAATGTCACAGAAGAGGTGTACACTCCCTGCGATATTGGGAGTAATATCATACTCTTCTTCCGTGAATATTAGGAGCAATATCACCGGGTGGCTGTACATTAATTGCTATGTTGGGAGTCATGTCATGCTCTATCCCCTGGATATTAGGATCAGTGTCACAGGGTGAGTGTACACCTACTGAGATATTAAAACTAATATCATGCTCTCCATCCCTGGATATTAGGAACAATATCACAGGTAGGTGTACACCCCCTACGGTATTAGGAGAAATAATATGATTAATTATTAAGCATCAGTCTTAATAATATTACTAATTATTAAACATCAGTCTTAATAATTATCAATGGTAATATTAATTAATAGTATAACGTTATTAATCATTAATGATTATTTTAAATATGATTATGCATGGTTAAAATTAATTATTAGTATTGTCATTTTTCAATATTCGTTATTAACCTTAATATTAATTATTGTTTTATTACCAACATCACTTATTGATTTAATTAAGTAACATTAATTACCGATATCATTATGTTATTATTAATAGTGAGGTTGCTGTTAATTATTAATAGTAAACATTAATATTTTTAATCCGTATTAACTTTTACTATCTTTATAGTAATTATTTATATCGATGATTTCTATTAATTGTTATTATATTTATGAATATTAATACTTAATACAATTGTTCCCGATATCCGAGGGGTAGAGGATGTTACTCCCAATATCACAGAAAGTGTACACCCCTCTATGATGTTATTCCTAATTGCCAGGGAGTAGAGGATGACATTATGAAAAATATCGCAGTGTGTATACATCCCTTCGGTCATCTTTTTTCCTAATATCGTGGGTGGGAGAGGATGATATGACTCCCAATACCGCAGGGGGCGTAGACTTCCCCCGTGATATTGTCCCTATCATCCAAAGGTGGAGAGGATGATATTTCTTCCAGTTTCGCAGGGGATGTACACCACCCCTGTGATATTGATCCTAATATCCAGGGGGCAAGAGGATGATGTTAGTCTCAATATTGCAGGAGGTGTACACTCCCTAGGGATATTGTTCCTAATATCCAGGGACAGAGAGGATGATCTCACTCCCAATGTAGCAGGGAGTGGACACCTCTTCTGTGACATTGTTCCTAATGGCCAGCGGGGGAGGGGAAGATATTACCCCCAATATCGCAGGAGGTGTACACCCCTTGTGACATTGTTCCTTATATCCTGGGAGGGAGAGGATGATACCAGTGGCAATGTCGCAGCGGCTGTACACACCCATTGTGATATTGTTCCGAATATCTCGAGGGGGAGAAAATCATATTACTCCCAATATCCCAGGGGGTGTACATCCTCCTGTGACATTGTTCCTTATATTCAGGGGGAGAAGGCGATATCACTCCCAATATCACAGGGGTTATACACACCTCCTGCGATATTGTTCCTAATATCCCGAAGGGGAGAGCATAATATTACTCTCAGTATCGCAGGGGGTGTACACCTCCTTTGGAATATTGTTCTTAATATCCATGATGGGAGAGGATGATATTACTCCCAATATCGTAACAAGTGTACAGCCGCCTGTGATATAGTTCCTAATATCTAGGTGGAGAGGATGATATTACTGCCCATATCGCATGAGCTGTAAAACCCCTTCCATATTTTGCCTACAATCCCGAGGGGAGAGGACGATACTACTCCCAATATCGAAGAAGGTGTACACCCCCCTGGGACATTATTCCCAATATCCACGTTGGGAGATGATGACATTACGCCCAATATCGCAGGGGATGTACACCCACCCTGGGATATTGTTCCTTATATCGAGAGGGGGATAGGGTGATATTATTCCCAATATCGCAGGGGCTGTACACCCCTCCTGTGATATTGTTCTTAGTATCCTAGGAAAGAGAGGATGATACTACACCCAATATCTCAGGGGGTGTACACCCACCTCCTTCAGATATTGTTCTTAATGTACTCCACCTCCCCCGACCAGGGATATTGTTCCTTATATCCAGGGGAAGAGAGGCTAACATTATGCCCAATATCGCAGGGGGTGTACACACCCTCTGTGATGTTGTTCCTAGTATCCAAAGGTAGAGACGATGATATTACTGGCCATATCGCAGGGGGTGTACACCTCTCTTGTGATACTGTTCTTAATATTTAGGGAGGGAGACAATGATAGTACTGTCCATATTACTGGGGTCACAGCAGCCCCGTGACGTTGTTTTTAATATTCAGTTTGGGAGAGGATGATAATAATTTCAATATAACAGGGGACACCCCCCCCCCCGTGATGTTGTCCCTATTGTCCAAGGGAAGAGAAATGATATGACTCACAATATGTCAAGGGGTGTACATCCCCTGTATAATATTCTTCCTAATATCCAGGGGGGATTAGAATGATATTACTCCCAATATCACAGGGGGTGTACGCGACCCCTTTTATATTGTTTCTAATATCTCGGGAGGGAGAGGATGATATTACTCCCAATATTGTAGGGGTGTACACCCCTCCCGTGACATTGTTTTTAATATTTAGGTAGGGAGTGGATGATATTACTCTCAATATCTCAGAGGGTTTACACTCTTCCTGGGATACGGTTTCTAATATTAAGTGGGAGAGAGGATGATATTATTCCCAGTATCGCAGGGGGTGTAGATGTCCTGTTATTTTGTTCCTAATATCCAGGTTGGGAGAGGATGATATTACTGCCTATATCGTAGGAGTTGTACACCCCATCAGTGATATTATTCCTCATATTCAGGGGAAAAGAGAATGACATTACTCCCAATAGCGCAGGAGGTGTACACACCCCTTTGATATTGTTCCTAATACGCAGTGGAGGAGACGATGATGTTACTGGCCATATCGCGAGGGGTGTACACCTCCTCTGTGATATTGTTTTTAATATCCAGGGGTTAGAGGATGACATTACTCCCATGATCGTAGTGGGTGTACGCCAATTCTGTGGTATTGTTCTTAATATCCAGGGAGGGAGAGGATGATATTACTGTCACTATCGCAAGGGGTAGACACTCCTTCTTTGATATGGTTCCTAATATCCAGGGGGGAGAGTATGATATTAATCCCAAAATCGCTGTGGGTATACACCCCTTTCTGATATTGTTCCTAATATGCCGGGGGAGAGTCTATGATATTACTGCCCATATCACAGGGTGTGTACACCAGAACTGCTATATTGTTTCTTATTTCCAGCAATGAAAAGTTGATATTACTCCCAAAATGGAATGGGCTGTAAACCCCCCATAAGATATTGTTCCTAATATCCAGGGGGAAAAGGATGATATTACTTTCAATGTTGCAGCAGGTGTATAATCTGCCTGTTACATTGTTCCTAATATCTGGGGTGGGGGCGGCGGGGTGAGAACGATATTACTCGCAATATCTCAGAGGGTGTACACTGCCCCTGTGATATTGTTCTAAATATCCACTGGGGTAGAAAATCATATTACTCCCAATATCGCAGGTGGTGTAAACGCCCCCCGATATTTTTTCTAACATCCAGGTGAGGTAGGATGATATTACTCCCAATATCACAAGCGGTGTACACACCTTCTTTGATATTTTTCCTACTATTTACTTGTGGAGAGGATGATATTACTCCCAGTGTCAAAAGAAGTGTACAAGCCCCCTGTGATATTGTTCCTAATATCCAGGTTAAAAGAGGATGATATTACCCCCAATATCGCAGGGGGTTTGCTGTACACTCCGCCTGTGATATTATTTCTAATATCCAGGGGAAGAGAGAATAATATTACTCCCAATATCGCAGGGGCTGTACACACCTTGTGATATCTTTCCTAATATCAATGAGGGGAGGAGATGATATTACCACAAATATCAGAAGAGGTGTACACCTTTCCTGTGATATTGTTCCTAATCTCCATTTTGGGAGAGGATGATATTACTCACAATATCGCAGTGGTTATACACTTCCCCTGTGATATTATTCCTAATATCCAAGTTGGGAGAGGATGATCTTACTCCCAATATCGCTGGGGGTATACACCCCTTCTGTGATATTGTTCCTAACATCCACAGGGGAAGAGATTAATATTACTCCCAATATCCCAGGGGGTACACATCCCCACTGTTATATTGTACCTAATATCAAGGGGTGGAGAAAATGATATTACTCCCAATAGCGCCGTGTGTATACACCCCTCCTGTGATATTGTCCCTAGTATCCAGGGGCTAAAGATAGATATTACTCCCAATATCCAGGGGATAGAAGTTGATATTAAACCGAATATCACAGTGGGTGTACACAACTCCTGTCATATTGTTCCAAATATCCAGGCAGAGAGAGGATAATATTACTCAAAACATTCCTGGGGGTGTACACAGCCCTCTGTGATATTGTTTCTAATATACAGAAAGGGAGAGGATGATATTACTCTCAATAAACAGAAGGGTACAATTCCCATGTGATGTTGTTCTGAATATCTAGGGTGAGAGAGGATGATATTACTCCCAACATTGCAAAAGTTGTAAACACCTTCTGTGATATTGTTCCTAATATCCGGGGAGAAAGAAGATGATATGACTTTCAATATCGCAGGGGGTGTGCACCCCCCTCCCCGTGATATTGTTCCTAATATCCGGGGGAAAGAGGATGATGTTACTCCCAGGATCGCAGGGGGGTGTACACCCCCCTGTGATATTGTTTCTAACATCCAGAGGGGGAGAAGTTGATATTACTTCAAACATCGCCGGGGGTGTACACCCCACCTGTGATATTGTACTTAATATTTAGCGGGAGAGAGGGGGGTGATATTACCAATAACGTAGGGGAAAGTCAACCCCCTCTCCCCCGCTGGATATTACGAGCCATATGACAGGGAGGTGTCCACCCCCCACCATATGGAGAGTAATATCACCCTGTTCTCCCCCCACCTCCAGCTTCTTTCTGCTAAGGTCCCCTTGCCCCTCCAGGTGGCTTTCTTGGGCAAGGCATAAAAGAAATTACGTGGTTTTCTTGCTCAGATTTGTTCGCAAGTCCACGAGAAATACTCAGGGAGTCTTGCAAAAATCCGGTGTTACAGCAGCTAAGTCAGCCAGCTAGCCGTGTCCTACAGTTGAGATGTCATGTCATGATTCCCCTCTCTTTTACCTGCTGACTCCTCCTCAGCCTTCCGGACTCTGCTTAGGTGCCTCTTCCTCCAGGTTGTCCGCTCCTGTCCCCACCCTTCCTTACCTGCTCTCCTATACCATGGGCTGATCCAGCGCAGCATTTCTCACACATCTTACAGCTGCCTGCCTCCAGTCTGTATCCGGACTCCACAACCTGAAGGTAACGGCTGCATCTGCCTTGATCATCATTGTATCCCTTGCTCCTACAACAGCACCTAACACAGAGTAATTCCTCAGTCAACATTTTCTGGATGGGTGAACAAAAAATAAATCTACACATCAAGTGAAAATTAGGCTGAGCAGAAATGAAGCAAGTGATAAACTACAAGAGAAGGTTATACCTGTTATTCTAGGCATGCTAATTCTAATTTTAGAATTGCTGTGGTTATTTCATGTTACTCTGCCAGGCTTCAGTGTTAGGCAAGGGCAATTCTCTGTGTAAGCAGGGATAGCTTTCCTGAAAGGTCCTGTTGGTCCTGGGAAGTGATGGTACATGTGACTCATCCCTCAAACCAGAAGGCTAAGCTAAACTAGCAGGAGAGCTGCAGCAGGAACCTTCTGGCAGGAAAGAAACAGCATGCTCTGTGTACCACCCGTGTGTGACCGGAAATAAAGGAGGCCCACCATGTGAAGACTGACCAGGACGCAGAGAGAAGGACGTCAGGCAAGATTCCACCCGTGCTTAGGGACACAACATGTTTATTAGCATCATTAAGTACTAGCTGACATGCATAGAGCATTGAGTATGTGCCAGGCACTGTGCTAAGCACTTCACATACACTATTTCATGTGATCCCCACCATGGCCCTATAAGGTGAAACTTATAAATATCACCATTATATAGATGGGGAAATTGAGGCTTGGAGAGGTTAAGTTGTTTGCCTGAGGTCACAAAGCTGGTAAGCAGCAGAGCTGGAATCCAAACCAACAGAAATTCCATCTAGATACCCAACTCCTCACTGCCGTCTATCCTTGGAAACTAGACTAGTCTCCAAGGAAACATGAATCTACATTTTCTTTCAACTAATAAGAGCTCTTTCCTTATGGTAATTATTTAAATAGTTTTAATAAAAATTTAAAATCTATTTCAAGATTAAAGTTTCAAAGCCATCAAACATCAAATATATATGAAAATACATTTGTATATATTATAAACAGATATATGACGTGACATGAAGTGCTGGATCCAGTGCATCAGAAAATACACGCAAATATAAAATACCCGACAGCATTATGTAAAACATCAGCTGCTTGCCAAATCGGCATTAAATACTTAAGCACTGTGACCTGTTGCTTAAAGTATTACAAATCCAGCCTTATCGAAAAATCTCTATTTGTCCTAGGAAACTAATACTTTTTAAAAACAATAATTTGGTAATTTTAATAATATTTAGATCTATCTAAACTTAAAGCCTATATATTTACCACCCTTTTACATGCTTACCAGTATTACAGACACAATAAATTTTATCAGGTATTTTTGATAATGTGCTAGGAATTGTTTGAAATATAAAGAAGAATAAGATTTCGTTTTCACCATCTCAGAGATTCCAGATAGTGGTGGACACAGAAACCCGTGAAAATAACTGCAGGATGAAATAGACGAAATTATAGAAGCCCTATGTACCATGGAAAAATGGACATTGACATGGAAATTTTATTTCATATGCATACTCTTTAAAGAAAGAAGAAGCCTAAAAAAGTTAGCTACCTTTGGTTTTTATTACTTATGTCTTACACTCAGGTGAACTTTTTTCTGTCTAATCTAATATCATTCAAATCCTGAGTCCTTTTAATTAAGTTATCCTAAAATGAATTTTCATGAACACAGAATTTGTGCTATTACTCTATCTGCACCTCATGGATATTACCACATTTTAGATTTTATGTTTTAAAACACAAAACAATATAAAACCTAAAGTTTTAACATAAAATGTCTTTGGATCTTCAACTAAAATACTAAAGATATAAAAAACTTTATTCTCCTCAAGATAAAACTAGATTTAAAATTGTCAGTGAAATAGTTGATTGATCATTTATATTTCTATAAATATATGGAAAATAATCTATTTTTTAATTTTAAGACATTACAATTTTAGATTGTATTTGCATTTAGGAAAATTTCACATAATCTTTACCAGATCCATGCTTACTCTGATAAAAATTTGTTTTTTCAATAGTTGATTCTTAAAAATATCTTGACTAATCCTTCTCCCTCTACAAACAATATTATTATTTGCCAATATTCAAAAGTCTGAATAAACGACCTTATCCCTGGGAATATCTTGCCAAAAAACTATTACCTGCAGCTACAAAGTTCAGAATGTCAACTTCTTCAGAACAAACAGTTCAGTTTCTCCCATAAAAAATGCAAGGGAAACAAAAAAAGAGGATTGAGGAAATCTAAAAGAGATATAATAGCCCATATCAACCAAACACAATACGTAACCCTTATTAGCATTCTAATTCAAACCAACCAACTAAACAAAAAGTTTTTAGACAATTGAAGATATTTAAATATTGCCTGGATAAACCGATGCTATTAATGGATTATTTAGGTGTGATAATGGTATTGTGGTTACATTGATGGGAATCTTCTTTTTTATAAATGGGGTCTTGCTGTGTTGCTCAGGGTGGTCTTGAACTCCTGGCCTAAAGTGATCCTCCAACCTCTGCCTCCCAAAGAGCTGGGATTACAGGGAGGAGCCACTGCATCCAGTCTCATTGATGGAATTATTATCTTTTAGAGAAATATTCAAAAATACAATACAATGATAGACTATCTGGGATTTGATTCAAAATAATTCAGTGGGGAGGGGACTGTCAGCAGATAAAGAAGACACAAGGTTGGCCCAGAGGAGAAGTACATACAGGTTAATTATACTAATCTCTTTATAAACATTGTTTGAAATATGACATAATGTATCCTATACAACTGATACCTTGAGTAACACAATAATAGTCCCCTTAATTTTAGGAACTACTGGTCATAAATATGCCCTTACATATAGACATCTCCTCTATACATAGCAAAATCACATTATTTGACAAAAAGGAAATCTCTTAGGCTACGTTTAATCTTATTGTTCTCTTTGCCTGGATTTGGGAATAGAAACTGCTTCACTGGCTAAGTAAATCATAACTGTCCCAAAATATTCTTAATTACTGATTTCAATAAACATATCCCTTCGTTCTAAGAACAACTAAGAAAATGAAGTTTATGTTCAGGTAAACCTGACAATGTTAAGGTAGTTGAGTAACAGGGAAGTAATGATTAACTGAATTTCATACTGGATTCTCAAATCCTTTTTCTTTTTCTACTCTAATGTTTCCTTTGGATGGGGCGAATTCTAGTATTGTTAGCGATCACCTATGTAACTTTTTTGCAGGTGGTGTATATGGAATCAATGAATGCTTAAAACCAATTAAAAATAATTTCAGTGATTACATGAAAACACAGCTAGAAAAACTAAAGTATTTTTGTAGAAATTACGAGAAGGTTACATTAACAGTCAGAATAAGGTTACTATTTAGACTGTAATCAGGTGTCAATGTGGAAAGAAATTTCTGAGCATTTTTCCGGAAGGCTGGGGAGGAATGAGAATCATGACTCTCCACACTTCCAATAAAATGTGGTGAAGGACTGGTGCAAACTCTCAGAAGCCACCATTTGCTAAATCTCCCCGCCAGCCTTGTTAGTCCTTATCGCCGTTTGATTCCATTATTTTTCTCGTGGTTTCTGCTGTTTCTCTAAATTGTCTAACGACCGTTATTAAGTAAAAATGAATGAAACGGGGCCGTGTGATCTAGGCAGCCTGGAGATGAGATTTTGGAATCATAAGCTACATTCCAATGTATAAACAGATTTTATTCATTTTGGATACTCAATGTACACAGAATCGGCACTGTAGAATGTGACTGCCCTGCCAGAAGGCATCTGCTTGGGACTTGCTGGCAACCGATAGTCCCCTCTGCTTGCAACCCTCGGCCAGCCGCCGGGGACCCCTAGTCCACCGGTTCCTGGACGTTCTCTCTACTCTCCAGTGGCCACCACCTCCACTCCCACTCCTATAGTCCCGAACCTGCTGGCCTGAGGGTTCGCAGAGGGCCAGTCGTTGCGACAGCCCCGCGTCCCGGCCCCCTCGTCTCTTGGACCTTCACCCCAGGCCAGCGCAGCCCAGCTTCCTGGGCAAGTTTCACGCTACCAGGATCCAGTGCGGGGCGACGAAGTGGAGAGCTGTATCAAGACTCCGAAGAGAAATTCCGGCTTCGCGGGGCGGCGCGGAGCCCGGAGCTGCCCACCTCCGCCGCCTTGGGAAGGCGGCTGGGATTAGAAGGTGGCTTCGGGCCCGCAGGGAGTCCAGGGGAGGGATTCCCGGTACCGCCGGCACCTACGTCGAGGGGTGCCTGGGTTCTTGGGGACCATGAGAGGAAAAAGAACGAAAATCACACCAGGGAGGAAGAACGCGCAGAACGCCCCTCTGTGAAGCAGAGTGCTCTAGTCAGGCGTGAGCCGGAGCGCGGTCTGGGGGAGTCTGGCGGCGCCGTTCCCCGCACTCGGCAGAGGCTTGCAAGAAAACGCACAGCCCAGGGCGTGGGGTAGGGAACTGACCGCGCGAGTCTTTCGGCGCGTCTGGGTCTCGGGGAGAGAAAAGCGCTTCCTGGCACCGGGGGCGGTGGGACAGAGGCCAGGAGGAAGAAATCCGGGCCCTGGCCCAGGTCAGGCTTCCACCCCTGCGACCCGCAAGAGGCCCAGGCAGGAAAGGTGGCGTGCGCGAGTGGAGTTAGTGGTTCAGAAAGCAAACCTGGCCAGGTGCTACTGCCTGAGGGTCGTCGGGCGAGTTTCTTAATTTCTCCGAGTTACTTATTTCTAGTCTGGAAAACGGAGAATTCCATAGTGTCTTCTTCAGTGAGTGCTGGGAGTGCTAAAGGAGGATCCGGTGCCTGGCAGACCAGGAGCAGGGGGGAAACAGTTGGCCGATACTGTTACTATTATCAGCGTTATTAGCGGCCAGGACAGTGTGGGGGGGGGGGGCGGGGGTAAGGGGCCTCCCCGCGCCTCCCAGCCCTTCGCGCTCGGCTCCAGCTCTTTGGCTTCCTTCCCTGGGCAGCTCTAGGCTTAGCTCTCAGCCATTTCTCAAGAAGACGATCCCGAGGGTCGAAGACCACCCTTGACCCTTGACCATGGACTCTTCGTGTAACTTGGAAGAGCCGTGATTTTAAAACCCAGCCTCAGGGTTACAGAAGCCCGAGATCTGGGAGGCATCCGGGACCTCCCTCCCAGAACCACAGGGACCCGGCCTGGGATCCAGAGTGTGGCCTCTTGCTCTGTGCAGTCAGGAAGGCGGCCAGGTCTGGTCACCGCGCCAAGCACTACGCACCCCTGGGACGCGTCGTTGCGGGGGAGTTGGGGGGGCTGGGGCGCCTCCACGACGCCTGGTCTGCCCGGCAAGTGCTTGGTGTCGTTGGTGGGTTCGTAGCTGCGACAGGTAAACGTCCGTTCCGCGAACCGGGCAGGGCAACCCCTGCGGGTCGCACCCGAAGGCCGGACCTCTCCAAGCTGCCTGGGTGCTTCCAAACAGGTGGACCCGAAGCTCCTGTTTGATCGGAGAATAACGTTTAATTTACTCCGCCACTGAATTGATTGTTTAAATATTCATCTTTGGATATGGTTTAACATTAGGCAAAAATTAGGAGCTTGGAGGCGGTTCCGGGAAGGGGTCTGACCCTCAGTCACCCATGTTCGTAGCTGTGTTGGTCTGCCCTCGGGCAAGAGAAGGAAGATAATTGGGAGGGTGCCAAGAAAGCCTAGAGAAAGTCCCTTCTGGGTTCAGCGGCCGGCTGTAGCCGCTCTCCCAGGACGTTTGTTGACAATAAATGAATGAAGGTCGGCCTGGAGACGTTTTCGCACAACGGACAGAGGGGAGTTGGAATGTAAACCAGCGAGAACCTGGCATGAAATAGGACCCCTCTATTCTCAGTTTGTTTCCAAACTCTTAGACTGCCCCAGCCCTGCCGGATTTGCTAAAAGTGGTCTATTTTGGACGCTGGTGGTGCTATGGGGCTGACGGCTACCTGTGCAAAGAAGAGGGAAGAATTGGAAGCTGGGGTCTGGGCAGCTACCAAAGGTGGGGCTTGGGAACTTTTCAGAACGTCCTCAGAACCGCAGGAGCCAAGAGGAAATCTCCCGTAGGGGATCTCAGGTAGGGCGTGCCAAGAAATTCCAAGAGACGGGATGGAGAAGAGAAGCCGGAGAAAAATCGGCCAATTAGACTCCTGTAAAAATGTGTGTCTCCATGTTTGTCCTCCCTCCTGAAATAAGAAATTCATAGCTGGGGGTGGGGAGTAGATGGGGGCTGGGGGAAAAACTTTCTCACATTCACGGAGCAGCTTCCCTCAAAGCGGCACGGAATCGGGAACCCCACTCAGGACAGGGGAAAACGGCCAAGTTCCTAGAAATTTGTTTTCTTTGTGGGGAGCAATTCATGATGGGCGTTCTTGTCTGGTTTCCCCCCACTCCGTCCCCTGACGCCGAGTAACACTTAAACCTTTCTAGTTGCAAAGTCTTTTCAGAGTTGTTTTTTTTTTTAAGAAATAAGTTTTGAAAATTCTAGTGCTTAAAATATATATATATATATATATATATAATTTATAGCCTTTTATTTTCTCTGAGTACATGTTGGCCACTACATTCCAAATTTATCTCAAATGGTTTTCCAGCTTGTTGAGGGGTGATGAAAAATAAATGGAGAATATATTTACATGCCCTCCTATTCTTTTCTTTTAGAAGTCTCATAAATAGTAAATTTCCTATTTTAAAAGCCAGGACATTTTCAACCTCAAATATTTGGAATTTTTAAAGGCCATATTAAAATGGATTACTTCTGCTATCTATAATAAATATGAATTGTGAAAATAAATTGTTTGAGGGAAAATAACGTAGGTTTTAAAAAGTTCCATTTAGAAAGGGAAGAATGAGATGTAATAGAAAATAAACGATGTAGTGTAGTGACTTAGCATTTTATTTCGTCTATATAACTAGGCTTAATTTTAACACCTTAATTTTAACATTAAAGATGGCACGTCAGACACACAGATAAGAAATCAATGTTCTGAAATTAATATCCTACTTACATTAAACATCCCTATCAGGAAGACACAGAGAGTAGAAGCATTTTGCACTAGACTTAGGAATAATACTTCCAGCTCCAAGGAAGTGAAGAAGGGGGAACATGTTTGGCATCGGAGGCTGTGTTTTTGTTTGCTTGCTTGTTTTTCTTTTAATGCCAGAACAAAATACCCCACTCACGTTCATAGTACCCCAGGAAATGCGCAAATCGGGACAGCCATAGAAGCCACAACCGAAGGCAAGAAAAGATGACTTGACGCCCTGCGAAGGTTACGTTCAGGTGGTTTTTAGAGGAACGTAATCCAGCTGTTTCTTTCTAACCATTTTGCAGCGAACAGAAGTTCGTGTTTGCTCTCCAGCGGGATTCAGATGCACACGCCCAGTATGGGCCGCGCAAGGTGGAGTGAGCAGCTGCGGGTCGCTCCCCACTCCCACCTGGCTCTAGGAGGGCCCTGCGGAGTTGGCCAGGGAACTGGGCGTGGGCGATACTAAAAAAACTGGTGAGGTCCCCTCTCCGCCCAAAGGGGCAGCCAGCGATGTCAGCCTAGAGCCCTCTGCCACTGCCTGATACCTCAGCAGGGCCGACGAGGCCGACAGGTGCCCGCCCAGCACCGCGCCCTTGGTGGGAGCGCAGCCGTTGGCGCAGTCCTCCTCCTGATGCTGCTGCTATTGCTGCAAAATTGTCCGAGCAGCGGCGGCGGCGGACACTTGCAGCAAAGGGGCAGCGGTCTGGGGATGCAACAGGCTTGATGGTCGCTGGAGCAGGTGGCAGTAGCTCCACGCGGTCGGGGACAAATTCTGCGCAGCCCCTGTACCCGCTCCCCTGACCCCTTGCATAATACTCTCAATGCTGAAAGAGATGCATCCGCCTCCCGGTGGCGACGCCAGACCCTTGCCCTCCTCCCAAGGCTGAGGACCAAGTGAGGGCTGCAGCACGGGAAGGGTGCCGGGGTCGCCAGGGCCGCGCCTTCTGCTTTCTTCGGTGCCCCGGCATAGACGGGGGCCGAGAGCAGTAGGTAGCGAAGAGGATGCGGGTGCAGCAGAGCGTAAGGGCGTCTCCCGGGGGCGGTGTTGGGGTAGGCCCCCGGGACTGGCTGCGGCGGGGCAGGGGCCCCAAGCAGAGGGCCTGGGCGGGGGTTGTGCAGGGCGGCGTGTGCAGCAGGTAGAGGGAAGGGGTGGGGCAGGTGGGCTCCCGGGGTCAGTTGGTGGCGCTTGAAACGCTTCCTACGCCGGAGAAAGCTGCCATTGTCGAACATGTCTTGGGAGGCGGGGTCCAGGCTCCAGTAGTTGCCCTTGCCTGGGTGGCCCGGCTCGCGGGGGATCTTAACGAAGCAGTCGTTCAGCGAGAGGTTGTGGCGGATGCTGTTCTGCCAGGCGGGGAACTTGCGGCGGTAGTAGGGGAAGCGGCCACTAATGAAGGCGCAGATGCCGCTGAGCGTGAGGCGCTTGTGCGGGTTTTGCAGGATGGCCATGGTGATGAGCGCGATGTACGAGTAGGGGGGCTTTGCCGGCTGCCGGGCATCTTCAGAGGCCGCCGCAGACCTTGGCGGTGCCCTGAACTTGGTGCCAAACTCTGAGGGGTCGCTCGGGCCGCCGCCGCCCTCGATGTGCTCTCGGGGAAGCGCAACCCCGCCCCACCGGGCCACCTGCAGCCCCGGCTGGAGCGACTGCTCTAGGAACTGCTGGCTCGCCGCCTCCTCCTCGTCTTCCACCTCGTCTTCATCTTCCTCCTCTCCCAGGACATCGATTTTACCGTCTTCCCCATCGGAGTCCCGGAGGCTGCGCTGCGGTGTGGAGCGAAGGCGCTCAGCTCTTGGCAGGTTCATGGAGGAGCAGGTGCTTCAGTCGCAGGGGATGTGGCGGCCGATCACCTGGCCTGGGGCGGGCTGAGCTGGAAGCCTGGGATGAATGTTGCAAGAAGCAGGAACGCTAGTGGTTACCCTTTGGGATGTTTTCGTCTGCTTGTTTCTACTCCTTTGCAACAACGTCCGGCAAAGATGCCTTTGCCTTTTATAAAAGCTTCTTCAAGACCATGTGTGGTGGACTCCCCCCTTTATAACCCTTCTTCCCCTACCTCGGAGCGGTGCCACTTCCTCCTAACGTAGTCCAGGGATGATGGTCTTCTGGGCAAACACCCGTCCGGAGAAAAGCCCAGCCCCCTCCTCCTCGCACCCACCTGCCACCAAGGAAGATGCTCTACTCATCCGGTGCAGCCAGACAGTTGGCAAGCCTTTGCACGGGTTCTGTTAAGGCGCATTTAAACCCGCGCAAATAAAAGCGAGGTAGGAAAGTATGATACTCAACATTCTATGACCACCTCAACATGCAGCCTTCCCGCCTGGAGAAAAGAAATGGTGGGGCAGGAGGCTGAAATGTACACGGTTGTTTGTAAAGGAATGTGTAACCGTAAAAGTATGTTTTTGTGTTTCACAGCTGGTAATCACCCATTTTCATTGGTAGAGTCTGTCCTTACCCAGAATGGTGAGCTGAATTATATTTAAGGTTCTGACAATATTCCCAGGCTTCAGGGGGGTGTTGCTTTGCTCCTTCTACCTTCCTTCCCACCTCCTCAAGATGCTCTCCCTGACTCAAATTTTCAGAAAAGGCTCAAATGTCCCAGCACTAAATTGTGTAAGTTTACTCAGGGAAGGCAGGAGAGCTCACACGGAGTCCTCTGTCCCCTTGTAGCAATGGTTCTCCAATTTCTTTGAATATTTAACCACAGAAATACATTTTATATCACAATCTCACACATACAGACATAATACATAACTAAGATGGGTTTCACGAAACAATATACTTACACTATAGTGATCACTGATATTTCCTTTTAAAAAAAAATGGCCATAACCAACTAAATTGATTTCACACATACCAGTATGGGCCCAGTTTGAAAAATCCTGTTCTTACAAAGTGGCCCCACATACAAGAAATGCACCCACTCTATAAGGGCTTCTCTCTCTCCCTTTCCTCCTTCCTTTCTTCATCCTTTATAACCAATTCATTTTTAGAGACAGGGTCTATGTTGCGCAGGCTGGCTTTGAATTCCTGGGCTCAAGTGATCCTCCCGCCTCAGCCTCCTGAGTAGGTGGGACTACAGGCGTGCCACTATGCCTGGCTCTGGCTCTTCATTCTTTTTTTTTTTTTTTTTTTTTTTTTTTTTTTTGAGACGGAGTCGCTCTGTCGCCCAGGCTGGAGTGCAGTGGGGCGATCTCAGCTCACTGCAAGCTCCGCCTCCTGGGTTCACGCCATTCTCCTGCCTCAGCCTCCCAAGTAGATGGGACTACAGGCGCTCGCCACCACGCCTGGCTAATTTTTTGTATTTTTAGTAGAGACGGGGTTTCACCGTGTTAGCCAGGATGGTCTCGATGTCCTGACCTCATGATCCGCTTGCCTCAGCCTCCCAAAGTGCTGGGATTACCGGCGTGAGCCGCCATGCCCAGCCTCTTCATTCTTTCAGAAATGTCAACATTAAGTGCTTTTACTGTAATAAAACTTGGGACTTCAATGAGGCAAGAAGGGGCTGCAGTGTTGCCTTTAAATCAGTGGGTCCTCATTCACTATCTGCACTGGGGAGGGGCAATATGACAGCACAACTGTTCATCTCACTCGCTCCACATCCTTAGAAATAACACGATTTTTAGATTGGCTTCATGAAAATTAGCTCAGAGACTAAAGTAGCACTACAGAGGAATAAAAAAAATTTGTTATATAAATAAGAATCTTATTAAAATACTAAGTAAGATACTATGCCACGGTATATATTCATAATTTAAAACCCACCTACTTGGGAAAACTTTGAGGTGCCATCTAATAAAAATGCAGCATGAAAGAATATTATGCCCTTGATAGTCACATAGTGTCTATAATTATGACAATGAATGTTCAGTGAGAAATCAAACGCCAACTGCAAGGGCAAAATATAATAAAAAATAGCTTAAAGTAGCTAGTGCCTTCAGGATAAAATCTGGAAAAGAGCTTTCTTGCTGATCTTTTTTTGAAACTTTGCTGCTCCTGAAGTTTTTACCCTTTAAGGCTCCTCAGTTTATATGAAGCTTGGAGGACAAATAACAGACAGGTTTGAGCCTAACAGATTTGTTTGAATCCCAAATTTACCAATGACTGCTTGTGTGACCTACTAAACTAAGCTCCAGGAGGGCCAGGCCAGGTGTCTTATTCAACCACATAATCCCAGACACCTCCTCCCCAGCGCCCCCCAGCATGTGAGGCAAATTTCCTCCATCAGCATAGGAATCGGATGACCTGGGAAAGGGAGTATTGTTAGTTTTCCTAGAGCCAGCTTCAATAGGGATTGGGGTTATTTAAAAATACAGGAGAAAAATAAGGAGGCGCTCAAAAACAAAACACAAAACCCACATTGATGGGGGTATGTCAAAGGGGGGAACAGGAGATAACGGAAAGAGTTCCCAATGGTCAAAGCTGGGATAATTTGAGCAACAAAATAAAGTAGTATTAAATTGTAACCCAAAGTATAAAATATTCATGTGTCCACACTGATAAACATAAATGATCGAACTAATAAAGCGAAAGGGACAACTGTCCCTCGCAGAAGAATTTCAATTAATTATGTAGACCACTCCCAAGAAAGTACACTACAACTCCCCATTCCTTTAGTGTGGGCTGTGCATAGTGATTTCCTTCCAAAGAGCACAGTATGAAATGGGGGAAAAGAGTAACTTTACAATGGAGAAACCTGACAAACACTCCTTCAGCCAGGTGATCAGGTCGTCAACATCAACATCAATAACAGTCATAACCTTTTATTTCATGTCATAAAATGGTGACACTTACTTGTGTTAAAAAAATTTAATAACAATGTAATCATTATATCTCTGCAATCAGCTGAAGTTCTAAGAAAAAATGACAATGTTGAAAGTTGTATCATCATTATTATAAACTTTCATGTTCAGTATATGTAAACTCCAAAGCCAATTTCAAAAGATATTTTTGTGAAATACCATTCTTTAAAAAAAAGGATATTATATATAATTGTATGAATGTTAAATGTTTTACAGTACTGATTTGCTACATTTTATGTATGCTGTAAAACAAATACCATTTTAAAGTATATTGGAATTCGTAACTAAAGTAATAAATAAATGCTTGAAATATACCCAGTAGAAACTTATTTTTATTATCCAATCCTTTTGATAAGAAATGCCTCTAGTGTTATGTACAAACTTGATCTTCTTTGAAATGTGTTGTCCACTGCTTTTCTGTTTCTGTCACAGTAGCTATAAACAGCTGTTTAAGGATATCCTTATCTAAATTTCTGCCTGCAAACAAAACAAAATATGACGTGATTACATTATGCTTATTAAAATGACACAGTTCACCTATCAATTCCAGTTCATTAAATGCTTTATGGTGTTTAAAAATTTACAAAAAGAATAGTAATTGAGTGATTCCATCTTTAACTTTCCAGGTCAGTACATCAAAGTCACATTGGTCCTTGGATTAACCACTTTTCTAAAATTGAAGAAGAACAAAAGTCCTAACAAGCTTTTACGAACGTTGTAATGTGACAAAGATGAAACATTGACCACAAGCTTATTTAGTTTTAAAAGAGGACCTGAATGGTTAATCTGTTTAAGTGGCACATGATATCCCTTTCAAATATATTTTTCACTTTGTTTCAAAACTGTGAATCCTTTGAGACTTACCAATGAGGACCAATCGATTTGTTCTCTCAGTGTCATCCTTCCAGCTCACTGGAGTCTCCTCCAGATCATAGAGCTCATGGACACCCTGGACAATCACTTGTTGTGATTTGTCTTTGATTGACACCAATCCCTGCTCAAAGGAGAATTGACTGAACATTAATCAGCCTCAGTTCAAACTTAAAAGCAGAAATAGAGCATCAATGTTAATGGATTAATTACTGATATTCACTTAAAAAATACAAACTCTTAAGCTGAGAAAATTACTTAATTCCAATTATTTGTGAATTACAAGAAGTTTCTTAATGTTTTTAATTTTCAAAAAAGGTTTCTGTGTATTGATTTTTTTTTGAACAATCCCCTTTTCTAATGATAAAGTTAATACATATATTAGGATGGTTTTTCAGTGTTATTTATCACAACCAAAACCTGAAACAAAATGATGAAATATGTATCATATCCTATTGATTAAAGATTTTATATAATGTTTCACAGTTTTAGTGGGAAAAGTTGAGAAGTTAAAGGAGTTTTGTTATATTAAATAATTTGTTTTAGAAATGGGTTGCAATCAATGAACAATGTTGAAATAAAGAAAAACTATTATATTTATCTGGATATGAGCTCAATTTATCTGAATATGAGCTCATTGTGTATTGATTTGCAGAAATGAGAAACGAATTATCTGATAAACTGGCTCCTATGGGGATGAAATTAATTTATTTGAAATAATATTCTTAATTTACCAAAAACTTTGTGCACACTTGTGAACACACAAGAGTAGACACTCAACTGACTGGTTAAGCATACACTTTAGAATCACTGCTTCCTAGAAGAAATACCTTTCATGACTTAAATACCCAAATATCAAGTAATGTGAGTGGGTTTCTAAATACAGAACAAGAATTCTTCTAGTCCTTTGTAACTTTGTTTAGAGTACAACAAATGTTTAGTGTCTGCTAAATGCATCAGGAAGCATAATGTTCAGCAGAAGTGAGATTTGCAACATTATTTCTCTGTACTTGGGAACAGAGAGCAGAAGGTAACATTTCAAAGCACACAGGTTTGTTCTAGCTGCAACCCTAAAGAAAGTTGTGCAAATAAATCAAGCCTTATGCAGTGATTTCCAAAGCTCCTTTTCAGTCATGAAAATAATAAAGAAAAATGAAAGTAGACAAAGATGATTTGTACTAAAACCAGTGTTTCTGTTTAAAACCAAATATAGTTTTTATAACAGCCAAGAAAAGGACTTTGTCCAAAAGTCTGCAACAGTAAACTGTACCTTCAGCCTTATGACCTCCATGCAGTGATTGTCCTTGTTTCTCACATTCTTTTCCCACAGAAGATTCTGTATCAAGTGACATATTTTAATAAGACCAACCATCGCTAATAGCAACAACTATGTAACAAAACCATTGATAAATCATTAATCAGTTAAAAATTGCATTCACCTGAATAAACATATTAAGATGTTCTTCCTTTGCATTTCCTGGTACTTCAAATGTGATTGTAACAATACTCTGTAAATCAAGGGAAATAATAATAATTCTTTATAGTAATATCAATGTTTTTTAAATCACAAATTTTAAGATGAAAGGAACATATTCATGGAATTTTACATTGCTTAAACCATATATATTACGTATTATACTTTCCTCAGCATATGTGCTGTTTTTTTGGAATTAGCAACTCCATTTCCTACATTCTGCACAGGTACCAATGGATTTAGTATTTACACAAACTACTACCTTGTATTTTAAAAAACTCACTCAGAAACCCTGATGAAAGGGTCCTCATTATTTAATTCATTCTTTCGTGGATTCTCAGGAATAAGAATATATGTAACACATACAATGTACTCACTACACAGGGCCAGGTACTTTTGCCTGAGTCACCTCATTGTATCTTTTGACTTACTCTTCACAACAATCCTGGGGAGTGAAGATAACTATTTCATTTTATAAATTGGGGAAAATAAGGGTCAAAAAAATAAGCTACCCAGAGCCAGGAATAAAACTCAAAACCAAAGTAAATTTGTTCTCTTAAAAAAAAAATACAAAAGAAAGGCTTGGCTTATCTTTAACTGAATAAGCATGTGCCAAGAGGAGAAGAGTTCTTAGCGATGAGAATGATAGGATAATGCCCTCTTTGGCTTTAGTAAGGGTGACATCATCATGTATTGAATATTAACTTTAGGATTTATTTTTCTTCTTTATCTTGATAAATCTCTCACTGTCTACCCTAAAGAAACAGAAGCTTAACATTTCCTCTAACAGGTCACCTAATTAAAACCCAAACCTCCCTTTGCCAATATAACCCCAAATTTCAAACTCAGAGATGAAAATACACAAGGGCTAAGCATAACATTATAAAAACATACACCCCACCTTGGAAAATAGAGGCTCAAAAGCCAAGCTCAAAATGAATTTAAAAAGGTAGAAAATAATATACTAAAGCACATCTTTGCATAACTTCCTAGAACTGCGTATCTGGCCTAGCAATTTTACTCACCATTACATAATCATACAGGCTTACAGCAGAAAATACAAAAAGACCAAAAACTATTTTATAATCCAAACTCAAGAGAATCGCTAAAGTATTAAAGACCAATTTAGGCAGAAACATATGAGACATTTCTTTCTTTCCATAGGTTACTGGGGAACAGGTGGTGTTGGTTAACTTCTTTAGTGGTGATTTGTGAGATTTTGGTACACCCATCACCTGAGCAGTATACACTGCACCCAATTTTTGTCTTTTATTCCTCATCCCCTTCCCACCCTTTCTCCCTGAGTCCCCAAAGTTTATTGTGTCATTCTTATGCCTTTGCATCCTCATAGCTTAGCTCCCACTTATGAGTGAGAACATAGCGATGTTTGGTTTTCCATTCCTGAGTTCTTTCACTTAGAATAATAGTCTCCAATCTTATCCAGGTCACTGTGAATGCCATTAATTCACTCCTTTTTATGGCTGAGGAGTATTCCATTGTATGTATATATATCACAGTTACTTTATCCACGCATTGATTGATGGGCATTTGGGTTGGTTCCACGTTTTTGCAATTGCGAATTGTGCTGCTATAAACATGCGTGTGCACGTATCTTTTTTGTATAATGACTTCTTTTCCTCTGGGTGGATATCTAGTAGTGGGATTGCTGGACCAAATGGTAGTTCTACTTTTAGTTCTTTAAGGAATCTCCACACTGTTTTCCATAGTGGTTGTACTAGTTTACATTCCCACCAGCAGTGTAGAAGTGTTCCGTGTTCACCACATCCATGCCAACATCTACTATTTTTTTGATTTTTTTATTATGGCCATTCTTGCAGAAGTAAGGTGGTATCGCACTGTGGTTTTGATTTGCATTTCCCTGATCATTAGTGATGTTGAGCATTTTTCCATATGTTTATTGGCCATTTGTATATCTTCTTTTAAGAATTGTCTATTCATGTCCTTAGCCCACTTTTTGATGGGACTGCTTTTCTTGCTGATTTGTTGGAGTTCATTGTAGATTCTGGATATTTGTTCTTTTTCAGATGTATATATTATGAAAGATTTTCTCCTTCTCTGTGGGTTGTCTGTTTACTCTGCTGACTTTTCCTTTTGCTCTGCAAAAGTTCTTTAGTTTAATTAAGTCCCAGCTATTTATCTTTGTTTTTATTGCATTTGCTTTTGGGTTCATGAAATCCTTGCCTAAGCCAATGTCTAGAATGATTTTTCCAATGGTATCTTTTAGAATTTTTATAGTTTCAGGTCTTAGATTTAAGTCTTTAATTTATCTTGGGTTGATTTTTGTATACAGTGAGAGAGGAGGATCCAGTTTCATTCTCCTACATGTGGCTAGCCAATTATCCCAGCACCATTTGTTGAAAAGGGTATCCTTTTTCCACTTTACGTTTTTGTTTGCTTTGTTGAAGATCAGTTGGCTGTAAGTATTTGGGTTTATTTCTGGGTTCTCTATTCTGTTCCATTGGTCCATGTGCCTATTTTTATAACCGTACCATGCTGTTTTGGTGACTATGGCCTTATAGTATAAGTTTGAAATCAGGTAATGTGATGCCTTCAGATTTGTTCTTTTTGCTTAGTCTTGCTTTGGCTACGCACATGTGTATGTTAAACCATCCCTGCATCCCTGGTATGAAACCCCTTGATCATGGTGGATTATCTTTTTGATATGTTGTTGGAATCAGTTAGCTAGAATTTTCTTAAGGATTTTAGCATCTATGTTCAAGGATATTGGTCTGTAGTTTTCTTCTTTGGTTATGTCCTTTCCTGGTTTTGGTATTAGGGTGATACTGGCTTCATAGAATGATTTAGGGAGGATTCCTTCTTTCTCTCTCTTGTGGAATAGTGTCTTTAAGACTGGTACCAATTCTTCTTTGAATATCTGGTGGAATTCTGTTGTGAATCCGTCTAGTCCTGGACATTTTTTTGTTGGTAATTTTTTAATTACCATTTCAATCTCCCTGCTTGTTACTGGTCTGTTCAGGGTAATTCTTCCTGATTTAAGCTAGGAGGGTTGTATCTTTCCAGGAATTTATCCATCTATTTTAGGTTTTCTAGTTTATGCATGTAAAGGTGTTCATGGTAGCCTTGAATATCTTTTGTATTTCTGTGGTGTCAGTTGTAATATCTCCCGTTTCATTTCTTATTGAGCTTATTTGGATTTTCTCTCTTTTCTTGGCTAATCTTGCTAACGGTCTATCAATTTTATTTATCTTTTCAAAGAACCAGCTTTTTGTTTCATTTATCTTTTGGATTTTTTTGTTGTTTTGTTTCAATTTCATTTAATTCCGCTCTGATCTTCTTTCTTCTGCTGGGTTTGTTCTTGTTTCTCTAGTTCTTTGAGATGTGACCTTAGATTGTCTGTGCTCTTTCCAACTTTTTGATGTAGGCATTTAGGGCTATGAACTTTCCTCTTAGCACCACCTTTGCTGTATCCCAGAGGTTGATAGGTTGTGTCACTATTGTCATTCAGTTTGAGGAATTTTTACATTTCCATCTTGATTTCATCTTTGACCCAAAGATCATCCAGGAGCAGGTTATTCCATGTATCTGCATGGTTTTGAAGGTTCCTTTTGGAGTTGATTTCCAGTTTTATTCCACTGTGGTCTGAGAAAGTGCTTGATATAATTTTAATTTTCTTAAAATTTATTGAGGCTCATTTTGTTGGCTATCATATGGTCTATCTTACAGAAAGTTCATGTGCTGTTGAACAGAACGTATATTCTGTGGTTGTTGGATGGAATATTCTGTATATATCTTTTAACTCCATTTGTTCCAAGGTATAGTTTAAATCCACTGTTTCTTTGTTGACTTTCTGTCTTGATGACCTGTCCAGTGCTGTCAGTGGAGTATTAAAATCCCTCACTATTATTGTGTTGCTGTCTGTCTAATTTTTTAGGTCTATTAGTAATTCTTTTATAAATTTGGGAGCTCCAGTGTTAGGTGCATATGTTTAGGATTGTGATACTTTCCTGTTGGACAAGGCCTTTTTTCATTATATAATGTCCCTCTTTGTCTTTTTAAACTGCTGTTTCTTTAAAGTTTGTTTTGTCTAATATAAGAATGGCTACTCCTGCTCACATTTGGTGTCCGTTTGCATGAAATGTCTCGGTCCATCCCTTTACCTTAAGTTTATGTGAGTCCTTATGTGTTAGATGAGACTCTTGAAGGCAACAGATAGTTGGTTGGTGAATTCTTACCTATTCTGCAATTCTGTATCTTTTAAGTGGAGCATTTAGGCCATTTATATTCAATGTTAGTATTGAGATGTGAGGTACCACTCTATTCATCATGCTATTTGTTGCCTGTATACCTTGTTTTTTTGGTTTTTGTTGTTTTTCTAATTGTATTTTTGTTTTATAGGTCCTGTGATATTTATGCTTTAAAGAGGTTCTGTTTTGATATGTTTCCTGGATTTGTTTCAAGATTTAGAGTTCCTTTTAGCATTCTTGCACTGGTGGCTTGGTAGTGGTGAATTCTCTGTTTGTCTGAAAAAGCTGTATCTTGCCTTCATATATGAAGCTTAGTTTTGCTGAATACAAAATTCTCAGCTGATAATTGTTTTGTTTGAGGAGGCTGAAGATAGGGTTCCAATCCCTTCTGGCTTGCAGGGTTTCTGCTGAGAAATGTGCTGTTAATCTGGTAAGTTTTCCTTTACAGGTTACCTGGTGCTTTTGTTTCACAGCTCTTTCTTTCATCTTAACTTTAGATAACCTGACGACAATGTGCCTAGATGATGATCTTTTTGCGATGAATTTCCCAGATGTTCTTTGTGCTTCTTGTATTTGGATCTAGGTCTCTAGCAAAGCTGGGGAAGTTTTCCTCAATTATTCCCCCAAATATGTTTAACAAACGTTTAGATTTCTCTTCTTCCTCAGGAATGCCGGTTATTCTTAGGTTTGGTCATTTAACATAATTCCAGATTTCTTGAAGGCTTTCTTCATATTTTCTTATTCTTTTTTCTTTGTCTTTATTGGATTTGGTTAATTAGAAGACCTTGTCTTCAGGCTCTGAATTTCCTTCTTCTACTTGTTCAATTCTATTGCTAAGACTTTCCAGAGCATTTTATATTTCTATAAGTATGTCCATTATTTCCTAAAGTTTTGATTGTTTTTTATTTATGCTATCTAGTTCATTGAATATTTCTCCCTTTACTTCTTGTATCTTTTTTATATATATATATATCCTTACATTGGGCTTCACCTTTCTCTGGTGCCTTAGCTTAATAACCAACCTAGTGAATTCTTTTTCAAGTAAGTCAGGGATTTCTTCTTAGTTTGGATCCATTGCTGGTGAGCTAGTGTGATTTTTTGGGGGGTGTTAAAGAACCTTGTTTTGTCATACTACCAGGGTCGGTTTTCTGGTTCCTTCTCATTTGGGTAGGCTCTGTCAGAGAGAAGGTCTAGGGCTGAAGGTTGTTGTTCAGATTCTTTCGTCCTACGGGGTGTTCCCTTGATGTAGTACTCTCTCCCTTTTCCTATGGATGTGGCTTCCTGAGAGCTGAGCTGTAGTGATTGCTCTCTCTCTTCTGAATCTAGCCACCCAGCAAGTCTACCAGGCTCCAGGCTGGTACTGGGGGGTAGTCTGCACAGAGTCGGGAGATGTGAACCATCTGTGGGTCTCTCAGCTGTGGATACCAGCACCTGTTCCAGTGGAGGTGGTAGGAGGGTGAAATGTACTCTTTGAGGGTTCTTAGCTTTGCTGGTTTAATGTACTATTTTTGTGCTGGTTGGCCTGCTGCAGGGAGGTGGCACTTTCCAGAGAGTGTCAGTTGTGGTAGTATGGAAAGGAACAGGTGATGTGTTGGGCTCTAGAACGCCCAAAAACATGAGATACTTAATCTCCACTGTTAGTAGTAATAGGAAAAGCGGAAAAGTGCTTTCTTGCTTGATAAGAGAAGTACAAGCAGACTAAAAAAAGATTCAAATTGAACTTGCAAATGTGAGACTTTTAAAACTACTTATTTTGTCACAGCAGCCAAGACACTAACAACCACCTAAATGTCCAGGACAGTTGAATGGATAAAATAAATGTGGTAATATACATACAACCAAATATTATGTATCCTTAAAAAAAATCCTGTCATATACTACAACATGGATGAATCTTGAGGACATTACACTAAGTGAAATAAGCCAGTCACAGAAGGACAAATATTGCATGAATCCACTAATATCAGGTGTCTAAAACAGTAAAACTCATCAAATCAGAAAGTAAAATGGTGGTTACCAGGGGTGAGAGGGAGACGAAAATTGGGAGGTGCTGTTCAATGGGTATAATTTTAGTCATGCAAGATGAAAAGTTCTAGAGATCTGCTATATAACAATGTACAGACAGTTAACAATACTATATTGTACCCTTAAAAATTTGTGGAAGAAGGTAGGTCTCACGTTAAGTGTTTTTTACCACAATAAAAAATATACAGTCATGGATACATAAAGAGAAATGAGCTGTTGGGCAATTTTGTTGTTATACAAACATGATAGTGCACTTACACAAACCTAGATGGTATAACCTACTACACACCTAAGCTATGCTGTATTAGCCTGTTGCTCCTAGGCTACAAACCTGTACAGCATATATGTTACTGTACTGAACAGTGTATCGAAATAATAACACAATGGTAAGTATTTGTGTGACAGTAATTTTTCAGCTCCATCGTAATCTTATGCAGTCTGACTAAAACGCTGTTATGCAGTGCATGACTATACTTATTTTTAAATCTTAATAAACATACTCTATTTTAAAACTATTTTTATAGCATAAGGTAATAATAATATGCATTTTTAAATGACAATTATTTTATTTCTTCATTAAAGGAATCACTACAATACCTAAAAGTCCACATAAAAATATACAGCAAAAGGTTGTCAAATGAAACATAACTGTCAGTTAAAAAAAAATAAATTTAGTCTTCAAAAATGTTTAAAATGTATTTTAATGCAAGTTGGAAAACTATATTGAGAATGTCGCAAAATACGACTCAAAATTGCTTTATTGTTAAAGATTTTAACTGAATAAATTTTTTTGAGATGGGGTCTCACTCTGTTGCCCAGGCTGGAGTAGAGTGGCACAATCATGGCTTACTGTAGCTTTGAACTCCCAAGCTAAAGCAATCCTCCCACTTCAGCCTCTCGAGTAGCTGGGATTACAGGTACATGCCACCATGCCTGGCTAATTTTTTGTATTTTTTGCAGAAATGGGGTTTCACCATGTTGCCCAGGCTGGTCTACAACTCCTGGGTTTTAAGTAATCCACCCACCTTGGCCTGTCAAAGCGCTAGGATTACAAGCATAAGCCACCACACCCAGCCTAAAGATTTTTATAATGATTTTTGCTTTTAACAGGTTAAATATGTGACTTAATATTTTTAAGGGGTACAATAAACTCCAGTATGAGACAAAAAAGGCTTTAAAAATTAAAGCTCAAGAAGGATGATCTACATTTTGGAACCAGATGTTTTCCTACACCAATAAACTCTTTTCATGTTAGAAAAACCCTGAAAAAATCTGTAATTCCCAGTGCAGAAGATAAGGGTCACAACTCATAGTTGGTTCTAATAATAAACTAAACATTATTTGTCACTTGGGTTTTCTCATCTACCTTCCCACTCTCCAAACCCAGGTGTTCCTTATGGGGAATAAACAAAGAATCCATGAAAAATAGATAACTGCATTAAAAATTCAGGGATAGAGCCTTAATAACACATATATACTAGGTCCTAGGTATTACCCATTTCAGACTTTTTTTTTCCAGTTTTTGTTTTGAATCTAAAATTAACTCCTTTTTCCATGTATGCTGACACAGAAAGAAACAGAAAAGTGAGGCAATAATTGAGAAAACTAAAGCAAAATGAGGAATTGTCTCTAAAATAAAATTTAGGAACAACTTACTCAGGTTTGTTTATTTAGTCCGTTTCTTCTTTAACCCACTGGGTTATTTCTCCATTTTCTACTCTTTTGCAAACAATACCTAACATACAATAACTTTTATATGTTTTCTTCATCCAGAACACTAAGCCCCCTAATGTGCTTAAACTCAAAATCTGTACCTTCACACTCTATCCCTCTGTTCTTCTTTGCCTGTATAATATCTATACTATAATATCTGGCCACCAGGGACAACTGAATATATGGCATTATCATCCAAATCACTTTGCCTTCCCGATTTTTCTATTTCTAGGTTTCTCTAGTCAATCTAGGCTTGTTTCCCATCACCCCTTCTTTTCTTTCTGATCCATACTCAGTCAGACAGGATATTCAGGCAAGTCTACTGGTGAAACAGCTCTGGATTTATCCCATTTCTAGTCTCACTGTAACCAACATGTTTCAGGCCCTTATCACACAGTATCTTCCCGCATGGTCTCCTGACTCTAAAGTCCAATCTAGCTTACATAACACTCCTAGACAGCACTGCTTGAGTTTTCTTTGTCTAGCAAATTAAAACCTAATACCTTAGACCAGGATTCCAGTACCAACTCTCCACTAAGACTTCTGTACCAGAGACCTACTCATCTATAAGATTCTCACCTTCTCATTTTTAAACATCCATATTGCTCTTTTCCTTACTTCTTCCTGTCAAAAAAAATCCTACCGTCAAAAAAAATCCTACCAGTTCAAGGTTATTTTTTGTTAAGTAAGTCAGAATAGCACTTACCCCTTCTTTGACTAGGAAGGGGCAAAAAGGAACTCTTTACAATTTTGGATATCTTTTGTATCTTGACCTGAGTGGGAGTTAGAAGGATATGTGTTTGAATGTGCATATAGACAGATATATAGGTACAAATATATGTAAAAATACATTGAGGCCGGGCACAGTGGCTCACGCCTGTAATCCCAGCACTTTGGGAGGCCGAAGCAGGTGGATCACCTGAAGTCAGGAGTTTGAGACCAGCTTGGCCAACATGGTGAAACCCCATCTTTACTAAAAAAAAAAAAAAAAAAAAAAAAAAATACAAAAATTAGCTAGGCATGGTGGTACATGCCTGTAATCCCAGCTACTCAGAAGGCTGAGGCATGAGAATCACTTGAATCTAGAAGGAGGAAGTTGCAGTGAGCCAAGGTCACACCACTGCACTCCAGCCTGGGTGAGACTCCAGCCGGAGCGAGACTCCGTCTCAGAAAAAACCAAAAAAACAAAAACAAAAACAAAACCCAAACATTGAATTGTACACTAAAATTACACATTTGCATGCTTTATGCAAATAAATAAACCAAAACCAAAACAAACAAACAAAAAACTATCCTCATGAAGCATTTGATGGGGTTCAGGACATGCTATCCCAAAATATGGCAACTCAATATTTGAGAAAATGGCAGAATCAGGAAGGTCACTCTCACCTTCTCTCCTGAAGCAGGTCATAAAACCTAGGAAAGATTTTCTGACCTTCCGCTGATGCAGGTCATAAGACCCTCATTTAAGAGGTGCCCTCTCTATACACAGAGGAAAAGAACATCCTTAAGTCTGAATATGAAGGGTCACAGAGAAAAATCTGAACAAACAGGCCTTGCTAAGTTCTTCCCAGTTTATTATTAGATCATACTGTTTTATCTAATTATGCTTCTCCATTAACTATCCTCTTCCATACCATAACTAACAGAAAACATACACAGGTATGTTTTATGAAGGCTCCTGTGTCAAGTAAAACTTACTAAATAAATTTCTATGTTGAAATTTCTCTTGATAGTTGGTCTTCTGTTAGAGAGACCTCAGCCATGAATCTAGTGATAGGCGAGGAAAAGATAAATTTCCTCCCTTACACCTCAGATCCACTAAACCAAATGAAATTGTTCTTGCCTCTGAATCCCATAGCCCTTTGGCTGTGATACTATTTTTCCCTATGTTTATATTATCTAAAGCAGGACAGTGCATCAGAATCTCCTACAGAGGCTACAAAAATATAGATATGCCCTATTTAGTAGTAAAGTGACATAATGTCTGGAATTTGCTTTAATACACTACACCAAGGGCAATAGGTACATACAGGCTCATTATACTATTCTACTCTTATGCACGTTTGAAATTTCCTATTAAAATACATTTGTTTTTTTTAAATACTCCAGGCAAAAGAAATGTTGGGAGGATAGGTGAAATAAAATCAGCTAAATGTTGATGCCATTTAAACTGGGTGATGCATACAAGGGGTTTACTTTACTATTCTGTTTATTCTTTTATATCTTTGAAATCTTCCATAATAAAATGTTAAAAATATACATTAATATACACATACCCAAGTCCCAATCCTGGAGACTGAGGGGTGAGAACTACTGAGTTATCGAATTTTTTTTAAAAAAGCTCCACATGTGATTCTGATTTATACCCCATTTGAGAAACACAGCTTTTCATTCTTTTAACAAATATTCACTGAGTATCCACCAAGCCCTGTACTAAGCAATAAAGATTTTATATTTAAGGAATTTATAGACTAATGCAAGGCAAAAGCATTTCAACCAAACTACAAGGCATCATAACTGCCACAATAGGGGTTCATTCGAGATTCTATGGATGGAGACACTGGCTGCTCCAAATGTTCATGGTAAGTGAGTACTGCGTTTGCTTCATCTTTTCATCCCTATGATTCTTGGCATCACGTTCTTTACCCAGAAGCTCAAATGTGCTTCATGTTCAACTATATGACAGATACCGACTATCATAAAGAACTGAGTTTTTTTTTTTTTTTACCATAAATTCTATCTCCAAGGACTTGTATTTCTCTCATTTATTCATTTTAAAGATAAGTGAAGAGGAATATCCTATTAACAAAAGTTTCACAGGGAAAGGTGCCACAAACATAGTAGCAAACCTGCTCATAAATGTGAACCAAAATGAATACAAATGCAAGTAGCTGTTATCTTGGCCCTATTACAACCAATAGCAATTCAAAAATTGAGTGATCACTTGAGAGAGAGGAAGGAAGATTAGGCACACTGCTCACTTACACATCCCCCACTCCACCCCTCAGGGTTTTAAGAGGAACAAAGAAGTTATCCTAAAGCTCTACGATCTATGATCTGCTTAACAGAAACGCAGGTACAGTAAAATTATATTTAAATTGTTCCTAGCATCTTAGATATTTACCTTAGGGATTAGAATTTTAGAGCATGAAAAACATCTTAAGGAGTTCAAATTTATAGTGCTACCTGAAGGTGAAACTCCAAGTCAATTTTTATTTAAATAAGCCATGCTTATATCAGACCTTTCCTTAAACAATTCAACATACTTAAAAACAGACTGCCTATAGAACCCCCAGGCTGCTTTTAAGGAGTAATCCCTATCAGAACTAACCAATATGCTAAGCAATCTACAGAATGGAAAGGCTAGAAAGCATGGTTTCCTCAGATTCTAAAACAAATCTGGTTTGATGAATTCCTATTATGTGTTAAGAAATAGAATTAGACTATGTCAAAAGCATTTAAGATTCCAAAAATTATCAACACAGTTCAAAAATACCATTTTAGAAAAAGTTTATAATAAAATAGTCCTAAACATAGCCTATCTAGTTAAAGAGGTCCTTTAAAAACATTGATTAGAAATTTTGGATTTAGATTTTTTTTCTTTACCTGATCAAGGTGAGGTTGTGTTCCTGGCACATGCTGAAGTTTTTTCTGCAAACTAAAAACAACTGATTAGAAATTCAGAGATGAATACACTTCTGATTTAACTTTATACGTTATTTAGTGACACAAGGATAATGAAGTGACTTTCCATAACTGACTATTCTAATATTCTGTAATTCCAATTTTACAAGTTGTTCGCAAATTCCAATAGAGAAAAGCTGGCAGATTAAGTTTTTTTAAAATTTCTTAAAAAAAACACACATTCATATATATACATATGCACAGAATAAAGAGAAAAACTAGTCTTTTAGCAACACTATTTTGTATGGTTAAATATGTCAGTAAATTTCTTTACCATTCCAACAGGTTTAATACAAACTTAAATATATATATAACCATTCTAGTATTGCTTAGAGTTCCTTAACTTTCTCCTGCTTCCTAATATGAAAATAATGCTGGCACCTAAAGAAAGTTGAAAGGATAAATTTTCCTTTATCAATGTTTTCCCTTGAACTTATTAAAAAAGAAATAGTATCCATAAATATAAATTTTCTATATAGTCAGTTACCAATTGAGAGAAAAAGAAAGTCAGAATGTTAAAAATACATTGTTCTGATATGAAAAGCACAAGAAGATCAACATGGCATAACAAATTACAACCATAATAACTGTAGCATACATTTCAACACTGATGGGGACAGGACGGGAGGGGGAAAGGACTGAAAACCTTGCAGATGCTTTGCCTTGAAGAACAGTGAGGGGTAAATTAGTAACAGCAAGTTTAGGAAAGAGAAAGAACTTGTAGGAACTATTGGAGGGAATGAGTCTCTTTGGGGGGGTCCTAGTAGGGAGAATGTCAAATTAAATCCTTCCCAGCTGGTTGCTCAGGAAAAGATTCTCCTGTTTAGCAGTTAAGCACACACAAAAAAGTCATGCAACGGCCTTCCCTATAGTGGTGAGATCACATTAAATAGCTACTTCAAGTGTCACTAAAGCATTATAACTGCTCTTAAGTGTATGTAGAATGAGATTACTTTAGAAAAACATTTCGAAAAATCATATGCTTTTCCCATATGTTCAGTATTTAATGTTGTTGGACAATGACTGCCTAAAACTTCATACGCAGCAAAAAAAAAAAAAAAAAAAAATCTAACAACGAACATTTAAGTTTAGTTCCCATAAGTCTCAGAATTTCATGCCCTCGATTTTTTCCCTATCATACACATTTTTAAAAGACTAATCTAGTGGATAAGGATATGCTATCAAAACCTGAAACTCATGAATCGGAAATCATCTTGCACATTAACTTGTAATCTTATAACAATTTTTGTCTCTGCACACATAAAATGTAAATTCTGCACGCATAAAATGTAAAAAATCTCAAACAGTTTAGTGTTTTGTATATTTAAATCATTATGTTCTATAACAAACAATAATTTAGGTATTGTCAGTAAGATGGAATTAGCAACATTTCTATTTCTCCCAAGTAAAAATATAGAATGATATAAAGAACTGGATGCCTTGATGAAAGTACCTGTATTACAGCAAATTATAGCAAAAGACAGAAGTAGAAAGGAAAAACAAAAATTGATATACTGAATATAGAGGTGGGAAATGATTGCATACTATAATTCTTATTAGTGAAATAAAGCACTAAAGGATACAATATGTAAAGGGAAAAAATAAAACTTCAACTAAAAAATATTCTAGTGTTTAACATATTAAATGACAACCAACTTGTAAGCTCTTGGACCCAACAGAGATAAATTAGTTTAAGAAAGGCAAATTTTGCTGGGTTCAGTGGCTCAGGCTTATAATCCCAGCACTTTGAGAGGCCAAGTAGGAGAATCACTTGAGGCCAGGAGTTCAAGACGAGCCTGAGCAACGTAGCGAGAGCCTGTCACTACAAAAAAGTAAAAATAAAAAAATTAGCCAGGCATGGGTGCAAGCCTGTAGTCCCAGCTACTCAGGAGGCTGAGATGGGAGGATCACTTGAGTCCAGGAGTTCACGACTGCAGAGAGCCATGATAGCCACTGCATTCCAGCCCAGGTGTCAGAGTGAGACTCTGTCTCAATAAAATAAAATAATTAAATAAATATGAAAAAAAGAAAAGGCCAAGTGTGGTGGCTCACGCCTATAATCCCATTACTTTGGGAGGCTGAGGTGGGCAGATCACTTAAGCCCAGGAGTTTAAGATCAGCTTCGGCAACATGGCAAAACCTCATCTTCTACCAAAATAAAAAATTAGCCAGGCATGGTAGTGCGTGCCTATAGTCCCAGCTACTCATGAGTCTGAGGTGGGAAGATGGCTTAAGCCCAGGACACAGAGGCTATAGGGAGCTGACATCGCACCACTGCACTCTAGCCTGGGCAATAGACCCAGACCCTGTCTCCAAGGGGAAAAAAAAAAAAAAAGAAAGGCAAATTTCATGCAGCATTGTTTCATTTGTTCCCCTTGTAAACACATTTAAATGTATCACAGGATCTGTAACTATCAAAACTGCCCACAGCATCAAATTAAAAATACAGTTCTAATCCAGACACGGCGGATGAAAGCGATCATGGCTAACTAGTGAAACAGCACTGATAGTCAAATGAAGGGCTGGAACCTTGAAGTAAAAAGAAGAAAAGGATCATCGAGAGAAAAGTTAGGATGGGCTAGACTTCTGGTTATTTCAGAAATGGGTAGCAAAAGACAAAGGCTCTTAACCTCCCAGAATTAGGTGACAACCTCAGCCAATCTATCTCCCTAGTAAAGCCAGAGCTAAGATGGGAAAAAAAGACCATTTTTAAATGAACAAACCAAATTTATGCTTAGGGCTGTATTCGCTTAATGGAGGAACAGTCATTTCAAAATTAGTAAAACAAAAGCTTTATATGAAAAAACATAGTATAATTCTGAATGATTTTCATACAATCATTATCAAGCATAAGTGATACTGGATACCTGAAGCTGACATGAGGGAAAAAGCCTCAGGGAGATTTCACAACTTTGTACAGCAGTGGCTTGAAAGGATATAACTATATTTACCATAAAACAAGAAGTAGTCATTTTTACCTTACACAATTTATAAGAATTTTTAGAAAAATAGAAATAACTCACATGTAATTCAGGTATACCAAACTTTCCTGCCTTCCTACTAAATGGAACTAGAAAAGCAAAATGCTGATTTTTTCCAGGTACTCCAAAAATACCTTTATAATTTTAACTGTAATTTGTTTAGTCTAAAAAGGTACTCCTCCAATACCAGAAGCTACAGGTGAAAAACATATCTCTCAACTGAAGACAACTTCTTGAATAACTGTGTCACTGACAAGTTTACTCTCTGAGCTTCAGTTTCCAAACTGAGAAGGAGGAATAACTGCCCTGCCTGTCCCACACTTCTGGCTGCTGAAATAATCTCAATCAATTTCTTTTTTCTTTCTTTATTTTTTTTTTTTACAAACTACATGCAAATTTAATTTTTCCAATTCATAAAGTAAAAGGGGTCCAATAAAACACTATCATGTCCTACCTCACAGGTTACTGTAGGTATTGTTTTCAAAATGTGAACAATACTACAGACTGAAGGTGGAAAAAAAAACTAGTTGAAAGTAGAATTAGTTTTTAAGGGCATGGCTAAGCCAAAATTAGAAATATATTTATAAGGCTGGGTGTGGTGGCCTACACATGTAATCCCAGCACTTTGGGAGGCTGAGGCATGAGGATCACTTGAGCCCAGGAGTTTGAGACCAGCCTAGGCAACATAGCAAGACCCCATGCTTATAGAAAATTAAAAAAAAAAATTAGTCAGGCATGGTGACACATGCCTGTGGTCCCAGCTTCTTGGGAGGCTGAGATGGGAGGATCACTTGAGCCCAGGAGGCTGAGGCTGCAGTAAGCCATGTTTGTGCCACTGCACTCCAGCCTGAGTGACAGAGAACCCCATCTCAAAAAAATAAATAAAAAGAAAAGAAATATATATAGGAATGGGAATTAGAACTCTCAAATGTAGAGCCACCCACTATGCCTACCCTTAAGCAAAATTGTCCCACCAATTCAAAATACCCAGAGACATGTCCATTTTCATGATCTTGTATGGACATATATGAGACTTATGAGATATTCATTGCAGCATTATTTGCAATAGCCAAGCTGTGAGAACAAGTTAAATGTCCACTAACAGAAAAAGGGATAAAGTAAATGTGGTATATGTAGAAAATGGAATATTATTCAGACTTAAAAAGGAAACCTTGCCATATGCAAAAACATGGATGAACCTTGATGACTTTATGCTACATGAAATCAACCAGTCACAGAAAGACAAATAATGCATGATTCCACTTGTGTCAGGTAATTAAAATAGTCAACCCCACAGAAAGAGTGTAGAATGGTGGATGCCAGGGGCTATGAAGACAGGGAAATGGGAAGCTGCTATTCAAGGGGTATAAAGCTTCAGTTTTAAAGAGTGAAACGTTCCAGAGATCTGCTGCACATTCTCATGCCTATAGTTAGCAATACTGTATTGTACACTTAAAAAATTGTTAAGAGGGTAGATCTCATGTTAGATGTTCTTACTACAATAAAAAAAGAAAAAGATACCGATGCACAAGAATAACTAATCTTTCTTCCCTCCCTTACCAAAAAGATTCCCCACAGGAGAAGGCAGAAAACTAATCCATTATTAAAGTGAAGAGAGGAGAGAGGAGCCAAGATGGCCGAATAGGAACAGCTCCGGTCTACAGCTCCCAGCGTGAGAGACGCAGAAGACAGGCGATTTCTCCATTTCCATCTGAGGTACCGGGTTCATCTCACTAGGTAGTGCCAGACAGTGGGCGCAGGTCAGTGGGTGCGTGCTCCATCCGCGAGCCAAAGCAGGGCGAGGCATTGTCTCACTTGGGAAGCACAGGGGGTCAGGGAGTTCCCTTTCCTAGTCAAAGAAAGGGGTGACAGACTGCACCTGTAAGATTGGGTCACTCCCACCCGAATACTGCGCTTTTCTGACGGGCTTAAAAAACCGCGCACCAGGAGATTGTGTCCCGCACCTGGCTCGGAGGGACCCACGCCCACGGAGTCTCGCTGATTGCTAGCACAGCAGTCTGAGATCAAACTGCAAGGCGGCAGCGAGGCTGGGGGAGGGGCGCCCGCCATTGCCCAGGCTTGCTTAGGTAAACAAAGCAGCCAGGAAGCTCCAACTGGGTGGAGCCCACCACAGCTCAAGGAAGCCTGCCTGCCTCTGTAGGCTCCACCTCTGGGGGCAGGGCACAGACACACAAAAAGACAGCAGTAACCTCTGCAGACTTACCTGTCCCTGTCTGACAGCTTTGAAGAGAGCAGTGGTTCTCCCAGCACGCAGCTGGAGATCTGAGAACGGGCAGACTGCCTCCTCAAGTGGGTCCCTGACCCCTGACCCCCGAGTAGCCTAACTGGGAGGCACCCCCTAGCAGAGGCAGGCTGACACCTCACACGGCCGGGTACTCCAACAGACCTGCAGCTGAAGGTCCTGTCTGTTAGAAGGAAAACTAACAAACAGAAAGGACATCCACACCAAAAACCCATCTGTACATCACCATCATCAAAGACCAAAAGTAGATAAAAACCACAAAGATGGGGAAAAAACAGAGCAGAAAAACGGGAAACTCTAAAAAGCAGAGCACCTCTCCTCCTCCAAAGGAACGCAGCGCCTCTCCTCCTCCAAAGAAACGCAGCTCCTCACCAGCAACGGAACAAAGCTGGACGGAGAATGACTTTGACGAGCTGAGAGAAGAAGGCTTCAGACGATCAAATTACTCCAAGCTACGGGAGGACATTCAAACCAAAGGCAAAGAAGTTGAAAACTTTGAAAAAAATTTAGAAGAATGTATAACTAGAATAACCAATACAGAGAAGTGCTTAAAGGAGCTGATGGAGCTGAAAACCAAGGCTTGAGAACTACGTGAAGAATGCAGAAGCCTCAGGAGCCGATGCGATCAACTGGAAGAAAGGGTATCAGCGATGGAAGATGAAATGAATGAAATGAAGCAAGAAGGGAAGTTTAGAGAAAAAAGAATAAAAAGAAACAAACAAAGCCTCCAAGAAATATGGGACTATGTGAAAAGACCAAATCTACGTCTGATTGGTGTACCTGAAAGTGACAGGGAGAATGGAACCAAGTTGGAAAACACTCTGCAGGATATCATGCAGGAGAACTTCCCCAATCTAGCAAGGCAGGCCAACATTCAGATTCAGGAAATACAGAGAATGCCACAAAGATACTCCTCGAGAAGAGCAACTCCAAGACACATAATTGTCAGATTCACCAAAGTTGAAATGAAGGAAAAAATGTTAAGGGCAGCCAGAGAGAAAGTTCGGGTTACCCTCAAAGGGAAGCCCATCAGACTAACAGCGGATCTCTTGGCAGAAACTCTACAAGCCAGAAGAGAGTGGGGGCCAATATTCAACATTCTTAAAGAAAAGAATTTTCAATCCAGAATTTCATATCCAGCCAGACTAAGCTTCATAAGTGAAGGAGAAATAAAATACTTTACAGACAAGCAAATGCTGAGAGATTTTGTCACCACCAGGCCTGCCCTAAAAGAGCTCCTGAAGGAAGCGCTAAACATGGAAAGGAACAACCGGTACCAGCCGCTGCAAAATCATGCCAAAATGTAAAGACCATCGAGACTAGGAAGAAACTGCATCAACTAACGAGCAAAATAACCAGCTAACATCATAATGACAGGATCAAATTCACACATAACGATATTAACTTTAAATGTAAATGGACTAAATGCTCCAATTAAAAGACACAGACTGGCAAATTGGATAAAGAGTCAAGACCCATCAGTGTGCTGTATTCAGGAAACCCATCTCACGTGCAGAGACACACATAGGCTCAAAATAAAGGGATGGAGGAAAATCTACCAAGCAAATGAAAAACAAAAAAAGGCAGGGGTTGCAATCCTAGTCTCTGATAAAACAGACTTTCAACCAACAAAGATCAAAAGAGACAAAGAAGGCCATTACATAATGGTAAAGGGATCAATTCAACAAGAAGAGCTAACTATCCTAAATATATATGCACCCAATACAGGAGCACCCAGATTCATAAAGCAAGTCCTGAGTGACCTACAAAGAGACTTAGACTCCCACACAATAATAATGGGAGACTTTAACACCCCACTGTCAACATTAGACAGATCAATGAGACAGAAAGTCAACAAGGATACCCAGGAATTGAACTCAGCTCTGCACCAAGCAGACCTAATAGACATCTACAGAACTCTCCACCCCAAATCAACAGAATATACATTCTTTTCAGCACCACACCACACCTATTCCAAAATTGACCACATACTTGGAAGTAAAGCTCTCCTCAGCAAATGTAAAATAACAGAAATTATAACAAACTATCTCTCAGACCACAGTACAATCAAACTAGAACTCAGGATTAAGAATCTCACTCAAAACCACTCAACTACATGGAAACTGAACAACCTGCTCCTGAATGACTACTGGGTACATAACGAAATGAAGGCAGAAATAAAGATGTTCTTTGAAACCAACGAGAACAAAGACACAACATACCAGAATCTCTGGGACACATTCAAAGCAGTGTGTAGAGGGAAATTTATAGCACTAAATGCCCACAAGAGAAAGCAGGAAAGATCCAAAATTGACACCCTAACATCACAATTAAAAGAACTAGAAAAGCAAGAGCAAACACATTCAAAAGCTAGCAGAAGGCAAGAAATAACTAAAATCAGAGCAGAACTGAAGGGAATAGAGACACAAAAAACCCTTCAAAAAATTAATGAATCCAGGAGCTGGTTTTTTGAAAGGATCAACAAAATTGATAGACCACTAGCAAGACTAATAAAGAAAAAAAGAGAGAAGAATCAAATAGACGCAATAAAAAATGATAAAGGGGATATCACCACCGATCCCACAGAAATACAAACTACCATCAGAGAATACTAAAAACACCTCTACGCAAATAAACTAGAAAATCTAGAAGAAATGGATAAATTCCTTGACACATACCCCCTCCAAAGACTAAACCAGGAAGAAGTTGAATCTCTGAATAGACCAATAACAGGATCTGAAATTGTGGCAATAATCAATAGCTTACCAACCAAAAAGAGTCCAGGACCAGATAGATTCACAGCCGAATTCTACCAGAGGTACAAGGAGGAACTGGTACCATTCCTTCTGAAACTATTCCAATCAATAGAAAAAGAGGGAATCCTCCCTAACTCATTTGATGAGGCCAGCATCATCCTGATACCAAAGCCGGGCAGAGACACAACCAAAAAAGAGAATTTTAGACCAATATCCTTGATGAACATTGATGCAAAAATCCTCAATAAAATACTGGCAAACCGAATCCAGCAGCACATCAAAAAGCTTATCCACCATGATCAAGTGGGCTTCATCCCTGGGACGCAAGGCTGGTTCAATATATGCAAATCAATACATGTAATCCAGCATATAAACAGAACCAAAGACAAAAATCACATGATTATCTCAATAGATGCAGAAAAGGCCTTTGACAAAATTCAACAACCCGTCATGCTAAAAACTCTCAATAAATTAGGTATTGATGGGACGTATTTCAAAATAATAAGAGCTATCTATGACAAACCCACAGCCAATATCATACTGAATGGGCAAAAACTGGAAGCATTCCCTTTGAAAACTGGCATAAGACAGGGATGCCCTCTCTCACCACTCCTATTCAACATAGTGTTGGAAGTTCTGGCCAGGGCAATTAGGCAGGAGAAGGAAATAAAGGGTATTCAATTAGGAAAAGAGGAAGTCAAATTGTCCCTGTTTGCAGACGACATGATTGTATATCTAGAAAACCCCATCGTCTCAGCCCAAAATCTCCTTAAGCTGATAAGCAACTTCAGCAAAGTCTCAGGATACAAAATCAGTGTACAAAAATCACAAGCATTCTTATACACCAACAACAGACAAACAGAGAGCCAAATCATGAGTGAACTCCCATTCACAATTGCTTCAAAGAGAATAAAATACCTAGGAATCCAACTTACAAGGGATGTGAAGGACCTCTTCAAGGAGAACTACAAACCACTGCTCAAGGAAATAAAAGAGGATACAAACAAATGGAAGAACATTCCATGCTCATGGGTAGGAAGAATCAATATCCTGAAAATGGCCATACTGCCCAAGGTAATTTACAGATTCAATGCCATCCCCATCAAGCTACCAATGACTTTCTTCACAGAATTGGAAAAAACTACTTTAAAGTTCATATGGAACCAAAAAAGAGCCCGCATCGCCAAGTCAATCCTAAGCCAAAAGAACAAAGCTGGAGGCATCACACTACCTGACTTCAAACTATACTACAAGCCTACAGTAACCAAAACAGCATGGTACTGGTACCAAAACAGAGATATAGATCAATGGAACAGAACAGAGCCCTCAGAAATAACGCCGCATATCTACAACTATCTGATCTTTGACAAACCTGAGAAAAACAAGCAGTGGGGAAAGGATTCCCTATTTAATAAATGGTGCTGGGAAAACCGGCTAGCCATATGTCGAAAGCTGAAACTGGATCCCTTCCTTACACCTTATACAAAAATCAATTCAAGATGGATTAAAGACTTAAACGTTCGACCTAAAACCATAAAAACCCTAGAAGAAAACCTAGGCATTACCATTCAGGACATAGGCATGGGCAAGGACTTCATGTCTAAAACACCAAAAGCAATGGTAACAAAAGCCAAAATTGACAGATGGGATCTAATTAAACTAAACAGCTTCTGCACAGCAAAAGAAACTACCATCAGAGTGAACAGGCAACCTACAAAATGGGAGAAAATTTTCGCAACCTACTCATCTGACAAAGGGCTAATATCCAGAATCTACAATGAACTCAAACAAATTTACAAGAAAAAAGCAAACCACCCCATCAAAAAGTGGGCGAAGGACATGAACAGACACTTCTCAAAAGAAGACATTTATGCCACCAAAAAACACGTGAAAAAATGCTCACCATCACTGGCCATCAGAGAAATGCAAATCAAAACCACAATGAGATACTATCTCACACCAGTTAGAATGGCAATCATTAAAAAGTCAGGAAACAACAGGTGCTGGAGAGGATGTGGAGAAATAGGAACACTTTTACACTGTTGGCGGGACTGTAAACTAGTTCAACCATTGTGGAAGTCAGTGTGGCGATTCCTCAGGGATCTAGAACTAGAAATACCATTTGACCCAGCCATCCCATTACTGGGTATATACCCTAAAGGACTATATGCACACGTATGTTTATTGCGGCATTATTCACAATAGCAAAGACTTGGAACCAACCCAAATGTCCAACAATGATAGACTGGATTAAGAAAATGTGGCACATATACATCATGGAATACTATGCAGCCATAAAAAATGATGAGTTCATGTCCTTTGTAGGGACATGGATGAAATTGGAAATCATCATTCTCAGTAAACTATCGCAAGAACAAAAAACCAAACACCGCATATTCTCACTCATAGGTGGGAATTGAACAATGAGAACACATGGACACAGGAAGGGGAACATCACACTCTGGGGACTGTTGTGGGTTGGGGGGAGGGGGGAGGGATAGCATTGGGAGATATAACTAATGCTAGATGACGAGTTAGTGGGTGTAGCACACCAGCATGGCACATGTATACATATGTAACTAACCTGCACATTGTGCACATGTACCCTAAAACTTAAATAATAATAAATAAATAAATTAAAAAAAAACTCAAGAAAAAATAAAAAATAAAAAAATAAAGTGAAGAGAGTTATTTGTGTGAAAACGCTAAGCTAAAATTTTCTATGTATTTCATGCATTTTCTCATAGAAAGAGTATTAGACATAGTGTTTGGCGTAGAAGTGTTAACGATTAGCCTCTAAAGTTAACTATCATTTACACTATAATTTCTACAGGAAAATGCAATATGATTTCCAAACAACCAATTAGTAAAACTTCCAAGAATATACCTCATTAAGAATGGTCTTGTATGCCAAAGGAATGGCAGGAAGCTTAAATCATGGATGCAATTGTGCAAATCATTCCTGTTAACTATGGGGAAAAAAGGTACATAACAATAAAAGTAACCAAATTATACAAAACATACCTTATTCCAGAGAGACTATCAAAGGCATGAAGATCTAATACATTAGAGAGATCAACTCTAAAAGGAAGAAAACTAACGTGAGCAGTTGGAAATTCTGTGAAATACATCCAATTAATCAAGAAAAAAAAACTCTGACTCTTAAAAAATTTTATACATAAAATTCATAGAAGTGGGCAAATGGTGTAAGATTTGAATCACAGTTGAATCAAGATTGAAAATTATTTGGTTATTACTTCAATGAATTAGGTTTTTTTTAAACTTTCAATTATCTTTTCAATCCTGAAATTTATGAGCTTTTCAAATACATTTTTATAGCTAAAAAATCAGCTAAAGAACAGAAACTTTTCCAAGCAGCTTATTACTCAAAAGATGAAACAAAAGAAATGACAAATAGAATTAACAAATAGGTACATTCCAGATACCTCTGCAATTTTTGTATTTCTTTTATACCCCCTCCCTTGATATAACATGTAATATAAAAATGAGGAGTCAAATAACCAATGTACAAAATATTAAGTTACTCTAGGACCCTGATCGTCACGTGATTTGATTTCATTCATTCAGAATGGGGCTGCATGTAGAAAGAAAATTCCCACCATCCGAATAGACATTATTTCTCTTAGAATTATTTAATGATAATTAAACTCATTTAATTGAATCCAATGATTCAAATCAGGTGAGAATAAATAACATATCACAATTAGCATTAGGTTTGGTTTAAATATAAAAAAGCAAATTTATAAAGACTGGTGATTGAGTTATAATTTTAACATAAGCCCAGAAAATCACAGAGGACAGGCTGGGCGCGGTGGCTCACGCCTGCAATCCCAGCACTTTGGGAGGCCGAGGCGGGCGGATCACAAGGTCAAGATCAAGACCATCCTGGCCATGGACAACGTGGTGAAACCCTGTCTCTACCAAAAATACAAAAATTAGCTGGGTGTGGTGGCACGCACCTGTAGTCCCAGCTACTCGGGAGGCTGCGGCAGGAGAATCATTTGAACCTAGGAAGTGGAGGTTGCAGTGAGCCGAGATTGCACCACTGCACTCCAGCCTGGCACAGAGTGAGACTCCGCCTCAAAAGAAAAAAAAAAAAAAAAGAACAGCAGAGGACAGTGATTTCTCATAATCAAAGCTAAGGTGAAGAAATATTTAAAGAAAATGACAAATGTATAATTTCAAATTTAGATTCCAGAAGCTTGCCAAACATTTGTTAAATTTTCTTACAAGGAAAAAAAACATCATTGGTCAGATTCAAGATTTTTTTTTCTTTAATGCACAAACATATAAGAAAAAACATCTCCTTTATCTTAGGACTGACCAACTGTGCCTGCTTTCTTTATTCTCAACAGTCTATCACATACTCGTACTCGTGGCAACAATACTGTGTTAGATTATGAATGCTTGTCTTGGCAAAAGAGAGACAAATTCCCATCTTATTACTCCAAAGTTCTATGTTAGTAGACTATAACAGCAACTCAAATTCTGGGCATTTTAGATGTACAGAATTAGAAAAATGATCAAGCAAAGAAGCAAATGTTCTATGAAGAAATTTTTGAATATCAGTTTACACTAAAAGGCCAAAGTCTTAATATTAAACATATTTCCTTTTTCACCCCCCACCCCTCCCCCCGCTACTGAGCATATTTATATTGACAGGTCACAAACAAGGGGCATGGGGGCTCCACTTTGGGAGGCCAAGGTGGGCGGATCACTTTGAGGCCAGGAGTTTGACACCAACCTGGCCAATGTGGCGAAACCGTCTCTACTAAAAATACAAAAATTAGCTGGGTGTGGTGGTGCACACCTGTAATCCCAGCTACTCGGAGGGTGAAGCAGGAGAATCGCTTGAACCCAGGAGGCAGAGGTTTCAGTGAGCCGAGAACGCACCACCACACTCCAACTTGGGGGACAGAGTGAGATTCTGTCTCAAACCAGAGTGAGATTCTGTCTCAAAAAGATAAAAATAAATAAAAATAAAAATAAAAATAAACCAAATGAATGAAGTTTCCCTCCAAGTTTGTCATCTTCATCTTAGGAAATAGCTTAAAGTTTAATAAAGTTTACACATGCCAATTTTGTGAATATCAAATTCAACAGTTTGGAAACACAAGCTTCTAAATAAACTGTTTCACTGTGACAGTGTCCTTGAGAATACATGCCATCCAGAGGTAATTCTGCTTTATACTCAGATTCTTTCCATACTTCCAAAAAAGGATCAATATTAGACCTGTATAACAAATTACACTCTTTTACAGAAAATAATAAAATATCCAAGTCTCTCACCAAATTTTCAAAAAAGAGGAAAAGTGTAAGCTTCCAGATGAAAGTTTCTATAGCTTTCCCCAAATTTAGTACCACCATGAAAAAGAAATTCTTCACTCATTCAAGGCATACGACTAGAAAACTAATTTCCATGGCATCAAATTAATTTCCTCCTTTGGAGATAAAACCATGAGATCTTTTCCAAAGCATTAAAATCGCCAAGAAAAAAAAAAAAAAGAAAAAAAAGACCATTACCAGCATTTTAAAACTGAGTAAGAGAATGAAGTAAACAAAAAAGGGAAAGAAAAAGCTTCAAAAGTTCATTTTTCTCCTAATTTCTTGAACTCTCTATTCCAGAAGTACCTAATGTTTTTCTTAAAAGAGAGGCTTTCAATTTTTCCCTATGTCTAAAGGCTGCTTTAAGTAGCTTAAGACCAAGGACAGGAGAGTGAAAACGAAGAGGGTTTTGGCTCTCCTCGGTGGGGGTGGAATTGCAGCTACTGCTTAGGGATATTTTCCAGTGGTCAGCTCTTCAAACTCCAGTGAGTCTCATAAACAGGGTGCACCAGCCAATCCAAGTATCCAGTATCTACAATGCAAACTGTAGATACTATCCAAATTGACAGTAGATAGCTCAGTAAATAGCTGAGCAAACTGCAATGATAGCTCAGTCTTGAACTCTGGAAATAAATTTCCAAAAGCCTTCCCCAGTGGCACTTCAAACTCAAAAACGTTTACAAAACCAATCACATTTTCCAAACCTGCTTCCACCACTACCCGACCTGTTGCTCCTCCTTCCTGTATTTCCTATACCTCGGAGATTAGTCTCACATTGAATCTACCTCCCAAGAGTCATGTTGCTTTTAAAATCCTTCACTAACTCCTTGCTCCCTACAGAAGAAAATCCAAACTATGTATCATGGCATTCAAGACCCTTTGTGGTAAGTTCTCTATCTCTTCAGTCATACCACTTTTTCTGTGCTACATAATACCAAGTTTTCTAGCCATTCTAAAATATTCAAAGGTCCCTGGAATACAAAATCTTCCTTATACCTGGAAAGTTATCCCTACCCTACTCCATCTGTAAAAACCTTATTCATTCTTTAAGACTCAGGTCAATGACTGCCTTCTCGGTCAATATTTTCCTGACTCTTTTTCAAGAAAAGTTGAGCAATCATTCCCTCTATTTTCCTATTATTATAGAACTCTGTGCTTTTAAAATTCTTGTATTAATATTAATATCTATTATGTTGCCTTTTTGTTTGTTTGCTTCTGTTTCCCCCCAATGACTGATCTCCTTAAAGGCAGAGTTTTTGCCTTATCCATTGCTTATATAGTCCTTAAAATGCTATGAAATGCATAGCAGGCAGTTTGTCAAATTAATTTAACTTATTATTGACCAGCTGTGTTTTGGTTTTCCTCTGTTCAGTCCACTTACATTTCTAAAAATTAAGAAAAAGTCTAGAGAAGATTAAAATGACACATCTTCTAACCTGTTACTCCTACTTCTGAAATCTATGTGGTTCACTAGTACTTCCATTTGCTACTAAATCAACTTAAGTCTTACCACTAAGACGATGCTACACACTATTCCTTTTCCTTACTCTTAACTACTCAAGGTGAGCCTTTTTCTACACATGCTTATAGCAGTTTATTGTCAGTACTTGTCAGCTACAAAATGGTAAAAAAATTTTAAAAAACAAAAAATAAAACAAAACTTCTATAAGAGTGACTTTGACTATTTTGTTAACCATATCTCCGGGTTTTTTGTTTGTTTGTTTTTTTTTTTTTGAGACAGAGTCTCGCTCTGTCACCCAGGCTGGAGTGCAGTGGTGCGATCTCAGCTCACTGCAAGCTCCGCCTCCCGGGTTCACGCCATTCTCCTGCCTCAGTCTCCTGAGTAGCTGGGACTACAGGCGCCCACCACCAGCCTCAGCTAATTTTTTGTATTTTTAGTAGAGATGGGGTTTCACAGTGTTAGCCAGGATGGTCTCCATCTCCTGACCTCGTGATCCGCCCACCTTGGCCTCCCAAAGTGCTGGGATTACAGGCGTGAGCCACCGTGCCCAGCCCAAATCTCCAGTTTCTAAACTGGTAAGCTCAAGTTGCTATGCCTCAAGGAATTTGAGAGAATATTTAATATAAGATTCAGGACCCAATAGTAAGAATTCTACTCAGGACATCTGATCTTCATTGAAAAGGATTCTAATCCAACTTCAGTCCTCATAGCAAGGAAGTACTATTTCAGAAAGTCCCTAGATTCTCAGATGCATTGGCAAGCACCATACACTGAAGAATTCACAGAAGATTTTAGTCACTTGCTCACTCATCCACTTGAAGTAAGAAAAATCAATCACTGCATGTTTATTGTTCTATAATAAAGCAAATGTTAGAAATAAAAGTTAGAAATGTCAAACACACTAAATTGTTACATAATAAACTAATCAAGACACAACTTTTATTCAGGACATGGATATTTCTGAAATGAAAATAAAAGAAGAGAATTGACTTAAAATGTTTATAAATACGAATATTATGACAGAACCAAAGCTATTTATGAGCATTATTTTTAAAAGCTTGTTTAAGTATCATGCACTTGTCTGTGTGACATTTTGTAAAGCGGAGAAAAATTAAGGAGAAAGGAATTGTAGAACACTAACAGGAAGAGGACAGATACTGAGGAATGGCTCATGGTATAAGTGAGATTATCAGAGACTCTCTACAATGGAATTTGAAACGCAGGGAGCACATTTGGTGTATGGTTGTAGAGGACTTACACTAAGGGCATTCTTCTGCTACCTCTGCCAGCAGATGAGTGGCTCCTGAGAATGCATACCAAATTAATTCCCCAGCTGTTCACATGCATATAAGCAGCTGCTGCTGTTACTGCCTAATACTTATGGCAGTCTGTCAGCACCTCTAATCTCTGCCATAGCAGACAAGCCACTCACCTAAGGCCTCTGCTGTACTTCCAAAGAAAGAATTTCTCAAGTAGAGACTGAGTGGAACTAGACTGCCAGCTGTGAGCCTCAGAGCTCCTGGCTGCCTGTTGCTGAGTCTATCAGCTGCTGAGCCTTTCTCACCAAAAAAAAAAAAAAAAAAAAAAAAAAAAAAAAAAAAAAAATGAGCTTAATAAAATAACCCTGCACAGAAATTTTCTGAAATTAAGATAACATTCAATGGAAAACAGAATTTAATCTACAGAAATACACTTCACAGATGTTTTAGGAACAGAACCTAGAGAAAATGAAAGTCAAAATTTAATAAAAGAATTTGTCAGGAACTTCAAGGTAAAGACTCCATGTATTTTTTGGCAACTATAAAACACTAAGAAGGCTTTTTAAATATTAAAAAGCCATTTAAACACTTCAAATTAAGATTCCTCAATATACTTCAGATTTCTGTACTGAGTTACCCTCTCGAGTGTTTGGAAGTCTTTTCTTCCTCATTAAGCAAACACTTACACAGTGTTATCATGGCTTTGTAATCTTAGTTTTGAAGACAGGCAAATGTACTAGTCAAATATGCCAAACTAACTTATTAAGAGCATTCCAAACAACATTTTGGATCCAAATCTTTTTAAATGCACTTAGATCTTTCTTATATCAGAATCAAGCATATTTGTCAATTACTTAATGTTTATTATTAATAACTAAAATGATTTGTTATTAATAGGAATAGCTTTTTTAAAGTACCTTGATCTTTGTGTTTCTAAGATTTGTCCTAGTCCATTTATGGATCTGAAATAAATAATAAATGAGGAAGACAAAGTTTAAAAGTAAAAATTAACTTTTTAAAAAAGTATACAAAGTATATTGTTTCTAAAACGGGAAATAAGCATACCCAAATACATCTGGAACCAGAAAAAAATTAAAAACAGAAAAACAAAACTTGCTTTAAAAAATAATTATGATTTTCCTTCAAACAATAAATCACATATATTCCACTCATACATCAATAAAACATATATGCAAAAATTCACACAACTGTCAGATTAAGGGCTACTTTGTGGTTAATAAAAAGACGCTTCACTTTAGAAAAAATCATTCATAAATAGTCAGTTATCCCAGTGTTCTTAAAAATGAGTAGATACTCAAAATTTTTACGGTGGTCACTTTTTTCCTCAGGCATACATGGTAGAAATGGCTATATACACACTAAAAATAAAAACCTAGTTGTAAGTTGCTTTGCCCCCAGCCTGTCCTTAGTATTCACAGTAATTCTAAGTCACACATCCCAGGTTCCTTTATAGAATAACCTCGTCAGTTCCCTAATTAGGCTCTCTACCCGTTATGCCTGTTCTCCCTCTTTTGATACTATAGAATATGGCTTTGTATGGAACCAAAAAGTACCTGTTAAATTCTTTTCAACACACTGTACACCTCATCTATTTATCTTTTCCATTGCCTATCATCAATCATCAATTCTCTATCATGAATTCAATTGTCTTTAGGGTTACTTACCCAAGATTCTTGCTACTTGTTCAAGTTTGTTCTCATGGGTAAGGCTTCCCACATATAATGATTCTGAGGCAAGTCTCTCCACTATTTTACAAAATTCTTAAATCTTCTTTTTTGAATACACTCTAGTCTGATGGCTAATTCCTCTCAAACATGTTTACCTTTTTTCACCTCCCCAAATATCATTCTGAGTCAGTCACAAGTCTGATATAAACGGAGGGTAAAAGCCAAAAGGGTGTGTAATTTACCAAATTGCTTCTACCAAATTCATTTCTAGTACTGTTAACAAGCTGGCTAATAGTCAATATTGTCAGTGTCAGAGATTTAGCTTAGGTCTCTATAAGGATATAAAAGTCAAGTAATAATTATCATTCCTTTTATGCCAAAAACGTTTGCTAAATAGATTGTGTTCTTCTTAGCAATCACAATGGTGCACAAGATTTATGAAGAGAAACAAGATTAGAAGACCAGTGTCAAAAAATGTAAAAGCAATCTTCATTCATCACTTTCTCCTTTTCAAAATCAGCCATCTTTTTCTTTCTTCCCTTTTTTACTATACCTTGAACTTACTATGTAAGCTAAGAAAAAAATTACATAATAATAGCTAACAGAGCACTTACTATGTGTCAGCACTGTGCAAAGTTTACCAACATTGTCTCATGTAATACTCAAAGCAAACTTATGATAGGCATTATGCCTTTTACAGAGGAGGCTTTAAAAGGGTAAATAAGCTCCCTAAGAAGACAATGAGAAACAGACCAAGGATTAGAACCCAAGCAGATTCCAAGGTCTGTGATCTTCAACACTAGGCAACAATACCTACCCTCCACATGGAGACATTATATTTTTTTATAGTAAAGTTTAAGGACATTACTATTAAAATAAGATGAAATATGTGGAAAAAATATGAATTTCTTTCTTCCACAATCATTAATCATGGCAAATAATCTCCTAATGAGCCTTACCTTTATTGATTCAATTTATAATATATACTATATGAACTGAGATGACAGATTGAAAATCTAGTCAGTAGAACTTATAAATACTAAGAATAGTAATTTTGAGCCATCACGCTCAAAGCATTGTACACATTAAAGATAACCAATAATAATAGCTACCGAATGTCTCTCTGTATAGGGCTTTTATTAGTTCAGGTCTTACAAAATAATTCAAAACAAAGTCCCTGAACTATAACTTCATTTGAAAAGTCCATCTTTGTTTTCAAAAGGAATGGGAGTCTCCAGAACAGTCAGCAAAATGACTGTTAGCACATATTTGAGCATCATTCATATTGTCCTGATTGTCCTATGCTGATCAGCCTTGGCTATGGACAAAGAAGATATACAAGCAAGCTGGAAGACAATGCATGGTTGACAGTTAAGGAAGATGAAGTCAACAAGAGTTCAGGGAAAACTGAGACCACTTGAGTCAGGGAAGACTTCACATAGGAAGCGGGGAGAGACAGAATAGGCTCTATAGAATAAATTAAAAAAAAAAAAACAGAACAAGAAAGAACTCAGGGATTGGCAGAGTGAGAATACATTATGAGTAAAGACAGGAACTGACAGGATGCATCCATGGGAAAGTGAATTAACCATCCTGGGTAAAGTTAGGGAAGACTGACATTAGGAAAGAGTCAAAGAGAAGACAGGAAAAGAAAGATGGAGTGCGAAGACCCTGAATATCAGTCTATTAACTGTGAACTATATTCTGCAAGCACTGGGGACTAATTTTATGTATTACCATTTATATAACAATTAGCCATCAACAATATATGTGATTCCCTAACGTTCTTGAAGCAGGTCAACCTTATACCTTAAGTTTCTACAGGGCAACAATCAGAGTAAAAAATATTCTGTGTATACAATATGGATCTGTAGGCACTTAACACACTTATCATTTTGTACCTAATTGTCGTTCTTAATTTCTTTACATCTTCTTCTGGAACCAAGTCTGTTTTATTAATGAGAATGATATCTGCCAAAGCAACTTGCCTAAAATAGCAAACAAAAAGAAATGTTAAGAAATTTTAAATAATATACACGCATGCAGATTAATACATCAAAAGAGAAATGTTAACAAATTAAAAATAAATAAAAACACCTCATGTAGATCAATATATCAGTTAAGGATTATATAGTGCTCTATAGGAGTGATTCAGTTTACTCCTAATCCGCTAATTTTTCAATGTGAATGAATTGTATTCATTACTATGCAAGTTCAGATTTCACATTACCCATTTGCAAAGTATTTACTAAGTTCTGTTACTTGCTACTCTTGTGCTACAAAGATAAGTCTCAAAAAGTTTACAATCAAAAGGATGATTTTAAACTCATAATTTTCTTTGTGAAGAAAAGCATAAAATTCAGATATCCAATATGGTAAAAAGAAGAAGAGTTTACCTACTAAAATACTGTAATATTTACCAAAATTTTCAAAGAAATAGAATAACTTCACTTAATACTAAAAACTGTATTAAACAGGTTTTTTAAAACTATACTTCAGAGCTGGGCATGGTAGAGCACACCTGTAGTCCTGGCTACTTAGGAGGCTGAGGAGGGAGGATCCCTTAAGCCCAGGAGTTCAAGTCCAACCTGGGCAACATAGCAAGACTCCATTTCTTAAAAAAAATAAGCTATACTTCAGAAGATATATCAGGATATTGCACAAATGTCTTCTTTATCACTATAAATATACTGTATATTATCTCTGTAAAGAATCCAGTTGACTGAATGCTAGATAACAAAGTAGATGATAATAATCAGAAGCTCTATTTTCTATTAACAGGATAGTAAAACTGGAAATTCTTTCAATTTTCCTCAATTATTCAGGGTCTTATGCTTTATCTCAAAGAATACAACTAAATTCTCAAAACTAAATTAACTTTAGTTCACTGAAAGAGCAGGTTTCAACAGTATGTACATCACAAATCCAATTTGGCTATTTTCTATTTGGCTTATTTATATTTTCTATAATAACCATATTTTCATAAGGAAAAAAGTTACAAAAATACTTAAGTTCCGCCAGGCGCAGTGGATTCATGCCTGTAATCCCAGCACTTTGGGAGGCCGAGGCGGGTGGATCACCTGAGGTCAGGAGCTCGAGACCAGCCTGGCCAACATGGTGAAACCCCATCTCTACTAAAATAAAATAAAATAAAATAAAATAAATAAAATAAAAAAATGCAAAAATTAGCTGGGCATGGTGGCGGGTGCCTGTAATCCCAGCTACTTGGGAGGCTGAGGCAGGAGAATCGCTTGAACCTGGGAGGCAGAGGTTGCAGTGAGCCTGCACTTCAGCCTGGGTGACAGAGTGAGATTCTGTCTCAAAAAATAATAATAATAATTATTATTATACATATATATATATATATATATATATATATATATATAATCTTCAATCCCAAAGAAATTGTATAACAAGAAAATATTTTTAAATGTTAATATTTCCCGAGTTCCTCAAAATTACAGAACTCCTGTGTTCAGCATTCACTTTATGCTACGACAAAAATGACTTCAAGTAAAAGTTTAGTTATGAGATCATTATAAATAGATAGCAATAATTCAACTAAGGGAAAAAAAGAAAACAAATTTTCCTTGACTATGTTTTAAAATTTCTTAGTTTGTTTTTGGTTTTCATCTTAGTGATTTTTCTCTTTACGATTAGCCAGCAATCAATATATACTTTAAATATGAATACCTAGTAGCTTCATTGATAAGGCCATCAGGTTTCTCTTCTGTTAAATGCTAAACAAAAAAAAGTTTGAATAAAGTTACTATAATACAATAAAAAATCTAATGTCAACACAAAGGATTTTACTTTAGAGACATTTTCTTGCATTTAATAAAAACTTCAACATGTTCTGTTACTGAATACACAAATCCAAAACTAACTTTTCTAGCTGAAAGCATTTTTCTTCCCCATTTGCAATTTTTTTCTACAAGTGAACCTGTGGGGTTTTATAGGGGGAGGAAGAGGGCTTAGGATTTCATACTCCTGACCTTTTCTTTTACTTAAAAGGAAAACCCCTTTGATTCACATAATGTCATAAAAACATAGAAGATTACAGTTCAGATTTTAGGTATTTTCCTTCTTACAAAACTGTTCTGGTTCTAAATATTCATTATTACTTATTTTAAAAAAAGGATAACCACTGAAATATAGTTTCTTAGAATCTAATATACTTCCCTTCACACCAAACCCCCATATTAGAATCTAAAATACTTCCCTACACCCCAGCCCACAATCATGCACCACGTGAACTCAGTACTAGGCCTTTCAAACACCCTAGAAACAAATAAGTGGTGGGAAGGCTGATTCAGCCCTGATTCTAGCCTAAAAGCAGTTTATCATTTAGAAACCCATACTTGCTAATCTGGCCTCTCAGTGCAACTGTTTATTTTACTGACCTCTCCAGAGTCAGGCTAACTCCAAAAAATATTTTGACACTGACTTAGAGCCCAAGTGGTAGTTTCCATCTCTCTGGAGGCAAGTTTTGTTGTCTGTTTTTTTTTTTCCCCCTCATAATCCTGTTTACATCCCTAACGTCATCAACATCACAAGCTTCTTCTCTGGGAAATTACACTTTTACCCTCATTACCTCAAACCTCAATAGAGGTTCCCTGTCACAATAAAAAGCTGGCTACTGAGGTTTAGAGGCAACTAGATTATAGTAATACTCTATATTTGAAGCCAACTTTACAAATGAATTAAATCCTTGAATCTAACTTTATAAATTATATACATTTTTCTCATTTAGCTTTCATAATAATTATGGGAGATGGCTATTTTCATTTATAAAGGAAGAAACTAAATCTAACACCCTCATCATCACAGGATACTATATTTTATATGCAATCACAGGGACTTTTTTTTTTAATTGAACACACACCCATCAAGTAAAATGAACATAATTTTAAAGCCTTTGTGAAATCTTTTATGCCACATAAAATCAGCCTGTGTACAATGCTACACAAATGTCAATAACCATATATCAGAGCCAAACCAGTTTCATAATTCATGGGGAGATGATCATTAGGGGTATCTGAATAGTTTGGAACCTCAGAGCAAGCAGGTAATAATTTTATTTAACAAGCTTGATTAGGTCTATAGAAGAAACATTTTTTCCTTCTAAAAGTTCAGCAAATTCTATTTTGAGGAAAACAAAACTGAAATAAAATCATGGCAATGATACTTCTACTTCAGGCAAAATCTTGTTCAATTCAACTGCAGACCCACTCTGCAATTATGGAAGTCACAGAACTTGACAAGTATTGTATCAAAAATCATTCCATGCCAAAAGATCAAGTTTAATATTTTTTTCATAATTCATCTTGGCCTGAGGCTACAACAAGTCCTATTGTTATATACTCTGCCTCTAGAGAATGAGGCTGCTAACAGACCTTGGAATGGTGCCTGGCACAAAGGCTCAAGAAATATTTGTTGAATGAATTGTAATTAACACCTCCTGTTGTGGGGATACATAAAAGATGTTACATGAAAAATGCCATCTAACATGCAGCAACAAATCTCTTCCCATTAAGCAGTAAATCTACTTAACAATGATATATTTTTGGCAAGGCATCTGCCTCTGAATGATCCTATAGTACTGAAAATTCTTTTTAAACTGAAATATTTTTCAAGATATTATATTATTGACCTTATGAAAGCTTTTTTAACATATGAAATTGGGGTTATTTGGCTATGAGTTTGTGAGGCATAAAAATGATATGACAGAAGAATTACAGATTTGTTTTTGCATTTCCATGCCTAAATGTAACTAATACAATGTTAGTTTCACAAGGTAATGTGCAATGTTTTAAATGCATTTACCTCTCCAAAATATTAGAATTCTTCACTCAAAGCTAACAGTGGTAGACTAACGTTTTACTACTTCCAGGCAGTCAGAAAGTATCAAATATAAAAATAAATGAAAATCACCCCAAATGAGAGCCTGCCAATATTTACAGCTGTATTAAAATTATATGTAATCATATACAATTATAGCAGAAGAGATAAATGTCCTCTTCTATGCCCATAGGAAAGCTATACAAATATTTAAAAAAATAAGTGCATCTTAACATTTATTTTCTTTAGATATCAGCCCTGCATTTCCCTCATGTGACTTCCTACCTTCCCAAATCAAACTCTGCAAAAAGTATAAAATCAATGTCTTCTATTCAAAAGAACATTCTCCAATAATACATTATATACCATTTGGTCATTAAGTCAGATGACTTTCATTTATAAAATAAAACAAAATGGAAAGTTTGGCATTCTATTCCACCTGTATAAGTAAATGAAGAAAAAATTTTTGCAAAATATTTTTTAAATATTTTATATTACATAGATGTCCAAAGTATTCCTTATCTCTGCTTAACAACTATGGCTTTTGCTTATATATCAAAAAAGACAAAAATAATTTTGATACTAATTAATCCAACATATTCAAAAGGCTAAGGATCAAAACCCCAATTTAACTTACCACAAGAAACAAAGGAAATTAAAAGGGAGTGGTGTGAGATGTTGGTCAAAGAATACAAAGTTTGTTATACAAGATGCATAAGTCATGGAGAGCTAATTACAGCATGATGACTGTAGTTAATTCTATTGTATACTTGAATCTGCTAAAACATAGATCTTAATTGTTCTTACCACCCCCTCTCAAAAAAATAGCAATGTGAGGTGATGGATAGGTTAACTAGCTCGATTGTTTGATAATGTAATTCACACACTGTATACCTTAAATATATATAGTTTTTACTTGTCAATTATACCTCAATAAAGCTGGGGGGTTAGAGAGAGAAACAAAGGAACTCTCTGAAATAACACCACTGTAGACCTAACTTCATGAAGGGCTATAGGGTGTCCTTTTCTGCAGAAATAAAGAAAGAAGCCGGACCGAAAAAAGAGAAAGAAAGAAAAGAAAAAACTATCTTAAAACCCACTGGCTATGAAAGAACACTGCTGTTGACCAGAGTGGAAATAAATCTAGTGTCAAAGATGTCTGGTGTCATTTTTAAAAAGCAGCAGCAGGAACTATTTCTTTCAAATGGATTGGTTACAGATGTAACACTATTTTAGTTTTTAAAAAATTATTGCATAATGTCAGTCTATTTATTGTTCTGGCCTTTTCCAAGCTAACTGTTTTCTGACTGAATTGTTTCAACAGATTGTGCAATATAACAGAGGAACCAAGAAGAAACCTCTCACTTGACCTTCTCTGGGTAACTTCATTCATTGCTTCTATTGCATTAAATGCTGTCACATTTGTAGAACTGAAAAGAACAATGTCAGTAGCCCGGGTGTCAAGTCCTCAGAATAGAGAGCTGTCATTTTAAGTTGTCCAATTCTTTGCCTATGATTAAAAAATGAATATTTCAGATCAATGGGTGACAATCCCATTAGAGTGATACCCCATGATATCAATTACCACTTCAGTTTCAATTTGGCTGGCTGGCCACAGGGTACCATTTCTCAGCTTTACTTGTCATGGGCTGGCTCTGTGAAGCATGACATTCTTAAATTGCTGCCCATTATCCAAGTGTCATTACTTGTACTGCCTCAGAATTCTCTGAATCACAAGCAGCTACTGAGGTCAAGCTTTGCAACCAGAGGAATTGGACAAGTTGGAAAATTCTTTATATCAAGGCAAAGTTATTTATCTGGCATCCGACTTAGAAAATTTAAAGTTTCCATTATCCTGACAGTGTGTCAGTTTTGTGTAGGTATACTGATTTAATAATTTAAGAGGTTTTATCAAGGTAGCAGAAGGTTAAACGTTTACTGTGTTTGCATTATTCAGAATGTTGCTTTGTTTTTTTGGCCTCCGTCATGCTGATAATAGATTCTATTTAACTCTTCTCCATACCCAACTATACATATAAAATTTTTCCTATAATCATAAAATACATAAACAGTTTGACTTTTAGCATGGCATTTTCAGTCTATCAAAATAAAAAAAAAACAAAATGTCTTAGCAGTTATCTGTCACATAGGTATATCAAATTTTGTAATAAATTTATGGAAGAGGTAGATTCAAACATGCCTATAATAAACATTCAAAATGAATAATTTGGGGCTTTTTTGCTACCTCCATAAGCATTTTGCAAGAAATATGATTTCCAACAGTCATTGGAATTTTTCTGCGTGAAACTGTAATACTGTATTTGGGATCATTCTTTGATTCTTAAATTATATTCATAAATTCATAAATTGAGATTTTAAACTCTAAAAAAGGAGTTTTCTTCCAAACTTTTCAAATTAGGGCACTCTATCAACGAGGGAGAGAAGGCCCAGTGAAGAGGTATTGGTAGCTATTTGACAAACCTGACATATCCCCTTAGAGCATAATTTCAGCAAAGATTTGGGAAAAAAAAGCAAACTTAAACATTAACAAGTTCAGGCAGGGCGTGGTGGCTCATGCCTGTAATCCCAGCACTTTGGGAGGCCGAGGCAAGTGGATCACTTGAGGTCAGGAGTTCATGACCAGGCTGGTCAACATGGTAAAATCCTGTCTCTACTAAAAATACAAAATTAGCTGGGCATGGTGGTGTGCACCTGTAATCCCAGATACTCAGGAGGCTGAGACAAGGGAATCGCTTGAAGCTGGGAGGTGGAGGTTGCAGTGAGCCAAGATGGTGCCACTGCACTCCAGCCTGGGCAACAGAGTGAGACTCTGTCTCAAAAAAAAAAAAAAAATTAACACGTTCAGATATGAGGTTGGATACAAAACAGACACTAATTTTTAAACACTGAATTTAAACTTCTAAGAACTTACTGCTTTGGGCCCTATCCATATGCTCAGATTGGGAACGGGTCAGTGGGTGGGATGATTTCATTCTCTTCTGCCTTTAGTGGTATTTCACCTGGGAAGTTGAGAAACATCATTTTACTGTATGTAACAACATACTTTTAAAGATCTTACTAAATGCATTTTATAAATTAAACCTCATTTAAATGCATTCTAGGACCTTAGAAGTTAACAAAAACATTCATAGCAGGATGTCTTTTACACTTGATCTTAGCCAAAAGACCAAGAAGCGATGCAAGATGCCTTTTAATGGAGAGAGTCTTCTTACTAATCCTATGTGTATATCCTGATTTTCTTCAATATGTACTTTTTAAATTTTAAGTTCCAGGGTACATGCTCACGATGTGCAGGTTTGTTACATAGGTAAACGGGTGCCATGGTGGTTTCCTGCACCTATTAACCCATCACCTAGGTCTTCAATATTTTTTAAAAACTCATTTCCAGTGTGTGTTTAATAGTAATTTAACAAGAAAAATAAGATCTCAGATGCTTTATCAAGCTCAGCTTCTTCTATGGAACAGAAAAACTTAGCAATATTGGGGTTGAATCCTTGTGAAGAGCTATACATACCAAACTCTATCCTAACCCCATATGCTTATTACAAATTATAATTCCAAATTTTATCACCAAATCAAACTCAGAGTAATAGAAAAGAAATATTTAACACAAACTAATAATTAAAACACAAATTTCACCTATTGTTCAGGATATCTTTTTGAGAAAGGTTTTTGTTAAAGAAAATTTCAGATACAAACATAAAGAAAATTAAACAATCAATCCCCATATTCCCAGCTCTCAATAATGAGCCACTCATAGCAATCTTTCAACTTACTTTTAATCCATATTTTGAATCCACAATAGTTATGATACCTACAAAGGAAAAAACATTTTAATCACTTTTTAAAAAGAATGCTTATTAATACTTGTGCAACCATACTTCAGAATGAAAATTAAAACTAACCTATTTCAGTTCACAAATACTACTCAATAAAACAATGTACTGTTTTTTTCTCTTGCCAGTGCTGCCATTTAATTAAATTCCAGTAATAAGTCAATGCATTTCCTGAGTGGCTAGCACTATTTTAAGGCACTAGAGAAGATATAAAACAAATAAAAATTTTAAATTAAATAAATAAGAAAATAAGATTTCCTTGGCACTGAAAAAGCTTACAATCCAAAATATAAGTCAAATTTCATAACATAGTCAAATGTGATAAGTACATAAGACAGGTTATTTCTAGTTTATTTTCACATAATCAAAATCAAGACTTTTCTTAAGATTTAAATTATTGCCTAAAGAATGAGACATCTTAAGGTATCATTCCTAACATCTCTCACCAAATCCAAATCCAAATCCAGCTCATAAATGTTTTACATAACATATGCCTAAGTTTCCAAACTACCAATTCATTTTGCAATCTCTGAATATATGCTGATAACAAAAGAATGAGTTTAATTATGCTAAGGAATTCAACCAGTTACCCGCCACATATATTAGAGCTCAATGATGGGGCCCAGCTTAATAATTCTTAAATTTCTTAATGATTATTACTTTTGAAAAAGTAAGAAAATTTCGACTGGTTTTTAAAAAGGTGAAAAAGGGAAAGAGAAAGGGAGAAAACATAGTCGCTTAACTAAGAAAGTTTCTAATATATTTTAAATGAAGGCATATCATTGCCCAAAAGTGTTCAGGTAAATAAAGTAAGGGAGGAGTGTTTAATTCTTATCTTCAAGAGAAAATAAAAGCAAAAATATGATCCTCATATTGCCTGGAGGATTAAAATAAAAGGCTCTAACATTATATTAAGGGCATAAATCAAACAACAGAGGATACAGAAAACCTACAAAGCATTTTTTTTTTTAAAGAAAACCTTAGTGGAAGCACTAAATTGGAAGTTGAGTGACATCGATTTCCACCACTGTTTGGGGTTTTTTAATCTATATGAACAAAGATTTCATCATTAAACTAAAGTGTGAAAAGAACAACAATGCAAGGAATTAAAGTTATAATATGAATGAACAACAATAAGCTTAACCATAAAGATTTTACTAAAAAACAAAAGAGGCAGGGTGTGGTGGCTCACGCCTGTAATCCCAGCACTTTGGGAGGCCGAGGCTGGCGGATCACCTGAAGTCAGGGGTTCAAGACCAGTCAGGCCAACATGGCGAAACCCCGTCTCTACTAAAAATCCAAAAATTAGCCAGGTACGATGGTGCACGCCTGTAGTCCCAGCTACTCGGGAGGCTGAGGCAGGAGAATCACTTGAACCCAGGAGGTAAAGATTGCAGTGAGCCGAGATCATGCCACTGCACTCCATGCACTCCAGTCTGGGCAACAAAGTGAGACTCTGTCTCAGAAAAAAAAAAAAAAAACAAAAAAAAAAACCAAGAAAGATAAAAGAAAACTGTTTTTTAACTTACCATCAAGGTAAATATCACTCCCTAATTCAGCATCAACCCAAAACATAGAAGCCACTGCACCTGAAAATATATAATATTCATCAAATAAAAATATTTCTTCACACTGAGAAACATGATTCTATCCATGTTTTAATTTGCCCTGATAAAATTAACAGGTAAACACATATATCTTCTTATGGAAATTATAGTGATAGAAGCTTTAACTATTTATAGCAAAAGGGAATTATAGTGATAGAACCTTTTACTATTTATACCCATTCCATTTCCATCTCTCGTTATTTCCTTTAAAAAAGACCAATTCTAACCACATATAAACAAAACATCATTCTTCTACCGATGCCATAATAATTTAATTAACAGATATTATCAAACAATTTGAGCAGTATGGCTTTGTGCACATCAGACTTATTTTTATTTTCTCACCTCTTTAATATGATAATCATTCAATCATAAATAGTGAATTATCACTCTAAAGGAAAAGGAAAACAAAACATAGATAATTCCAAAATCACTTGCCCAAAAAAAATTTACTTGTAATCTGTGTAGAACTAGAAGTAAAATTATATACTCTATGGCATTACTAATTATTCCTCACACTATTTATTTAGGACTGTATAAAACCTGGGTCTTAGGAAAAATTTTTCCTAAATAATAAATTAAAACTTGCTTTTGACAGAAATTGGTTCAGTACCAAACCACATACCCTGATTAGTATGCCACAACGCAAGAAAAAGAAAACTGACAGCAAGGAAAGTATTTGATTTTTGAAAGCATCACAGGCCCAGTTAGTGACAGGGCTGTCTAAAAGAATGAGTGTAGGAGAAAAACAAGGATAATCAAACTCATTCCAACGTCTAAAGCTGTCCACCTGCTCTGACAAGATGTGGTCCCCCAAGCATCACTCTGTGTCAACAATGAAATACCGGTCAGCTGTTTACAGTGATTACTCATGCAAGATATAGCAAGGGCCACAAGATCTAATGGTTTCCTGATACCTATTGATTTTTTTCCCAAAAACGTAATAGTTTTCCAATTTGACTCAAATAGGATTTGTGAGTAACAGGGGCTGAATCAATGTCCGTTCTTTTCAAGGAAATTACTTTACCATGACAATTATTTAACTTAGAACTGGAGAGTGTCAGTCTCCAAAATGGGAAACAACTGAATTGCCAATAAGAATTCTGTTCACTTTCTTGGCTAAAACATGATTTTAATTAATGAGGGGGAAAATTAAATCTACTGTATCACTACTCCAAACAATAAGTCATTTAAAAAAGCATGAATTTTTTCACTCAGTAAAATATCTAACATACATAAATCATTTTGTAATTTTTAAAAATTCATTGATTTTTAGTCTAATAAATAGTTTACAAATCCTACTGTTAATATTTGCCTCTTAAGTTGAAATGTAAGAGTATATTAATGCTTTATTCTAAAACTGGTATTTATCTTTGATATAATACTTGCCAGACTACATGAGAAAGATCTATTTAAAATTTGGATGTAGGTATTTAGGAGGAGTAAAGATGAATGAACAAAATTGATTAGTGGCTCTCAAACCAGGGTGCTTTTCTCCCCAGGGAATATTTGGCAATGTCTGAAGATGTTTTTGGTTGTCTTAACTAGGGGAATGCTACTGGCATCTAGTGGGTAGAAGCCAGGGATGTTGTTAAATATCCTACTCTGCACAGGGCAACCCCCTCACAACAAATAATTATCCAACCCAAAATGTTATTTGTGCTGACACTGAGAAAACCTGAACTACATTTTAGAATCTCCCTTCTTCAAAATCTAATAAAACAAAAAATAAAAATAAAAAATAAAACAAAAAGGCCAACATTTTATTAGCAGCAACCAAATATAAAAGGGCCTGCCATAAATTTTGAAGACTGATAGTCAAAATAAGAAACAAAGTTATATGTGATTGATGGTCATTCCCAACTCTACCCCTACCTCCAATAAGAGGTTGTAGGGAAATAGTTTACAAAATCCTAAACACTTACCAGAAATACACTCCAAAATGGCAAAAAGTAGAGCCGAGGAATGAATAAGCAACAGAGGGAAAAGTCAACAAAAAAATTTCAAGAGTGAGTTTTAACCATCTCCATGCTTTGGGAAGGAGAAGGTCAGGTCACATTCTAGGGCTCAGAACAAAGAGAAATGAGAGGTCTGAGGTCGAATGATGTCCCCATACAAGGCAAAGGAATTTTATTCATAAGCAGTTGGGCAGACCCAAGAGTGAAATACTTGGTACTTCAAGAGAGCAGAGCCTAAAAGCCACATTGCCCCATTTGGCTCTCTGAATCACCACTTTTCCCTTCTCTTTCCCTCCACTCCAACAATATACAGCTTTCAAACTAGGGCTCAGGAGAAAAACAAACTTGGGTAAGGAGAGTGGAGTATTAAAAATATTTCCCATCAGCACCACATAGAAGTTCTCCCATATCAAGAAGAAACTTGTATGCATATGTATTACAGCCTGACAAAAAGAAATACACACATACAGGGAATAAAAAGCAAGAAAGAACACAAAATGAAGAAATGAATAGGGCATACAAGTGGCAAAGAACCCATTCTGGAAGGATACATAACCCAATAAAAACTAAAGAAAATTCTCAACAACTTCATCATAATGAAGAACTTGAAAACAATACAACCTTATAATAAACAAGCTCAAAAGCAAGAAGCAGAATAAGATGAAAATGCAGTTTGTAGTGCTAAAGAAACTTAGAGCCTATATAACACAATGACTTAACCAATTAATTCATTTAAAATATCAAAAACAGGACAGATACTGGAGAAAACAGAATTATTGACAAAAAGAAAGGCTTCAGATGATCACAGTAAATGCAAAGGTAAAAGACAAATCAAAGCAATTAGAATACATACGAAGAACAAAAGAAAATTCAGTATTAAAAAAACTGGTGTCATGAAGTAGAGGATCTAATAATTTGACCAAAAAAAAGTATTCATGGTAACAAACAAGGAAAATGTTCTTAGAAGAACTAAGGGCATATTATAATTTAGGGAAAAATGATTATAAGTGACACTTAGATATACCTTGTTTATATTACTGAATTTCAAAAATAAAGAAGAAAACTCTCAGGCATTTTAGATTAAAAAAAAAAAAGTGCCTTCAAGGAGGGAGGGAGAAAAATCAGACTTTTCTACAGTAACACTAGATGTCCCAAAATAATAAAACAGTGACCACAAAGTTCTAATGAAAGTGTTCCCAAACAAGTTATTTTTCAGGAACGAAAGCAATAGACAGACATTCTCAAGCATTAAAGAAAACAGCAAGCATTGAAACTCAGAGACTATAATACTCACAAATTCTTCCTAATAAAAGGAGAAAACATTGGACAAAGAAATCCAGCCAATCAAACACTAGGAGATTATGGAACAACATTTACAAAGTTGAGGGGGAAAAAAGTGTGACTGATAAATTTTATACCGAGCCAAGTAATCCTTCAAGTAATATAAAAACAAAAGACAAATATTTTGAATCAATGAAGTGTATAAGAACCCAAAGAATGCATGCAGTACCTGTAACTTGAAAAGACTGCCTGACAATGAAATTCAATCAGGAGATGGACTAACTCGGGAATGGAGAAGCAACAGTACTGGTAATGAGCACCAAAACTATTAAAACATAGAACTAAAAGAATTATGACAGAACCATGACAACATAAAGAATATGATCAACATGAAACTAGGCCAATTAATATCCTACAATGGCCTCTAAGTGTTCAAGTGAAAGGAACAGTCACCTGTTTCTCACTTTAAATCAAGAGCTAGAAATGATTATGCTTAGTGAGAAAGTTATGTTGAAAGCCAAGATACGCCAAAAGCTAGGTCTCTTGAGCCAGTTAGCTAAGTTGTGAATGCAAAGGAAAAGTTCTTGAAGGAAATTAAAAGTGCTACTCCAGTAAACACACAAATGATAATAAAACAGCCTTATTGCTGATATGAAGTGGTCTGGATAGATGATCAAACAAGCCACAATGTTCCCTTAAGCCAAAGCCTAATTCAGAGCAACCCTAACTCTCTTCAGTTCTATGAAGGCTGAGAGAGGTGAGGAAGCTAGAGAAGAAAAGTTGGAAGGTAGCAGAGGTTGGTTCACAAGATTTAAAGAAAGAAGCCATCTCCATAACATAAAAGTGCAAGGGAAAGCAGCAAATGCTGATATAGAAGCTGTAGTAAACTACCTAGAAGATGTAGCTAACATCATTCATGAAAGTAGCTACACTAAGCAACAGACTTATTTTTTATTTATTTATTTATTTATTTTGAGATGGAGTCTCGCTCTGTCACCCAGGCTGGAGTGCAATGTGCAATCTCAGCTCACTGCCACCTCCGCCTCCCGGGTTCAAGCCATTCTCCTGCCTCAGCCTCCCAAGTAACTGGGATTACAGGCTCCCACCACCAAGCCAGGCTAATTTTTGGTATTTTTAGTCGAGATGGGGTTTCACTATGTTGGCCAGGCTGGTCTTAAACTCCTGAACTCGTGATCTGCCCATCTCGGCCTCCCAAAGTGCTGAGATTACAGGCATGAGCCACCGAGCCCGGCCAGCAACAGATTTTTAATGGAGATGAAATGGCCTCCTTTTGGAAGAAGATGCCATTTAGGACTTTCATAGCTATAGAGAAGTCAATGCCTGGCTTCAAAGATTCAAAGGACAGGCTGACTCTCTTGTTAGAGGCTAAAGCAGCTGGTGACTTCAAGTTGAAGCCAATAATCATTTACCATCCTGAAAATTCTAGGGCCATTAAGAATTATGCTAAATCTCCTCTGCCTGTTTTCTATAAATAATAAAGCCTAGATGACAGCACATCTGTTTACAGCATGGTTTATTTTAAGCCCACCATTGAGATCTACTGCTTAGAAAAAAAAAGATTCCTTCAAAATATTATTGCTCATTGACAACACACCTGATCACCCAAGAGCTGTGATGGAGATGTACAAGGAGATTAATGTTGTTTTCATGCCTGCTAACACAACATCCATTCTGCAGCCCACTGATCAAGGAGTAACTTTGACTTTTAAGTCTTATTTAAGAAATATATTTCATAAGGCTATAGCTACCATAGATAGTGATTCCTCTGATGGATCTAGGCAAAGTAAATTGAAAACCTTCTGGAAAGGATTCATCATTCTAGATGCCATTAAGAACATTCGTGATTCATGGGAGATCAAAGTATCAACATGAATAGGAGTTTGAAAGATGATTCCAGCCCTCACAGATGACTTTGAGGGATTTCAGACTTCAACGGAGGAAATAACTGCAGATATGGTGGAAACAGTAAGAGAACTAGAATTAGAAGGGGAGTCTGAAGATGTGACTCAATTCCTGCAATCTCATAAGAAAACTTTAACTAATGAGAAGTTGTTTCTTATGGACGGGAAAAGAACGTGGTTTCTTGAGATGGAATCTACTCCTGGTGAAGATGCTATGAACACTGTCAAAATGACAACAAAGGATTTAAAATATGACAGAAGCTTAATTGATAAAGCAGGGTTTGAGAGGACTGACTCCAATTTTGAAAGAAGTCATACTGTGGGTAAAATGCTATCAAATAGCATCATGTGCTATAGAGACATCTTTTATGAAAGGGAGAGTCAACTAATGCAGCAAACTTCATTATTATCTTATGAAATTGCGATAGCCACCCCAACCTTCAGTAACTACTACCCTGATTGGTCAGCACCCATCAACATTGTGGCAAGACCCTCTACCAGCAAAAAGATTATGACTTGCTGAAAGCTGAGATGATCGTTAGCATTTTTTAGCAATAAATATTTTTAATTAAGGTATGTATGTTTTTTAGACAATTCTATTACACATTTTATAGACTACAGTATAGTATAAACACAGCTTTTTTTTTTTTTTTTTTTTTTTAAGAAATGGGGTCTCATGCTGTCATCCAGGCTGGAGTGCGGTGGTGCAATCATGACTCACTGCAGCCTCAAACTCCTGAGCTCAAGTGATCCAAGTAGCTGGGACTACAGGCCTGTCACATCACACCCGGCCAAAACGCATAACTTTTATATGCAATGGGAAACAAAAAAATGTGTGTGACTCACTCTATTGTGATATTCAGTTTACTGCAGTGATATGGAACTAAGCCCACAATATCCCTGCGGTATGGCTGTACAGTATAAGAATCACCTGAAGGGCTTATTAAAAACAGCTTGCTTGACCCCCTCCCTTAGAGATTCCGATTCAGTAGATCTGGGTTGGTCAAGAATTTGCATTTCTAACAAGCTCCCAGCTGAGGCTGAGGCTGCCATTCAACATACTACCAAGTAGCACTGGCATAGAGAGATCCCTGGAATAAAATTTACCTACTTGTGTGTGTGTGTATGAATGTGTGTGTGTGTGTGTGCGTGTGCATGTGCGTGTGTGTGTATACAGTCTTGCTCTGTTGCCTGGGCTGGAGTGCAGTGGCGTGATCTCGGCTCACCATAACCTCCGCCTCCCAGCTTTCAAGCGATTCTCATGCCTTAGCCTCCTGAGTAGCTGGGATTATGGGGTGCGCCACAACGCCTGGCTAGTTTTTGAATTTTCAGTAGAGACTGGATTTCACCATGTTGGCTAGGCTGGTCTTGAACTCCTGGCCTCAAGGGATCCACCTGCCTCAGCCTCCCAAAGTGCTGGGATTACAGACATGAGCCACCATGCCCAGCCCTTACTTGTATATCACAATAGTGAGATGATTACTTTTCAACTTTCTTCTTTGTATTTTTTAGGTATTTAAATTTTTTTACAATGAATGTTCCATCTTTACCCAAACAATAAAATCTTTATTGTAAAGAAAGTTAGAAGCAAGAAACATTAACATTTTTTATAACTACAATTTGTATAAAAGCTTTCTCTGTGATCTTTAGTTTTTCTTTCTTCCTCTGAAAAGCTGAATAGTGTTTAATTAAACTCTCAAAAGTATCAAGTTTTTGTCTATAAAATGGCAAAACTGGCTATGATGAAATAAACTGATATTTGCTATTTCTAATAAAAGCATACAATATATTCTTTCTTACCAGATTCAAATAATATTTAACGCCAACATATTAGTCCAAGTCCTATCATCAGTCAGATTTATCAGAAAGGTATGAAAACCCATGCCTACTATAAGGACCAAAATAGCCTAATTCAATACTACTTTGAAAACATGGGGATGATGTTACTACGTAATTGTTTTAAGTACAATAACCACTGATCACATTTGAACTCTCAGGATACTTCAATATTTCTTTTGGACAACTATGACCTGTTTAGTAAATTACCCCCAAATACTTTAATATAGTTTTACAAATCGCCCCAATGCCAGAGACCCAGATCAAAAAGAAAATAATGGTATGGGTCAGATTCACAGAATAAGCACTAACTTTTATGCAAACTGAAAATAAAGATTTTATCTAAAAGTTATTTGGGGAAAATAAGCAGACTTTATCAAGAATTAGAGCTTGGTAAGAAGGTAACAGAAACCCATTGTGAGAAACAGGTTGACTCTGTGTAGCTTTCCATAGTAGAGTTTAGAGTTTCTTGTCATGATTACCTTATCAATGCAGTATAATAACTACTTACACAGCACTTACATTGTATTAGGTATTATAAGTAATCTACAGATGATTTAAAGTATATGGGAGGATGTGCATAGGTTATAGGCAAATACTACACCATTTTATGTAAGGGACTTGAACATTAATAGATTTTGGTATCCTCAGAGGTTCTGGAACTAATACGCCATGGATGCCAAGGGACAACTGTACTTAGAAGTAGAACGTCTCTGCTCTTCCTACATGTCCTTATTTTTAACAACTTCTGTTCTTACAAATAATCCTAAATCAATCAATAAAACTTCCAATTCTATTAACAGCTTAAAAGCACCAAGAAATACTCTGATCATTCATTCAACTGCCAAAGAAAATGACAAACGAGTACTTTTCCTCTTTTAAACCAAAAAAAGTTTTTGGTTTAATACTAACAAAAGCTTTAATACTCATTTTAGATATTCCTCTAATACATCTATTTACAATATATCACAGAACTATATTCTGGTTATTAATAATCTCACTTCTTACCAGGGTCTGCTAATCCAGTGGTCTCTAACAGTATGTCATCAAATTTCCCCTTCTTTTGCATCAAATTCTCAATAGCTCTAAGGCCATTGTCCCTGGAGAATACCAAAACATAATTTACAGTTAATTACCTAAATATTTTGAAGTGATTATTATAAACACTTTAAAATGTATTCAACAACCCGAGACAAAAGTATCCTTAGGAATGTGAAAATTTAACTCACTTCTAACCTTCTAACAAAATGTCTGTCCCATATTTACCAGTGAGAAAACAATAGATGCATATATATAATAGGTAAAAAGAAATCATATACATAATAATACTTTATTAAAATTAAAAGCAGAGGAAACTTTATCTGACCAAGTATCTTTTTATAGCTTTATGAAATTTTTAAAAACCAACATACAAAATAATGATAAAATTTATTAACTATAGTAGTTTAATATAATAGCTAAAGGGACACTGATATTAAACACCATATAATTCTATTTTACATTAGGATGCAAGGTTTTAAATTCCTTTTTTCTTATTTTATCAAAAGTGAAGGAAAATCCTTAATAGATTACATTTTGGTTGTTCAAGAAAGTCTGTTATAATTTTATCCTTGCCAAAACATTTGACACAAAGTCAAATACCTAAGGGAGTAAATGATGCCGAAGAGATTTAATTCACTAGAATACACAAAATTAACAATACAAGTAGTCATTTTTATAATTCATTCAACAAATATTTGAGTGCTACTATGTGTTGGGTAACTCTTCTAGGGTCTATGGTAGACTAGTGATCACTGTCCTTGGAAACTTAACTACTAGAACATAATGTAAGGTTTTTCTTTTTTGATAGTCATTTATTTTTTATAAGGTTGAACACTTAGAAGTATGACCAATGACAGATTAAATTCAGAATAATCATTTTTTACATATGAGACTTTCATGCACTAGAGATTAAATAAGCCCTGACATCAAAAGCAATAAAAACTCAATAAAAGGACCAAAACATTAGAGCAGATAGAAAAGACAGCAAGAAACACTTTAAGAAAATGCTTCCTAATAAGTTTATTTTCTATTTGTTTGAAAATACAATGAAGCAAACTGTGTAAATTCAGTTAAATTACTCAAGAAAATTAAAGCTGGAAATATAATCAATAAACATTTCTAGTAAACCATGTACACAGTAAACACATTCCTCACTTCACTGAACAGCAGAGGCAACCGTTTCTAAGTTCCAGCCACTCTTCATAGAGCTCTCCACCTTGGCTGACAGCTAAGGATTTCTCCAGCGCACTTCCTAGAATAAATAACAAACAGCACTCTTTAGCTTATGTCCATTAGCCAACAAAAAACAAAGATGAGGATAACTCAATAATGGAGATCTTAAAGCAGAAACTGCATTTTATAACTTATATTCTTTCACTTTATTCATGCAGCCTTGATACCTAAATTACAGTACACTACATTATTTTAGCTTTTATTTAAGATGTCTTAAGCCCTGAAAAAGACACATCCTAAACTGATAAACATACCTACTTCCTCCTTAGGCCTCTTACTTGGCCACCCCCATTTCTTAATGAAGGCATTTTTTTCTTGTCCAGGGTAAACTTTCTAAATCGACTAGTATGTTTTATATACTGGATTCTGTATGCCCTTCAACCTCTTAAGAGACTGCCTTATCTTTTTCTTTTCATTCTTCTTCTAAATTGTTTCTGTTAGACAAACTGCTGAATATTCCCAATGAGTAAAAACCCTAGTTCATCCTGAGGAAGGTTTTTGGCCAGTGTACCATGTGCTCATTTAAAAATTAAACTTATAGGGAGGCCAAGGCGGGCGGATAACGAGGTCAGGAGATCGAGACCACCCTCGCTAACACAATGAAACCTCATCTCTACTAAAATTACAAAAAATTAGCCAGGTGTGGTAGCGGGCGCCTGTAGTCCCAGCTACTCAGGCGGCTGAGGCAGGAGAATGGCGTGAACCCGGGAGGCGGAGGTTGCAGTGACCCGAGACTGTGCCACTGCACTCCAGCCTGGGCAACACAGCGAGACTCCATCTCAAAAAAAAAAAACCTAAACTTTTAGTCAAATTCACATATTTTCCTAGCAATACTTACTTAAGAAAGAATAAACTATATTTGAAATGCTTGTTATCTATAAGAATTATTTTAAATGTTTTACTTTTCCTCTAATAAAGAAATATACCAAACGGTGAAGTTCTAAAAGTCCACTAAGCAAATGAGCTCCCATAAAATCGAGTAGTTTTACACTTACATATTTTTTATATTTCAGCTAGGTATTAATAAAGAGCTTCTAAAGAGGTTGCTACAGAATTCGGACTATATACAGAACATTAATGAAACATGAAGAAAAGTATTGAGAATGCTGTGAAAAATAAAATTGTGAAAATGATCCAGGAAAAAATAAAGAAAATAGTAAGAATAAATGTAATCAGTGTGCAATAGGTTATTTAATAAGATGATGAAAAAAACAGTCTGTTATTAGAAATCTCAGGATTTTTGCCTAAAAAGCACTTTTCTCTTTAGTTTATTAAAATCAGAAATCGAATATAACTGGAATATAACTGGCTTCCCATCCTGTTCATAAAACCTAGCTCTTTTACTTTTTACAACTGAAAAAAATAGTACATTTTAAAAGAAATCGTCTAATAGATATTGTTTTTTGGCTAGAAGTGAGCTTTGATTACAATTCATACTTATGAAGAAAAACTCCTATAAAGATAACAGAAGTATTGTGTCTAGAGCTATTTTTTTTTACTACAGTTTAATATTTGAGTTGAGAAGTTAAGCACACTTATTTTCACAGATAAAATACATGAGGATAAAGACCATATGTTTACTTTCTTTTTAAAATATTGAGTTTTAACTGCATTGCAGATAATAAACATTAAACAAAGTTAACTAATAACAGAAGCATTTTCAAATATTTTTCATGAGTTGCAATAGAGTCCATACAAAACTGCCTTTCTAATTCCTAAAAAAGACATTTTTTGGCCAGGCATGGTGCCTCACGCCTGTAATCCCAGCAACTTTGGGAGGCCGAGGCGGGTGGATCATAAGGCCAGGAGCTCAAGACCATCCTGGCCAACATGGTGAAACCCTGTCTCTACTAAAAATACAAAAATTATCTGGGCATGGTGGCGCATGCCTGTAGTCCCAGCTACTCGGGAGGCTGAGGCAGGAGAATCACTTTAACCCGGGAGACAGAGGTGGCAGTGAGCTGAGATTGCACCACTGCACTCCAGCCTGGCAAGAGAGAGACTCCATCTCAAAAAAAATAAAATAAAATAAAAAATAAACGTTTTTTCATATGTCTAGATTTTTACTTCTGGAGTCATTTATTTCATGTAAAAATGTAGTTTAATTCTGTTAATAAGAATTCCAAAGTTATACAAAATAAAATTTTATTAAAACTAATTTCAGTATCTCAACCCATATAAATCTTAACAGAAATTAATCTAATTTTTCTAAAGCTATCCACATCAATACAATACCTTGCATTTTCATTTTTAAATATGGAATATCAATTCACCAGAGGAATAAACAGTCACACAAAATCTTGCAACATGACATTTATTGAACTTTACTTACCTTCCCCAGATTCATTTAAAATGACCGCTACTCTTTTACTATGTTGCTCTGTCAAAATATAGTTCAGAAGTGTTGTCTTCCCAGCACCTATAAAACATATTTTTTGTAAATAAAAAAATTCAAAATAATTTTAAAGATACAAAAAACATATAAAGAATCCTAACGTTTTTGAGAATTTGCATGCTATTTTTCATATATTATTTTAGTATAGAATATCCTAGAGGATAAGATTAAAGCATCCTTTGAAACCTGTTGCAAAATACTTTATGTAGACATAAAATTTTATAAATATTTACAAACACTCCTACAAGTTGAAACAGTTTCTTCAACCTAGCCTAACCTTCCCTAAAATTGACACACAATCTTTTATTTATAGTGACCTTTTATTTCAACATTAACGAGACGCAACTTCAGGCTGACTATATGGCTACTTATAGTATGCTTTAAACAATCTATAAAAGTTTTTATGAAATGGGGAATAGAGCCAGGTAGTGTCAACAATGAACAGAATGTTCAGTTAAGATAAATTCATAAAGCTATACCAACTTTATCCAGCAGGTGGCATATGAAACCCAATATGTCAATCTCCAGTAGAAAAAAAAGTCTTGTGAACCGTACACACTAAAATTCATAGAGGAAAAAAAGAAAATCCTAACTGCATAGTATTGTAGTTCAATTGTATGACTATATCATTTCTTTATCTTTTTTTTTGTTGGACATTTGGTTTGTTTCCAGTGTTTTACTATTACAGTGCTGCTAAAAACTTTTACATGTAGGCTATACATGTCTTCTGAAATAAAGTTTTCTAGTATATAACTAGATCTTCCTACAACTAGGAAGATTTTACGGAGTATTAGGGTATTAATATCTTTTAGGTCATATTCCTTTCAAAGCTTTTTAAGAGATGAAGGCTTATATTTAGAGTACTTTAGGAAGCTCAACATCACAAAAATATGAAGTATAGTATGGAAGAGAGAGACTTAGGGCAATGAGGAAGATCTTAAAACCAGTCCAAGCCTGAGACAGAGGCCCTGAACATGAGTGTTTCACAGGGCAGTGATGTGAAAACTGAAAGGAAAGGGTGAATGTAAGAAATCTTCTAAGAGAAGATTTACTAGGGCTTTTTAACCATATTATGAAAAAAAAAAACACTTTAAGACATAGTTCATTCATTCAAAGGTTTCTAATACGTTACAGATTTATGCTGGGCCTTGGTGAAAAAGTGAACAAGATAGTCTCTGCCTTCATAGAGCTTAGAAATATTAAGGGAAGGGGGGAATGGAGGGGAATTCAGTGAATAAGGAGGCAATTATGTCACAGGGTGACATATTCAATAGGAGATGCACAAAATGCTATGGAGAACCTAAGAGGGACATCTAGCCAGAGGAGTCACAGTAAAAAAGTACCTATTCCAAGGGGCTAAAACACTTGGCACCTTTGAAGTAACCTTAGTTTATTGTGCGGGGCCAATTTGGCAGGCTGGAAAGGTTGGCAAGATCCAGATCCTACAGGTCCTTGTAATTCATGTTAAGGAATTTGAATTTTAACCCATAGGGACGCCACTGAAAGGTGTGACGCAGTCGGATTGACATTTATAAAGATCATTAAGGCTAACATGCAACGAATAAATTAAAGGGCAGCAAGACTCCAGATTAGTCAGGAGGCTTTTAGAGTATTCCAAATGGTTGGGATCACAGAAGCAGGATTTGGGGGGATGGTAACAGACGAAGTTTCAGACATGTTAAGTTTTAAGTTGTAGGACATCAAAATAGAAATTACACAGGTGTGTAGCTAAAGATGGACAAAGGGGGAAGGAGGAGGGAGCCTTAAAAAGAAGCCAGAGAAGCAGGTGGAAAAATCAGAAGAAAAATGTAATAGAAGCCAAAGGAACAGTGTTTCAAAAAGGGAAAATGGTCAGGGATAGGAGTGAAACTATCCCTAGATTCAGCAACAAGGTTGCTGGTATTAATTCTCACTCCTGAGCTTCAGATCATTTTCTCCAATGATCTACTGACCTACCAGTGAGCAACACGGGAAAGGCCCGAGGGGCACGTTTGAAATACATTGTTTTGGACAAGAAATTTGTTCATCTTCTCAGTAGAGCAGCCTCTGAATAACTGTGGGGAAACGCCAAAAATAAATTCCTTTATAAAATTACTTCCGAGCAAAAAACGGGAATAAACTTACAGTCTACAAAGTTTTTAAAAAAACAAAAGCAGTTATTTCTTATTTTTACATAAAAGGTCACGAAGTGGCCCAAGTCTGTACCTGTCTCTAGCAACAACTAGGAATATTATTTCCCGGAAACAGTATTATTTTATTTACATTTCTTAACTTTTTCCAAACTTCTAATACAGTCATATATTTGTTCTAGCCCTTCTATTTAACTGTAAGGTTTAAAAATATATTTCTCAAACTTTTCCAGTAAGAAACTTCTAGTGTAAGTGCATAAACCGCCCTTCACGAAACTACCAAGTTCACAAACTTGTGGTTTCGAGTATCCCTGTACACTCTAAACGTTCTTAGTTTGAGAAATAGTCTTGGAGGACAGAGATTTTATTCTTACTTCCTACGCAGTGGTTTACAAACAGACCTCAAAAGAAAAGTGTTTAAGATAGGAGCACTTCCTGCCAACTGGCTGGAGGACTTTGGCTCCTGGGGAAGGGGAATCTGCTGACGAAAGCCCCACGTGTCGGGCATTTTACAGACGGGACATCCTTTAATGGCAATAGGTAGGTTGTTCCGGCCCTATTTCACAGGTGACAGGTATTTTTCCATTTTCAGGTGAGGTAGATGAGCGTCAGGAAGGTAAGATAACTTGGTAAGAGGTCACAGAGACAATTAGGGGGGCGTGTCTTAGCTTCAAAGCCTTGTTTCAAAGGCTAACTTTCCATCTCACTTGAGAAATGGGAATCTAACGCAGAGGGGACCGGGCATCATTAACTCCCAAGATGAGAGGTAACCCATACGAGAAGCAAGTGACCCAGCCCCTACCTCAAAGACATTTGCTCTTGATCATGAGGCCCCAATGCCTCAGGAGAAGAGGCACCGGCAGCCCGCAAAATCCCATGACACCAGAGTTCACGGCATTTTGTGACTGGGATGGTTAGTTACCTAAATACCCGGTGATAATTGTGACTGGGATCTTGGCGCCGAGGCCAGACTTTTCCTCCTCCTCGCTTTGCGTCGTCTCAATGGGAACCAATTCAGGACAATCCTCCTCCGCAGGATCCTCTTCCTCATCCACAGATCCAACAGCCGGTAACATTCCGGCCTACAGCACGTCCCTACCTCAGCTGAACCGCTGGGACCAACACGCCGTACCGCAGCCGCGCACGCCCAGCACGCCACTCCCGGCCTGGCCGGGGCCTGACGTCATCACATCGCGACGCTAGCTGATCCCGCCCGGATTACCTGGGCTCTGGACGAGAACTGCCTCGTCCCTTAGCCACACCCCCCGGGGAGGTGGGCTCTCCCCGACGACAGCTGGACACGCCCCTGGGCGTGTTCTGTGAACCTGAGCGACGCTGCGGAGAGTCCTTAGGGCGCACTAACCACCTGTCTGAAGGTGTCACTGGCGCCTAGAGCCTTAATAAGCTACTGGCTGTAGGTAGAGCTGAGGCCAGCCTGCTGGAAATCTGGAGTGGGTAGCCTGACCTAACCAGTTCCCACAGGGCATAGATTTTATCAACTTGATTTTTTAGTCTCGTTAAAAAAAAAAGTTTTAATTCATAGGGGAAAGAATGGAAGGTTATAACATTACAATTTTAATTGTAATTTTTATACCTGAAGGATAACCAGTGACAATTTTTTCTTTTTTTATTATTACATATTATATATGTAATTCCAAATTTTTAGTATTCATGCATCACTTTTATTTACTTTTTTCTCATTATTTATTTGGACCTCAGGTAACCTAAGTTCATTAATCATATTTGCTGGTGCATGACACTCTCATCACTAATCCATAGATAGCCCTTCTTTCTAATATAAATTTATAGTGAACTCCTTTGACCTCATTCCTAACATAAAAGCATTACCAGTAAGCTACACGTACCTATGTGCACCGCCCCCGCTTCCAATCCACAGCCTGCCCCATAAGATAGTAACAACAGTCATGAATTGGTTCTGGATTGCTGATCCTTCCCTGTTTTCTTTTTAGTTTTATCACATATCCCACGTATGTACTTAGAGAATATGTTGTTTAATTTTGGGTGTTTTTGAGCTTCATAAAATTATCCATATAATATATAAACTCCTGAGGCTTGCTATATTTTTCAGCATCACTGCTGTCTTGTATTCTATTGTGTGGCTACACGGCAATTTATTCATTTCCTCTCAATTGTTCCAGGTTTTGCTCTTATGAACAGGGCTGCTATGAACATTTTTCCTGACATATGTGTGTGCAACTTCCTCTTGAGTGTCTAAGAGTTGAATTGCTGGGTCCTAGATTATTCAAATGTTTTACTTCACAAGAAAATGCACAATTATTTTTCAAAATGTTTGTACAAATTGATACATTTTCCCAGCAAATTATAAGAGATCTCATTGGTCTGTATGTCAATATTATCAGGCATGCATTTTTCACCAATCAATTGAGTACAAAAGAAGACTTCATTGTGATCTTCATTTGCATTTCCTTGATTACTAACAAGGTTGAGAATCTTTTCATGTGTTTTGGCAATATGTAATTCTTAGAATGACCCTGTAGAGTGTTATCCCTCTTTCAAACATGAGGCACCAAGAGTTAAGTTACTTGTCCAGGTTAGGTCATAAAAATCTATCTGATGCACAAGTAGAATGTTTTACTACTATCCTGATGCCAAATAAAAGGTTGACTTTTCCTTCCTTCTCTGAAATTCCCCATAAAATATACTGTGTGTATTCCATTAGTTCTACTGATAAGTACATATAACTTGAAAGTATTTATCACGCCTTTTGCAGAACACAGTTAAGACAGAGGGTTTATATTTGTGCAAATGAGTATATTATATTCACACATACACTCGGTCTGAGAAATCAGGTCTTGAATGCTTTGCCAGCTTTGACAATGTAACCATGAACCAGCTGAGGAAGAAATAAGGCAAATACCTTAGGTGTGGTGGTTCAGTTCACTGTATTCTGCCAAAGGAGAGAAGCTGTGATGGGTAGCCCAAAATAGATAGCTTACGCCCTAAACACAATGGTTCATAAGCTTTTTCGTTTCAGGAATGCTATGAAGTATTGATTTTTTTGGCAACCTAAGGGAAGGAGTAACATTGCACCCACAGGCATCACACTATTTGCTTGATGTCCCTTCAGCACTGCATTACTGCCTGAATAGCAGCTATTACAGCCCTCACCATCTTCTTTGACATATTTTTAAAAGTACATTCTTGTGGGTTCCCAATATGGCACTGGCTGAATGTTATACTAAAATCCCTCTTTCTGTTTTTTGAGACAGGGTCTCACTCTGTCGCCCAGCATGGATTGCATTGGCACGATCACAGCTCACTGCAGTCCTAAACTCCTGGGCTCAAGTGATCCTCCCATCTCAGCCTCCCAAGTAGCTGGGACTCCAGTCATATGCCATTACATCTGGCTAATTTTTCTTTTTCTTTTTGGTAGAGACAGGGTCTCACTATGTTGTCCAGTCTGGTCTAAAGTCTCATCTCTAACAATGAACAACCTGTAACCTATGAGGCCAGCTCAGTCAAGTTGACCAAATAGCATTGTTGTAACAGTATGTAGCCTCAATGAGAGCAAAATAAGTTTTACACATTGGCCAAAAATTAAATGCACCACAAATATCTATCAACTGATAGACAACCAAAATGTGACAAATGGATAAACAAAATATGATCTATCCGTACAATGGAAAATTATTTGGCAATAAACAGGAAAAAGGACTGATACCTGCTACAAAATGAATCAATCTTGAAAACATTATGGTAAGTGAAAAAAGCTATTCACAAAAGACCACATGTTGTATGATTCCATTTATATAAAATAACCAAAATAGGCAAATCTATAGAGACAGAAAGTACATTAATGGTTCCCAGGAGTGGAGGACTGGGGAGAGACTACAGTGGTTTTTGGGCGGTGATGAAAATGTTCTAAAATTGATTATGGTGATGGTAGTACAACTCTGATTATACTGAAAACCATTGACTTGTACACTTTAAATTGGTGAATTGTATCATATGTGAAATTTATCTCAATAAAGCTGCTATTCTTAAAAGAAATAAACACCTATCTGTGCATCAAAATGGGGTGCCTGTGTGCATTTGTAGAGAAACACTGTCTTCAGCAGTTTCAAGTTCTGGCCTTAGGCACAAGTATAAAGATTACAGCTTGATAAAATTTTTCCTTTAGTCTGTTCCATATTCCTCTTCAGTTAAGTTTTTATCTATGGATTCTGTGGAGTCCTGTCATTTTATTTTCTCAGATAGAGTTGTAATTTCAGTTCTCCCAAAATAGCTGGGCATGACTTTTTATTTTTATTTCTTTTTTCTTTTTGAGATGGAGTCTTGCTCTGTTGCCGAGGCTGGAGTGCAGTGGCACGATCTTGGCTCACTGCAACCTCTGCCTCCGGGTTCAAGCGATTCTCCTGCCTCAGCTTCCTGAGTAGCTGGGATTACAGGTATGCACCACCACCCCCAGCTAATTTTTGTATTTTTAGTAGAGACGAGGTTTCACCACGTTAGCCAGGCTGGTCTTGAACTCCTGACCTCCTGATCCATCCACCTCAGCCTCCTAAAGAGCTGGGATTACAGGCGTGAGCCACTGTGCCGGGCTTTTTTTTTTTTTTTAACTTATAAGAGGGTTAAATTGTTAAATTGTTAAATTGAAAATGCCTTTTTAAATAAGTATGAAATTTCTTAATTATAATATTTTAGAATCTATTACAGTTTCTGATGTATCTTAAAAATTCCTCCTCATCTAGCTTTGCTATTTTGTCTCATTTACTTTAGGGTAAAACAACAACAGCAACAACAATAATAATGTTTTGAGCCCCTAAGCATCTGATAGGCACTGTGTTAAGCACATTAAATGCATTATCCCATTTAACTCTCCAAGGTAAATACTATTTGTGTGCCCATTTTATAGATGAGGAAATTGAGGCTTAGAAAAGATAAATACCTTGCTCAAAGTCATACAATCAGTAAATGGCAGCCCTTGGGCTCAATCCAAACCTGCCTGACACTAAATCTCCTGCTCTTTTAAACCAGAAGATCTGCAAACTCTTCTGTAAAACTAGATGATAAATATCTTAGTCTTTACAGATCAAAAAGCAAATTTGAGGACATTGTGTAGGTACTTATATAATAAGAGAGAGAGCAAATGTCTACAAGTTTGAAATTTGAATTTCATGTATTAAACAAAATTATGAGAGGCCATTGTTTTGGACTGAGCTCCTGCACTAATCCCAAGCAGACCAGACCAAACCAAAATGGAGTCGCTCATGCTAAGCACCACAAAATCAAACTAAAACTTTAAAAAACAGGTCCCAAAATAGACGAGTTTTTTTTTTTCTTCTCCTGAAGACAGAAGATTCCAGTATAATAAGGAAGTCCCCTCTGCTCTATCCCTTACAGAAAAGTAACCCAAAGTAACAACAGATTACTTACAAAAAAGCAATCTCAGCCAGACACAGTGGCTCATGCCTGTAATCCCAGCGCTTTGGAAAGCCAGGGCGGGTGGATCACCTGAGGTCAGGAGCTTGAGATCAGCTTGGCCAACGTGGCAAAACCCCGTCTATACTAAAAATACAAAAATTAGCTGGGTGTGGTGGCACACGCCTGTAGTCCCAGCTACTTGGGAGGTTGAGGCAGAAGAATTGCTTGAACCCGAAAGGTGAGGTTGCAGTGAGCCAAGATTGTGCCACTGCACTCCATCCTGGGTGACAAAAAAATAAAAAAGTAATCTGATGTTAACCAATCAGTTTTTTTTTCTATACTGTTTCCTTGTTCCCACCTTACAAAATCCAGTGTTCTGCTATTTTCCAATGGGATTAGAGACCAAATAACTCTATTTATGATGATAAAAAGTGATGTCAGTGCCTAAAGTTTTGGGCAACCTCAAAATTAATCATCCTCTCAAAATTGACAGGTTGACCAAAAGGAGGAATTGTTAAATTCATTGTGGCCTAAAGCTGCCTCCTTACATAATTTAAGTTTACCCTAAAGGTTTCCCAGTACATAAAAAACTATATTTCAACTTGATATGTAAAACTTGATATGTAACCTACTCTTGTAACAAGTAGTGAGTCTCAGCCAATCACAGCAGCTGAACTTCAGCCAACCACAGGCAGCCAACTCTTCAAACCAGGTTCAAATAAGGCAAATGCTCAGCTGTAACCAACCCTACTCTGGTTCTGGGGGCTGCCTAATTCACAGATCATTCTTTACTCAATTAAACTCTAAAGTTTTCCTTTCAACATGTATAATTTTCACATCACGAAATAATAATCTTCTTTAATTTTTTTTCCAATGTATTAAAAATGTAAAAACCATTTGCAGGCTACACAATAAATGGTAGCAGGCTATAGATTCCCAACTCCTGATCTAAGCTAATATAATATACTGTTTTCTTAAGCAGAGTTAATGAAATTTTGCGAAATTGGATCCTCCTTGCTCTTTTAAACTCAGTTTGTAAATCACTCACCATTAAAACAATCCTGGACCCTCAAAGGGTTAGGTACCACTGTGCCAATTACCACAGTGCTAATATTCAGAGGAAGATCTGAAGCTGAGAAGCTTAAACTTTTTTCCCAAGGTCACTAATACCTGGCCTGGGAAAGACCTAATTAAGGTGAAACTTGAGTCTTTGCATTGTAGTAGGAGTCCTCCTAGGTGGAGCAGAGCAGAGCAGATAAGCTCTTAAACTGTCTGGATTTCAGCAGCTCAGCTTTCTGACAATAACCTTGCCATATGTCCTTTGGCACAATTCCCTACTAATTCCCTACTACTCCCCTTTGCTTGGTTCTTCTCTCTTGAATAGTTATGTTAATCACCATAAGAAAAAGAACTGTAGCTATATCCAAATAAGAAGAAAGCTAAAAATAATACCAACTTGGTTTTGTTTTTCGTTTTTTTCTTTCTCATTTTTGCAACTTCCTGCAAAGGAAACAACATACTAGTGGCCAGCAATAGCTACTGGTTTAGAGGAAAGGAAGCTGAGAGTTTCAAAATTAACCCAGTTCCTCTTATCTAGCTGTGGCAAGTAAATAAATAAAATATTTTTAAATGTTTAAAGTTTATCAGTTTATTTAACATTTTTCATTGGGTACACATGAACTTGTTGGGAACATATCTAAAAGGCCAGAGGTCAATGGCTTGTATTCTTGTGACTGCTTTGGTTAAGGTTGAATATCAATATTCAAGTGTCATATAGTCGTCTTTTAAGATATACAACCACTGTAAGGACAGGAAAGAATATTTCCTCTCCAGAATACTGAAGATGACTAGCAGGTGAAAAATGTACATTTCAATGTTTTTAGGGGCTGTGACATTAAAGGCTGTGAGTAACATTGTTTGAATTCATTATCTTTGGTGGTTAAACCATGCTATTAATAAGTCTTAGCTTACAGTTGAGTCACTTGTAAGTCAGCTTGCCATGAAATTAAAAAAAAAAAAGAAAACACCATTCAAAGCCCTCAAGCTGACAAGTTGAGTGGTGCACCAATCTCTCTAAAAGAAACTATATTTTAGATACTATAGGAGTGGTGGAATGACAGGAGTGGAGGTTGGGCAAAATGAAAAAAAATGTTTTGCAATGATGTATGGTGTAATAGTTTAGGAGAGAGTCTAAATAATTTCTTCCATTGTCATTAGAAATTTTAAATGGACATTTGTGGCTATAAGTTTCACTTTCTAATTTTTATAGTGTTAGAGAAGCATATTCCAAAATCCATAGGCACCTGCTCATAATTCCTTACACGTAAGTAAAAGGCATGAAACAAATGATCCATCTCCATTCTTCCTTCCCCTTTCTATTCCCTCGAAGAGTGTTTAATCATACTTAATTGAAATACCATGCTACTGGCAAAGCCAGGTCTTTCTGGCTTCAAGACCAGGGTCTTTTGAGTCCTATAGCTCCGTCCTTCAGTCATTGTCTTAGACCTTTTGTGCTGCTATAACAAAATATCCAATACAGGGTAATTTATAAATAATAAAAATTTATTTCTCACAGTTCTAGAGGCTATGAAGTCCAAAATCAACGTGCCAGGAAGTTTGTGTCTAGTGAGGGCTGGTCTCTGCTTCCAAGATGGTACCTCAAAAGCTGTGTCCTCCTGAGGGGATGAACACTGTGTGTTCACCTGGCAGAAGGAGACAGAAATAAGCTTTCACATTGTTTAAGTTTCTGTTTATGCCACTGAAACTAATCCTAACCAACTTATTTGATTAATTGTTTTTTAAATAATATAAGTAGGCTGTGCACAGTGGCTCATGCCTGTAATACAAGCACTTTGGGAGGCTGAGGGGAAAGGATCTCTTGAGGCCAGGAGTTCAAGGTCAACCTGGGCAACATAGCAAGACCCTGTTTCTACAAAAATTTTAAAACTTAGCTGGGCATGGTGGCATGCACCAGTAGTCCCAGCTACTCAGGAGGCTGAGGTGGGAGGATCACGCAAGCCTAGGAGTTTGAGGTTACAGTGAGCTATGATCACTGCACTGCACTCCAGCCTGGGTGAGAGAGAAAGACCTTGTTTCTTATTAAAATATATATAGACACACATATATATATATGTGTGTGTATGTGTATATATATAGTATTTATATATAAATTATGTATTATACCTGAATGTATTATAACTATAAAAAATTCAAACAGTAGAAAAGTATTAGGGTAAAACGTGGAGTATCTTTCACTAACCTCAATTTTACTTCCCTTCACCGATATTATATAAACACTGTGAGCAATTTAATAGACATAGGTCCAGATTTTTTTGGTCCAATATTACCTTTGCCCCTGCCATGTTAGGTATTTTTCTGTAGGAGAAGCAAGATTCCCTCCTGAAAGAATATTCCTGTTTAGACTAAGTCTTATGTATATGAATATATGTATTTGCATACATGTGCATTCATAAAATTATAACAGAAAGATAGAGTACATTTGTATACATATGTGGCTTTTGTTTTTAATAAATAGGAACATACATAGGCTTTGTTCTGGAGCTTGCTTTCTTCACTTGACAATATGCACTGATACTCTTTCCTTCTCACTAGAATTAGAAATACATCATTCATCATTTTTTTTTTTTTTGAGACGAAGTTTTGCTCATGGTGTCCAGGCTGGAGTACAATGGTGCAGTCTTGGCTCACTGCAACCTCTGCCTCCAAGGTTCAGGCAATTCTCTTGCCTCAGCCTCCCAAGTAGCTGGGATTACAGGCACCCGCCACAACGCCTGGCTAATTTTTGTATTTTTAGTACAGATGGGGTTTCACCACATTGGCCAGGCTGGTCTTGAACTCCTGACATCAGATAATCCACCTGCCTCGGCCTCCCAAAGTGCTGGGATTACAGGTGTGAGCCACCATGCCAGACCATACATCACTCATTTTTTAAACCACTTCATGTTATTCCATAATAGAGATGTAACTATTTCATCATATCTTCAAAAGGGACATAAAGATTGACTAACTACCTCTTCAAAACATGCTCGAAAGTAAATTCAACATATTATCAAGAAATATAAGAAAGTAAGTTGATTAGCTTGTATGTTTAATAATAAACTTTATTCTTATTCTCCTTTGATATTTTAGACTGGTTAGCTTCGCTTATTAAATTAGTTTACTTCAGTTATGGAAATATCAAATTCAATATATTTTAATATTAATTTCTTATTAACAGTTCTGGTTACTTATAATTAATATGATTCTACCCATATGCTTTATTTTTATAGCAAACTCATATTTTGGATTGTGTATTGCTATCCATAAATTTACACATGTACTTTCATAATTTAATTGTGGTTAATGAGTTTTTGGCAGCAGTATACAATACACAGATTAAAATTAATTCTGAACTGATGCTAGAAGAAAGATGAGTTCACATATTGCATCTTGATAATAGTGCTGGTTTGTGCCTAAAGTATAGCTTAGCTATTCATATCCCTGGGTAATACCACTGGTAGGCCGGGTACGGTGGCTCACATCTGTAATCCCAGCACTTTGGGAGACCAAGACAGGTGGATCACCTGAGGTCAGGAGTTTGAGAACAGCCTGACCGACATGGTGCAACCGTGTCCCTACTAATAATACAAAAATCTGCCGAGTGTGATAGCACACTCCTGTAATCCCAGCTACTCGGGAGGCTGAGGCAGGAGAATCGCTTGAACCTAGGAGATGGAGGTTGCAGTGAGCCAAGATCATGCCATTGCATTCCAGCCTGGGCAATAACAGAGAAACTCCATCTCCAAAGGAAAAAAAAAGAAAAAAGAAACTTTTAGTAAGCAGAATATTATTAATCTATATGCTTTTACATCATAATGGTTCCTTTTACTTCATGTATTTTTGTTCATGAAATTCTGTAAATCATACAAGCTACAGATGGTGACAGCAGTAGAAATATAAATTTTAGCACACTTGTGTATGCATTAATATGTTCAAAATATATAAAGAAATGGTATTTATATAAATAAATACATATAATTATTTGATCATAATCAGAGGTTAACATGGGTTACCTTTTGGGGAGAGGAAACAGCAGAGGTGATATGGTTGGCAGACAAAGAGGGTATGGAGAAGTAATCTCCCACTGTATTAGTCTGTTTTCACATTGCTGGGCAATTTGCAAAAGAAAGAGGTTTATTGGACTTACAGTTCCACATGGCTGGAGAGGCCTCACAATCATGGCAGAAGGTGAAAGGCATGTCTCACCTGGAAGCAGACAAGAGAAGAGAGCTTGTGCAGGGAAACTCCCCTTTTCAAAACCATCAGATCTCATGAGACTTGTTCACTATCACAAAAACAGCATGAGAAAGGCCTGCCCCCATGATTCAGTTACCTCCCACCGGGTCCCTCCCACAATACATGGGAATCCAAGATGAGATTTGGGTGGGGACACAGCCAAACCATACCATTCCACCCCAGCCCCTCCCAAATCTCATGTTCTCACATTTTAAAATGAGTCATGGCTTCTCAACCGTCTCCCAAAGTCTTAATTCATTTCAGCATTAATTCATTTCAGTGTTAACTCAAAAGTCCACAGTCCAAAGTCCAAAGTCTCATCCGAGACAAGGCAAGTCCCTTCCACCTATGGGCCTGTAAAATCAAAAGCGAGTTAGTTACTTCCTAGATATAATGGAGGTACAGCATTAGTAAATACAGCCATCCCAAATGGGAGAAATTGGCCAAAACAAAGGGGATACAGGCCCCATGAAAGTCTGAAATCCAGTGGGACAGTCAAATCTTAAAGCTCCAAAATGATCTCCTTTGCCTCCATGTCTCACATCCAGGTCATGCTGATGCAAGGGGTTGGTTCCTATGGTCTTGGGCAGCTCTGCCCCTGAGGTTTTGCAGGGTACAGCCTCTCTCCAGGTTGCTTTCACAGGCTGGCATTGAGTGTCTGTGGCTTTTCTAGGTGCACAGTGCAAGCCGTCCATGGATCTACCATTCCAGGGTCTAAAGAACAGTGGCCCTCTTCTCACTGCTCCACTAGATGGTGCCCCAGTAGGTACTCTGTTTGGGGGCTCCAATCTCACATTTCCCTTTCACACTGCCCTAGCAGAGGTTCTCCATGAGGGACCCACCCCTACAGCAAACTTCTACATCTTCTGATATCTAGGAGGAGTTTCCCAAACCTCAATTCTTGACTTCTGTGCACCCGCAGGCTCAAAGCCATGTGGAAGCTGCCAAGGCTTGGGGCTTGCACCCTCTGAAGCAACAGACAGAGCTGTACTTTGGCTCCTTTCATTCATGGCTGGGATGCAGGGTATGAAGTCCCTAGACTGCATACAGCAGAGGGACCCTGGGCCTAGCCCACAAAACCACTTTTTCCTCCTAAACCTCTGGGCCTGTGATGGGAGGGGTTGCCATGAAGAACTCTGACATGCCCTGGAGACACTTTCCCCATTGTCTTGGGGATTAACATTCAGCTCCTTGTTACTTATGCAAATTTCTGCAGCCAGCTTGAATTTCTCCTTAGAAAATGGGATTTTCTTTTCTAGCACATTGTCAAGCTGCAAATTTTCCAAACTTTTGTGCTCTGCTTCCCTTATAAAACTGAATACCTTTAACAGCAGCCAAGTCACCTCTTGAATGCTTTGCTGCTTAGAAATTTCTTCTGCCAGGTACCCTAAATCATCTCTCTCAAGTTAAAAGTTTCACATATATCTATGGCAGGGGCAAAATGCCCCTAGTATCTTTACTAAAACATAAGAAGAGTCACCATTGCTCCAGTTCCCAACAAGTTTCTTGTTTCCATCTAAGACCACCTCAGCCTGGACTTTATTGTCCATATCACTATCAGCATTTTGGGCAAAGTCATTCAACAGGTCTCTAGGAAGCTCCAAACTTTCCCACATATTCCTGTCTTCTGAGCCCTCAAAACTGTTCCAACCTCTGCTTGTTGCCCAGTTCCAAAGTTTCTTCCACATTTTCAGGTATCTTTTCAGCAGCGCCCCACTCTACTTGTACCAATTTACTGTATTGTTTCATTTTTATGCTGCTGATAAAGACATACCTGAGACTGGGCAATTTGCAAAAGAAAGAGGTTTATTGGACTTACGGGTCCGCATGGCTGGGGAGGCCTCACAATCATGGCGGAAGGCAAAAGGCACATCTCACATGGAACCAGACAGGAGAAGAGAGATTATGCAGGGAAACTCACCTTTTTAAAACCATCAGATCTTGTGAGACTTTTTCACTATCCCAAGAACAGCACAGGAAAGACCTGCCCCCATAATTCAATTACCTCCCACCGGGTCCCCCCACAACACATGGGAATTCAAGATGAGATTTGGGTGGGGACACAGCCAAACCATATCACCCCCCCAAAAAAAAATCCCGTTTAGATTAAGTTTTATGTTTATGAATATATGTATATGCATACATGTGCATGCAGAAAATTATAACAGAAAGATAGAGTATTACATATGTAAATATGTATTTTTTATATGTACTGATTTGTAGAATAACAATTATAAGTGATATAAGGTGAAAGAAGCAATTTGTTCATAAGTATGTAGTATGATTCCATTTCAGTAAAAATTAACAAAAACATGCTTGTATGTGCATGGGCATATATTAATATGTGCTCATATATATATATGCTATACATATATATATATATATATGTATGCTGATATATGTATGTGGAAGCAATATGTTTGTGATGATACACACCCTTGCAATAACATGAACTACCTCAGGGAGTACTATAGATGACAGAGACAATGGGGGAAGAGGAGCAATGTTACCTTAAAAAAAAACTTGGCATCCTATTACTGGTTACAAGAGGCATATAAAATTATTTTTAAAATTTTAAATAAATATGTTAGCAACCTTTGTATGGATGGAAAATTTTAAATATGTATGAAAATACTGATTGCGTATACCTTTTGAAATTCTACTGATAGGGATTTATCCCACATATTTACATATACAAACATTTATGACATTCATAGCACTATTGTTTTAAAGGTGAGATGTTGGAAACATCCTAGCTATTTAACTATAGGGGAATGGCTAAATAAGTTTGGCTCACTCAAAGGATACCATGGAAGAGCAAGGCTTTGCATCGTATTTCGATATGAAACTGTTAGAAGCACCTTTATTTTGAATAGCCTCTAAGAAAAAGTTGGATAGAAAGAGTCTAAATGAAATATTCTGATTAATAACAGAACCTATACTATAAGATGGTGAATTTCTGATCAGAAAGGTGAAAAGTTCATCTACAGCTTAAGTGGACAAATTTAATTTTCTATAACATTCATATCTGATAGATTAAATAAACAGGTACAATTTCCTTAAGAAACATGCTTTATAAGTTTTATGGTCACTACATTCTTTAAAGTTAAGGGTTACATTCCTGGGAGATTAAATAAAAACTGCAAAGTTAACAGTTGATTTGCCTGAGGAGCTACTTGTTCTTCCTCAGTAAACATTGAAGAGAAAAGTAATGTAATATAACAGAAACAGAGCACGCATCTGATAAACATGTAACAGCAAAAGGGGGTGCACAGGCCTTTGCCCTACCTGGCTGGTGTCCTTTGTTCATTGTACTTCTGAGGTTGCCAGAATGTAAATGTTCATTTCACTATCTTAAATGAGCAGAGTAATAACCAGAATCAGACTTTGAATTCTAAAAGCTCTTGGATCAAGAAGATTCTGTCTTTCCAACGTTTGCATCAAATAACATCGTGACCTATACTATCTTTTTTAATATTAAGTGAAGCTTAATCAAAATTTTAGGTTTAAAATACAAGAGTCATTAAAAAGATACATTGTTAGGTAGAAAAACATGCAGAATAGTATGCTGTTTCATTTGGAGGGGAGGAAAAGAAAATAGAAAATGCTTAACATAACAATTTTTATTTTTATTACTTCATGTAAGAACTTCTCTACAACCACTGATTTTCTTACTTGCTTTCTAAGCAATGTAGAATTTTCGTCACCACTTCACCATTAATTTCTTGTTATTAATCCATTGCTGTTTTCCCAGCTGAAAGAGAAAACTTCCTTTTAATTTTCTAACTCATTTTGAAACAATTTCAACTTACAAAAGTTACAAAAATAGTAGAGATTCCCATATACCCTTCACTGTACTTTCCTGAATGTTGATATCTTACTATCACTACCATGATCAAAAGCAGGTAATGAGCGTCGATACACTACCATTCACAAAACCAGAGACCTTATTCACATTTTGCCAGTTGTCCCACCGAAGACCTGTTTCTGGGCCAAGACCTAATCCAGAATCCCACATTGCATTCAGTTGTCACCTCTCAGTCTACTTTAATCAGAAGCATTGCTCAGTCTTTGTCTTCCAGGACCTTGACACTCTTGAGGAGTACTGGTCAGTTGTTTTGTAGAATGTTCCTTCACTTGGATTTGTCTTATGTTTCAGCATGGTTAAATTCAGGTTATATATTTTTGGCAGGAATACTACAAGTTGATGTTGCATCCTTCTCTGTGCATCACTTCAGGAGGCACATGACATCCACCTGTGCTTTTACTAGAATGTTAACTTTGTCAGCAGGGTTCTGCCACAAGAAAATTACTGTTTCCCTGATGCAGTTAATAAGTACCTGATGGGGAGATACTTTGAAGCTATGTAAATGTCTTGTGTTTTCATCATACTCTAGCTCACAGTTGATCATCCATTATTCTTTTTCAAAATTACAGCTTTATTAAAGCACAACTTAGCCACTCATTTAAGTGTACAACTCAATGAGTTTTAATAACATTTATACAGTTGTGCCACAATCATCCCAATCCAGTTTTAGAACACTTTCACCATCCCAAAAAATTCCTTTGTGACTGTGTACAATTAATCTCTTTAGCTTAGGCCCCAGGTAACCATTGGTCTGCCTTCTGTCTTTGTTTATACAATACACTGAATTTTTTCTCATTATTTACTTGCTTGACTTTTTACTCTGAACAAATATTAGTTTATGAGTGAGAAGACAATTTCTAACACATTGTTTGGTATATGACACAGGAAAGACACTGACCAGCCTGGAAGTCAAGAGAAATAATGGATTCTTTAGTGTCAGACTAAACATAAACTTTGAATATTCTAGATACTAGCAGAACCTAAATTATCCAGTTGCCTTAGATCTTCAGTTAATTCATAAAAATAATTCCAATTAAATTCTTTCTCTGAATTTATAAAGTCAAAAGCATAACCTTTGATCCTTATAAGCACAAAGCAATTTTGATTTTATCATGTCAACATGCCTTAGAAAAATGGTAAGGTCCAGGGGTTTTGTTTCTTTGTTTTTTTCTTGTTGTCATTTTGTTTTGTTTTCCTTTGGTTTGTTAGTTTTGAAGGCCTTCACTTTTTGGTTTGCTGTTTAAAATTATTTTCTTCCGGAGCCAATTTTATTAACCCAGTGAAATATAATTTCAAGGACATTGTGTCTTACCCACACCCTCCAAGGTATGTTTTATATAATAAGGCAATGTTGTTAAAATCAGGATAATTTTATTTTTAAAAAATGTATATATCTAGCATCTCTCAAAAGAAAATCCTTAGATCTAGCAGTACATGGCCCAAGTTTCCACAGCTGGAGCAAGTTGTGGCCATCCACTTTAGATAGAATATGTTCTTTGGTTTGCCAAGGCCCCACCTATTCCCTATTGAATCACATCACAACTGCTTCATTTTTGTAAGCTCCTTATCTAGCCCTGTTGGACACTTGAGTTTGTTTATGTATTTATTTATATATAAATTTTTATTATATATATATATATATATATATATATATATCTGTATAACCACAACCACAGATGTGTGCATATTAAAATTTAACTATTTTCCATAGTTAAATTTTGGCAGGGATACTACAAATTGATGTTGTAGTATCAATTGGCAGGGATACTACAAATTGATGTTGCCAAGGCCCCACCTATTCCCTATTGAATCACACCACAATAGCTTCATTCTTGTAAGCTCCTTCTCTAGCCTTTCTGGACACTTGAGTTTGTTTATTTAGCCTTAGTAAAGTAAAGCTCACTAATGTTAAAGTTACAGGTATCCTCCCCAACACATAAATAGCGAATACACTACCATTTCTATCTCCCCACACTTCCAACGTTTAATTTTGGTTAGATTATTTCTTTTTCATTATCATGACTATGTAAACAATATCCACAGATGAGCTTTATAGTATCCTCTGATTCTTTTTTCATTCCTACTCAACTTTTTATTTTCCCTGAAATTAATAATTTTATGAGTTATAATTTTTAATGAGTTTTTATTGTAGTTTTGGTTGCATAATACCATATATTTATCATTAATTCATTCCCAAGCTCTTAAAAAGTTGCTTAAATCTCCTTTTCGTATGTTCAGATGAATCCAGTATTCTTTTAATTTCATTTTCTTCAAGAAATCTATCCTAGGGTCTTGTGATCTGCTCTGTGTTGGAAATTGTTGCCCTTTATGTTACATGCACAGCTCAGGGATCTTGCTGCAGATTCCCTTTTCTTCTGTCTTGTGCTGAATTCCCTTGATTCCTAAATCCTATGTTTTCCTCTTTCACAATTTATACCTTTATTTTTTGTGGAGCACATCCTCTAGTAGCTTCCTGAGAAAAAGTGTGCATCGAGTGAACTCTTTGAGACCTTGCGTATCTTAAAATGTTTTTAGTATATACATAGATTCAGTTGATGGGGTGGCTCGTTCAGTAATCAGGCTACATTAGGCTATGCTACAGCAACATATCCCTAAAGTCTTAGTGGCTTAATATGAGAGGAGTTTATTTCTACTTGCATCCCAGACCAAAGCAGGCCAGCTAACACTCACACAAGGCTACTTTCATTGGGCAGTTCCAGAAGTTGGGAGTCCTTCACTTCAGCTGTCAGAATGAGGCGGTGAGAGTGCAGAGAAGGCACTACTACTCTTAATTGTCTCAGACTAGAAGTGGCTTCTTATCCCATTCATACTCCTTTTGTGACTATTATTTATACTATCTGGTCTAAGTCCACAGGGACTGGCAAATGTAGAGATGAATATTTGTTTACTTCATATGTTCTGACACAGTGAAGTTGAGAATTCTGGGTTGGAATTCTTTTCTCTCTCTCTTTTTTTTTTTTTTTTTGAGACGGAGTCTCATTCTGTCACCCAGGATGGAGTGCAGTGGCATGATCTCGGCTCTCTGCAACCTCCACCTCCTGGGTTCAAGTGATTCTTCTGTCTCAGCCTTCTGAGTAGCTGGGATTACAGGCATGCGCCACCACGCCTGGCTAATTTTTGTATTTTTAGTAGAGATGGGGTTTCACCTTGTTGGTCAGGCTGGTCTCAAACTCCTGACCTGGTGATCTGCCCTCTGTGGCCTCCCAAAGTGCTGGGATTACAGGCGTGTTCCACTATGCCCAGCTAATTTTTGTATTTTTAGTAGAGACAGCATTTCACCATGTTGGTCAGGCTGGTCTTGAACACCTGACCTGGTGATCCATCCTCCTCGCCTCCTAAAGTGCTGGGATTACAGGCGTGAGCCACCATGCCCGGCCTCTTTTCTCTTTTGAATGTGGTAGGCACTGCTCTGTGTCTTCCGACTTCCAGTCTCCCAAATTGCTGGTGAGAAACCAGTTTAATTATTGACTCTTGGGTATGACTACTTCCTGTCTTCTGAGCACAGAAACACATAGGATTTTCACTTTGTTTCCAGTTTTTGTAGGCTGAATTGTGTCCCCTGCCCCACTTTCCACCAAAATTCACTCAGTGAAGCCCTAACCCCCAGTAGTTTAGAATATGACTGTATTTAGACGTGGGGCCTTTAAAGAGGTAATTAAGGTAAAATGAGGTCTAATGGGCAATTCTTAACCTAATATGACTGGTGTCCCTTTAAGAAGAGGAGACGAGGACACAGACAACACTGACCAAGGGAAGACAGTATGAGGACACAACTAGAAGGCAGCCATCTGTGAGCTAAGGAGAGAAGCATCAGGAAAAAACGAAACTGCTGTCACCTCGATCTTAGACTTCTAGCATCCAGAACCATGAGAAAACAAATTTCTGCTGTTCAAGCCACCCAGTCTGTGGTGTTTTGTTACTGCAGCTCTAGCAAACTAATATATCGGTATTTTAAAATCGCACAAATAATGTGCCTTGGGATGGGTCTAACTCCATTCTTTTTTTTTTTTTTTTCACTCAAGTAGTCTCTTACAATCTGAGAATTCATGTCCTTGGATTTTCTTGAATTATTTTATTGATTATTTCCTTTCTTCTCTTATCTCTGTTGCTCTTTGTGGATCTCCTCTTATTTAGATGTTGGACTTCTTATTTTAGTCCTTTAATTTTTTTCTTTTTCTTTTCTAACTCTCATTTTCTATATTTTTGCTTTGCTTACTGGGAGATTGGCTCAAATTTATCATCCAAACTTTCTCTGAATTTTTTATTCTACTATTATTTATTGTTCAAATTTCCCAGAGCTCCCTTTTTGTTTCTTGAATGTCCCTTTCTGAAATAGCATAAGACTGGTTCGTGGGTGCAATACAATATCTCCTCTTACACCTCTGTGGATATTTTTTAAAGTTGTGAATCAATTGAAACTTTTTACTTTTTACTTTTATTGGTACATAATAGGTATTTATATTTATGGGGAACATAAGATTTTTTTTTTTTTTTTTGAGACGGAGTTTTGCTCTTGTTGCCCAGGCTGGAGTGCAATGGTGTGGTCTCGGCTCACTGCAACCTCCGCCTCCCAGGTTCAAGTGATTCTCCTGCCTCAGCCTCCCAAGTAGCTTGGATTACAGGAATGAGCCACCATGCCCAGCTAACTTTGTATTTTTAGTAGAGACGGGTTTCTCCATGTTAGTCAGGCTGGTCTCAAACTCCCGACCTCAGGTGATCTGCCCACCTCAGCCTCCCAAAGTGCTGGGATTACAGGCATGAGCCATGTGCCCGGCAGGTATTTTAATGCAAGTATACAATGTGTGATAACCAAATCCAGGTAAATGGTATATCCGTTGCCTCAAGCATTTATCCTTTTTTTGTGTAACTAACATGCCAATTATACTCTTTTAGTTATTTTAAATGTACGGTAAATTATTGTTGACTGTAGTCACCCTGTTGTGCTAGCAACTATTAGATTTATTCATTCTATCTAACTATATTTTTGTACTCATTAACCACCCACCTCCCACCACAACTACCCTTCCAGCCTCTGGTAACCATCATCCTACTCTATCTCCCTGAGTTCAACTGTTTTCATTTTTGGGTCCCACAAATGAGTGAGAACATGTGAAATTTGCTTTTTTGGGCCTGGCTTATTTCACTTAACATAAGGTCCTCCAGTTCCAACCATGTTGTTGCAAATGACATTTCTCATTCTTTTTTATGGCTGAATAGTACTCCATTGTGTATATGTACCACATTTTAAAAAAATCTATTCATCTGTTGATGGACACTTAAGTTGCTTCCAAATCTTGGCTATTATGAATAGCGCTACAGTAAACATGAGAGTGCAGATATCTTTTCAATATACTGATTTCCTTTCTTTGGGGTATATATCTAGCAGTGGGATTGTTGAATTATATGATGGTTCTATTTTTAGTCTTTAGAGGAACCTCCATACTGTTCTCCATAGTGGCTGTACTACGCTCTGTGGATATTAATAATAGTTTTCTTCTCCCAGCATAGTCTTGGTTAGTTCCAAATTATTTTCTTTGTTTGTTTGTTTGCTTTGGTCTCTACCTTTCATGCTGGTAGTTCCCCTTAGATGTCTGATAATCTTTGGTAGTCTATTCAAATTTAGGAGTGAGGTACTAAAAGACCTTATTGGAAGTTCTGATTCCATGAATGAAACTTCTTGTCCACCAGCTTCAACTGGGTCATCTGGCTGGGCCATTTAGTTGGGTCATTCTCGACATCAGCATCTTTATGTCTTTCCTCTGGAAGTGGTCAGATACCCCAGAGAATAATTTTCTAATCTCTAGTGGTCTGGAATTAGAATGGGGTAAAAGACATGGGGTTCTGTTAGGTTATAAATGTTCCGATAAATTTTCACTACCCCTTCATTTATATTACTGAACTCCATCCCCAAATGTGCCAAATGTTCTCCAGGAAGTAAGTTTCTCTATTTACCTTATCTAGCCTCTGCCAGGCTGGGAGAGGGACCATTATCTGGCTATACAGGTTTGAAGAGAGGATGTAGGGATCTAACAACTTCTTATACAGACTTATAACCCAATCCTCCTATTTTTGACCCTACCTTTATCCCCATTTTCAGTGGTATCTGACATTTGGAAGCTGTTTGGGAGGTCTATGATGTAGTCAGGTACTTCTGAGTTTTCTCCAAGACAAATTTAGGGATCATCTTTCTCAGGTGTGTTACCTCTTGTCTATATGGCTTCTGAATTCCACAACCTTGTTGTTCTTGTCTTCCTTTCTAATTTCATCATCATTGTGGGTTTCTGCCTTAAAAAAATAATCCCTTTACTGTCATTTTATTAGGTTTCAGAAGAAAGCCAAAGTAAGTGCATTTCTGTAATTGATCACCTCTACTCAGTAGTCTATTTTGCATTTTTACAAGGAAATGACAAGTTTACTCAGGAGTGTTTGAAGACAAACAGGCCTGCTTTATAATTTTGCTACTGGCCATCCCTACCTTCAGTGCACTTGGTCAACAATTACGTCCACAAAACAGAAATTACAACTCTGACTCGTGCTTTTATCTGAGGAACCACAAGTCATTCACTTGTATGGTTCACTTGTCAACTGTAAGGGAAACTCTAACTGCTAATAACTTTAACTATATAGCCAAAAGGATCTTGTAAAACTCTTCCTATCTTCCTAGCTTTAGTCTTTGCATATAGTTCAAGGTTACTACTAACACTCCCCGACACCTGATTTTCTTCTGAAATACCAAAACCTCCCATTTTTGAGTGTTCAGTGTGTGCTAGAGACTGGGATAGGCGCATTTACATGGATGATCCCATTTAATCCTCCCCAAAACTTACAGTGTCTGGGCCAGGTGCGGTGGCTCACGCCTGTAATCCCAGCACTTTGGGAGGCCAAGGCAGGCGGATCATCTGAGATCAGGAGTTCGAGACCAGCCTGGCCAATATGGTGAAACCCCGTCTCTACAAAAAATACAAAAATTAGCCAGGCATGGTGGCGTGCGCCTGTAGTCCCAGCTACTCTGGAGGCTGAGGCAGGAGAATCGCTTGAACCCAGGAGGCAGAGGTTGCAGTGAGCCAAGATCGAGGCACTGCACTCCAGCCTGGGCAACAGAGCAAGACTCCGTCTCACAACAACAACAACAACAACAAAACCCTTATAGTGTCCATGTTATTATCTGTATTTTACAAAGAGGAAAATTGAGGCTCTGAAAAGTTAAAGGATTTGTTCAACGTAACACGTCTATTAAGTGGTGAAACTAGGGTTTGAATCCAAGTCAGCCTTACTCCCAACCACTTTCCACTTCATTATGTTGTCTTATTGATGACTTCCTGCCAGGACTTCCCAAGTGTTCATTTTCATGTCTGCAGCTCATTTAATTACTTTTAGTTCCTTTTTCATTTTCCAATCCAGTCATCTATACTATTACCCTATGTCAGTGAATGACATCCAGTTGGTTCAGTATTTCAAAATTTCTGGCCCACCTTCTCTTCTCATCTGTATCTGGTTACCTTTTTATCCACCTTATATATCATTTCCTAGGAAAGATTCCATGACCTCCCAAGGATTGACTTTGTACTTTTCATGTGCTTATACAGCACAAACAGAATCCTCTTTGCCCTATCAAGGTAGTAATTACCAGGTATAGAAATTATCTGTTTGCTTATTTACTCCCCAACTACACTAGGCTCCTAAGGACTGTGGCAATATTCATCTTATTTATGAGTCATATCTACAGCCTAGCACAGTGCCTGGCACATAGCAGGTGCTCACTACATATTTTGTTGAATGAATGCATAAATGAATGAGGTTACACACATACCTCTATGACATAGTTTGGATATTAGTTCCCTCCAAATATCATGTTGAAATTTCATCCCTAATGTGGGAGGTGGGGCCTAGTTGGAGGTGTTTGGGTCAGGGGGGCAGATCCCTCATGAGTTGCTTGGTGTCATTATGTTAGGATTGAGTGAATTC